>NC_000001.11:183809587-184434587 GCF_000001405.40 Homo sapiens
AAGAAAAATGACTTCAATTATGTCACAAAATTTAAAAAATCTTAGGATTGGAAGAGACATTAAAGAGCAATTCCGAGCCTAGCACAGTGGCTCATTCTTGTAATCCCAGCACTTTGAGAGGCCAAGGCAGGCTAATTTGCTTGAGGCTGGGAGCTCAAGACCAGCCTGGGCAACATAGCAAGACCCTGTCTCTACTAAAAATAAAAATAAAATTAAAAAATTAGCTGAGTGTGGTGGTGTGTGCCTGTAGTCCCAGCTACTTGGGAGGCTGAGGTGGGAGGATCGCGTGAGCCAGGGTGGTCAAGGCTGTAGCGAGCCATGATTGCACCACTGCACTCTAGCCTGAGTGAGAGAGTGAGACTCTGTCTCTTAAAAAAAGAAGTAATTTCACCCAGACATTCACTTATCTTGTGATTTTTGGAAGAGCAAAGTGTCAAAACTTGTTATTTGTCTTTGGTCCCAGTGTTGTGGTTGTATATGGACAGTGAATAATATAGAAAAGAGTTAAGAAAATATCAGTATCCTCTGGAAGCAGGAAGTGTAACATTTCAGGATGAATACTCAAAGGGACAGAGGAAAAGAATTCAACTGTTTGGGAAGGGCTTTGGTGTCAGAAGTTCATGCTGTTGTCTTCAGAATATGACAGACTCAGGGTCCAAAAAACATGTCAGCCTAAGATAAGTTCCAAGTGAGGATATTTTTTTTACAAGCAAGATTGTGAGTGCTAGGTCACTTCTGCAAAATTTGTGGGCAGTGGAATGATCAGTGGTTAGTCACGTGGCTCTTCTTAGTCCTGTACTTCTGTGGTCATGCAGTCCTTGTGGTGGGGCACTGAGGCCTTTCTGCCCTGTGTCCAGTGTTTGTCACACCGTTTCCCACATAGGCTCTTGATAAATGTTTGTGGGACTGAGTTGAAATGCAAGATAGATGGGAGTCTGGTAAAGAGAGGGAAATAGAATGGAGAAAGTTGAATATATGTAGAAATAAAAGAACCTAGAAACATTAGGTCATAGAACGTGGCATTTGGGCAAATTGTGGCCAATCATGGGTTATGTGGGGACTGTGGTAAGATAACCATTTGTCACATCTGGATTGAGAAGTTGACTCTCACTTGGATGTTCTATTTAGATTGACTCTACCTGGCATTTTCATGGTGTTGCTATCCATGTTGCCTTCAAATGGCATACAGTTCCTGGAGTTTTCAGCTAATTTCACTTCTGGGAGCCTTCTCTAATCCCCCAGCTCTGGATGAGGCGTCCCTTCTGTGTGCTCCAGAGGCATTCTGCGTCTCACTGTTGTGCATTTACCTCACTCTGTTGTAATTGCCTGTTTACTTGTTTGTTATCTTCCATTAGACTGTAAGCTTGCAACCATGGCCATCTAGTTGGCAGAAACTCAATACATGTTTGTTGAATGAATAGGTCATGCCTCATCCTTCTTTGGGGGACTAATATTGTTTTTATAAGTATGAATGCATAGTTGGTTCTCATTTAAAACAAAGTCTACATGAAGATGTTCACTTACAAAGAAGAAGAAAGGGGCATGGGAGCAAGAAAAATCAATTAGGTAATGATTATAGCTGTCTTACACCCATTCGAGAACAAAGCAGGGCACAAAGGTATCAATTATTCATTTTAACGAACATTCCCCAGTGCCTTTTAAAACCAAGAGGTCCAGTTGTACTTCTCTTGCTGCTGAATGTTGAAGAAAAAAAAGGCAATGCATGAGTTAAAAAGCATTGGCTAGCATTACAATTATGTGTGGTTGGAAAGTGCAGGAGTGGGATTTTAGAATTGTAAGGAGATAAGCCCTAGAGGAGCCTTTAGTTTATAGTTGGTCATCCTTGTTTTCATCTAGGAAAACAGGCCCTTGGGTTGCATTATATGTGTCTATTGGAATGTTTAATTTAGGCTTTAGAAAGTAGATTTCAGAATTTAGCAGCTATGTGTAAATGAACCAACTGGTATTTTTAATTTTGACCTTAGAAACACGTTTTTAAAATTATTAATCCACTGATAGGGTAGCCTCTACCAATCAAGAAAATTTAGTAAATTTAAATTGCCTGAGATATTATTACACTGGATCCTTTTGGTGCTAGTGCTTTCAAATTCTGTTGGGATCTGTGTTAGGAATATGTGACATGTAATCAAGAATATCCATTTCAATTCACCAATCCAGGGAATACTCAGCTGAGTTCAAAATACATGTCAACTCCCAGCAAATACATAATGGCATAAATATAAGAGGCACATTAATTCCTTATACTTAAAAGTGTATATTCTGTTAAAACAATTTTATGAACATATTTTATTCTTATTTCTGTGAAATCATAAAGAAAAAGCCTCTTGGAGTTTTACTCTTAGAAAGAAAATGAGAGAAATAAGGTAAATACTGTGCCTTTCCACTTTAGAGCTTAGCTGGAATTTGTCACTGCCCAATTCCACTCCCTTTAGTTTCCTTTGCCCATGGTATATGTGTCTCTTTAAGCTTCCCCCTTCTAAATAATCAGAATTTTTTGACTGTCTTACGTATTTTATGTTAAGATATGCAAAAATGCACTACATAGTAAAACATTCTAATTTGTACCATCATATTCTTTTTACATAAAAAATTAGTTTCTATAAACAGAGCAAGAAAAGTTTTGGTTAAGTGGGGGAAGATAAGAAATGTTACTTCATTCCACCAGAGAAGCTCAGCTCTGTGTCTGGGTTGCCAATGGGTGTGGCTATCTCAAGACGTAGAGTTGATTTGGAGTTCTTTGGAGATTTTGGCAGTTTCTGGGTCATTTGCTAGTAAACACATCCAGTGTGAACTCCCTCGCTGCTGTTGCATATTTCTATATGATTCTGTCATTTGCATTTGAGCCTGCTAAACTCTCCTTCCATACCATTCATTTATTCATCAAAAGCCTGCTTTATGCCAGACACCATGTTAAATCTTGAGAATACAAAGTAAAATACTCCTTGTTCTAGAGGAACTTACAAGTAAGTGAGGGAGACAAAGTTGAATTAATTACAATATATTGTGGCAAGTGTGACCATTGCTAGGGGAGCCCAGAATCAGGGGCATTTAAATCAAATGCGAGTGACAGGTGGGCAGTCCAGGAAGCCTGCACAGAGGAGAGGGCCCTTCAGTGGAGAAGTGACGGATGAGTGAGAGTTAAATGAGGGCTGGGACGCTGGGGGCCAGCATTCCAACTAGAGAGCACAGCCTGTGGGAAGGTGTGGAGGCCTGAAATGAGACTTCCCCTGTGAGGCTCAGCCTGGGGAAGAGATAAGGGAACCCGGTGGGAAAGGGAGAGGAAAGGGGGCTGGAGAGAAAGGCATGAGTCATGTCACCAAGAACCTGGAATGCTAAGCTATGGAATCTGCTTCATCTTTAATGTTAGCATAGTCATTGAAGAGTTTTAAGCAGAGTGGCATGGTCAGATTTGCATTTTAGAACAATGACTGACAGCTGCAGGGGAGATGCATCGGAAGGGAGCCAGACTGGAGCATGGGGACCCAGGAGGAGGCTTTCTTTAGTGGTAATGAAGTGAAGAAAGGGATGAGGACCTGACTGAAGCTGTGGCGGCAGAGTGGACAAGGTAGGTGGGGATGAGTGTAGGCGGGGCACAGGGCGAGGATTCCTGGCAGGCACACTGGTTTCAAAGAGCAGGTCAGCAAAAGGCTTTCTGGAGTCAGTGTTGTCCTCTTCTCACTGGGTGAAATGTACTGGGGACTTCAAGTCAGCCTTCCTCCATATACACTAGCAAATGCCTGCGTTACTGTCAGAAGGCTTGGCAGAAAAACCAGATCCAGGCATGCCTGATGTGTCATGTCTAGAGACGAAATCACAGTTTAGGCTCACCATGAACAAGGCAGAAGCCCTGCTTGACTTCTCAGATTCCAGAGAACTTTGCAGAGTTGGTGGTTTCTTTTTCTTTCTTCCTTTCTTTTTTTAAAGTCTTCTGTTTCCCTACAAACCAAACAAATTGAATCTGAAGACCATGGAGAGAGAATAAATATGGAACCTGCAGGACTATGATTACAGAGTTGTATTTTAGAAAACAGCAGTTAAACTTATAATTGTGTTGTTAGGGACACAAGAAATTTTATGGTTAGGTGTCCTGGTCTTTTTCCATCTTCCTACACAATGTGTTTAAATTCTGTCTGATACTCTTTATCCTAGCAGCTGACATTGCTGTTCTTAAAGGCTCACTCTGATTGCTAATTCTCACTCCTTGTATAAAAGAAAAATTTCAGTAAGATAGAATGCTTCCCTAGTTTACTGCTACCTCCTCTCAGTCTCACTCACTCTCTCACTTAAATACACACACAGCCTATATATTAAAATGTCTTTTCACATTTTATTTTTTAGGATTTGGTTCACCTTATAATGTCACTTATGGCCTCTTCTATATAATTGATCAAAGCTTGATTTTGTCATGTTTTGCTTGATTTCCCTTAATTGTGTCATTATTGAGATTGTTTGATTGACTTTACTCAGAGAACTGCTTTTAGTTTAAAAAGGAATAAAAACAGAGGAAGAAAGGAAGGACTAAAAGTAGAACAAGCTTACAACATTGGGTAGAAGACACCACCTTGTAGGAAGCTCAGTTAGTCTCATACAGAGAGAGAGAGAGAGAATCATGTCATTTCCCACTGATCCTTTTGTCTTGTCATTGTAGAAATACCTGTGTCTTTCCACTGATGTGACTGCATATGTTTCCCAATGCTTTGGGCCTCTGCTTGGCTTGTTTCCTCAAAACCACCTTCTCCTTTATGTTATGTGGCGTATGACTTCTGAGGATAACAGTGGTGGTGGTTGGGGGTGGGGTGTTGCTGGTGGTTCTAGATCTTTTTTAAACTCTCACAGACTCATTACCCTACATTTTCTAGCATGTAATTGCTTATGCCATCTGTGGTCCATTCATTTGAATTTGTTTCAGCACAGTTAATCTAATCCTATGTAAACTCCCCCAGAAGTTTTTTATGTTTTTCTTTTCTGCAAAGAATTCAGCAATTCAACTTTTTTCCCTTGTTTCCTGCTGTTTTAAATACTCATTTTCATCTTTTATAAAAATGAAGCCAAGGCTGAGTATTTCCAGTTTCTTAATTCTGAAGACAATTTGAAGGCAAAAAGCAAACCTTTTCTGCTAAGGGTAGGATGTCTTAGGTCAGTCATATCAACTGAATCTCTCCGCAACCCTCTTGCTAGTAATTCTTCCATAGTTATGTGCCATTCTTATTATGCCCATAACTTCTGTCACTAATGGTGATGGAGCTAGAGTCTGTGGACAATATTTATCTAAGAAAAGAACATTTAAGTATGTAGGTAAAAATAACTGAAACTGGATTAGACATTGGCTAAAAATAAAATGCTTTATAGTCATGACTTTTCCAATTAAAATTGCAATACTTGGCTGAGCGCGGTGGCTCTCGCCTGTAATCCCAGTACTTTGGGAGGTCCGGATGGGTGGATCACTTGAGGTCAAGAGTTCAAGACCAGCCTGGCCAACATGGTGAAAACCCACGTCTCTACTAAACATACAAAAGTTAGCCAGGCATGGTGGCATGTGCCTGTAATCCCAGCTGCTGGGGAGGTTGAGGCAGGAGAATCGCCTGAACCTGGGAAGTGGAGGTTGCAGTGAGCAGAAATGGTGCCACTGCACTCTAGCCTGGGCAACAGAGCGAAACTCCATCTCAAAAAAAAAAAAAATTAAATTGCAATACTTGAAATTGTTTATTGAGATAAATGATACTCCTAAATAGAAAACTGAGGTAATTGAAGCATTTGGTTAGTTTGTGAAGCACAGGGAAAAGACTTGCCACTTTCTGTCCAAAGGCTGATTCCTTCTAAAGACATGACACAATAAACATGTCTGTTTTAAAAATGACTTTAGGGCCCAGAGCCATCAAGGCCTGGCTAGGGAATTAGCTCAGTTGGGGACTTCGTAGACACTGGCACCTCCTGGCTGCTTTTCATTTTCAGGGGTATGTTCAGCAGGAGCCCTGGAATAGGGAGGTAGCTTAGCACAGTGGTCAAGAACCTATGCTTTAGAGCCAGACTTCCATGCAAAACTCACCTCTACCACATGTGAGCTATACAGGCCTGAGCTGTGAAGTTACTTAACCTCTCTAGGCCTGAGCTCCTTACCTGTAACGGGGAGAATAGCAGTGCCTTCCTGATGGAATGACTGTCAGGAGTAAATGAGTTATGTATGTAAGGTGCTAGGATATGGTGTGCACTCAACTCACTGAGTGGTGGGGCTCTCGTCAGCACCCCCACCATCAGGGCCCTCTAGAACCCTGCCATAGAACCTTGGAGAGACCTGGGTGGCTTTCTTACATGGACCCCCTGAAGCTTGGTGTTATATGTAACCCCAGGTTGCTTAAGAAACAGTATTAGCAAGGTTTTAGGACATGTCATTAACATCCCTCTCTCATTTTGTACATTTGAGAGGAAGGAACAATCATGGCAGGGTTTAGTAATCCTCGTATATTAGAAATAACATCTATTGTATTTTATCTCTCTGGCTCCTTGCATAATGAAAGACTGCATTATTCCTCGGGCTCCAACATTTTGCATTTGAAATTCCTTCAGTTTTCTAAAGTAATTTGTTGGTATTATTTTTATGCTTTAAAAAATATTTTATTACTTAACAGTGGGCCATATTCTGTCTTCTGTTTTGCCATTTCTGACAGAAAAATCAGACAGTCGGAAACAATTTTTCTAAAAACTGCTTGGTAAGCATTATGCTAATCTTTCTTAATAGGACATAATTTAGGATGTTAGTAAATTGTTCTTGCACCATCAGTTTCAAGTCCTGGACTAAACTACATGAGATAAAGATAAAATTTCTTACTGTGCTACACGTTGATTAGCTTATACAGTGCCTGAGCCCCACTGCCTCAGCCAGGAATGAGCTGAGTTGCTTGTGAGGTTGTGACTTTCTGAATCTTCCATTTCCTCACCTGTGAAATGGCGTTAATATCTGTTTTTACTCTGCCTATGATTTTTGTGAGGATCAGATGAGTTAATGTGTATAAAAGTATTTTTTAATATGTAAGTTTTTATACAAATATAAGGATATTCTTACTGTCATTTAACCTAGAGGCCTTTTTTTCTCTCTGCTCACTACCTAAATGCTTGATAGGCATGTGGCTCTGTTTATTAGTCTTGCCTTTCTTCCTTCATTCCAGAGGCAATCTTTTCTACTTTGTTTTCTTCCCACTTGCTGCCACTTGCTGATTAACTAATGAGAGGTGATGTTCAGCTAGGAGGAGTGCTTCCTCTGCTACCACCGTTGTCCCCACTGGGATTCCAGGTGCATCGAGAATGCAGACAGCAAGGCTTCTGTTTGTAGATTGGTTGTGGGAAAAAAAAACCCCATACTCACAGGATTCTTAAGACAAATGCAGTGGATATTTTGTGTTTGAAAATGTTCTATTTCTTCTTTGATTCTTCCTTTTCTTTCTGGTACTTTTAATTTGTTGTGAGAAGGGTGATAAAGCTAATAATGCACCAAGGAATGGAAAGTGCTTCCATCTTTGCAGAGGTCCTGGAAAGTTAACTTTTGGTCTGAAGCCAAATCCCGATGTAGGACTTGAACTCATGACCTAATCCCAGAGGCAAGAATGTTACCAGCTGACCAACACTGACCCTCATAAAATGTAGACATTTAAAATACTCCTTTGAGTAGTCCTGTTGCTGCTTTCTATGTTTTCTTCTCTCTTTCAGTCGTTTCCAGCAGTGTTCCTGGCCTCCCTGTTAGGAGCACAGTTTTAAAGATCTATTTTTCTCACTGTCTTTCCATTTGCTGATTATAGCTGCTTCCTTCTTGCTTTCCATTTCTCTTGTGTGAGTTCCTTTTTTTGTTCCTGTTCCTTCCTGTCCTTCTTCTGACTTAAAAATAGATTCCAGGGTCTTTGGCTGCTCGGCCACAAATCCGACCTTCCTTCTATTCATATGGGATCCCCCTGAGCATCTAAAGATCTTTTCCTTCTCTCTCAAGATACTTGAACCCCAGCATTCATTCCCTGTTCTCAGCTGACTTGTGGAGCTAAATGACCCTTGTACTCAGAGCTGTAACTGAAAATTAAATCTCTCCTACAAAGATGCTTAATAAGTGATTTACTTATGTTAAGTGTTACTGACAAACACTGAATTCTCCCTGAATCTACTGACTGTGTGTGGTGGTAGAGGAGAAGGGACTCTTTGTACACTGACTCAAGGCATGCGTGTAACACTCGTTTTTGTGCAAAGCAATGGTACTGTGACCATTTGAACCTCAGGAACCAGCTTTCAGACAACGTACTGTTAAGGGTATCCTGGAGGGACCTGCTGCTGTTTTGTTCCCACAGAAGTGTTTCTCAGGGACCGAAAGTTGATTAAAGTGTTTCCTCATGAACATTCTTTGGTTAGAGTTGGAGGATTATGATATTCTTTACAGAAATGACTTCCTATCCAATGTTGATCTAGACAATCCACAAATGAGTGTCTGCTCGAGGGATAAAGGCTTGTAAAACTTTAGATGACTGGGATAAAAAGTGCTGATGACAGCAGCTCTGATTTCAGTGCCCAACCCCAACCTGAAATCACTATTATGCTCTTGTTACAGCAGCAGGGATGATGATCCTCTTCTCAGTGGCAAAAGAGTTTTAAAAGGTTTCCTTCCATCTGGACCTCCAGACATAACCTATGTGGTTATGTCTCCATGAAAAGACCTGGTCCTATTCTTAGTAGAGAATCCGGAGTTTTTGGTTTCATCAGCCATAGTGAAGTTCACATTTATGTGCAGCTCTCTTATCACTGTGTCACTGCTTATGGCATTGCATTTACCTGCCCTGCTTTTCTGTTCACTGGTTGACTGATGAATCCTACTTAACCCTTTAAGTTGCAGCTCAAATGTTATCTTTACTCTTCTACTTTTCCCAACCTCTCTTCTGGATTAAGGATCCTTTTATCTGAGTTTCCTTAGCACTTTACCAAAAGCTGTATTACAGCACTTATCACACTATTAAAAAAAATGTTTCTCTTTGCCCTATTCGTTTCAGTGTTTCATGAAAGGGCGGGGGCCATATTTAATTAATCATCATATTCCCGTAACCTGGGACAGTGTTTGAGACATAGTTAGTACTTAGTGAGCATCTTATAAATTGTTTGGCCTTATCTTTATTATAGAACGTGTATCTTTAGTGACTTTTTTTTGGTATTTGGTAATATTGTAAGTTCCATTTTTTGAAGCAAAAGGAAAACATTGAAGCAGCTAAATTTAGCTTATATTTTATACTCCAACTACTGATAACAATAAAAAAAAGAAAGTGATGCTTTTGCCTCATCTTTGTCATCATTACTTGACCTACACATTTCATGATTGTATGAAAAGTGGCCTAGGTATGACAGTAACCTTTATAGATGGGATGACTTGGAATTTAGAGTTAATCCATATACTTCTTAGTGACATATAGGTTTGAGTCATGGGTCAAGGATAGACCTCTGGGAACTCAGTTTCTGCTTTGAATTCTGAAGTTATTCTACTTAGGATTTTCATGTATCTTATTATATCTGGTATCTGAGGCCTATAATTGGCTTCAAACTTGCATTGACCCACTGTCAAGCCAATAAGGCTTTGCCCTACATAACACATTTTTATGAAGGGATCTGACACATCTCCATGAACATAGTAATGAAGGTTATGCCCATAATGATGAGGCCTGTTACTCTGAGATTTATGTTGCAGGCTTGTCCTGTAGTGTACTTTGTGTGGTGCACCTTTCTTACCGGAACTCACAGGCAAAAGGAGACTTAATAAGTGACATAAATTACATAATATTTTGGGTATACTTTTACATTTTCATTAGTACAACTCAATTCCCTTGCTCTCTGGCCCTCCGACACTTTTCTTTATTCTGTGGTTTTACATTCTTAAGTTTGAAATTTTCACTTTAGGCAAAATGTAAAGTTTATGCAAGAGGTTTTCAGAATTCTAGAATTTCAGAATTCTGTTTTTAGGTGCTTTCATTTACATTGTCCCAAATGTAATTGGCTCCATTAAAATTAAGTGTTCTGATGGCTTCTGAACCTTCCTGCATGCTTCCTTGCCTTTTTCTTTGCATCGGTGTTCAATGGCATAAATGTTTGCTTTAGAAAAGAAGGATGGACTTTTTTTTAAAGCAATGCCATTCTTAAAAGAGTGTTGAAGCAACATTATACTTTTTTTTTTTTTTTTAAGAGACAGGGTCTTGTTCTGTCGCCCAGTCTGGAGTACAGTGGTGTGATCATAGTTCACTGCAGCTTTGAACTGCTGGTCTCAAAGGGTTCTCCTGCCTCAGCCTCCCGAGGGGCTGAGACTGCAGGTGCACACCACCATGCCTGGCTAATTTTTAAATTTTTTGTAGAGATGGGGGGTCTCGCTATGTTGCCCAAGCTTGTCTTGAACTCCTAGCCTCAAGCGATCCTCCCACCTTGGGCCCCTAAAGTGCTGGGATTACAGGCGTGAGCCACCATGACTAGCCCATTTTGTTTTGTTTCGTTTTGATTTAAAGAAGAAGAAAATCATCTATAATTCTGCCATGATAACACAGTTCTTTTCACTTTTACTTATTATCTTCCAATTTTTGTTCACAGGCACACATTTTAACATAGTTGCAATCATGCTATCTATTCCGTTTGTGATAGGCAGGAAATATTTTTCAGAACAAATTAGAAAGGTTACTTTCTAATTTGAATCGTTTGTGATATTTGTTATGTTTCTGATGCCACAGACAAAAGAATGTATTTGGACTTGGTGTTTGAGGAGTTTTAAGGTGATAATGCTTATTTATTGGTTAATGAGCCTCATTTCTGTTTTTTACCCCCACGAAATCTCCCATCCTGTATCAGGGGTGTGGGGCTTGCATGAGGACCCTGATAGCACCATATGAGATGAGGGCATGTGACAAACGTGCAGTGGAATTCAGCTGGAGTGGATGGTGCTCTTTCCTTCTGCTTCTAGACATCATTGCCACTCTCTTGCTCTGGAGGATGTGGGTCCAGAACTCTCTAGGCCTGTGCTGTTCAATATGGTAACAACTAGCCATATGTGCCTATTGAGCACTTGAAATATAGCCAGTCCTAATTGAAATGTTCTGTACCTGTAAAATCCGCACCAGAGTTTGAAAAAATAATGTAAAATATCTCAGTAATTTCCTATAGTGATCACATGTTAAAATGGTAATACTGTGGGTAAAATGGGTTAAATAAAATGTATCGTTAAAATTAATTTTATGGCTGGGCGCGGTGGCTCATGCCTGTAATCCCAGCACTTTGGGATTACATACACCAGGCTGAGGCTGGTGGATCACCTGAAGTCAGGAGTTTGAGACCAGCCTGGCCAACATGGTGAAACCCCGTCTCTACTAAAACTACAAAAATTAGCTGGGCGTGGTGGTGGGCGCCTGTAATCCCAGCTACTCGGGAGGCTGAGGCATGAGAATTGCTTGTACCCAAGAGGCAGAGGTTGCAGTGAGCTGAGATTGCGCCACTGCAGTCCAGCCTGGGCGACAAGAGCGAAACTCCGTCTAAAATAATAATAATAATAATAATAATACTTGTACCTGTTTCTTTTCAATGTTTTTAATTTGGCAACTAAAAAATTTTAAATTGCCTATGGCTAGCATTATATTTCTACTAGACAATGTTGCTCTCAGGCCTTACTTTTCAAAATGCAGCTTGTGGTTTATTTGTGGGTTCTGAAGTCAGTTAGGTGGGCTAAAAATCAATATTTTAAAATCAGAACAGAATGGAATAGAAAATATTAGAATGTCATTATTGTAAAACTTTTTGTTTAAAGTATGCATGTGTGGACTGGATCCCATGTAAAATGTATTTTTTCTTTTTACTATGAATCATGGCTAAAAAGTTTGAAGATTAGTAATCTGGGGTGGCCTGACTTAATCTGAAGCATTACCAGGAGGCCTGGTCTGCTCTGTAAGAGGGCAGGTTGGTACCAGGAACACTTTATAGATTTTAGGTCTGGTTGGTAAAAGCTATTCTGGGACTCTTCAACTAGACCAGACCCTGCAGGAAAGTAAACCTGAACATTAGTGCTCATCCTAAAAGCAGTGGCCACTCAGGAGACTTCCAGAGTGAAGGGTGAACTAAGGATAGCTTACTGAAAGCTGGACCTGTGTGCTCAACCCTAAAGTGTCCCTGGAGTCCAAGAATGACTTTTGTCTGGTTACTTGCTTCTCGGAGACTTTTTCAAAATGGTCTCATGAGTGGTGATACTTTCTAAGAAGCAGGATGATTTCCTAATGACCTTAGAGCCAAGATGAATTGGACAGGGTTCCTTGTGACCCTCAGGTCCTCCCTGCATCATATCCTGTTGAAATCAGAAGAGACTGTATTCTAATCTAGAAGCATGTCTGTCTTCTTCCTGCCTGACAGAAAACATGTCCTTACAGTACAAAAGATGTAGGGGTGGTCACCAGAGCTGTACTTTTGGCTGGGTTCTAAATAAATGACACTGTAAGCCACAGAGAGAAGGGAGAAAAGGCTCCAAAAATGAAGTTTATGGGGTTACATGGGCCTTGTATTTATTCTGACAGTTGTAAAAATTCTTTTGGGCTGACCCATTTTTCTTTTCTTAATTAAAAAAAAAATATCTGGCAGGCAAGAGGAAGAAATGTAAACCATGTGACTAATGCTTCAGCTTTTTCTCCTGGAGCCAGATTCTTTAAAAATTATACCTTAGACATGTTTGACTTTTTAAAAACAATTGCCCACAAAAGCCACCAAACATTTTTTTTCTGAAACTTGTAGACTTAGATAGCATTCATTTTCAGGAAGGAATCCAAAAGTACAATATTTAGGAGTTATTGAACCAAAATCTCCTTTGGAGATTTTGCCCTGGTGAATTAGATTACCCTAGGAATTGGCAGAGGAACAGGCGGCCTTTTGCCTCTACTTTGCTTGAGTATTTCCAGTCCTGTTGGTAGCCACCCAAAATGTTTGAGGGAGTTAGACTAAAAGATCGTCAAGGTCCTTTGTAGACGAAAAGTACTATGACTCCAGTGACGGAATGACATGGCAGTCAGGAGTTATGTTTATGTTGACCTCTTGTTTTATACTTATTGCAAACAATTTGTTTGTTTACTCACTCACTCAAATTTGAGCACTTACTATGTGCCAAATGTTGGCCTTTGTAGGAAAATCATAGGATTTTAGAGCACTTATCATAGTAGATTTGAGGGCTTCAAAGTCAAGTTCCAATCTCCCTTTCTGGGGTGATTTCCTATGTCTCACTTTTGCAACTCCACACTTCAGCTAACTGGGCTATTTTCCTGTTTTAGGGTCTTTTCTCTTGCTGTTGCCAGGGTCTAAAATGTCCTCCTTTCCTTAATGCCAGACATCTTTAAATCGCCAGACATCACTCAAATTCTAGCTCAAATGTTACTTCTGTGAGTCCTCTCTGGTTTCTCAAAAGGTAGTAAGTGATTCTTCTCTCAAGCCAAAGCACTTTGTACTTCTTTTTTTTAACACCACACATAATCTTCTTAGAATGAACTGTATGAAATCACCAGTTTTATAAGTTAAAAATGGTTAAATATTGGCAGCTTCATACAGTTCCAGCTAATATTAACTGTGTTATTGTATGGAACTTAAATTAGGCCTCTATAAATATATTGCCCCCAAGACTTATAGCCAGAAATATTCTTTTGTCTTTTCTTCAAAAATATGAGTTATTATTAAACTAAGTTTCATTAAACCTGTGCTTGCAAGTTTCATTTAAAAAATTAAATATAGAAAATATTTATTTTTAATTTTATTAGTCTTAGCTAATCATCTAAAATTTTGATTCAGTAAACCAATGTATTAGCTATAACTTTCAGTGTAGTTTAATAAGGTTCTGTATAATTATCTACTTTATTTGTTAAAATGATTTATTCAACATGGCTAAACATAAAGCTCTGTGATATATTGCTGGAGACATTCCCCACTCCCAGCAATACTCGCCAGTTAACATTTTTTTCACCATTCAGTATTCCGTGACATCTGATTTGGATACATATCTAGGCAACTCTACAATTATTCAACTTACGGAGTTCCACTGTAGCTATAGAGATCTCAGGAGAGAGTTGGTGGGATAGTTATTTGAAGTCAATGAATATCATGTCTGTAGCATTCCATGTTACCTGTATAGAATCAGAGAAGGATGGAAAGTTAGTTTGATATGATTTTTTTTCTTTTAATTTAGAGACAGGGTCTTGCTCTGTCACACAAGCTGGAGTGCAGTATGGTCATAGCTTACTGCAGCCTCAAACTTCTGGGCTCAAGAGATCCTCCTGTCTCAGCCTCCTGGATGGCTAGGACTACAGGCCTATGCAATCCCCCATGGCTAATTCTTTTAATTTTTTTTTAGAGATGGGCCTTGCTATGTTACCCAGGCTCATCTCGAACTCCTGGGCTTAAGTGATCCTCCTGCTTTGGCCTCTCAAGGTGTTGGGATTATGGGCATGAGCCACTATACCTGGCTGATTTTATTTTTCTCGGTGATTTTATGTTAGTTCCTAGTGATCGTTGCTTACAAACCAAATCTGGGATTTTGGGAACATTTGTTGGCAGAACTACCCATCCGTTGTTTTCAGTCTACCTTAATTGCTGCCTAAAAATTGGTATACCTTCTTGTACACCCTTTAGACACCACTGTGATTCTAATTTCTGTGAAGATTCCGCTCATCACATCTGCTTCTCCTTTTAGTGTCCTTCCAGGTTATTTATCCGGCCCTGGAGACATGAAATCACTTGAAGGGCTAAGTGCTTTCTTACTATCACCTTCTCTATCTTGGGCTTTAGTTTCCTCTTCACCATGCTGGTCCTACCCTTTCCAGTTTGAAGATCATTTTCCTTGATAGGGAGGATAGAAGCAAAAGAGGAGTGAAGTAGTTCTGCTTTTTCTTTGTTATCAGTTAACATTACCCCACCTATCAGCAACCACTGCCTTCCTATTTTTGCTCCTAGAATAGCTGAAAAAAGTCCTTTTACTTGACCTTAACAATTTTGACAAGGCTCAGTTCATTATACTATTCACTTTCATGTTACTGTGTTTTATAAATATGTGTTATCCTAAGTATATGTATAGCTTTAATTATGGGACCTGCTTTCTATCTTTTATAATTTGGAAAACATGTACAACCACCTTGATCTCTTTAGGTGCTTTCTTTCATTGCATATTTTAAATATTTGTCTCACCTTTCTTGAAGCCTCTTGCCTGTTAAAGAAGGTTTATATAATAATGCTTTCCTAATGTTTGGGATACATGTCTGACACCTGTACAAGAAATGTAATCACCCTCCGCCAAGGTTTCTATATATCCTGCAGCAACCATTTTTCATAACTGAGCATAATTATGTCTGGACTAATAGTTATTTTTATTTCCTCCTATCAGTAGAGTAGATAAAAACCTAGAAGAAAGCATTGATAGCTATTGGTGAGTGCTTATATACTGAGAGGGAGGAGTCAAAGATAATTCCAAGACTTTTGGTGTATTTGAACAAAGAGAACAGTGGTATCATTAGTAGAAACAGGGATTCTGTGAAGAACTTCTTTGTGGTGCTGGTGGGAGGGTAGTGATATAGTTATTTGAATTTTAGACATATCATGCTGGAAGGGTTTCTGGATTAGAAGAGATTTGGGATTAGAGGAGTACATTTGGGTATCATTTACACATCAGTGATACTTTAAGCAGTAAGAATGAATGATATAGAGAAAATGGAAAATAAAAGAGTATTGCAGGCCAAGTGTGAGTAATGTCATGTTCAGGGGACCAAAAGGTAGAGACCGGTTAGCCTAGGAGTCAGAAAAGCATAGCTAGGGAGGTAGCAGCAGTAACAGGCTAATTCATTGGCACAGACTTTAGGGGAGGCCAAAGTTTTAAATACATAAGACTGTGTACTCTAAAAACAAGTAACATCCTGTCACTTTTGGTCATTTCAGCTTTCCAAAGCATATTTTAAAACTGAACATTAATGAAAAGCTTCTCTGAGTAACCCAAATAGCTCTCATCCCATAGGAAAGGCCAGGAGGTTATCATTCTTAATGCATATCATATCAATTCTGAATGCATAACAAAGTTGGTTGTTTATATAAAGTCATAATGAAGTTCCTTGTTCCAGTTGAGTAGAAGTAGCAAATCTGAAGAAAGTGGGGCTTTTAGAAGCAGACACACTCATAGCAACAAAAACTGACAATCCCAGTGGAAGCCTATGTTCAAATGTCACCTTCTTGGTAAGGCCTTGTCTAATCACTCATATAAATTGCAACCATGAAGGCCAGACGCAGAGGCCCACACCTGTAATCCTAGCACTTTGGGAGGCTGAGGTGGGAGGATTGCTTGAGCCCAGGAGTATGAGACCAGCCTGGGCAAAATACTGAGACCCTGTTTCTATTTTTAAAATCAATCAATCAATCAATCAATCAATCGCAACTCTCCCCATCTCTGTCTCTCTCTTTTTTTTTTTGAGACGGAGTCTCACTCTGTTGCCCAGGCTGGAGTGCAGTGGTGCGATCTTGGCTCACCGCAAGCTCCGCCTCCCTGGTTCATGCCATTCTCCTGCCTCAGCCTCCTGAGTAGCTGGGACTACAGGCGCCCACCACCACACCCAGCTAAGTTTTTGTATTTTTAGTAGAGACGGACTTTCAGCATGTTAGCCAAGATGGCCCTGTCTCTATTTTTTAAATAAACAAATCTCAACTCCCCCTAACCCTGCAACTCCCTATCCTCCATTTCAGCTTTACTTCCTCCTTAACACCACTGTCTAATATACCTTTTTATTTGTTCATTTGTTTCATTGTTATTGATTGATTGATTGCTGCTTCGTACATTAGAATGTAAGTTCCATGAGGACATGGGTTTTGGTTGTTTTTTTCCCCCTGCTATATTCCCAAAGTCTAGAACAGCACCTAGCCGATGGAAGACACGTGATTATTTGTGGAATAAATGCATGTAAGAAGAAGATGATGATGAAATACCAGGCATAAAAATAAGAAAAGTGTATAGGTATATAGATCATTTAGCTTTGGAATAAGCACTTCTATTTATGTCAGTTTCTCTAGGGGAAGATACTACAGTTCATTGTAGCACTGATGGCCTACTGAGCTGTAAATGAAAGGTTAAACTGTGCTCCGGATGTTCTGCTTTTGAAGGCAGAAAAATAACATATTTCAGTAACATTTTAATCAAATAAATGAAACTTTTAGAATGTTGATGTTTAAAGGGTCCCTCCTTGGGAAAATAATTCCTGTATTGAACACTAAATTCTCCCATGAATGACCATTATTATGTGATTTAAATGTACCTTTTTTTTTCTTTTCTTTTCTTTTCTTTTTCGAGACAGAGTGTCACTCTGTTGCCCAGGCTGGAGTACAGTGGCATGATCTTGGCTCACTACAACCTCCGCCTCCCAGGCTCAAGCAATTCTCGTGCCTTAGCCTCCTAAATAGCTGGGATTACAGGCATACGCCACCATGCCCAGCTAATTTTTGTGTTTTTAATAGAGTCAGGGTTTTGCCATGTTGGCCAGGCTGGTCTTGAACTACTGGCCTCAAGTGATCCACCTGCCTCCACCTCCCAAAGTGTTGGGATTACAGGTGTGAGCCACTGCATCCGGCCGTGTGCCAGTTTCTTAAAATTTGATTTTTCCTTAACCTTATTGACACCCTGAACAACTTTCTTGCAGGTCCACTGGAAATGTTAAACGTTTTGCCTCCTTTTTTTTCCAGTCTCAGAGACCTTTAACCCAAAGGTGTGGAATTAACCCAAAGGTGTGGAGCTACAGAGAAATATATGGCAGCTAAACTTAAAAACTGTTAAACTGGAATCTCTCCCACTGGTTTTGCTTTCACAGACTGTTGCTTTATTGTAGGACGTCAGTGGCCTGTTTGTTACTCTCATGTCTTTTTGGCAAAATGAATGAGTAAGTGCTTCTAAATTACTGTGAGATGCCTGTCGAATTGCATAAGTAGATTTGAAAAATGCTGTATTTTCGATTAAGGTATAGCTGCAAAGCATAGCTCTTCAGTTCAAGAGGCGTAGCCTGACCTCCTACACATTTTACCCTTCTCCACAGTTGCCTCTTAGTCCTTGAAAAAACATTTTTTTCTTATTCCCTCTCTTTCATTATTTACGTTGGATACAATAGCTGTGTACGCTATTTCCCTGGCTCAATATAATATAAGTTTTTAAACTTTACAATCTATGGTAGTGACTGAGAAAAACTTTTTAATGTGAAGGGAAAGTGTCCCCACTTTAATTAGAATGACAAAGCAGTATGGAGTTATGTAATAGGTATTCATGCAGCTCCATTGGTTACATAATATAATGGTCACTCACAACAGATACTTAAATCCATTTCACATCCAGGACCATTGTGTCCACTTGCAGAGACAGTGCTTTCTTTGTTTTCACCAAATAAATAGCTAGTGATTATTAGCTTAGCTTTTAAGTTAAATCACATTCCTGGAAAGGGAAATGTTGCAACTTTTTTTTAATAGGAGAGGAGAATGCATTTTTGAAAATCCAAACATACTATTACTGCCAGTGATATGACCATTACACCTCTTTGACAAGAGAAACCTATGTTTTATTTAATTTAGACAGTTATAATTTCACATAGTCACATGACCTTTATCCTGTTAATATGCAATCTAAATATTTGTCTTCAAACGGTTTCAGTAACATGGAACAGCCATGACTTAATTTGCCTACGATGATGTCTTTTCCCTTCCAGCACCCCGTAAGTGGAATTTTGACTTGTTGCTGAGTTTGTGATTTATTTACAGCATCTGACATGGAGTAGGTCTTAACTACTTGGCATGTGTGGAGTGGGGGTAGAGGGCAGCACGTGGGGATGTCTTCAGTGAGCAAATGGGGGGCCTGACCTACTCGGCCGTCTGGTGCTGCTCCTTCCGTGAGGCTTTGGAGTCTGAGGGATCTGGGTTCTGTCTTTCGACTCTTGGCTCTGTCAATTACTAGTAATGTGACCAGGTGGATTGCTTGTCCTGTTTGAGCCTCAGTGTCCTCATCTATAAACTGAGATTATTGTGAGTATCAAATGAGATTGTGTATTTAAAAGGGCTTCGAATATTAGACACAACCAAAGATAATGATTCCCAATCTGAAATTTACTAGTCAAAAATGAACTTGTAACACTGATTGACTTCTGTATTCATTTCCTCTGATCTGCTCCAGTCAGGAACAAGTTAAAGCAAGTGTATGCTTCTACTCGGAATAAAACTGGTATCAGTCAATGACAATGGAAAAAGAATAAAATTTGCCCCTTTCTATGGGTGAGGAAGAGAGTTGGAGAGGAGAATAATAACACTGTGCTCAGTAGAAGCAGATGACTTTACTTCAGTCATGGTTTATTTCATTTTGTCATCATAGGAATTTCTCTAATATTGTTACCATGGTTCTTAATCATCAATGCTTGTTATAATAACCGGGATTGAATGCACCTTCTTCAGTTACAGGGATTTGGATTTAGGGAGTTGGAGGTGGGGCCCGTGAATCTACTTTTAACAAGTACCCCAGGTGATTCTGATGAAGGTGGATCAGCCAGGCATGGTGGCTCATGCCTGTAATCCCAGAACTTTGGGAGGCTGAGGCAGGAGGATAGCTTGAGCCCATGAGTCTACCTGGGCAATATAGTGAGACCTCGTCTCTATGAAAAAAATAAAAAAATTAGCTGGGCACAATGGTGTATACCTGTAGTCCCAGCTATTCAGGAAGCTGAGGTGAGAGGATTGCTTGAGCCTGAGAGGTGGAGGTTGCATGAACCATGATCATGCTACTGCACTCCAGCCTAGGCGACAGAACAAGACCCTGCTTAAAAAAAAAAAAAAAAAGTAGATCGTGATCAACATTTAGGAAATTTTGCTCCCATCACTGTTGCTTTCTCCAGTAGTTTTCTAAGTGAATCTTTTCTTTTTTTCATACAGTTCATTCTTCATGTAAACTCATTCATCATGATATACTCATATTTACACTTACATTTGATCCTGATAATACCCACCTGCTTAAAACCCTTTAAAAGCTTCACATTGATACTAAGTTGAGTATCAAAGCTCTTCTGGCTGAGCTTCCACCACTCTCCCTTGGTTCACTCTCCTTTGGCCACATCAACTTCTTTTTATCCTTCTTGTATTCCAAGTTACTTCATGGCATTTGCACATGCTGTTCCCTCCCCTGAAACGTTCTCTCTCTCACCATTTATCTGGTGCACACCTACTGATTATTCCCATGTTTCCTCGTGAAATTTATCTTATATCTAAGACAAAACCTGATCCTCTCATGTTTTTAAGCAGCTTTTTATAGGGAGCAATGGTTTCTACCGCCATTAGACAGTTGTTAAATTATCTTCTCTGCTTGAATGTTGGCTTCATGAGGATAGGGAGTGTGTCTGTGTTGTTCATTTCTGTATCCACAGTGTCCTATAATAGTATGCAGAATATAGTGGAAGCTCAGGAAATATTCTGAAAAATGAATGAAAATGGGATTTGTGGCAAAGAAGTGATGCTCTAGTCCTCCACTTATGAGGATTTAATGACTGATGCAGTGAGTGGGCCTTTTTATAAAGTGGCAATGCGCCTAACTTAGCATTCTAGAATGAGATGTTTATTTCAGTGATAAAAACTTCTTATAAGTTCAGACACCTCAAACAATATCCTTTGTGTTCAACGCTTAGAACCTGGTATGGGAAAAAGGGGAAGTTATAAAGATTTCAGATGAAATCCTGACTTATTTTGCATGACATCTTTCATGCAGAAAGTATTGGAAGCTGCTTGGTAGTCCAATGCCTCACAAGTAAATTTCTTGCAATGTATTTATTTATACTTATATCACATAGCTGGTTGATTAGATTGTGTATTCATTTCCTCAGATACTCCCACTTGGAGTGGTAAAAAGTCAAGTAAGTGCATATTCCCACTCTCTGTTTTCGAAGCAAACAGTTGGCCCAGTGGCATCTACATCAGATAGAACAATAAGAGCAATGTCAGCCCCAGAGAATGAGAGATCTTTGTTATGTGTAGCTTGATTCAGCATCTCAATCTTGTTGGGAAAAGAATTCTGGAGAAAAAAAAACCCATGACTTAAGTAATTTTTAAAATCATGATAACCAAATATAGAATTAATTGGTCTTCAAAAAAATCTCAGAACAGTCATTTTAATAAATTCACTGCAGTTCTCAACTGCTATGAAGAGATGGGACCAGTTAATTTTGTTTACTTGAAATTTTTAGTTCAGAAAAACAGATTTTTGTATTTTTCAAGGTATCCATGGAGTTTCGCATGCATTGAATTCAGATTTAAAAATAATATGCAATTTACTTACAGTATTACTTTGTTTTCCATTCATTACCACAAATATTTACTGAGCATCCATTATGTAGTAGACATTATTTTATGCACCAGAGACACAGTGGTGGGCAAGACAGTTAAGGGCTCTGAACCCATGGAGTTTACAGGCAACAAACAAGTAAAGAAGTCAGTACTATCAATAAATTAGTCTAGATAAGGTAATCTGGTGTGGCAGGGGAAGATGGGAAGTGTGACACTGACCAGAGGGGTGCTCTAGGGGGTTTATCTGAGTAAGTACTGCCCAATGAAAAGAAGGCAATAAGGAGCCAGTCTGAGAACATGCTCAGGCTGAGCAGCATTTAAGGCAGATGGAACAAATGCAAAGATCCTTCCATGAGAATGAGCTTGCTGTGTTTTAGGAACTGAAGGAAGGCCAGTGTGGTTGGGGCCTAGAGAGGGAAGGAGATGGTTTTGGTAGTGAGGTCAAGGAGATAGGTAGGAAGGGCTTTGTGAGGTCTGGCAGAAGGCTGGATTTCATTTAAAGGATTATGGGAAGCCAGTGGGAGGTTTTAAGTAGGGAGTGACACCATCTGATTTGTGTTTTTAAAAGATCACCATGGATGCCATAAGAACAATTTAAAAGATTGTTTATTTTAGCAGTCCAGCTGAGAGGTGATGATCAAGCATTACATGCTTTTATTGTATATGTACAGACTTTATATGTACATATTTTTATTTGACTGAATTTGGAAGAATCAAGTAAAGGTTATTTAGGGACTATAATAATGTCACTAGATAGATTCATTACATTAGAAACATATCCATTTAATTAATATTCATGAAGAGCTTATTGCTGATTTGGTTGAAGGCCAATTTCTAGAGATTTAAATATGAATAGTCTTTGCTCTTAAAAATTTTACAGTCTAGTGCGGGATACCTATAATTAAATAAATACAACCTAATATGGGAAGTATATGGCTACTATGAATAAAACTGTAATAAATGTTTCTGGCCATGTCTTTTGGTGGGCATATACACTCATTTCTGTTGAGAATATGTCTGAGTGAATTGGTGAATTATAGGATAGGCATGTCAAGCTTTAGTAGCTTGTTGGACTTTATTATAAAAGCAGGATTTGTACTTTAGAAAGATCATTTTGTATATGGATGAGTGGTTGAAGTGATAAGACTAGAGGCAAGTGAGACTAGTTAGGTGCCTATTACTCATACCCAGTTATGGACTGAGATGTAAATTAAGGCAAAGGCAATGAGGCTGAGGAATGAGAATGAAGTGGGACGATATAGGAGATGGAAGAGGTTGGATTTTGGGGGGATGAGGGAGTAAGGATGATCTGTACATTTATGACTTGGGTCATTAAGTCAGAGGCTAGAAAAGGGGTGAGCTTTTAGAGGAATAAAATGAATTTCCTTATGTATGTGTTAAATTAGAGTTGTCTGTGAATTATTCAGGTGAATGTGGTAATTGGAAATTCAAGTCTAGAATTCAGAAGAGAAGTAAAAGCTGTAGATAAAGCTTTGGGAGTTAATATAATATTTGTGTTAGGTGAAACTCTAAGGATATATGTGTGGGATGACCAGAAAGAGTATAGAAAAAGAGGAAAGAAGGTTGTGGTTAGAAATGTTTCCATATTGATGGTAAGTGAAGGATGAGGAACTGTTGATGAGCCTTTAGATTCACAGAAGATTTTTGAGGAAGATGAGATAGTGTGGTTAAGTCTGACTGTGGGTCCAGACTGCTTGAATTTGAATCCTGGCTTTTCTGCCTCTTAGCTGTGTGACCTGGAATGAGTCACTTAGCCTCTCTGGGTCTCAGTTTTCTTATCTGTAAAATGGGGATAATAAATGTATCTGCTTTATAAGGTTATTATAAGATATATACAAAATGCTTGGAATTGTTGTTGTTATTGTTATTCTTGAGAAAATGATGTTTATAAGGAAAAGGTACAGAGTTTCAGGCGGGAATCAATAGTGCCGATTCTCCAGGGATATCACAGGAGGTAAGTGCTAAAACATTTCCATAGGATTGACAACCAGCTGGAAGAGTAATGGGGGCAGAAACAAACTCTGTAGGCTAATCATAATACCGTCCCTTTTTGTAGGAACACCTATTGAATTTCATAACATAAACACACAAGCAAGATCACATGGTTTGCTTGAAAGCCTCTCAGGTTATTGACATAAGTGCTAGTAATACCTTAGTTTAATATATAGTTCTTTAATTTAAAGCAGCTCAAAGTGTATCCTGTGTTCTTTTGAATCACCCTCATAACATCAAGGTGAGTTAAGGAAGATGAAGATAATATTCTTAGTTTACAAATGAGGAAACTAAGACTAAGAGAGGCCAGATGACTTTATCCAAGCTTTTATTAATCAACTTCTCTGTTATCCCATCAATAAACCCTAGTCATCCTTGTTTTCACATTGTCAAGCATAGTATAGCTCAAAGGGTAATCAATAGAGATTCTGCAGTTTAGAATCACCTAGGATGCTGGTTAAAATGCAGACCACCTAGCCCTTGTTCTGGGTCTACTGATCGGAATCTCTGGGGCATGGGCTCAGGAATCAGTTTCTGCCCAGCACTCCAGGTGAATCTCTTGAAAACCCTTTAGTGTATTTAAGAGAACAGGCAAATAGATCCATAAATGTATCTTGTTTATTAGTGAGATTTTTCACAAAAAAGTGTTAAAATATTTTGTATTCAGAAACTCAGGCTACTATAACTAAAACCTTAGAACCTTGTTCTGAACATATTGTATGATTTGCTATATTTTTGCAGTTGAATAGTACTTTTGGTTAAAAGTAAAACTGATTTGACCTTACAAATGAATAATAGAATCCATTGGTAAGTTACCACAGCACTGCTGGAGAAGTCACAGAGAAGCTATGGCTGAGGACTCTATTTTATATCGATTCGGTTAATGGCCCTACCTGCAGTTAGTATTTTTAGTTATATAGTATTGATTAGAAAGAGTTGCTCCCCCTATATTTATAGCTTCAGTATGCATATGATGATGAAATGAGCCATATCTCTCTCTGTTTTTTTTTTTTTTTAGCATAGCAGCATAAAACTCTGAGGCTCAGGTAGCTTTGAAGACTGTCTCTAGGAGGTGGGACCTCATAAGAGTCTAGGCCAGGTCTAGGTGGTAAAAGCCTCGTGAATTTACTTTCTTATTTAATTGTAGAGGAGGTGCATTTATCTGTATGAGTTGGCGTCTTATCTGTCTATTAATTTGTTGTATCTCTGGCTTCCAGCAGCCCCATAGTAGGAACTCAACAAATATTTGCTGAATGAATGTATCTACTCAAGTGTATTTAGGAACAAACAAAAACAACCAAATCAAAAGGAATTATCCTAGCTCACTACCGAGATAGCTAGTTCTAGAAAGCACTAGCAAGTAGCTGATAATTAATTGAACTGGAACTAGAAACAGAGTCTAGTTCCTTGCCCACCCTCCCCTTCATTTTTTCCTGACTGCCACCTTTATCATTGAATCCTAAGGTTGCGAGAGGCCTTACCCCATCAGTTCTGCAACTCCCTCTGTGAGGCTCCTGCTTATTTACCTGGCATGTATTTAATGTCTATGGCATATGCACTAGTACTAAGCTCTGTACCCCTTTCTTTACACGTCATTAAATGAAGAAATTCACACTCATCATCTCTAAGGTTTTTAGAGAGTAGAAATTCCTTATTCCTTTTATAGATTTCCTTAGTACCTCATTTGAGTTCTTGGCACAATGGAGGCTCTTCTCTTTTTATTTTGTATTTTTTTTATTTTTAGAGACAGGGACTTGGTCTGTTGCCCAGGCTGGAGTGCAGTGGCACAATCATAGCTCATTGTAGCCTTGTACTCGTCCGTTCAAGAGATCCTTTCACTTCAGCCTCCCAAGTAGCTAGGCACATATCACCACACCCAGGCTAATTTTCTAATTTTTTTTTACAAACAGGGTCTCACTATATTGCCCAGGCTAGTCCTGAACTCCTGACCTCAAGCGATCCTCCCACTTCAGCCTCCCAAAGCACTGGGATTATATGCATCAGCCACCATGCCTGGCCAAAGCACTTTTAATACTGTTTTAATGACTGATACCAAGAGCGGGTCACAAGCCATGGAAATGATGAGCATCTTCTTAGGAGGATAAATATTTTCTTTTCAAACAAATGCCTATCTTTTTACATAAAATTTTGATCATTAATATCTAGTAAACAAAATGTTTGCTTTCTTGGTTTCTGTTCATTTGGACAAATTGGATCTGTGTTTTTTTGCCAGCTACCAGGCCTTTCTATATGCTACTTTCTTCTTTAAATGTTTTTTTACAAGTCAGAATTTATAAATCTGCCCTTTTGTCTGGCTGTATCCCATAATCAATCATATTGTCATTCTGCTTTCATTTCCCTTTATTTCTGAAAATAGAAGGAAACTGTCTTTTGACTAGAGAGTAGATCTCTAAACCTAGCAGGTAGGAAAATTATTTAATAATCTGGAAATCAGAGCAGAACACGAGTGCTTTCCATGGATTCCCAGTCTGTATTACCCAGTAGTTTCTCATGCAGAAGCCAGCTTCTCCTGGCTTTCCTTGAGCCCTTGGGTTAAGTCATTCATCCATCTTTCTTAGACTCTTAGACTAAATTTACTCATTTAAGAAACTATAATAATGAGAGGGATTTTGTTTCCCCCCAAAGAGAGTCTTTGGCACTAAGACGTTATTTTTTGTCTTTAGGTGTTAAGGATTTCAGTCAGTGTCAAGAGGTAAGAAGGATAATACCAGAGATAATACCAGATGTAATCAGACTTAACTTTGGGTGAAAGTAGTTGGTGTAGGGGAAAGAAAGTGAAAAGTATTTGTAGAGTGCTGAATAGCTTGTAATCTTTCAACATGCCTTAGATCTATTATCTAACTTTCTCTTTCTTACAAAAATCCTATGAAGTCTGTAGATTCTGGGCAATTGAGTTCTGATAATTCTTGGGTGTACAGATATGGAGATTGAGTACCCAATACCGTATTGCTTTGTGTTTTTAGGGAATATTCCATGATTGAAAGACAGGGCTGGTTTTATATCCTTGCTTTAATGCCTATGCTAATTGGCTGGGTAACTCTGGGTGTGACCCCTTACTTCTCCAAACCTCTGTTTCCTTAAGTGGGAATAATTCCTACACTACAGGGTTGTTGTAAGGGTTGAGCATCTAATCCATAATGTGCACTCAGTAAATACAAGTTAGCCTTCTTTCTTCATTTACAGTCTAAGAATGGTTTTCTTAGAATTAATGTATAGCTTATGAAGAAGAAAACCTATTAAGAAAAAAAGCCAGTTTAGTGTATCTTTTCTTTTCTTTTTTTTTTAGACGGAGTTTTGCTCTTGTTGCCCAGGTTGGAGTGCAATGGCGCGATCTCAGGTCACTGCTACCTCCGCCTCTTGGGTTCAAGCGAGTCTCCTGCCTCAGCTTCCCGAGTAGCTGGGATTACAGGCACCCGCCATCACACCCAGCTAATTTTTTTTTTTTTGTATTTTTTTGTATTTTTAGTAGAGATGGGGTTTCTCCATGTTGGCCAGGATGATCTCGAACTCCTGACCTCAGGTGATCCACCCACCTAGGCCTTCCAAAGTGCGGGAATACAGGCGTGAGCCACTGCGCCCAGCCTTCAGTGTATGTTTCAAAGAGGTATACTCAGGATACACGCAACTGTTTTTCATAGAACTTTGCCCTAGGTTTGATCACCTAATAACATGCTTGAAAGACACCTGGTGGGTTTATCAGTAGCCAATTCTAGCAAGCCCATGATCTAGGAATATTATACGTGCCAAAAACAGTGCTGAGGGATAGAATACTTGCCAGAGACACTGCAGCCCAGAGGTTTGTGAGTCATAAAGCTACATCTTACATCTGAATTTATAAGTCCACATAGACTTTAAATATTTCATTTTGGAGGGGAAGGGATCAAACTAAACAACGTCATTATTACTTGAATTCCGAGATCCAGGGGAGTAATAATTTTATTGTCATTTTGGATAATGGGGCTTTGGTTTTTAACATTACAATAATAGGTAATCATAACAGTGGGAACTAAATGTTCCCATAGGAATCGCCTAGGTAGGGAAAGTGCAGAAGATTCCTTAATGTGGTATACGGAGTAAGAATCAAAAATTAATGACTTGACTTTAAAGTTTGGAAACATCAGTTAGTTGCTACCCTTCCCCGTACTCTCCCTGGAGGATTGGTGAAGGAGCACTTATAAATCTCACAAGGAGATAAAGCCCCATGGAGCTGTCTGTGGGATTTATGGCATGCTGGGAAAGCTTCTGGGCTGTGGGGAAGCCTCTCCATTCATAGCAGGCTTCATTCACAGAGAATATTAGGTCACACAGAAGCTCACTACCCCCTGCTGACCTTTACAGACAGAGATTGGTTGGGCTGCACAAAAACAGAATGGACTCAAGCAAGCCAGGGCACCTGTTAACCTGTGACCTTAGTTTATGAAGACCTTGGACATTTGAGGCTCTGAATGAGAGAAAAAGGAGGGAGCTATGAATTTTGGAAGTTCACTCTGGATACTAATTTGTATGTGACAATTTGTGATCTTATTTGGCAAATGCAACAGTGACTATTTTAATTCAAACTCCTCTCCCTCCGTGCAACTCTTAAATCCTTGAACTTCTCAAAATTGCATTGATGTATTCCTTTTATAAAGTAGGTAACGAAGTCATTGAAACTAAGTTTTTGCCCTAGGTCCGACAGTAAATTGGCTCCAAATGGAAATGCAACCTGTTAATTCATAACGCCTTAGTTCAGCAGTCCCCAACCTTTTGGCACCAGGGACTGGTTTTGTGGAAGACAGTTTTTCCATGAACGGGGGTTGAGGGGTGTTCGTTTCAGGATGAAACTGTTTCACCTCAGATCATCAGGCATTAGTTAGATTCCCATAAGAAGTGTACAACCTAGGTCCCTCGCATGTGCAGTTCACAATAGGCTTGGCGCTCCTATGAGAATCTAATGTCGCCGCTGATCTGACAGGAGGTGGAGCTCAGGCAGTAATGCTGGCTCACCTGCCACTCACCTGCTGCTGTGAGGCCCGGTTCCTAACAGGCCATAGACTGCTACTGGTCCATGGTGCAGGGGTTGGAGACCCTTGCTTTAGTTATTGGCATTCTGAGTTTCAAGCAGAAAAGTATCAGATGAAAGTGAAATTATTTTATTTGAAAAATGTGGTCGGCAAACTTCTTAAAATCCACTTAATATTTAAATTTGCTTTCTGGGAAACTTTGGAATCCTTAAAGGATGACCAGAATGTCAGAAATGGAGATTTGTGTTAGAGAAGATAGAATCTGTTATGGATTAATGTTGGACCAAGACTCCAGGAGTACTACTCTTTTTCAGGAGATGAGAAACACAGCTTCCTGTTTCCTTCAGGAGGGTTCCTGGACTCTATCTAGGAAACCCTACTGAGACAGGATGGCAAAGGGGGATGGGATTTCTGTGTGATAAAACACTAGCTATTGTTTGTTATTACAGCTCCCTTTACATCTTCCTGAGGATGAAGGATATTCATCATAGAAGCCTGACCACGTGGCTTCATTCTAACAAGTGGCTTCAAGCAAGGTCAACTCTTGGGGCTCGTGTAGTTTTTTCAGAGCACATTGGTTTGTCATACACATGCCCTTCTGCCTCTCCTGCCTCCACATTTCTACTTTCTTCATAGTTCAGAGGTGTAATTCCCTTCTTCTATCAGATAAAGATCATGGTGACAACACAAATACCTTAACTGGAACGTACACAGAAAGAAAATGTCTCAGCCAGTGTGAAGGTGTCTCTTGACACTGACACAATCTGAGAGGGACTTCTGGGCAGGGGTATGCTGATAAACTGGCCCTCCAAAATAAAAACCCTAATTTGTAGCATTGCTAATTTTCATGGCGTAAATAGTGTCACCATGTCTGAACTCACACTACCAACATGATGCCACTGAATGCAGAGGTGAGGAGTGTGCACATTTGGCTCGTGCAAGAGGTTCAAGCTGGCTCCAGCATACCGCTGTCTAAGCCTTGATATGTTTGTATAATTAGAGGGAAGGTACATATGTCAGCACATATGTGAATCTGGTGGTGAAGATTTCTTCTGGTTTCTCTGCCCAGAAATGCCATCATAGATCAGACGATGTATGAATTTGCCACATGTGCAAGTGCCTCTTCTGGTGCTGCCCATCTTTACTCTTGGAACCAGCTTAATTTTGGTACTCATCCAGATACCATCCTTAGCCTACTACTCTTCCTATTTTAATTGATGTAATTTCTACATATTTCCATCTTAGACCCTTCTCCCAACTTTTAGATTCTAACTGCCTGTTGGACTTACCATTGGCATGTAATTCAGTACCTAACCCACCAAAATCTGACTTCCTCCCCTCAATTTTCTTTCTTATAGGTGACACCATTACCTTTCCAGCCATCCACACTAGAAATCAGGTGAAGTTTCCAGATTCTTTATTTTCCTTCATTTTATTCTCTACATCCAATTGATCAGAAGTCTTGATGATCTTCTTTTTGATTATTTGATGGGAGGGTAAATGTGTCCCTCCCATCTGCCACCTTCTCCATTCCTATTATTGTACTAGTTAAAGCCCTTGCAGTTGCTTATCTGGAATATCCACAACTTTCGTACTGGTTTTTCCAACTTTAAAACTGTCCTCATCAAATCTGTCCTCCACGTTGATTTCCTTGACTATGCTTAAAACCTCATCATTGGTCTCCCATTTCAACAGGACACAGAGTCTCAGCTCCTTAGCATGCAACCTAAGTCCTCCATAATCAGGTAGTCTCCTGCTGGCTCTCCAGCCAAAGCATTCCTTCCCTCTGTCATATTGTTTATGCAGCCACACATTTTCCCCCTGTAGTGGTGGAAAGGTATGATGCCTTTCCTCACCCATCATAAGGGTCATCGGTAACTCTCCTATAACAAAAGACAGGTTAACAAGAGAAAAGCATAACAGATTTCTTTAATCAAAGTTTTATGTGACATGGGAGCCTTCAGAAATAATGGCCCAAAGAGCCAGAGGAAACTTTCCATTTTTATGCTTAGAGTCAATGAAGAATGGACAGCCATGTGGAAATGTGATTGGATGAAACGGGTATGATCTAATGGTAATAGACTAAGGGGGAACCCAGCAAGGCCTGTCTGTTCAGATTCTTCCTGGCCACTCTTTGTAGTATTCTTCTTTCCCCCTGGGTGTGGGCCAGGACCCCTATGGAATGAGGGTCTTATGATCTACTATCAGACAAGGTAGGTCAGAGAATTTATGGTCAGCTTCTAAACAAAAAGGTGAGGGAGGTTAGAGCAATATTTCCAGGCTTTAAGCCTTGCTTTAGGATAAGAGGGGGTTCTAGTTTCTATGACTCACCTTGGGAAGGAGGAATCCTGGTTTCTATGATTCACTTCAAGGGAGAAAGAAGTGTAGGAGACAGGAGGGCAGGAAAAGGTCAGAGAATTTGCTTCTGAGGCTGCTTCTGAGGCCTTCCAATTCCTTTAGTTCAAAGTCCTCAGCATGTCAAAGTTCCATACTTTGGGATAGCGTTTTCATGACTTTTTTAATGCTTGTTTCTCTGCCTGCTGTGCCCTCCCCAACATAGTTAACTCTCATTCATTATGTGAAACCCAGTGCAGGCCAGGTATGGTGGCTCATGCCTGTAATGCTAGCACTTTGAGAGGCCAAGGTGGGAGAATCGCTTGAGTCCAGGAGTTTGAGACCAGCTTGGGCAATATAGCGAGGCCTTGTCTCTAAAAAATAAATAAATAAATAAATAAATAATAAATAAATAAATAAATAAATTAGCTGGGGTGGTGCGTGCCTGTAGTCCCAGCTACTTGGGAGGCTGAGGTGGGAGGAATGCTTGAGCATGGGAGGTTGAGGCTGCATTGAACCCTGATTGCACCACTGTACTGCGGCCTGGGCAATAGAGATGGACTGCATCTCTAACAAACAAACAAAACAAAACAACCCAGTGCAGACAGAACCTACTTAAGAAGCCTTTTCTGACACCTCCTTTACACTGGGCCCCTCTTGGTGCTTCCCTCCATGTCTTGCCTCTCTCTCCACCATTTTACTCACATTTTATTGTAATGGTTTCTTTGTGTCTGTTTCCTTCACCAGACTGAACAACTTGGTTGCCAGAACTGCATGCTATTTACCTTTATATGTCTAGTACCTTGCACAGTGCCTGGCACATAGTACCATTTAGTTAATATGTAGCTGAATAAGTAGATGAATAAATGGAAAAGACAGCCATTGTGTATGTGCTAGTAGCATAAAAATACAGGATACACAATTACATTTCAAATTCAGATAAATAACAAATAGGTTTTTTTAGTATGCATAGATCCCAAACATGGAATGGGACATACTTATACCACATAGTATGTAATTATTCATTATTTCTCTGAAATTAAAATTTCACTGGGCATCCTGTAATTTATCTGTCAACCCTAACCTAGCAAAAAAGTGACTTCCCACCCAATATTAGGTTAGCACAAAGGTGATTGTGACAAGTTTTGGTTTAAGTTTTGTTAAGTTTGCCACTATTTTTAATGGCAAAAGCCATAATCACCTTTGCACCAACCTAATAAAAGTTCACACAAGGCAGAACCTCATGTTGAGCTTGACATCATGGGCCCTAAAGTATTTTCTAGACTTTACCTTAACATCTCTGAGTGTCCTGTGTGTAAATAGTCACTGTAGTACTCAGGTGTATTGGCCTTGTCATGTTCTGCTGGGTGTCATTACATACATGATTTCTGCTGAGAGAATGATGCAAATTTTGTTGCATGGCAAAGAAATTTATGCAGTTGAGTAATATGGAGAGATGAGCAGAGCTTATTTGTGAGTCAGCTTGTGGGTTTTCCTATACAGGTGGAGTATCCTTAATCTTAAAACCGAAATTCAAAGTGCTCCAACATCCATGCTTATTGCAGTGTTTTGCAGTTTGGATTTTCAGAATGGGGATACTTGAATGGTAAGTATAGTGGGAATATTTCAAAATCTGAAAAATTCTGAAATCCAAACCACTTTCAGTCCCAAGAATTTGAGATAAAAGATCCTCAGCCTGTATTGTGGTGGTTTGTTGTTGCTGGATAGTGGTTGTAGGGCATATGAAAAGGAAGCATAAAACTTACTTTTGGTGTTTGGGGATGAATGTAGGGATTGGGTGTGGGTTTTAGATTTTTGGAGGGAGTTAACAGCTGGAATAGTACTCACTATTTACTTTGCTGCTCAGGCCAAGATGCCTGAGAACTGATATACTGAAGAGTGATCATGGTGTGGAGGACTCCATACTGTCTCCATCCTAATGAGGTTGTTTGCTTAACACGTTCCCTGTTAAACTATCAGATGACTGAATTATTATTTTGATTGAAGGGACTTTTTTTTTTTTTCAAATTAGAAACACCCAACTGGTTAACAGTTTATGTTTTAGAAGGTGAAAGAGTTTATTTTTCCATGACTGGAAACGGAATTGAAATATGGCATCTTTCATCTCTCACATGCCCTTTTTCCTCTCCGTCTCATGCCAAAATCGATAATTATGGAAATTACCTGGTAGGACACTTGGGCACAGTTTTAGATATTTACCCCATAGGACTCAGACATGTTCTCTTAGAAAAAGCTGGATTCTAAAGGCACAAAGATCAACCAAAAAAACAAACATGAAACATTTTTGTGGTCACAGTACCGTGATCTTGTCAGTAAAGCGACGGTCTATGATTAAATCCAGATTGAGCTGTTTCCTGTTAGCGTGCTAACCCACAGGACAGGCTCAGGCCTCCGTGTCTTGCTTTCTAAGTCTGGGTTATTAAGCACTTGTCTGACAAGGGTTCCACCCCTTTCGTCTTCAACTTAATAATTCAAAGTTACTAAGATAATATAAGCAAAAACAGGTCCTAAAGTCTCTTAAAACACTTACAGACCTATAGGAATCTTTTCTTGCAAAAATGAAACTTTTAACATTTTAGCTTCTCTTGTCGGGCCATATGGCAGAGTATTTTTTGTGTTTCCCCTCTGTACAGTTTCATTTCAAAATAATTTCAGTGGTAAGCAGATCATTTTAAGTTTTTGTTTCATAAGAAATGTACTCTATTTGAATGTTGGCAAATTAGAAGTCATCAGATCTTTCCCCTGCCATAATAAGCAGGTATTAGGATATTTAGCAGTTCTACAGAAAATGACATTAAGCAAATTCTCTGATAACTTAACATGCATTGTTATTTTGTGTGAGAATGATTGTAGGCACAAGAGCAATTCTATACTTATTTTATGATATTGTCATTGATGTTCACTTTGAAAATTATTTTTTAAATCTAAATTTTCAAAATATTTTATTAGTCTTCTGTTAGGTCATATGTGGTTCTTCCTAATGCACAGATGCAAACCCTGAGGAACAAATACTGTTAAAGGGACTTACAGGAATCATGTATGCATATTGAAATTTTTTCCGAGTAAGAAAGTACTGAAAGAGAGGGGCTGGGTTAATGAGAAACATAATTCCATTCCCAAGGGAGAACCCTGGCTTTCTGCCAAATCTCTGCTTTCTGGCAGGAAATGGGACCCACTTCATCAGGTCCTTTGACAAGCATTTTTCTCTGTGTTTGAATTTTGGGACACGTCAATACTCGGTGAAAAAATAGTTCTTTTAAATAATCATCACTTTTGATAAGAAGGATTTAGAATTAAAGTAGAGTTTCCATTGTAAGTAAAATAAGAATCGTCAAATTTCAACATTGTTTGGTAAGGGAACACTGTTATTATCACAAGGCGAGGAAGCTTGATTTAAATCAGAGTTTGACTATCCCTAACCACTGAGAAGCCATTCCTTTTATTGTTGTTAATATTTAACATTGAAGTATATTTTCATGTTTTTTTTTGTTTGTTTGCTTTTGAGATGGAGTCTCGCTCTGTTGCCCAGGCTGGAGTGCAGTGGCACAATCTCCAGCCCACTGCAACCTCCGCTTCCTGGGTTCAAGTGATTCTCCTGCCTCAGCTTCCTGAGTAGCTGAGACTACAGGCACGCACATTACACGTGGCTGATTTTGTATTTTTAGTAGAGATGGGGTTTTACTATGTTGGCCAGGCTGTTCTTGAACTCCTGACCTCAGGTGATCCACCCCCCTTGGCCTCCCGAAGTGCTGGGATTACAGGCGTGAGCCACCGCTCCCATCCTGAAGTATATTTTCTAACTGCTACTTTTGAATATCATGCAGGCTGACAATTATTTTGGCCAGGTCTTTTGAAGTGACAAGGTACAAAACACAAAACATCCTGACATTTTTGTATTAATAAAGAGATCAAAGGAATACACATTTGAAAATAAAAATTAACATTATATTTTATAATGTTTTGATTTTTCTTTTTTAAATGAAAAGTGGTAAATATGAGTTAAGTTTTAAATGCATTACAGTAATTTAATAAGCCAAAATTTTTCAAAGTATGTGCATTCTGAAGTTCTGCAAGATGCTCTCAGACTAAAGAGAAATCCATCTGGAAATGCTGCATACCATACCCCTCTCTTGGAGTTGAATAACACCGTTGGCATATGAGAAATTCTGCAGTAAAGAGATATCATTGACTTTGTTGAACTCTATAGTTCCCAAACTTGACCATAGGAGTTTTTTTTGGAACTAGTGTTTTACGGCACACACTTCAAGCAACAGTGAACCAAATAATTAATAACATGTAGAATTCTAAACCATATATCTTTTTCACTTATTGTTTCTGATAAAGTTAATTGGAACTTCTGGGGAACAGATGGGTACTACAAGGTTTGTTCTAAAACTACATATAGAGTGATAAAGAACAGCTATTAGACCCTGATCTGAGTCAACAGTCTTAAGAGGCCTAAAGAAATGTTTGCTATTTTGCCTGAACCAGATCCCTCTCCCTAGAAAACTTTCAGAAATTAAATAAAGAGATAAAGCCATCTACCACATAAGCTGGAGTCTTAATTTTAATTCCTGTTAGCGGTTTGACATGATGACATTAAGCTATTCTAACCCCCTTCTGAAAGCAGTTGCCACCACTCTGGTCTTTCTGAAAGCAATCCATCTGTTAGTTTCCTTCCAGTAGTTTGATTTCTGACAGGCCAGGTGAAGGAAAAGCAAACATGCTACTTAGTAAGCACAATATCATCATTAGAGATCCACTTCTTTCTTCTTTGTGTCTCTTCTTTAATTTTCACATGTGACTATTTCAATTTAGGAAATCTGACATAAAACAATTACAATTCAACTTGCGATTCAGATAAACCGCCTGGCGATTGTTCGCATCACTTAGGATTATTTTTGCTTTAGAAATAGACCTCCTCTCTTTAGAGCAGTTTCCTTAGTGCCTATGAAGGATGAGTTAAACTTTCAAAATTGCATCTCTGTATAATTTGTTAGGCACAGATTTACTGCAGAATGTAAGGCACACCAATATTTTTCTTCATTTTAATTCTCTTCCCTTATACTCAAATTTTAAGCTGTGAAGATTTTATTACCAATGAATTTTTATGTATTATGGTTTATATCTACCAAGGTACAATTATATCTACCAATATTCATTTACAGTTTCATTTTCATGTGCTAGCTGCTTCTCGTGAGTAAATGTCTTCTTTTAGACTTTGCAAGTTTCCAGAAGGCAGGGTCATACACCCACCCACCCTTTTCATCACTCCCCAGAGCTTAACCCAGTGGTGCTTGGTACAACCATTTTCTCAGTCAGCTCTGTTGATTGCTGATGATATTGAATCAAAATGCACATTGCCGTCTGTGGACTGAAGAAAGTCAGATCATGATTCCATCTCCATAGATTTCCACGGAGAATATACTCCAACCATGGCCAGTTTTTCAAGCTATCAACATGATTTCAACTGGCTCACACAAATTCTTAAAATTTAACAATCCTCTCTCCAAAACCAGTATGACTCAGCTCCAGCACTCCACCATAGGAGCTGTCTTTAGGAATGAGTGTGCAAAAATTTTTTTCCCATTCTCTAGGTTGCCTGTTCACTCATAGTTCAACCATTGTGGAAGACAGTGTGGCGATTCCTCAAGGATCTAGAACCAGAAACACCCTTTGTCCCAACAATCCCATTACTGGGTATATACCCAAAGGATTATAAATCATTCTACTATAAAGACACATGCACACGTGTGTTTATTGCAGCACTGTTCACAATAGCAAAGACTTGGAACCAACCCAAATGCCCATCAGTGATAGACTGGATAAAGAAAATGAGGCACATATACACCATGGAATACTGTGCAGCCATAAAAAAGGATGAGTTCATGTCCTTTGGAGGGACATGGATGAAGCTGGAAACCATCATTCTCAGCAAACTAACAGAAGAACAGAAAACCAAACACCGCATGTTCTCACTCATAAGTGGGAGTTGAACAATGAGGACATATGGACACAGAGAGGGGAACGTCACACATGGGGGCCTGTCGGGGGTGGGGTGACAGACTAGGGGAGGGATAGCCTTAGGAGAAATACCTAATATAGATGATGGGTTGATGGGTGCAACAAACCACCATGGCATGTGTATACCTATGTAACAAACCTGCATATGTATCCCAGCACTTAAAGTATAATTTTTAAAAAAAAAAAGAATAAAAAACTCCAACAACAACAACAACAAAAAAGAATGAGTTTGTCCAGGTGCAGTGGCTCACGCCTGTAATCACAACACTTTTGGAGGCTGAGGCGGGCGTATCACCTGAGGTCAGGAGTTCAAGACCAGCCTGGCCAACATGGTGAAAACCTGTCTCTCCTAAAAATGCAAAAATTAGTCGGGTGTGGTGATGGGTGCCTGTAATCCCAGCTACTCGGGAGGCTGAGGCAGGAGAATTACTTGACCCCAGGAGGTGGAGGTTGCAGTGAGCCAAGATCACATCACTGCACTCCAGCCTGGGCGACAAAGCGAGACTCCATCTCAAAAAAAAGAATGAGTTTGAAAACTTTCCATGGAACAAAACAAAGGGAATGCTTGCTAAACCTGATCCTGGTATCATTAAAAATGCGCTTGGTAAAATTATATCAGCAAACTAGTTCTTGATAGGGGAGTAAGTAGAAGCAAATGTAACCATTATGAAGTAATACCTCTACTTCTAGAAAGGTAGGAAACACGCATACCTCCACCACCACCACCCTACCACACTAAACTCATAGGAGAGAGCATTGCCTTATATGACATGTAGAGAAATTAAATAAGAGTGAGGGTAAGCTGCATGCAGTGGCTCACACCTATAATCCCAGCATTTTGGGAGGCCAAGGCGAGAGGGTTGCTTGAACCCAGGAGTTTGAGACCAGTCTGGATAACATAGCGAGACACTATCTCTACCAAAAACAAAAATACAAAAATGAGCAGAGCATGGTTGCCTGAGCCTGTAGTCCCAGCTACTTGGGAGGCTGAGTCAGGAGGATCACTCGAGCCCAGGAGCTCCAAGCTGCAGTGATCTGTGATCACACCACTGCTCTCCAGCCTGGGTAACAAAAGGGATAAATAAATAAATAAGAATGAGAGGAAACATAACAGGCTATGGCCTTCAACTATTTCAATGCTTCCAATTTTACTTTAGGGAGTCATTTCTCCTTATGGTAATTGTTAATTTATTATACAGGTTGAAGGGGACCAGCTGCCTCCAGGACACACAGTCAGTCAATATGAAACCTGTAAGATCAGGACCATAAAAGCTGGCACCTTGGAGAAGCTTGTGGAGAACCTGCTGACAGCTTTTGGGGACAATGACTTTACCTATATCAGCATCTTTCTTTCAACGTACAGAGGCTTTGCCTCCACTAAAGAAGTGCTGGAACTACTGCTGGACAGGTAAGAATGTAAAGGAGCTTTTGAGTTGAAAGAAATGTAGGCTGATTATGGAGTGGAGCACGAGGTTCTGAATCACCTGCACTTGGTATTCGGAGAGAGATATGTGAGGAAAGATTAACGGGAAGGGATGACCTTTGGCACAAATGAAAAGAAGATCATTCAGGAGCCACTTATGGTCTGTTGCTGGGGAAAAATATCTCCTAAAAGATTTATAAAAGAGTTGAGAGTGGATACCTTAAATCTAGATTCAGTTGCTTTATGGATTTACTATTTGCCACCCTAAATTTCTCCATATTTTTATAATTTTATATTATTCAGTAAATAATCAGTTGACCAAGAATTTTACTGGGATGTTGTGGGGATGAAATGTGCTAATATGTGTGAAGTGTGGAGCTCATTCTTAGATCCACAGGAAGCAGCTTAGGAATGGTGGCAATGATGATGCGATGATGATGATAACTATTAACAGTCAGCATGTATTGACTGTTTTAAGGATCTGCACATAAATATCCTTGATCCGTATTTTTAAGCTACTTATTACATAGAGCAGTATACATTGATATTTACACACTGTTAAACTTTAGATTTTCCTCTTTATTTCTGTTTTATTTAGAATTAAACTTGGTCTTTTAGAAAATATCATTAAATCAACTTGATACTGGGAGGAAGAAAGCTGTCAGCCAAACAATTGTTTTAGAATCAGGAGAATCCTCATCTAAATCCTTATATTCTGGGGTTTCCTGCATAAGGAAGGAAATGAGATACGGCTTTCTGTTGGGCTTGTTGAGTATTGATGTTTGTTAACTAAATTTTTTTATTTTGAAAGTAATCTGTGCTCATGCTAAAAATTCTTACACTGTGGAAGAATATGCAAAATATTAAAGTTTGTTCATATTGCTGCCTTTTCCCCAAATAACATTTATTAGATTTAAAAATATTAGTAGTAAGAAGAAAATTAAATAGACCATCAACTAGGCAAATAACACATATTAACATTTTAAAAATAGAGGTAATCCATGTATATGGTGAAAAGTTCCATCAGCCCAGATAATTATAAAAATAAAAAGTAAAATATTTTTTTCTCCAAGCTCCAATCCCATTCCTCCCAGGAAATCACTGTGAACCATCCTTTTGTATTTTTCCCACACTTTTGGGTGTATAGAAAGTATGTATGTATATATACACACATTTATGTACTGTATGTCATATATATGATATGTTTATATATTTATCATATGACACATATACTTACCTATGATACAGATAGCATCACAGTACATAGTCTGTTCTGCAATTTTCATTTAAAAAATTTTTTTTTTCTATTTTTAGAGATAGGATCTTGTCCTGTTGTCCAGACTGGACTGGAGTGCAGTCACACAATCATAGCTCACTGCATCCTCAAACTCCGGGGCTCAAGAGATCAGCCTCAGCCTCCTGAGTTGCTAGGATGACAGGTGCATGCCACCACGCCTGGCCAGTTTTCAGTTTTTACTTATCTGCATATCTTGGAAATTTTTTACTCATTAAGTGAATTAGTATATATAAAAGGCTTAGAACAGTGGCTGGCATATTGAAAGCTCAAAAAATGTAATTCTTATTTCAAAACCAGCACGTGTAGATGAATCTATCATAATCTTTTCAATAGCTTTATAATATTTATTGAATGGGTTATTATATGGATAGACATTTAAGTTTTCTCCAGTTTTTAGTTTTTTTTTTTTTTTTTTTTTTTGTTGAGATGGCATCTCGCTCTGTCTCCAGGCTGGAGTGCAGTGGCGTGATCTCGGCTCACTGCAACCTCCGCCTCTTGGGTTCAAGCAATTCTCCTGCCTCAGCCTCCTGGGTAGCTGGGATTACAGGTGCATGCCACCACACCCAGCTAATTTTTGTATTTTTTGTAAAGACAGGGCTTTACCATGTTGGCCAGGATGATCTCGATCTCTTGACCTCATGATCTGCCGCCTCAGCCTCCCAAAGTGCTGGGATTAGACTTGAGAGCCGCTGCGCCCAGCAAATTTGTTTTTTAAACTTTGTAAACAGTACTGCAAGGAGCATTTTTGAATATATATCTTCGGAATAGTTGGTTGAGAATTCTATAGGATAATGTCATAGAAGAGTCACTAATGGGTCAAAGTATATCAGCATTTAAAGATTTGAAAGATAACTGCCAGATTGCACCAGTGACATTCCTGTCCACAGAAAACGGGAATGCCTATTTCCTCATTTTCCCCACACTCTTGCCAACTGTGGATATTTTCTCTCTACTTTTGAAACTGTCTTTGCCATGACCTGACCACTGACAAATGATAGCTTCTTGTTTTTGAATTTGTGCTTCTTACATTTATGAGTGAGGTTTAGCATCTTTTAAAATTCTTATTGGCTGTTTGTGTTTTCTTTTCTGTGAACTGCCTTTTCATATCCTTTTGCCTATTTTTCTTTTGGACTCTTTTCATCTAATTATTGATTATCTAATTATAACTCTGCATATTAAGGGAATTAGTTTGTTGCTTATCATATGTTAGAAATATTTTCCTAATTTTTCCATTCGTTTTAAAAGTTATTTATTAAAATTTTTTATAACGACATTAACATTTTTTGTGTAGTCATATCTATTAGTCTTAAGAAATACCTTTAATAATCAAGTTATATTCCAATATAAGTAAGGTTATTGACAATAGTGGGTTTTCTCTCAAAGTAGTTTACTCGTAAGATGCATATAGAGTAAGATTATTTGGATCAATGGTTATTAATATGTTAATCTTCAAGAATACTCACAAAATGTCTGTTCTTTGTCATACATTGATCTGGATTATGATACTTTGAGCTGCAGCACAGATAGGAAGTTCTGTAGCTTTTTTCATAGCAGTGCTTGACAAAATAGGCCTGGAATATAAACTTGGATTGGTGAGGCATTTCTTTATATAGGCAGGATCTTATGTAATAGATCATACCTGTAAGTAGAAATTGAAAAATTATATGAATTTTATCTTTTTGGTATTTCATGTTTATAAAAAAATGCAGTATGCTGTTGGCAGGCAGTATGAATTGACTGTTCAAAACGTTAAAAAACTCCTACAAGTTTACTTTGGAATTGGTAACCTCTTCTATTTATGGGGTGACTATTGATAATAGGCCACAGATATCCACAGTCAATAAAGGAGTGCACGTAAATTCCAGCTGTTCATCCTAAATAGAGGACATATACACACAGGAACTGGAGTGTTTAGTCTATGACTCATGTACATCCAGATTTTGATATTTTTTAAATCTTTTCTTTGTTCTATTATAGAGGATAGATGTTTTTGCTTTTTAAAACACTAACTGGATGACTGACTAACACTGAAAATGAATCAAACTGCATTTAATTCAAGCTGTCATGTACGATATAACTGGAGAGTTAGGATTTATTTTTTTACCATTTGGATGGGCCAAGGCTTGGCCTTGAATTTAATCTCATAAACAGATCCTTTGCTTGCTTCTGAAATGAATGGAATTGACAAGTACTCAATGCCTACACAATACCCAGCTTCTGCAAGACACCATGCAGATGGAACTCAGGAATATGAGACTTGTTTCATGCCTTGAGATAGTTTAGAGGTAGATTTACTATGAAGCCACTGGTACTTAACCTCCAGGGGCGCTCACTTGGAATGCCCTCTGCATAATTTTATATTCATGATTTTGTATTCTTTTTCTTTGAGAGGATCCCTCAGATTACATATGGCTTCAAATTACATATCCATAAGACCTGGATCCACCCCTCAGTACTTAATATTTTACTGCAAAAGATAACATATTAAGGCTTGCATTTCTGAAACAAGTAGATAACTGCTTGAGATGGTATTAGATGAAGTTCTAACATGTTCTGCAGATGAAACAGGATATAGAAGTTCAGAGGAATAAATATCATTTATTTAGATTATTCTGCAGAAATTGGGATTTGTTCAAATAAGTACAAACCTCAACATGAGTATTTCTTCCTTGCTTCATTTCCTACTCACACTTAGATCTTGAGCCAGGCTTCAGTCTTGATTAAATTTAACCAAAATGCACATTCTGTGAAACAGTGGGTTCTTAAATTGGTTGTTGAGACTTTTAATGTCTATAATTAAGAGGAAGCAATTATGTTGTATAAACTTGCCTATTCTGAAGATGAGCATTTGAAATATTATTTTGTCAGTAGATTGTGGTAGACTTGTTTATGGGTCTCTGACATAATTTTAAAAATAATTTCTTTTGGTTTCTTAATAGTAGTTTGCTTATCTGTTGTGAAATTAACACTGAGACGCTATTACAGCATGTGCTAATCATACAATAATCAGTCAAGAATAGATTGAAGACAGATACTGCAGTATTTATTTCCCACCGGAGAAGCTTATTTGATGTCAAGCTTTGATTTCCCTTAAGACTTCTAATAATGTGGGTTTTCTCATATGGAACTATTTGCTTTCTGGGATTTATTTTTTATCTTTTGACAGTTTTTTATTCTGCTATAATATGAGCCTTTTGTGATTGGCCAATAGACAGTGGTTTGAATTCACGTATAGCTAATTCCATGTGTTTGCTTTACCCCTTACTTGGGGTGATCATTTCCCAAGGACCCCTGTTTCCTGTGCTTCTCAACATGGCTCAGAGTCCACATTGGCCTACTTTTAACCCAAGAGAAAGTTCTTGAATTCTGGGCCAGCAGTTTGTGTTGGGGCTTTGAGATTTTCTTTTATCTAACTTCAAACATACACTCACTCAGTTAAAAATCTGGCCAGGCGTGGTGGCTCACATCTTTAATCCCAGCACTTTGGGAGGCTGAGGCAGGTGGATCACCTGAGGTCAGGAGTTTGAGACCAACCTGGCCAACATGGTGAAACCCTGTCCCTACTAAAAATATAAAAATTAGCTGGTATGGTGGCAGGCGTCTGTAGTCCTAGCTACTCGGGAGGCTGAGGCGGGAGAATCGCTTGAACCTGGGAGGCAGAAGTTGCAGTGAGCTGAAATTGCACCAGCCTGGGCGACACAGTAAGACTTGGTCTCAAAAAAAATCATCTGTTCTCTCCACCATACCATTTTAAACATAAGGGTGTTAGATACTACTGAATATGCCCAACCTCAAATGTAGGGAGAAACCTACTTTAATTAGTGACCTTCAGTGAGAGCCATGAAATGTTGGCACAAGTATCTAGAGTTTTCTTCAGATAGCTGTCACAATAGCTCCCTTTTGGGCCATTTCTTGAACATTCTCTCTTTCTGTGTTATGCACTCTAATATCAGAATTAAGCAGAATGAGCTGAGTGCAGTGGCTCATGCTTGTAATCCCAGCACTTTGGGAGGCCGAGGTGGGCGGTTCACTTGAGGCCAGGAGTTTGAGACCAGCCTGGCCAACAAGGCAAAACCCCATCTCTACTAAAAATACAAAAGTTAGCTGGGCGTGGTGGTGCATGCCTGTAGCCCTAGGGAGGGTGAGGCAGGAGGATAACTTGAGCCTGGGAAGCGGAGGTTGCAGTGAGCTGAGATTGTGCCACTGCAATCCAGCCTGGGTAACAAAGCGAGACCCTGTCTAAAAGAAAAAAAAAGTAAGCAGAATGCCAACAAGAACCAGAGTAGGGGTTAACTAGGTCTCCAGAAACCTTTGCCAAGCTGATGGCACTCAGGTCACACTATGGAAAGCACTGAGTAATAGTCTGAATTACTCCCTTAATTTCAAATGAATTCTCCCAGTGGAGGACATTCGGGGTTTTTAAAGGTTGGAGCCATTTGTAAACACTATGCTTTAAGATTATCTGACTTAAATTTGCTTGCTTATGGTGCAGAGAAGAGACTAATTCAGTAGGTCTTTGAACTTATTTCTTCTTCCCATGTTTGCTTGCCATGTGTTTTCACAGGCTTCATCTCATTTAGTTCACTTATTTTTACCCCTATGTTTACAGATTAGAAAATTGTGGCTCAGAAACATTCAATCAGTAAGTAGCAGAGCTAGAATTAAAACCTACTCCTTTCTGACTTGGAAGCTCTTTCCAAGTGTACAATATCACCTTCCTTGATTTGTTAATATCACCTTTAAAGGAACCCTTTTTTGGGAATCCTTTTTAGCCATCCTTTTCACTACTACCTCAAGTGATTTTCCCTGGAAACTGTATTTCCCAAGGGCTCCTCCCTTCACACAGTTGTGAGCAGTTCACTTGAGCATCAGTGCTGTTATTTGTCTACTCAAGCAATATTTATCAGCTCTTTAATGTGTACTATGTACTGTACAAGATGCTGTGTGTATAATGGTGGACAAACCTGCCTTCTTCATGCTGAATGTCTAGTGGGAAAGAGTAACATTAAACAAATCAGTGTGCAAATACATTTATATAATTAAAATTGATAGACCACTGGGAGATAAAAGGTTCTATAACACAGAGTTATAAAGGATATTTTGGAGAGCTGTACCCAAATAAAACTGAATGTTGGCCAGGATCTTAGGTGATCACTTAGATCATGGCCCATAAAGGTAATTGCTTTGTCTGTGTGTTTGGAGTGTTTCTGTGTACTGAATGGGCCTGGCCAAATCCCTGACCTCGATCAGCTTTTCCTGAAGGGTCAGGGATAGCAAATGAGAGAGCACGGGTGGATTTAAGTAAGTATAGTACCACCGTGGGAACAGAAACCTTAAATCCATTCTTTATGTCGCCTGGAGTAACATTTTCATATGCAAAACCTGACATACCAATAACCAGCAAAACGGAGCTGCCTTTGTTAGTGCAACCAGTTCCTCCACAGTGTAGAGAGGAGTTGATCAGATATAAAGCTTGAAAATTTTCATTTATTTCCAAGGATTTTGTCATAGATGTCAAACAGACTTTTCAGAATTTTAGGATACATTATGGGAAAAGCAATTTTTCCTGTCTTTTTTTTTACCCATGAGATTCAGATTTAAGGCATATAGTATAATGGTTAAGAACATGGGCTTAGGAGTCAGAAATTTGAATTTTATTCCAGTTTTGCACTCCTTACTTGCTCTGCAGTATTGGGCAGTGAATTTATCTTACTAGCTTCAGTTTTCCTCATCTATAAAATAACAAAAATAGCACCTAATTTATAGAGTTATTATAAAGTTTGAACATGATAATATAGGTAAAATTTGTAGTATAGTGGCTGAAAAATATTAAGTGCTTAAGAGATTACTATTACCTTGTTTTCTTTCTTCAAGGCATTTATTATTATTTGAAATTACCTTATTTATCTTGCTTATTTCATGACTGTCTTTCCCACTCAGAGACCATGTTAGTCTTGTTCATTGCTCTACCCTCAAAATGGTGCCTGCAGTAGGTGCTTAGGAACTATTTGTCTAACAAATAAATAATGGTTATCATTATTCATGCCTTTTCCAAGCAGGTGTTTTGGAAGGTCCAGCAGTGAACATTGCCCAGCCTCTGCCCATGTTTAGTGGGAGAGACAAATAAGTCTATAGACTCGTGTCATCACTGTCAAGGCCATGAGGCTGAATGTGCGTTTTTAATGAAAACCTTTTCCCCCCGGGAGCTGGTAGTTGTAAACCTTCTATAAAAAGCCCATTGCACACATCCATTCAGTTCTCAAATGCTTTCGTTGCATGAGAAGCTGGTAAGTGTTTTTGAGATGCGTACAATATGTTCCAATTTGCTTTTTGTTAAACCTCACTTAAAAATAATTGAATTTTTTATTTAGTGCTGGAATTACACTAGGCACTTGCCAAATATTCCTAGATTCATGCTGGCATGCAGTGTTCATGTTCCTGTACTTCCTTTTCTTTCAGTAAGAGGCAAGGTTTCTAATATCTTTCCTCTCCTCTTCCAGGTCCAAGGAAAGGAAGTTGTCAACAGAGAGAGCACTGGGAAACATACTGGAAACTGAACCCGCACGACGGGTCTCAGAGCATCTTCATGTGACTTATGGTCCCAGTGTCGCCTCTAGGGTCACCAGCATCTAGAGGTGACACTGAGACCATAACTCACCTGTAGGTGCTGGTCTCTTATAGCATTAACACTCACATTAAATCTTGTTACTATGAAACTCATAATTTGATTTTTTTCTAAACTTTTTGTTCTGAGTTATTTATTAATGTTTAACTTCCATCACTTACATAGGAAATTTTTCAAAATAATTCCATACCATTCTCTTCATTAATTTTAGTAACCTCCTACAGGGCCAAATCGAAATTAGCAGAGAGGGTCACTCATTAAGTCTTTTGTGCCTCCCCCAACCCACCCATGCATGAAACAGTTGAGATTTAGTGGTTGGTGGCTCCAGGATGCACATCCCATTTATTTAGTAGAAAAACTTTCAGGAAATCTTAACATTGCTTTGCTTCCTTTCTAGCTTAACATACAATCATATTGAATATCCTGACTAGGGTGAGAATTTCTTAGTAAATGAAGGCTGCTATTTAAGATTTTTGTTAGAACAGATGAGTTTAAATAGATTTTCTCTAGGTCTGGGTGTTGATGACTTCCTAGGCAAAAAAACCCAAAAAAACTTGGATGGGTTACACACACATACACATACACACACATATATATAACAGAACATATATATATATGTTCTGTTATGTATATGACCCTCTCTACTAGTTTCCATTTGGCTCTGTGGGGGGTTACTAAAATTAATGAAGAGAATATGGAATTATTTTGAAAAATTTCCTATATAAGTGATAGAAGTTAAACATTAATAAATAACTCTTAGAACAAACAAAAAGTTTAGAAAAATGTCAAATTATGAGTTTATGTTCTATTCAGGACATCATGCCCTGTTCAGTTTTGGTCCACACACTCAGCTCCAGGAAGCATGGCTGGAGCCAGAATGTGACCAGAATTGTTATTATTTTCTCCCTGTAAATATATATATATTTTTATATATATATATATGTTAAGGTGTTTTTTAAAAAAAGGTAGATTGCTGAAAGATAAATTGGACTTAGATCTTATTTCCTGCAACTATGAGAAACATGACACTATTGGTTGGTAGAAGAGAAAAGAGGATTGTAAGAAGGGTGTGAAAATCTTTGGGTATGAAAATGGTTATAATATAGAAAAGAGCATTAAAAACTTTGATAGGGGATGCCTTTCATAAAAGGTCTCAGGCTCTTGCTGGCTCACACTTTATCAGGTGGAGAGAAACAGTTTAGCTCAGAAAACAATAGAAGGTATAACATTTATAATAATTTACATATCCAAAGATGTCCACATCCTCATCCCTGAAACCTGGGAATATGTTAGGTTATATGCAAAGGGGAATTGAGGTTGCAGATGGAATTAAGGTTACTAATCAGCTGACTATAAAATAAGGAGATTATCTTGGATTATCTGAGTGAGCCCAGAGTAATCACAAGGGTCCTTAAAAATGTAAAAGATGGAGGCAGAAGACAGAGAAAGAGATACAAGGATGGAAATGGGATCAGATAGATGCTATGTTGCTGGCTTTGAAGATGGAGGAAGGGGGCCTTGAGCCAAAGAATGCAGGCAGCCTCTTGAAGCTAGAAAAGGGGATTGAACAGATTCTCTTCTAGAACCTCTAGAAAGGAACATAGCCCTGACAACACCTTGATTTTAACCCATTGAGACCCTTGTTGGACTTCTGACTTACAGAACTATAAAATAGTAAATTTGTATTGTTATAAGCCACTAAGTTTGTAATAATTTATTCCAGCAACACAGATAAGAAACAAGGAATTCTTGTCAGGGAGATTGACTCTGAAAAATCTAGTGGCCATAGGCTCAAGGATGTTGAAGGTCGGTGTCCACCCTCACCTTTGTTCTGTTCAGGACATCATGCCCTGTTCAGTTTCGGTCCACACACTCAGCTCCAGGAAGCATGGCCGGAGCCAGAATGTGATGGGCATTGTTATTATTTTCTCCCTGTAACTATGCCAGTTACTTTGGATTAACCAGAAAAATTTAATCTGGTGCTGTTTGAGAATTATATCCAACCATAATTACCTGAGGGAAAATGGAAATAAGTTCTCTTCCCTGCTGGGTTGGTGGCCTTTGGTAAATATTTACTTTTGCCAAGTGGACCCAACTGTCACCTGCCAACACTATGGGAATTCTGGATAGGAACATGTGGCGACTGTAGAGCCTTAGCTTGTGGGACGACAGTGATGGTTTTGTTAAAGTAGACACTGAGGGGATGCTGTCAAAGACTTTGCCTCAGATCATAGCCAGGCTAGCTTTCTTTTCTTGAAATGGGATTTATAAGACCTAAGAGATAAAAATGTTTCCATGAAGTAGCTTGTTTTTTTTATTTCACTTGGCAAAGGGAGGCAAGGACATGCAATTATCCTTTTTTTGAAAAGAATATAAAATTGCCCAGCAGGTTTTTTTTTTAAAGTGTGCTTAACATTTGTAAACTACAAAACAAAACTGACAAGAAACTGAAATGTAATGGGTGGTAACTGAGTTAGTAACTGGACAGTCAGACATTCAGCTTTGATCATTTAAAGCAGTGGTTTTGACCATTTTTCAGCAGTTGGTGGGAGTGATTGATCACAAACCCCTGTAAGAATGTACTAAAAACTATGGACCTTCTCTTTAGAAAAAAGAGAATGTCACAATTTTTTTCATAAAATTTAGGGACTTCCCAGACTTCTGTAAATTCATCTAGAGACCCTGGGTTATGATCCCCTAGGCAAAGTGTCCCTAGCGTGGTAACAGGGGATATGTAGGCAGCCATTATGAATGAGAGGTGGGCACTGATCCTAGCTTTATTATAACTGGAACACAGACCTTAAGTGTGGCTCTGAAAAGTAAACCAATCAAATTAACTAAAATTACGCTTCATGGTTCATTCAGGTAAATTTAATGGTTTTAGAAAGTATCTTGGGACATCTAAAAGGGGAAGATACTGGTGGTTTTGAGTTAATTTTGTTTTTCATATCGCTATTCTCTTATCTGAAAATTTTTTTTACATTTATTTTTTGTGAACTTAGCCCTTGATAATGCTGTCAGGCCCCTAGTCCTGGGAACACAATTCTTTTGCCTTTGGCCTCTACTAAAGCTAACAGTAAGCACCCATTTAGATAAATTGATATTCCGTTGAGTTTTTGTAAGCTATAGGCGAAAAAGAAAAGTATTCTTGAAAATGAAAGGATGCCATGATACTAAACTCATATTCATTGTATTTGATGTTACAAAGCATGTTTCATAAGATTTTGAAGAGCTCTGCAATAGCAGCTTTTTGTGGTTGGGGAAAACTGAGCCACAGGCTTGTACTGATTTGTTAATAATGTATTAATTCATCTTAAACCTGAGAAAAATCTAGACTCATGAACAGAGTCTGAGTGCTGCCTCCTTCCTACCCCCATCTACCAGTTTCTTCTGTTGTCCGTCATTGTAGCCTCATCCATTGCAGTGTACTAACAAGATGTGTTTGCAGTTGGTGGTTTAGCATTGTTATGAACTAGAAGTGGAAGGAGTAGCTACGGATGGGCCACCAAGCTCTGAGTGCAGGAAACAGGCCAGAGAAAAGAAACGGATGACAGAGGCTTGGAATGGAAAATAGAAGAAACCTTATAGCAGGAGTGTGAGAGCCAACATACTTAAATAATTTTAAATCTGCGTGAGATATAAGTTGTGGCAGGAGAGAACTTTTTTTCTTTCCCTTGGATGAATAGTGTCCTTTTCTTGAACTCCTCTTTAGACAGTTGTGGGTTAAGGGCTGGAAAGAAAGGTTATTCTCCAGGAAAATGTTATAGCATTTTGTAACTGTCAAGTGGGGCAGAAATATCAGGTACTCTTTTGCTGTTAATGTTGCCTTAAGTGTCAGGGACTTAGTATGGAGATATGTGGACAATGAAAGAACAAGGAAGGTGCAGTGTCCTTCACAGCAAAGGCCTAGAGGTGAGGAGGGCAGCTTTTGTTGGGTCTTCTAGCTTTTTCTAGTCAGGGAAAAATGGCCTAGAGAACTAACCCTCATAAATGGAAAGCACAGTATAGGGTTCTCGGCTCAATCTTCTTGGCCCCTTCCTTTCCTGCAAGAGAACAAGGAGTTTTTGCCTTGTTGTTTTTGACCTTTGTCTTTCCCCTTGAATAAGTAACTTCACAGTGGTAACAAGACCTTTCCAAGGTAGGCTTGGTGGCTGTGACCCAGTTCTCAGGTCAGACTTGGCGGAGAGGTGCCTGCCATGGAGGATATTATTCAGAGTAATTAAAACCACACTTCTTGCTGATCTGTGGAAACAGTCCAAAGTCTTCACTAAGGTTTTCACCAGACATCTGCAGGCTATTTCACCCATGTCGTTCTCCTGAGTCAAGGTCAGCTTCTGAACATTTTTTTCATACCTGACCTGTGTTCTTTTGGGTCAGTTACAGAAAAATGCCTAAGATGTTCTGAGGCCAGCATTTATTAGAAAAGATTCCCAGGAGTCCTTGAGTCAGCAGCTTCATGTGAGGTCTCTCTTTCCTTTACTTCTTCCTTTCCGTTCTTTCACTATCCCCAATAAAGTACCTCCTTCCCAACTCTTCCCGCCCCAGCCTTTCTTTTATTCTTGGTAGAAGAGGGTGTGTATTAATTCATTGAGCAAATATTTATTGTCTACTTTGTGCAGGCTCTATTCCAGGCTCAGTAGAAGTAGCAGTAAGCAAAATAGAAGAGTAAAACCAGAGTCCTTGCCACAGCCTACCTACCAGGCCCTCAGCATCTGTCCTTGTCATCTCCATGCCTCCTTTTCTATTCACGCTCACTCAGCTCTGCCCCTCATTGGCCTCTTAATGTTTCTTAGAAACATCCTTCTGCTACTCTTCCAAGGCCTTTGCATTGGCTCTTTGGACTGCTTAGAGGCTCTTTCCCTGGAGATCTGCAGGGCCCACTTCCTCACTTTCTGGAGAGTTTACTTAGTTTTCACATTCACATTGGGCCTTCCCCAAATACCCAACCTCTGGCCCTCCATTATACCAGGTCACCCTGACCTGCTTTATTTCTCTCCATTGCACTTTTCACTCTCTGACTTAGTATATATTAACTAATTATTGTTGTCTGTCTCCTCCGCACTACCATGTATACTTCATGAAAACAGAGACTTTGGTTTGTTTGCTGCTGTATCCTCAATGTCTAGAATAGTACCTGTACGTAGTCCTTAGTAAATAATCCTCATTGAATGAGGACTAAATGAGTGAAAGAATGAATGATGGAATAAATGAATGAAAGGCTCACCATAGCTTGTATGGTAGGGAGTGATTCAGAGGCTGGTTGCTGAACGCTGACTGTCATGGCTGAAATCCCTGCTGCACGTATTAGTTGTATCTTTGAGGGCATGTTACTTAATTTAAGCCTTCTGGGCCTCATTTTTCTCATCTGTAGAATAGGAATAAAAATAACTTCACTCTATAGAATTATAGGAGAACTAAACCAAGCCAGCATGTAAAGCCCTTAGCACAGTACCTGGCATATAGTAAGTTCTCAATAATTATTAACTGCTGTTATTATTGGATCATTTGCCAGAATCAAGCAGAGCCTGAGAGATTCTTCAGGATCACCCGCCTCCTGATCTGGTGTTACTGAGACTTTCCTGTTGGGGAGCAAAGGTTAGCAAGGGCCCCCACTAGAGAGACCGTCCCTGGGTACAACTTTATCTAAGGGTTTCTTTGAACCACAGATACACCTGGTCTTCCCCTTCAAACACATATAAAACACTTCACCTTACCAGATAGGCTACAAAGAATACAGACATCCTCTCTGGAAATAACTGTTTCTGTTTAAATATTTAGCAACCAGTTAAACATTGTACTGGTTTTTTCTTTCCCTTTTCTATTACTTTTTAGGCTGCAGTAAATAATTGCTTAAGGCTGCACTTTAGGAGACATTTGTAAATTTTTCTTTTGCCTTGTGATAACAGAGAAAACCATGTCAAAAGTCATTCTGACAATTTTTATTTTAAGTTTTATGAGTTACCATTTAAAGAAGAGCAGTTGGTCATTGGTAAGCCTTCTTAAGAGGTTGGAGCTTTGATCTTAAATCCTAGGGAGGCTTTGCAGAAATTGGACACGACATCGTTGACAGGTTTGTTGGTAGCTATTCTATGGCCATTAATTAAACATACACACTCATACACACACTTTATTTACTACCCTGGAATAAGTGAATTGAACTTGACTTTGAGTTTTGATGGGAAGCTATGAGAGGGTCCAGGAAAACATCAAAGGAACCTTCTTAATCTAGTAGTACTGACTGTCAAAGGACCTAGCCTGAACATTTAAAGAGTTCTGGATTCCAACACTAGTCTAGTTTCTTTTCTGTAAAGCAGTAATTCTCCTTAATGATAAGAAAGGTGCAGGGATGGCCTGGCATGTTGGCTTATGCCTGTAATCCCAGCACTTTGAGGGGCTAAGACGGGAGGATCACTTGAGCCCAGAAGTTCGAGACCGGCCTGGGCAACAGAGTGAGATCTCGTCTCTACAAAAAATAAAAAAAATTAGCCAGGCATGGTGGCATGCATCTGTGGTCCCAGCTAGTGCCTGTGGTCCCAGCCTCTCAGGAGGCTGAGGTGGGAGGCTTGCTCAAACCTAGAAGGACAAGGCTACAGTGAGCCATGACTGTGCCACTGCATTCCAGTCTGGGCAAGAGAGTGAGACCCTGTTTCAATGGGAAAAGAAAAAAAATTAAGAAAGGTGCAGGGGCAAATAATCATCTCCATCCCAGTCCATTAAGTTCCACAAGGTTACAGGCTCTTTCCTTTTATCTCACTTCTAAAAGACTTCTTTGGAATAGCGTGTATACTTTTGTTTTGCATTTTAATAGTTTTTACCTTTAAGATCTCAACTTTAACATCTTAAAACTTTTTTTCTTTTTAATTGTAGATTTTTGGAATAATCACAGCTATCTTAAAACTTTTATGCTCCTAAGCCCTTAGAAGTGAGGGCTTGATACTTGTAGAAGCATAAATAAGGCCAGATGATGCCTTTGCAGAGGCAAATCTGAACCTAGTAGTTGGGAGGTCCATTACTGCGTCTGCTTCTGAAACCCCAATAGAGCACTAGCAACAGGTAGCTATTGCATGCCTGTTGGGTGCCAGGCACTAAAGAGTTGGGTGCCAGCTCTAAAGAGTAGTGAGCAAAAAGAAAACATCCTGGTATGCTGGAGTTTATTTTCTAATGGACAATTAACACAACAACAAAATGAACTACACAGTATATCAGAAGGTATTAAAAGCCATAGAGAAAAATAAAGGAGGGAAGGGGCTGATGTTACAGTTGGTTTGTATTTTAAATAGGGCAGTCTGGGAAGGCCTCACTGATAAAGTGATACCTGAGCAAAGACCTGAGGAGCTGAGAGAGTGAGCCCTTGGCACAGGTGTGGGAGGAGGCAGCAGCAGGCACAGATTCAGAGGCAGGAGGATGCCCAGTGTGTGGGTGGAGCAGGGAGGAGGCTGGTGAGGCTGGAAAGGGAGTAAGGGCTGAGGAATTGTAGGAGGCGTGGGAGGAGGTCTCTGCAGATCATTCAGGGCCTTGTGAGACACGTAAGACTTTCGCCTTTTCTCAGAGTGAGATGGGAGTCATGGGAGGGTTTCTCCCTTTTTCTTTTTTCTTCTTCTTCTTCTTCCTTTTTTTGTTTTTTGTTTTTTGTTTTTGAGAGACAGCGTCTTGCTATGTGTTGCCCAGGCTAGGCTTGAACTCCTGGGCTCAGGAGATCCTCTTGCTGCAGCCTCTTGAGTAGCTGGGATTGCAGACATGTGCCACCATGCTTGGCTTTTTATGGGAGGGTTTTGAGTGGAGCAGTGACATGATCTGATCTACCTAAAGCAGAATTGCTCTGGCTACTGGGCAGAAGCTGGGGACCATTTAGGTGGCTGTTGTATTGATTTAGGTTACACTTGATTTACACTATCCAAGATAGTGTAGTTGGAGCCAGGGTGGAAGCAATGGAAGTGATGAGAAGTGTTTGGATTCAGGATATATTAGAAGGGCAGAGCAAAAAGGATTTCCTGATGGGTTGGGTGGAGAAGAGTTAGTATGTCTGCAAGATTTGAGCCTCAGCAACTGGATCGTGTGCTCTGCCACACACTCCTTTTTATCCATGGCCCTTATTGGTGTCCAAGTTATTATCAAGCAGTCACTCTGATCCCAATTGAGAAACTGTAGACACTCTGGTAGCCAGGAGAAATACTTCTGTGGTCTTCTGAGCCATTGCTCAGAAGATGCTACCAGGTTAGTTAATGAGAGAGAACTTGGCTCACCAGTATAAGTTACTTAGTCTTTCTTGACACCTTCTCATTACACATTTGGCATCACATTCTGGGGAGGAACTGTGATAGATGTTGGTGCCATCCAAACCTGCACCTCAGCTCTGAGTCTGAAGAATGCAGGAAAAGAGCAGAAGAGTAGGAGGAGCTAAAGCAAAGATAAAGAATAGAGAGATCTGGAAACTTGTAGTACAAACCACTTTGAAAAAAAGACTATCAGGAGCAGTAAAATGTGTATCTTTCCCTGGTGTTTTCCCTTTTTATATCTACCTTTCATAGCTTCCAGTTGAAAGATAAAAAGATGTGATATTTCCACAATAACTGGAGTGGGAATTAATGGACTAACATGGAATGTAACAAAAACAAAGATTAAGTCCCACATTTAGTAATTGAGAGATGGCAAGAGAAGAGTTTATGGATCCTTCTAGTCAGATACATAGAAGATACACTGGCTTTCCAAGATCCCACTCTTGCTTGCACCCACCGTAATCTCTCCTACTTAAATAAACCACCAAGCCTGCTGTGAGAGAGTACGAGGACATAGTTTGCTACGATGTTGGCCAAGTATAGAGCTGAAAAATCTCACCCTGTTTATTTATTAGGAATCTTGTTTTCCATCCTTGCCTTGCTCATGTGGGGCTGAGTAAATCTTAATCTGAGTTCTTATCTCAGGAAGAGCAAAGGGTAGCCCTGGAAGCCTTCTAAATAGCAGGTGCAGGACAGAATGAAGAGGAAAAGAGAGGGTGGAGACCAGTGGAAAATATCTTTGAGAGGCCAAGAAATCCATAAGGCTGATGAGCTAGAGAAAGGAGCAGGTGGATGGGTGAGCTGGTGCCTAAGGGCGCAAACTGGAACCTACCGGGATGGGATGATAGGGACACCAGATGGACTGGCGTTGGGTCAAACCAGATGGTGGGCTTTTATTTTTAAAAGGATTTGTAAGTCCTAGGAACAAGGAACCATAAGGGTACTGGGCCTTTAATCCCATTAGTAGAAAACAAAAGTGTGCTCTTTAAAAATGTAAACTCATCAATTATAGAATTTATCAAAACTTTGGGACAGACTACTCACTTGTGAAACCCCAAGGAATCTCTGGATTCTGTATTGATGGAAGGAGAAACTGAAGAAATAGTCTAGGCATTATAAGTTAATTAAAGACTCCTCCTTAATAATTTAAAGTGCGTTTACTAAGTTTACATTCCAAACCAAACAAAATATGATATATTTGTATGAAATAGGCTGGCTCACATGTGGAGTTGGGAGAACAGCTAGCAGTGTAAGTAGGGACTGATGAATTATTGAGTAAATTTTGAGTTGGTAATGAGAAAATTTTTAAAATTTAAGCATCTATTGCTTTCCCAAAAATCAGACCCCTGCACCCCACCTCCCCAGTTGCTGTGTCTAGCGCAACCTGGCCTCAGTATAGCTACAGCTGCTCTCATGGTTGCTAAGACATGAGAGCTTCTACTGTAGTCCTTGTCTCTATCCCAGCCTTAATTTTAGGGTCCAGAGCTATTTCCATAATCCCTCTACAACGGACTTATTTTCAAGGAGACCAGACTCTTAAGTGTAGCCTGGAGCCATCAGTTTGTGCTCCCATGTGGCATGAGTGTGGATGCTGTGCCTGCAGAGCCATGTGTCCCTTGCATAGACATGCAGAGGGGTTGGACGGGAGGGTTTGGTGTGCTACAGAGTTCATGAGGAATCTGCCTTCTTCGTATTATGTAATAGCCGATTCTCCTGCTGATAGGAACACTCTAATCTAAAAAAGTCAATAAATGTTAAGTGTTAATATTAAGAGAAAGTTTTAAGTAGTGTGATTAGTTGTTAAATGACTTTTCTGTTTAGAATATGCAGATATATCCATTAAGTAACTATCAATAATACTGCATCATTTTCAATGCTATTTCATAGATATATCTTTCCTTAATTACTTCTGAAAAGTATAACTGTCACTTTGTAGTTGAAGTTGAATAGAGTTGCTTTCCAACACCACTGACTGTTTTTGCTTGCTTGTTCATTATTATCTCTACAGGTATGGAAACCTGACAAGCCCAAACTGTGAAGAAGATGGAAGCCAAAGTTCATCAGAGTCCAAAATGGTGATCAGGAAGTGAGTCTCCCTTTTCTTTGCATTCTAAGCTCTCAGTCAAGACAATATCTTAAAGTAGTTTAGTAGAGTATTTTATTCCTTTGAATGTTGCCATGATTTTTTTTTCCATAGTGCATACAGAGGCTTATTTTTTGATTACCTAACAATATTCATTTATGTATCCAGTGAAAGTATCTTAAGTAACCACTGTCTGCCAGGCATTGTGCTAAGGTATACAAAACAAACAAGTGAAGAAAACAAACGAACAAAATAAACAGTCCCAGCTCATAAAAAGTGTGTATTTTACCAGAAAGAGACAAAGAATACACACAAAAAAGTGAAGAAGAATGAAGCAGGGTCTGAGGGCTGGAGCGTTTGGCTATGTGTAGGGTGCCCGGATTGGGCTGTCTGGTCTGTTGGCATTGGAGCACGCCGAAATGAGGTGTGCCCTGAGCCTTGCAAATAGCCAGGCCGACAGACCACGGGAAAGCCTCTGAGGCAGGAGCGGTGTTTGAGAATCAGCAGGGAATTGCATGTGGCCGGAGCGCGTGCTAGGGGATGAGCACTGTGAGGTGAGCAGGAAGGTGGCCACTCACAAGGGGACTCATAGCAACTTGGGGAAAGATGTTGAATTTGATTCTGAGGAAGATAAGAAGCGCTTAGAAGGTTTTGAGAAGAGTGCTGTGGCCTGACACATCTTAAAAGACCCGCTCTGGCTCTGTGTCCGGAAAGTAGCCTGTGGCAGTGTGGCTGGGGACAAGGGTGGGAGCAGGGAGCCTGGTCAGGACCCTCCCAAGAGTCCAGATGAGGGCTGCTTGTGGTGCGGGCTGAAGCAATAGCAGTGAAGGTGACCAGCCTTTGCAGAGATCTTCCAGGTGTTGGTGGCAGGACAAGCTGGAGTGCATGGGCTGTGTGAGAGAACAAGAGGAGGCCAGATGCTTCCCAGGGTTGCGGTTTGAGCAGCGGAGAGACAGAACCTTGGCTTTATAAAATAAGGAAGATCGAGGGAGCAGGTTTAATGGGGAGTGTGTATCAGAAATTCAGTCACAGACATAATTAGCTCAGTCTAGATTTCAGGGAGAGGCATGGAATGGAGGTATAAATTTGGATGTCTTTAGTTTATACATGGTATTTAAAGCTATGAGACTGAATGTGGCTTCCTGGGAACTAAGGGCAGATAGAGGAGAGAAGATCCAGAGACTGAGCCTGGTTCCTTGGGTGTTTAGAGTTAGGGAAGTAGAGCGTCTGGCAGAGGAGACTGGAACAGAGCAGCTTTGGGGAAGGATGGGGGAGGAGAAAAAAGAAGTTGTTGTGTCCCCAGAAGACAAGCAAAGAAAGGATTTCAGGGAGGGAGTGACCAACTCCCTCCAGTGCTGCCCTAGATCGAGTGTGAGGGTCTGAAAAGTGACTCCTCCTTTGCAGTGCTGCGGTCTTTGGTGACTTGACAAGTGCAGTTTGGTGGATGGAAAGGTGGGCAAGAGAGAATGAAGGGGATGAAGTGGGGACAGTGAGTCTTGTTAGAGGAGGAGCTTTGCTGCAAAGGGGAATAGAGAAATGGATGGAAGATGGGTTTTTTTTTTGGTTGTATATGTGTTTTTTAAAAGATGGAAGATATTTTATGCTGATGAGAATGTCCTATGAGAAAACATCCATGATGCGGGGGTGGGGGCCATTGTAGGGGTGATGTTCCTGAGTAGATGGAATGTGCACCTGGGTGCCTGAAACCACTAGTGTTAAATATTCATTTTGGGGCCAAAAGTCTGGGGGGAATCCTGTGGAATTTTTAACTCCTCAGAAGAGTTACTGATAGACTCCTTTCTTCAGGAGCTAGGGATGTGAAAGTAGAAAGCTGAGTATCTTTTTTAACTCCTGAGTTAGGTTCCATGTAGTTTTACAGTTTTGTTCAGTGGATCATAACTTTCCAGAAAACCAGACATACCAGTGTAGGTATTTGAATGTCAAGCACAAGGTACAGTGGGAGGAACAATTCTTTTGTTTTTAGAAGGGCTTGGGGAAGGCCTCTTGGAGGAGGTTACCTTTGATCTGGGCCCTGAAGCATGGTGAAGATTTTGTTGGTAGAGCCGTCTGGGTATAGGAAACAGTGGGACCAAATTGGGCAAATGCAATTTTCATGGAATTTTGGGGAACAACACAGAATTGGTGTGGCTGCTTCATAGAGTACATGTTAGGTGAGAGGGGAGTCAGTGGAGCTGAAGCTAGATTGGACTTACTTCATGAAGGGCATTAATTTCTTGCAGGAGAGTTTGGACTTTCCCTGGTAAGCAGTGGGCAGTCAGCAGTAATGAATTTTTATAGGAGGGAAACAATATAATCTAAAAGGTGATTTTTCAGAATGGGTTAGACATAGAGCCTTCTCGCTCAAAGTGTGACCGTGGACCTATAGCATCAGCATCTCCTGGGTGGGAGCTTGTGAGAAATGCAGACTCTCAGGCCCCACTCAGACCTAATGGATTAGAATCTGCATTTTAACAAGATTCTCAAGTGATTCCTAAGCACTTTAGAGTTTTGAGAATCATAGGAGTCTATGAAAACTCACTAAGATAATGATTTTTTTAGAAGAACCTTTTTATAATGGACATTTTGGAGCATATACAAAAGGAGAGATACTGTAAGAATTGAGTGTAATCTAGACTTGTGAGCAGATTCAGAAATAGACATGTTATTATACACATATTTTGGAACTCAGTCCAATCTAGAGCTGCCATTCAATTAGCCACCTGAACACTCTGAGGAGAGTCACAATCAAAAATATCCAGAGCTGGCCGGGCGTGGTGGCTCATGCCTGTAATCCCAACACTTTGGGAAGCCCAGGAGGGAAGATCACTTAAGGCAGGAGCTCAAAACCAGCCTGGGCAACGTAGTGGGACTCTGTCTCTACAAAAATTTTTTTAAAAAATTGCTGGATGTGGTGGCACATGCCTGTAGTCCCAGTTACTTGGGAGGCTGAGGCAGGAGGATTGCTTGAGCCTGGGAGGTTGAGGCTGCTGTGAGCCATGATCGTGCCACTGCACTCCAGCCTGGGCAACAGAGTGAGTGAGACCTTGTCTTAAAAGTAAATAATAATAATAAAAAAATCCAGAGCTTCTCTGTCCCATGAGGTGTTTTGAGATAAAATAGATTTTTTGGGAAGTAGCAGTTAAGAAAATTGCACCCTGGGTATGAAGAGTCATGTTCATTCTTTTAAAGTCTCATTCGAATTCGTTGTATACTAGGAACACTAATGTGAATGAAACTCCAAGCTAAGCTGTTTTAAAGAGTTTTAGAGTTTTAAGCATATGAGGGCTTAACAAAGAGCTTCACACAGAACTCCCCTGAGGGGTCCATCCTCTGGGGACAATGGTCCTTTCCTAAAGTCTCACAATAACTTGGTGGAAAGTTCTTGACCCTTTTGCTCAGACTGAGTTGCCTTTTAAAAAATTATGCCTGATGAAAATATGCCACTTTATCTTATAATGGGTCGCTCTGTCCTACAGATTCTGGAATGTTAAAATCCCTTCTTACTGGTGACCTCTTTCTTCCTTCCATTTCCCTTTCTTCTGTCTTTCTCACTGTTTTTTCCCCACATCTTTTATTGTTTTTCATCTCACTTCACTATTATTTTTTGGCTCTCTTTTTCTGAAACTATGCTTCTCCTGATCATTTCTGTGCCTAGATAGGGTCACTGCTTTGTCTTTGTCTTTGTGAGAGGAAATCAGGGAAGCATCTTCTCCCATCTGTATGTAATGTATTGCAAATTTCCTGGTCATCCCAGACCTCTGGCATCTGACTTGCAGCAATGATTGAGGGCTTCCTGATGATCAATAGATGTGTAGGAGGTATGGCAGTGGTTCTCAACAGGGCGATTGTTATCCTCCAGAGGACATTTGCCAATGCCCTACAGACATTTTGGTTGTCTCAACTTGGTGGGGGGAGGCTATTGGCAACTCATGGGTAGAGGCCAGGGATGCTGCTAAACGTCCTAGCATGTGAAAGTTTCTTGTATTGGTTCGAACCCTAAAAGCATGCCAACAGACAACACAAAGCGGTGTGGAGCAACACACTGTTTTAATGAGTGCCTGGGTGCAGGCGGGCTGAGACCTAAAATGACATCAGCCCCAAGTGAGGACGGGACAGGGGCTTTGTAGTCCTCTGTAAACAGGAAGTGTCCCAGTCTGACGTGACTGCTACGTAGTACCTGGACGGCCTCTTTCTCGGTCTTCAGGGGTATGTGTCTTCCGGCCAGGGTAGGTGTCTTCCGGCCAGGGTAGTTGTCTTCCGGCCAGGGTAGGTGTCTTCCGGCCAGGGTAGTTGTCTTCCGGCCAGGGTAGGTGTCTTCCGGCCAGGGTAGTTGTCTTCCGGCCAGGGTAGGTGTCTTCCGGCCAGGGTAGTTGTCTTCCGGCCAGGGTAGGTGTCTTCCGGCCAGGGTAGGTGTCTTCCGGCCAGGGTAGGTGTCTTCTGGCCCGCTGTCTTCCTGCTTCTGCTATCTTGCTGACGCGTGCTGCTGGCGCAAGTGGCCTTGAGCTTTGGGACTGGGCCTGAGAAGGGAGGAGTTACTCATCCCTTCAAGCTTTCGGGCCCGGGGGAGAATCTTTCAGCATGCACAAAGTAACTCTCCTCTACCCCAACAAGGAATGATCTGACCTTAAATGTCAATAGTGCCTAAGAAGCCCTGCTATGTAGTATTGAGGCTCTAGTTCTCAAGTGAAACTGTCTTTATGAATACCTAACATACATAAAAATAGGAGCAGGCCTATTTGGAAATTTCTCTATTTGTGTCTCTTTTTATAAGTAGCTGAATCAAATGTGGAAGTGATTCAGAGGCAGCCACATGGAGAGGGAAAGGCCCTGGTGAAGGAGCCTGGAGAACTCGGATCCTGCTCCTTCTCTATCACTCTGTCACTTACCAGTCATCTGACCTTGGCTTAGTCCCTTCACCTCCCTTTGTTTCAGTTTCTTCACCTGAAAAATGAGTGCTTGGAGTAAATGCTCGCTGAGGTCCTTTTAAGTTCAGTGATGTCTAAGATAAAATTTATTTAGCTTTTTCTTTCTCTCAAAAAATGAATAACAGAAACAGAGATATGGTCCACACAGCATAGTGGACTTTTGAGAGTACGGTACCTTCGACCACTTTTCTCTGTTGGAAAGTGTGTTACCAGTTTTGAAGAGACAGGAAGAAACACATACACAAGCTTTGTTTGTTATTAGTCATGACATCACAGCTGCTCACTGGGGTCATGAATAAAGAGCTGAGCTAAAGCATTGTCTTGTGGGAGTAAGGCAAGGAGTGGCAAAATGCCCATTGTTTTCTTTTGCTATGAATCTGTTCTCTTGTGATTTCAGGTGGAAAACCGACAGCAGGAATCCAATGACATTCAGGAAGTAAACATCCTGTTTAGGGCAGTTGCCTTCAGTTTTGCAGACCTGGGTGGAGGAGGGGATGGGGACAGGGACTCACTATTGGATTTAACCATGAACAGAAAAATGCCCAAATATTGTTTGTTTTCCCGTTTTAGCTGTAAAGCAAAGAGCAACCCTTACATTTTATACAGGCTCCCAAGTACCAAGTAAAATCTTTCCTGTATTTCCAAATATGGATTTAAACCTTTCAGAGGGTAAAAGAACTTTAAAGAAGGAAAATGTGGAAATACAGATGAAGCATTCAAGATGAAAAATTGGTTTCTGATGTCTTGGACCACAACCGACTAGTGTTCTTCATGCATTTAAAAAAGTATCAGATTGTGCAGGGACTCCCACATGCGGAGTACTTGTAATTCCAGTCCAGAGTTCAGGCTTTGCACAATGTCAGGACCCTCTAAAGTTATCTGGCTAAGACAAGAATGTGTTCAGTTGCAAAGGATTCAACTTCCAAGGCTTCTGGATGTTGGAATCTTTGCCTCACGGTGATTTCTGATGGTAGGGCTAGACTGATTATATAAGGTGTGCCACATTTATTTCTAGGATTCCTAAATTGGCCACTATTTATCAATTAGGAAACTCACTTTCTATGACAGAAGAAAACATTTCTGCCTATATTCATTCTACCCGTGCCCTTTTCCTGCTGACATTTTTACACGATAAAATGCTATCTTTTTAAATAATAAAATCTGAACCAGATGGAAAAAGTGAATTGTCTCTAGGGCAGATTTATTATAGTCATTGAATTCAGAAATGAAGAGAATGTAAAGAAGGGATATTAACCATATAGAGCTTTTACAACACGAATCTTCATTCTCTGAATTTTATATGAGATGGCCATATCTCCCTCTCTCTATATATAACTTTATTTAAAGAGATTTAAAACTCCTCAAGAAATGATGCTTTATTTCTTTCCTTTAATGACTATTATAAGGTTGAAATTGTTTCTGTTTTCTTTTCTTTAATTGAATCTCATCAGTTTCCTTCTGGAGTGCCAAGTTTTGTTTTCTCAAACTCTCTACCATAGTACTACTTCAAATTGTTGAAATCGTTCTGCTTTCATTTCCACATATTCAGAAGATACGTATATTGTTCTTGTAATCTTTTCCCAGAAGTTGTAAACAGTGACACCAGATTTCAGTCACTGGTAAAGGATCATGTAAATAGTAGTAATCCAAGACATCGGATACACTTTAAAGAGAAAGGAAAGGAGTTAAAGGAAGTTGGCTGTGTTACATTACTGCCTCAGAAACTTCACAGTGGAAAGTTAAAAAATCTTCCCAGAGAGTTTGCAATCAATATTCATTCCTGCAAATTCAGATGCCCTAAGAAGGCAATTGAAATTAATTGGAGTGATTATAACAAAAATGGGGAAAAGGAGGAGGGGTGAAGAACAGCAAAAACAAGATTTAAAACTCCAATTTAGAAGAATTAAAAGTTATAATGTGAAAGGAATTTTTTTTAAAGTGAAACAAAAGAAATGAAGAAGTGATATGCCATATCGAAGAGTCTGGTATTGTCTTTAAAATATCCCTACAGGACAAAGAAGAATAAAAACCATAGTTTTACAAGTCATTAGCATTCTAAGTCAAGTCTGCATTTTAGGGACATGGGTAGAAAGCCCTGAGCAGAAACTGATGTTCTAATAGTTGAGGAAGAATAAAACAACATTGATAATCAATGGCTCAAAAAGAAGACAGATCAATCATACGAGTATCTCCTAGGGTTTTCTACATTAAAGAATGTCTCTTTTAGAAAGGAAAACAGACATCACAATTAGACTGTATTGTTTGATTCCCTGCACAGCATTGTAAACAAAGAAAATGATGACACTGCCCTTGCCACCACCATTGGCTACAATTTGTGGTATGCTTACAAGGCATTCTGCTAAGTACTTTATATTTGTGTCTTCTTCAACCATCACAAATATGCTGAGATATTGTCCTCACTTTATAGGATATAAAGTGAAGCTTCAGAGAAGTTATGTGTTTTGACTAAGATCAGGCAGGTGGTTAAGTGACAGGTCTGATATTTGAACTCCCGTCCAACTGACTCCAAGACCTGGGTGGGAAGCCCAGGCATGCCATTTATAGAAGAGCATTGGGATCTCGGATACTCAAGATTTTTCTCCGCATTTGCCTATATCACCATAATAAGACTGCGGAAGTACATGAAGAACTAGATTACAATATCATTGTTGTGACTAATGTTTTAGATTGTTATTATTCTGAGATCTTTTGTCATTATTTCCATTGCTCTATGCTGTTTTGCCTGGCTGTTGCTTTATTATTGAATGAACACCCTGAGCAAGGTTCGCACACAGCTGTTAGAAATGTGGAAGCTAGACCTTTTTCCTGGGGAAGGAGATGGGTTGAAGAATGTGAGGAAACAAGACCAAATTAGGCCCATCAAAGGAGAACCTGCTTCCTGTTCCTTGTGCCTCGTAGCATCTGTCACTACCAACGGAAACTCAGTTCTAGTGGTGAAAACTATAGAAGGCCTTAGCCATTTTTTTCAATAGAGTTCTATTTATAACATGAAAACTCCCTTCTTGGACTGTGGGGAATGAGTTATTGAGGTCCTTGAAAGATAATTTTGGTGACTGGCGATGTCCTTTTCTAATAATAGCTAGAATTTATTGACTACTTAGTAGGAATGGTCCCTGTGTTAAGTACTGTACATACTTGTTAAATCCTCATAATGATTATGTTTTATTATTCTTATTTTACAGAGGAGGAACCTGGGGCGTAGGTTAAGGAACATGTCCAAGGCTACACAGTGAATAAATGAAAGAGCTGGGATTTAACCGAGGCCTTAACCTCTGTGCTGCATGACCTTTACTATTTTTCCTCTGATAAAAATGAAAATATTTCTCTTAAGTACTTAGCTTGGGAATGAAAGACAGGTGTGTAAATAACCTTGACTTTGGGTAATTGGCTTCAGGCTTATCCATCCTACTCCGGGCCCTCTCCCACTCACATTTACTGTCTTTCTGTATGTCTTCCTTTCATAATCTTTTTCTTCCTCCTTCTTGCCGTGGAGGTTTTTTTTTTTCTCTTCTCTCCCTTCCCCATAGTCCCTGCGTTGCCCTTGCCTTCTTAGTGCTTAAATCTGACTCTGGCTTTGTTGGCATTATTTCCCTGGTCTTTTCTCAATCTCTCTTTCACGTCTCCTCCTAGTATTTGAATCCCTGTTTACCAACAGCACTGAAATGTGACAATGTAAAGTGTAAAAAAGCAACGCAGGACAACCTTGACAAGTCCAGATAATAATATTTTCATCCTTTCCAGGAAAAAAACAAAGAGGAAAGCTTTGTATCTTTCTTTGTTCCTTCTCATCAGGAAAATCATCTAGCTGGAGGTCTCAGAGGCAGCTTCTATCTGGCAACCTTCCCTGAAACAGAGCAAAACTGTTCTATGATTAGGAGAACAAGGTGGAGGGTCCGGCCCAGAGTCAGGGTCAAGGTTGACTTAGGCTTCAGTTCTTGAAGGACAAAGTGTATTAGATCCTGCCCTCAGAGCTTGGCAGAAGTTACTTCATTGCTTGAAAGGCCCACCGTCTGCGTAAATCTTCTTACCTTTTCATTATCTGCAGCGAAGACAAGATCCAGTTCTCAGAGAATGTATTAAAATAGAAAAACATTTTGCTGCTTTTGAAAAATGGTTCCATGTCTTATTTTCTGCTGATGATTAAGTACAAAAAATTATTATTTCAAATAGATTGCTGGGGAGAGAAAAGAACTCTAGATGGATAGTGTTATTCTTTTTGTCACGGTAATCCTATTTCTTGGCTCAGAAGTTACACATCATGGGAGAGGTGACTTCATACCTGAAAAAATTTGTATTAAACATTTGACCAATTATAGAGTATTTTACTGCCTATGGAATGTTAATATGATTTAATACGTTTACCTAAAATCTGCATTCATTAAAAAGTCTGTGATTTGCGCATAATCGCTGCCTAAATGCTTGCCTCAGCCCTCTCTGCATTGCGTGCCTGAAGATCGTGGGGTGGCTAGAAGTTCTGAACCATTTTCTTTTATCTCTCAGCCAAGGTGCATCTGTCTAATGTCTTCTAAGCAGGTGTTATTAGGTGTGATTTCTGGTTGGCTGAGAAATCAATGAGTGGCCAGCTGCGGTGGCTCATGCCTGTAATCCTAGCACTTTGGGAGGCCAAGGCAGGTGGATCACCTGAGGTCAGGAGTTTGAAACCAGCCTGGCCAACATGGTGAAACCTGGTCTCTACTAAAAAGAAAAAAAAAATTAGCCAGGCATGGTGGCACGTGCCTGTAATCCCAGCTACTCGGGAGGCTGAGGCAGGAGAATCGCTTGAACCTGGGAGGCGAAGATTGCAGTGAGCCGAGATTGCGCCACTGCACTCCAGCCTGGGCGACAGCTCTGTCTCAAAAAAAAAAAAAAAAAAAAATCAATGAGTATAGCAGATTTCATCATGCTCCTTTCCCCCAACTCTTTATATTTTTTAGTTTAACAGATCTTTAAGTCCTCTACAAGTGTTTAGCTCTTTCACCGCAGAACCTCTGCCTCATTGCTGCCCCAGAATCCTCATCCCACTGACTCCTAACCCTCAAGATCTCAGCTTTCACATCATTTCCTCAGGGAGATCCTCCCTAAAGCCTTGACCAGGTCAGCTCCCTCTGAAGTTCAGTGCTTCCCTGGGACCCTGGACTTCCTGTATTGTGATGCTCATCGCATAAATTGTTTTTGTGACTCTGGGAAATAAAGGGCACTCAACAAATATTAGTTTAATTGGTGAATGAATTTCTTAGAAGCAAAAGTCCTAGAAGCTGCTTTAGTATGTTTCAAACAGTGACATCTGAGCATGTCTTCCTTCCCCTATAGACGATTGCAGTCGGTTGGAAAAGAATCACACACTACAAAGTTTTGTATGTTGCCAAGAATGCCTGAGGTAGAAAACTCAATTTTGGTTGTCTCCTCTGCTATCAGTTTTGGGCCCCTGGCCTTGGCCACCTACCCGGCATACTTGCCCTTAGGACCGAGGAGTTTTGTTCTGTGAGCCACCAAAGATTACTTTGGAAAAGGAAGTCACATACTGGCTTTTCTCCAGACTGAATTTAGGTTATGTCACAATTGTAATCATCCAGTTTGGCTTCAGGAATTACTTCTGCCTTTACAAGTTATTCAAGAATCATCTCTTGCAGTTAATACTACAGTTTGATGTCTTTGATTTGTCCTAGAGAGGATACCTCAAGGTATATGTATGTGGGCACATATGTGTGTGTGTGTCTTGTGTGTGTGTTCACAGCAGCCATCTTCTTCCAGCAGGCCTGAAGTCACACATGTCATAGCATGGCTTGTATTCTGTGTCATTCTTCCTGTGAGAGGTGGCAGATTCTTTGAGTCAATTCCTGTGAGTGCTGATGGATTTTCGCTGAGCCATTTTACCTTTTCAATCCCTTCCTTCTATGACTTCTGGCAAGTAGTTGTAAGACTGTTGATAATTATGTTTCTCTCCAGGTATCTCAAAATGTCCTTATTGACATTATATCATTTGAAATCACAACTGATCAGTGTCAGGTAGATGAAGAAGGTGTTATTATATCTCTTCCCCAGAGAGGGGGGTCAGTGGAGTTAACTGACCTATCCAGGCTTCCTTAGTTCCCCGGTGGGACAGCCAGGATGAAAGATAGAGTTTTCTTTCTCCAGGTCTCCAAGCGTCCTGTCTTGGTCTGTGTACAGAACCAAGTGGCTTCTGTAGTCTAACAGACATACCAGACCTGTAAATTTGTGACTTCAAACCAGAATTTCCCTTCAGCTGTAAGATTCTTTACATCCCCCCACTCTGTTCTGGTTAATATATAAGTTAGATCTTAGGACTGGAGCCAGGCTGGGTAAGACCGAAAAGCCATTGGCCAGTAATCCTGTTTTTCTTTTCATCATTATTTTGCGATGTTGCTTTCTTTTTTGAAATCTTAAAAGTTTCGCATTTGTATCTGCTTCTAAATCTATCAAGAACGGAAAGTTTCTTCCCAGGACTGGCACACACAAAGCTACTGTGAGCCTTGGGCATGTGTCCAGGCCTTTCCAGAAAGCTTCCCTGCCTGGTGTGCTGAGAAACGCTCTGCCGATGAGGAGGGCAGGGCTCTGCCTCGTGTTCTATTGTGCTGTTTGTGTATGTCTTTCCCTTTCTCTGTTTCTTCGTCCTCCTCCCCCTTCATTCCTCTTTTGTGTGAAAATGCTTTTTTCTGGCTGATTGAGTATCTGAGTTTGTGGTGAACTTTCAAAGCCTTCTTAGGCTAAGCTACAGGAAGGTCACTGTCACAAAGAGTAAAAAAATGTATAGATCGCCAGAGTTCATTAAAAACATCAGATTGAGGAACACAAAATGTCCACCTAAGGGCAAGTCTAATGTGGACGAAGGCTCCTCTTTAGAACTCTCCTAGTTCTTCTGAGGCTGCAGCTCTCCATAGAGGTAAGTGCTGTGTGCCCATCAGAAATACCCACACGAGCATGCAGAGATGGAGGCAAGGATGCACATATTTTGTAGTTGTGACAACCTGAAAATAACTTAAATACCTGCCTTCCAGTAGAAGAATACTTAATTATGGTGTGTCCACATCATGAGAAACAATAAGATAGATCTAGAGGTAATGATGAAGTATCTGTAATATACTGCTCAGTAAAAAAGCCCATGTTGATTTTCTTTCTATCTATCTATCTATCTATCTATCTATCTATCTATCTATCTATCTGTCTATCTTTTTTTTTGGAGATAGGGTCTCGCTCTGTTACCCAGGCTGGAGTGCAGTGGTGTGATCACAGCTCACTGCAGCCTCTATCTCTTGGGTACAATCAATCCACCCACCTCAGCCTCCTGAGCAGCTGGGACTACAGGCGTGTACCACCACACCTGGCTAATTTTCTGTATTTTTTGTAGAGATGGGGTTTCGCCACGTTGCCCTAGCTGGTCTCGAACTCCTGGGCTCAAGCAATAATCCTGTCTCAGCCTCCCAAAGTGCTGGGATTACAGGCGTGAGCCACCACACCTGGCACATATTATGTATATTTAAATATGTATACATATCCACAGAAAAGCCTAGAAGGATATATTCTAACAGTTAACAAAAGGTCCTGGGAATGGGATTAGGATGAAGGGAGAGAGTAGGTATTTTGCTTTTTTAGTTTATGTACATTTGTAAGACTTACTTTTTTGCAATAAATAATGAGTTTTATCATAATAATTAAGGATCACAGGCATTTAAGAAGTGAATAATATATTAGCATCACTGACTCTTACCTGTAATTTTGTGTTTCCGTCTGGGTGTTCTTTTCAGTGAAACACTGTCTTGTTGTTAGGCTGCTACTGTTTTTGACTTGAGTATATGATATGAATTATCACCTCTCCATATCTGTTTTTCCATCAGTGTCATCATAAGAGTATCTTTTCACTGAAATATTAAGAAACATTAAGCAAGTATAGTGGTGTTAATTAGATTAATTCATCCCTCTTTTTAAAGGTGCAAAACTCTTTTTCTGTAAAAGTCAAGCTGATGTAAATGCAAATATCAGGTTTTCAATTAATTTCTGGCTTTCTGGAAGAAAGTGAAATTATTGTTTATCATTTCATTTAATCTGGACTAAATATTTGGAGTATTGAATTATTTCTATGACTTTCATTTGATGGTTTCATGTATCTACTTTAGATGCAGATAATTGAATATTATAGTTCCAAATGCTTTAACGTTCCACATTAGTGAAACAATGATCTACACCATAATGAAAACAGTAACACATTTATTTTCTTTCTGTTTGTACTTCAATTCCAAAAGTTAAGCATTAAATTGGCTTTAGTCATACTTATGCTTTGATGATAGTCCAGCTTCTTGGTGTGAAATCAAGATGTGAAGAAAGTTAGACACACCTGTGAAAGCCCAGCCTTCACTTTCACATATGTGGGTAATAACTTAGTCCAGTTATAGTTTGTTAACTAAAAAAACAATTTCTTTGAAGTATAATTAGGTGATAATGATAATTTTAAAATGTGCTAAAAAATTCTTTTTGGCTGAAAAATTTTGGTAAAGTGTTTAGTTAAGATGAGGTGTTGTGTCTCTGTCAATAAAAGATGCATGGATTAATGTATAGTCCCTGTCATCTTCTCCAGCCTTCAGCAGTGACTATTCCGGGACCGTATGGGGTAACTGGTTGCTAGGCAGGCAGAGTGTTCTGTTCTGTTCTCCTTGTCTGTGGCATGTGATTGAGTCAGGAGTGTTGGTAAAGTCTTCTTTGAAGATGAAGCATAGAATAATAGCATGCAAAACATTTTATCCTTTTTATCCTTCAGCTATTTGTCTCTAGCCTTCAGTGAGTGGGTGCCCCAACCTAAAGACAACATGCTGTGTTATTACTAACATACTGGAGGGAGCTGTGCACATACAAATGACCCTGTCTCTTTTTGTGCCCTGGAACCTTGTCTTCCCCTAGGTGGACTCTGTGACCCACAGAGCCATCAGAAGAAATCACCTTTGCTTATCAAGTTTTTGTTCTTTATCTTTTAAAGACATAACTTCTCTACCTACTGTTTCTGCTACTTGAAACATATTCCTCTCATTGTAATTTGAGAAACAAAAGGATAATTTTATGAGGACATTTTCAGTGTTCATGCTGAAGCCCTGGTGATCCTTGTCAACTTGAATTTATGCATTTATCTTTCCACACTCAGGCACTTCCTTTCATCAGATGGATTTCTGGCCTACCGGCAGTCAGTTATTTCCTAACATATTAGGTGGCAGATTTTGTGGGATTTAATTTGAGCATAATCTTATTGTGTACAGATTGCTTTGAAGTTTCTTCAGGACTCACTAAACCTTCTACACATCAATTTTTCTGCCCTGTATGGGTTTTTCCAAAGTTTAGCCTCCTTAAAACAAACAAACAACAACAACAAAAAACCTTATCAGTTTCACTGCAGCACTCCACTTAAAACAATAAAGTTTAGTTTGTTTTCAAGTGCTTTAAATCCATTGATGTTTCTAGGAACTTTTGGATGAATGATCTGTTGACCACCCACCCAAGTTTCCAGGGGTGCCCCTGGGGTCCACCCTGGTGTCCAGGGATTGCTTTGCCTCCCCACAGCCAGTTGGGTGCAGTGACTCTCCATTTGTCTTTCTCAGTGCAATCGCTTCCATACTAAGGGCCTGGCTTGACCAGTGTGCAGAAGACTTCCGAGAGCCCCCTCACTTCCCTTGCTTACAGAAACTGCTGGATTATCTCACACGGATGATGCCGGGCTCTGACCCAGAAAGAAGAGCACAAAATCTTCTTGAGCAGTTTCAGAAGCAAGAAGTGGAAACTGACAGTGAGTACTTGTTTGTTCCCAGGGAAAAGGCTAGATTCTGATTCTCCAGCCTCCACGCTGGAGAAAGGTTCTCCCTGTGCTGGCTAATAGGAAACCTTGGTACCCTCAAAACAACATGCTGCTGGAGGATTGGCTTGAGTATAAAATTCTCAAGATTACTGAAGTACTAATTAGAGAGCCTAGAATTTTAGACAGAGAAGGGTATTTTCAAGACTACCTAATCTGGCTCCCTCATTTTATGGATGAGGAAACTGTGGAAACTCCAGCTCAGAAAAATTAAGTAATTTCCTGGGGTTTCTTCTGTTACCAAGAAGAGGGTCTCCTTGATGAACTTTAATCTTCCCTTATCAACATGTACCATGCTGAACCTGAATTTGCATTTTATTACCTGTTTAATGGCTCCTTCTAGCCTTCCATCACAACCACTCCCGTCTAGCAGTCAAGGAATGAAGTCTAGTTCTGATCCTGCCCTCCCAAAAGCTTGGAAAAGGTGTTTGTCCTTCAGTATGGAAAAGCATCACTGTAACGGGTCCCCTGCCAGTGCAGATTGTCATCATTTAGCATCTATAAGGGCCTCATCAAAGGAAGTTTCTGCAGCTGTTTTTCCCTATTTGAAGATTAACTTCCTATTTGCAAGGACAAAGGAAAGGCCACCACTGCAGGTTATGAGGTGCTTGGAACTATTAGGCTTTGAAGAAAGTCAGAAAGAGGCTGGGACAGGCTTCCAGTGTGATGTTGTATCCTCTCACTGGGGTGCTGGGTGACAGTTTCCATGGTGGCTGACCCACTTGGAGCTTCTGACAGGCATTACCCTGAAGGGATGCCTGACTTCATCAGTAAGGGAAAGGAAATGTTCCTCAGCACCAATAAGGAAAGCTGCATCAGCTCCAAAGAAAATAGACCTAAATTCCAAACAATACCTGCTGAATTTCTTATGGATGGGGGTCCCAGAGAGAGGGAAATGCAATTGCATCATTGGAAGCTGACTGCCAAATACTCTATATCTCAGATGACTTCATCTGCCAGGAATGTTTGAATACCAGGGGCACTCCTCCAGCTGCGGACCTCAGCTCCCTTCAGGGCCTCCATGCCTGGCTTTGTGCTGGAGTGGGAAACGCTGTGTTGGAGCCCAGCTCTCCCCACTGGGGCTGCCCCTGGCTCTGAGCCTAATTGGGGAACCGGTGGGACCAGTCATTCATTGTTTCCAACACAGGGACTGCAAGGCAGAGCTCATTTGGCAGGCTGAGGCAGGGGAGAGGGAGATTGCCTCAGTTCCCATGTGCTTGTTTTACCCAATTTTACTCCTGCGGAAGAAGCAAGCTCTCCTATATGTTTTTAAAAAGTAAAATCGTGCTTCATGTTGTTACTTATCTCTGGAGGAGAATCAAAAGCAGAAAACAGTGAAGGCATGGACTATGCCCCAGAGAGAAAGGATCATGTAATCTTCATGCACAGCAACATTATAGACACACATTGGGCTGCTGTGTTTGCTGAATGAATGAATGGAAAGATCAAGCCTTAGCACATACCCTGCTCCTTGACTGAAGTGGGTTAGGCTCTGCATTGCAGGGCAAATGGGATATATGTATGTATTTGTTGACAAGACGAGGGAGAGGCCGTTTCTGAACCTTTATTTGGGATCCCAAGTTTCTAATTACACCTCTAAATTAAACAGTGCCAGAGTTGTATGGAGGAAGAATGATGAAATTAGATTGCTTAACATCCTCCATGTCATGGGGTTTTAGCTTCCTTTAGCTTGTACCTGTTTGTGTCGCAGACTCCGGGGATAGGCAGTGATCCCCTTCTACGTTTTTCAGTCATAACCCAACCCCATTGGCATCTGGAACTTCAAGTCCAGGGTAAAGGGGCAATCCTCAAATCACATACCTGCCACCAGTATAGGCAGATAACCACATGCTGCCCTAAAGGGGAAGTGGTGTAGGGTCCACTCTCGGAAGCTCCTTTTCCCTGGAAAATGAAGGAAAGCCACTGTGACTTAATCCAAGATGCCCAATAGTCTTTAATTCTACAAAGAAAGAAAGAAAAGGCTCAAAATATAAGCATTCTGGGGGAGTAGTAACATGCTGATTTACATTTCTGCTAAGATATAACTGAATGTAACTAGAGTTTTCTTTCCTTGAGAACAGGTTTGACAGGAAGGAGTGTGAGGGGTGTGAAGGGGCTGAGGTTGGGAAACAACCCGAGCACTGGGGAAAGGTTCCAGGAAAGGAAGGCTGGGGATTTAAGTCAGAAAACCTTCATCAAATTCCAGTCTTTCAAAATGGAGACTGGAGGTCCTATTCCAGGTGTGGGCTCTTCTGCTTTTTATTCGGAATCCTGGGTACTGATTTTCTCTTCTTCATGCTGTGCCCTATGTAATTTGCTAATTGATGATCTTGGCTGTGATAGGTTCAGGTGAATTTAGTTGAAGACTGTTCTGCTTCATGCATTCTTAGCTTTGGGTGGAAGTTGAAAGTGACTCTGAACATTTTGAGAATTTTGAGGGCTTCGTCAGCATTTCTAACACCAAAATGGCTCATTTTATTGCCCAAAGTCATACCTGCCTTCATGGCGAGTCCTTCCAGGCTTCTGGTTATAAGTCGCCCAGCAACCAAAAATTGCATGGTTGGGGTTTAGGAGTTAGTTGGATTAGTCCTGGAGCTGATCTGATCAAAAAGTTTGAAAGAGCCCTAGACAAAGGGCTCTCTCTAGACTTTGCCTATCCTGGCTCTGTCCTTGGCCTAGGAGCCAGTGATTTGTCAGAGTGAGAGCATGAGGGCTCTGATCTTAATAGAGAATCTAAGAACAAGCAGAGATGGGAAGATCTCCATTGTTCTCAGATGCATTGTGCTTGTGGTTGTCTCCCTGTGGCTGTTCTGGAGGATTGGCCCTCTTCTTCCTAAACAAGGAGTAAAGTCTGATGACTCTATAAGCAAGATTATATACACTGGCGCCAAATTACTAATCTTTTCCATATGTGAACAGATGGGCTTCCCAACACGATCTCCTTCAGCCTGGAAGAGGAAGAGGAACTGGAGGGTGGAGAGTCAGCAGAATTCACGTGCTTCTCAGAAGATCTCGTGGCAGAGCAGCTGACCTACATGGATGCAGTATGTCTTCTCTTTGTGATCAGATGTACTTTCACTTAAAACATAGGGGAGTGATGGCACTGGTGCCCCGGTGACAGCAGTGGGATAATGTGATTTTAAGTCTTCTTGAATCCTTGAGACAGGCTGCGCCTGCAGATACAGAGTTAAGATGTGTCTTGAATCAATCATCTGAATAATTCAGGCCTGAGCTCTTCTTGCAACTCTAGGAGAAGGTGCTTTTGGAGCTCAAGACACAGAGGGAAATAAGAATTCGAATCCCTGTGAAACAAAATCTGCCTTGTTCTGTGGGTATTTTTCTCCCTTTACACTCATAAATATTTCAAGATCTGAACTGTTTATTTGGAGGATTGTAAAGGGATCAAAGTATAAGTTAGAATAAAATAAATTCACAGAATCCACATGTGATTGTATCTGGCCCCTCATTTCCACGTGTGCTTTCTGTACTTTTGAAGTTTGAATATTTTTGTGAGCTGGACATATTTGAGTATGTCAGTCAGATTTCATAGGTCGGTGTTAGATGGTAAATACAAGAGGACTGTGAGGAGTTATCGTGGTGGCTTTAGCTCTTCTGCTTTATCACTTTTGACAAGGCAGTGTGGAACAGGGTGGAGATTTTCCTTCTAGTGAACATTATCGATGAGTATATTAATTATTTACTTTTGTCTGTTGAAATGGACACCATGAGACAAATCAAGTAGAAAAGGATTATCTGGCCATTCACAAAAATACCAATTTACAAATGACCCAGATGACATGCTTTGCCATATGAAATGTCTGTGTTGTCCTTAAAGTCAGTTCCTCTTTTGTTCCAGCAACTCTTCAAGAAAGTAGTGCCTCACCACTGCCTGGGCTGCATTTGGTCTCGAAGGGATAAGAAGGAAAACAAACATTTGGCTCCTACGATCCGTGCCACCATCTCTCAGTTTAATACCCTCACCAAATGTGTTGTCAGCACCATCCTGGGGGGCAAAGAACTCAAAACTCAGCAGAGAGCCAAAATCATTGAGAAGTGGATCAACATCGCTCATGTAATTGTCTTTTATAAAATATTCTTTGTGTTTGGTAGATGCAAGAGACTGCTCCATCACTTCGTTTAAATGGTTTAGCTGTTTGGTTGAAAAGGCAGTCAAAAGACCATATATGAGAGCCCACTGGGTTTTTGTTGTTCTTCCAGAGTAAGAAAAAAGTTGCCTTTCTAAACTTGGCAGCTTATTTATTTTCCTCTTTTTTAAAAAATTGGACCCCTGCTCACTTCTTCCCAGTTATGGGCTCTCACACTGCTACCTCTCTAGAGTGAGACATTCTGTCTGCTTTCCCCTTTGTATTCACGACAAGACTGAGTGTTGGTTTCAGCACCATGTTCAGTAAATATAAATGTATGGTCTGCATGTCAAAACAGACTGCCCTTCAACCCAGAGTGATTACCTATGCCCCCTCCCAGTACCTGGAGGCATTACATCTTCTGCAGTTTTGAAGAGCTGGTACTTCTTCAGAGTCCTGAATCTCTTTTCTAAAGGACTGAGACACTTACAGAGATCTCATATTAATCTGAGGTCATGTCTCATATTAATCTGAAGTTGGAGGGGAGGAGTCTGTTCCTAGGCCTGACTCACATTCTTCTGAGTGTTGGAGTCTAGTCTCTTGGATGAACTGCTTACATACCATAGGACCTCCCCTTCTCAGCATCTTATCTCATGACTGAGAAAATGGCAACAGTGTGCAGTCAGTGGGCCACCAAATATTTTGTGAACTTCTAATGTGTGTAAACCACAATATTCTGTACTTAGGGGACATACTAGGATAGAGCATAATTATTTGTTTGCAGGAACCCGTACACAAACAAGGAAGCTAAGATATACTGGAATTATCTCAGCCTGAGACAGTAGAGGAGTAGGGCCATGGGAGATAAGCACTGTAAAAGTGGGGGAGAGAGAAATCATTTCTGATGGGATGATCAAGGAAGGTTTCATGGATGAATTGACATTTGAAATTAACTTTGAGTAACAGATAGGATTTTTGGTATTTGAAGATTAGAGAGGTTTTTTTTTTTCTAGGCAAAAGAAATTACATCAGCAAAATAATGATTTTGAAAAATTATTAATATGAAAATATCATATTAATTTGTGTTCTGGGCTCTATGGGTAAACTCTCAACCAAAACACATTTTGCTTTATGTCCCCTTAAATATATTTTTCCTTGAGCCCCTATTGATAGGGCATAATGTTACATTCTCTTTTGCTGTCTTTGATTAAAGAGCAGAGACACAATTGTGCCAGATAATTTGCCTTGAGTCTTCAGGTGGTCTGTTATTACAGACTTCTTAGTGTATTATGAAAGTCAGCAAGAAACAAAGAGTGTAAGTTGCATAAACAACTTCTATTTCTCCTATTCTAAATCGAGCTTATTGCTCAGCAAGTAAGAGATACAAAAGAAGTTGTGAGTGAGATATAGTGTAGAAGTTCTCTGTTTTTTTAGAATGATAAGGAATTATTTTTTTTTTTGCCATAAGTGTCACAGCATGTCTCAAAAGCAGACTGTCTACCCCTAATTCATTCAACTACTTTGGCTATAGTGACAATATAGCATCTGTGTATGTGACATAGTGGGGCTCAAGCGATGACTTTTGGTCCAAATTGAATGTAAATTGTGCATTTATGTAGTAATAAGAAATGCAAGTTGAATCATTTGAAGTATATTTCAAATCCCATATCATGTGCTAATAAAGCCAAGGGCTCTTACTTTTTTTTTGGTGATATCACTTCCTAATACTGAGTATGTTGTATCTTTTACAATTGTGTAGGGAAATGTAATAAAATAATGAGGCTTACCAGTGGTTTGCTACCAAGATTTATTTTACCTTTCCTGCATTCATCGTAGTCAATTTCTATTGAAAGGATATTTGAAAAAGAAAATTTTTCTGACCTAATATGACTATATTTTCTTGGACTGCCCTTAATGGTATGTTTTTACTTTTGCATCACATCTCCTGGAAGATGCCTCTTTTTCTAGAAATGGGACCAGATGCCTTTTGTACTCCTTTAAACCCTTAGTTTAAACCTCTTTTTGAATAATGTGTTCCATGTGTTTATTTCAATTTGCATGATGTATCTGTTCCTGAGTTCCTTTTTTTATTGCAAGTTTCCTGATTTTTAGAATATAACTTTTGTGAACCTTTGTTGAACCATGCTCCCATAGGCTTAGTTTCCAGATTGCAATTCAGAACATTTCTCTTGTTCTCTCTCTCTTCCCCTCCCTCCCTCCCTCTTTTCCTCCCTCCCTCCCTCCTTCCCCTCCTTCTTCTCTCTTTCTCTTTATATCTTTCCAAATAAGGGGAGGACATTGAGGCATTTAAAAAGGGTGGACATGACTTTTATTAAGTACTTTGGCATTTACTCTAAAGAAAATGTTTGAGGGTTTGTTTGGCATAGTTTTCAGTGTCCAGATTTTGGCATGCTAAATTAGAGTGCTGTTTTTCCTTCGTATTCAGGATTAACATTTCTTTGTGAAATGATTCTCGAAGTGATTTACATTTATGCCCAATCACTCTGGGACTTCTTACCTGAGATACTCTACACAAAACCAAATACGTGCTCACATGGTGTACTCACTTGTAAACACTGGGCCTAGTACGCTGTCATGTGCCTGTATATGAAGCATCTCCTTTGACATAAGGCCTGGTCCAGTCTCCTCACGTTGCTACCTTCCCCATGCCAGCCAAGAATGGGACTTTCTCCCTGTCTGTTTTGCTGTCCCTGCTATTCAGTCACAGGACTTTGACTCCAAGGTCACTAACTGCTGATGCTACAGGCTCCTTATGGTAGCTTAAGTTTAAATAGGGAGCCTCTCTCCTTACCCAGAAAATGGCATCCAGAATGTTTCCTGTTCTCTTTCTATTTTGTTTTAAAACATTGCCAAAATGAATTTTATTTTAAAAGGCCGAGTTATTTTGGAAGCATTGAAGTACCAAGGTGTTTTTGAATGTTTATGGTTGCAGGACAAGCCAATTTGAAACCAAATGAATGTGTATAAAAATATCCCCCCTTGGCTAAGAGCATAAAAGCCAAAGTTCAACTTGTGGTGAATTTTTATTGCCAAATTATATACACCTCTGTGGACAAGGGTTGGTGATGAGATGTTCAATACCATCTGACCTCAAAGTGGCTGCTGCCCAGCTCATTTTGGGATCTAAAGAAGATCTAAAGTGCATATTTTTAGGACATCTGTGTGCTTTCAGCAGAAGAAAGTTGCTCTTTCTAGCATAGCTCTGTAGACTTACCTCCATTAGTGTTTTTACTAGGAAAGCTGGAAACTATAAAACTGTAACAACAACACAAAAAAATATATTGACGAGAGAAAAACAAGCATACTGTGCCAAAATCTATAAAGTGTTTCGATGACTGGGGTGGGAGGAAGGAGCCACTTTTTGATGTTCACTATTTATACAGCTGCCTATTTTGTGGTAAGAATTCATAGCAGCTGTGATACCTCTAAAACAGGAAACCACCAAGTCATTGTAATATTGATAGTTAAATGCCTTTTATGTTTTAATCACTCCCCATGCAGGAATGTAGACTCCTGAAGAATTTTTCCTCCTTGAGGGCCATCGTTTCGGCACTGCAGTCTAATTCCATCTATCGGTTAAAAAAGACTTGGGCTGCCGTCCCAAGGTAAGTTCCCAAGTGTTTGCTCTGCTTTTCTTTGGCCGGGATAATTAGTGGTTGTGATGAGTCCTCACCTTCAAAGCTTGTATCGCATAACTAGAGAAACATATTTGAAATCCTCTGTGTGTTTCAGGCAGGGTGCATCTTACACATAATCATTAATGACTTTTGAGGCAGGGCTCCTGCAGAAATCAAACTCATTCTAAGTATACCAAAGCCAAGATTATTGGCTTTGGGGATGATTTGAAGGATGTGCTTATTATCTGGATTTTGAGGGATAAGGTTGTGGAGTGATGAAGTTACAGCAATTTGCCATTACTTCTGGTTATTTTTCAGCCTCACTACAAAGCCCTAAGCTATTTTAGGACTCAAGGGGTAATGTGTGCAGATAGGACATTAGTTCTTGATGTTCAGTAGGAAACTATTTAGTTGTCCTTTTAGTTTCAGCATTTTAAAAACTATCTTATTGGCATTAAAAACCTTTAAATGTTCTTTCCTAAGTACCTGAAATTATTAACTGGCCACATCCTATGCTGTTTTTCTTCATATTTCTTGGTGCAACCGTTGGAATAATTAACAACTTGGTTTCCTGATTTTTGCACTACTGCCATCACTTCCATTTCCGGAACTTCACTGTAGATCAAAGAACTTTGTGCAAAGGAAGGAAAGGTGAGGGAGGGGGCAGTTCTGATTCTCTGTCACTACAGATTTAGAGGCTGGGGATTGTGTCATGAGTACAACTAGGCCAGCTACATTCAACAAGTTTGCCCAGGTTTGAACTAGTCAGGAAGTTAGGCTATATCAGGGAAGAATCTATAAATTCTGTATGGTCTATACCACATGTGGTATAGTCAGTTTCAGTTAGGAGGAGAGGGATGCCAGCTGGCTTCCCAGCCAGGCTGCCTTAGTGGGGCAGAATGGAAGGTCTGGGTCCTCAGTTTCATAAGTTTACTCAGAGTTGATCAAGCCCTAAGAGACTGGCATTGTTTGAATTTGCAAGAGCCCCAAGCTGGTAAACCAGAGTTTCATAAATTTATGCTGAAAAATGAGTGCCAGAATCCTCAAGCTTGCTGATAAGCTCATATTCTCGTTCAGGGGATAGTCTACTTGGTGTAAGCCAAATTATTTATTAGGTGATTCTTTGATGGGTAAAAAGAAAAAAATAAAGTGGATGTTTATAATGCCTCATGTTACAGAGCTGTAGAAGCCACAGCTACTTGCACTCCAAAGCTCGTGCTTTGTTTATGACATCAATATTTATCAGTAGAAGAACTAGCAGGCTTTTCAAAGACCAATGCAATTTTCTTGATTATTATTCTTTTTTTAGGTTCTTTCTTCTCTATTTTGAATAATCAAGGTGATTGTGTGTATTAAAGAGAGATTAGTTGGTTGATTTTCCTCTGCACATTTCTCCTTAAGAACGATGGGGTCATATAAAATCATTACTTGATAGGCCCTGGTGAAATGCGATGGGAAAATCAGAAGCATGCAGTGTCCCCACCCTTCACACCTCCACTTCACCTCTTCTTTCCCTTACCACCACTCTCCACTCAACTGTAGTATAGTATCAAAAACAAAGGGACAGTCAAGTGTTAAAATGTAGCCTTACTCAATTGATTGCAACCTTGTCTGATTGCCACGAAAGGTAATCCTTTCTTTGATGGTTGAAAAAAGAACACTAAGGAAAGTCACGTAACCAGCCTAAGATTTCTTCCACAGCAAGTTTGAGACTAAAACATGAGCAAAAAAAATTAATGGACTTGTATCTTAGTCTCCTTGGCTGCCATATGAAAAGATTTATTCTAGCTGGCTTTTAAAACTATTTTCTAAAGACAAAGGAAAAACCCTCTAAGCTGCATTCTGTGTAACATATGTTTCTGGTTTGTTTCTTAGTTGGTTTGTATGTGTTTTAGCAAGGACACTACAGAAGTGTCACAGTTCCTTAGAGAACACACTTCTATATCAGCTTTACATGTTCTCCATTGCTAAATTCAAGGAACAGGATTAAGATAACTTATTTGGACATGGTACATCTATACAGTGGAATATTTTGCAGGCATAAAAGGAGTGTAGTACTGATACATGGTGTAACATGAAGGAACCTTGAAAACATGCTAAATTTAAAAAGCCAGCCACAACAGCTACGTATCATATACTTGGACTTGTATATGAAATGTCCAGAATCAGCAAATCTATGGACACGGAATGTAGATCAGTGGTTACCTAGGGCTGGGACTGGGAGGACGGTAGGGTCCCAGGGTGATAGCTAAAGGGTAGAGGGCTGCTTTTTGGGGTGATAAAATATTCTAAAGTTGATTATGGGGATGACTGCACAACTCTGTGAATATACTAAAAAGCATTGGACTGTATACTTCAATGATATGTGGATTATATCTCAATAAAGCTGTTATTGTAAGAAAAAAGATATCTTATTTGGTTATCACTTTCCCTATAATCCTTGACATTTGTCGCTTTAAGTAGACAAAGGGAATACCTATTTATTTCTCTTCATTTAGGGCCACATATAATTAATTTTGAAATTATTTTCTCCAAATATGAATAGCTTAATGGTTTTCTTTATTATTTAGAGTAATATTACACTCACTATAAAACAGGCTCTTAATAATGGTTTTTTTCATAATAATGAAAATGTTGCATATATAGTGATATTGCCCCTATTAATTCTTTGTCTTCAGAATCATGCACTCATTAACCCTGGAGGGTGTGTAGAGAAAACCATGAGGCTCACAGAGATGTAGTGTCCTGGAAAGGGAGAGGGGCAGAGCAGATGCTTTGCATATGTGGTTTCACTCACTGTCCCAGCAGTCCCATAAAAGCACTGTCATATTTCCCTTGTAGAGGTGAGAACATTGAAGCTCAGGAAAGTTAAGCAGCTTGTCCAGGATCATTCAGAAAGTGAGTGGAGAGATGCAATTGGAACTCACCACCCCTGGTTGCAGAGCCCATCCGGTTCCACCATTCTCTGACTCTGGGAGTAGAAATAGTGGCCTGTGAGCCAGAAAATTTGGCTTCCATACCTACAACCCTCAGCAGTTATTCGTGGAAATTTGGGAAAATCCCTGGTTCTGGCATCGTCATCTCTAAACTTAGGGGCCTGGCCAAGATGACCTCTCAGATCTGTGGGCTCTGTGTGTGTAACAGTTTTTTTTTTTTTTTTTTTTTTTTTTTGTTTAACTCACTGAGAAGAACATGTCCTAATTGAACAACTTGATGCCCCAATTGAATAATCCTTTTTTATGATTATAATATGCATGGCTAGGGAAATATACCTCTCTCCACAGGGGTGGCCAAGTCCACCTTAAAAGAAATAAAAAGCCATCCCGCATAAAAAAAAATCATGGGCCTTATCTGTGCTTACAGTACCCACCAACCCTGAGATCAGCACAGTCCCTCCTTAGACATGAGTCCTGAGGACAGCTGGGCCAAAAGTGTCGGGTTATTCCTAACTCTTCATTGTTAATATTTTCTTAATCCCTTTTCATAGGGACCGAATGCTGATGTTTGAAGAACTTTCAGATATCTTCTCAGACCATAATAACCATTTGACCAGCCGAGAACTACTGATGAAGGTGAGGCTCTTAGTGAGGCTGCTGTGTAGTGCTGTTAATAGCTCTGGAATCCATTCAAGGAAGAGTAGTGTGAGGGCTCCTTAAGTTCCTTCAACTCCAAAGAAAGCCTAAAGTAACTAGAAGGCAAAAAATTTTTTTAAATGCAGAATCTAAGAAACTTGGGGCTGAGAAAATTCTAAGTCCAGTTGAGCTCTCTCTTTCTACCTCCCTTAGCTTGCCTGTTATGCAAGCAGATTGTGAAACTTGAGTTCATATGTGTATGTACCTCCTTAACAAGCTACTCTGCAAATACCAAGTGCTGGCAGTTAGGTGGGTGAGAGGCCCTGGAATATTCCTTCTCAGCAAAACATCTAGAATGACAGAGGCCAAGCCTGCCTGCAATTCCACATCCTTTATTTGGACTAAATTGCACAATCTGTCAGTCAGCAGTATTTATTGAACACCAAGTAAGTGCTGACTTCTGAATGACACACTAGGTAAAGATATAGCTTAGTTCATTTTATGTCTCCAGACATTTGTTGAATGCCTAATATTTGTAAAGCTTTGAACCTGCTTCTAGAAATATGAAGGTGACTAACACAAACACTGTTTCCTGGAGTTTACCATCTAATTGGGGTATATAGACACTAAACAACAAGAATAAATAGTCAAATAAAGACAACTAACAGGTTGTGAACAACCATCAGAGGGGAACTAGCATAGACCAAATATTATCCTCATAGTCTTTCTATAAAGTAGATTTTATCATCATCATTTTGTAGATAGCCAAGACTCAGAGAGGGTAATAACCTGCCCTAAGGCATACAACCAATAGGTGGTAGAGCTAAAATATGAATGTAATGTGGTGAGACTCTAAAACCTGTGCTTTTATCACCAAGACATAAAGCTATTTCTTCTGACCTTTTTGGAGTAAGGTGCAGGATGGATCAGATCCAGCTTCATAGAGAAGGTAAATTAGTAGTTCAGTAAATATTGGTTGAGCACCCACTAGGTATTGGGGATAAAACCATATTAAAGGCAGTGTTTGATCTTAAGGGGATTACAGTCTCATGTGGGAGGTAAAACATTTATAAAATAGTGTGATAGGTCCTACCATAGGGGAAAGTCCTGAACTGGGCAATCAAAAGTTGTGATTCTTATCCTTAATCTCCTTTTCTATAAATGGGAGCCAATCAAAGTATTTGGTCTGTTGACTTCATAGAATTGTTTTGAAGATTCACTATGGTAAAATACTTGAAAGTGCTATGCAAATGTAAGTTATTTTTTGTATTTGGTGAGCTATATTCATGTAAAACCAAAGTATGCATAACAAATGAAAATAAATAGAGAATAAGCTGCATATTTGAGCTTAGGGAAGATACTTGGAGTAGGAGTGAAAATCAGGTAGAGGTGGGGTTAGTAAGAAAAGGCATCCAGGTGCTAACCCTTAGGTTAGTCGATCCTATAAGGGCATTTGTTAAGGTCTTCATGACTGTTCCTGTCCTATGTCCTACTTATCCTTCATGTCTCAGTGTAGACTCCTCCTTTTCTGGAAGCCTTCCTTCATTCTCAGGTCTGTGCTCCAGGAGAAGCTGTCATTTCTCTGTCCTGGCACTTATCACTTGCTCTGTTGCAACTGCCTGTCTCTCTACTGGTCTGTAGGCCTCTTGCAGGCAGGGGCTGTATGTATCTTTTCACTTTGTATCCCTAATGCCCAACCAGTGCCTGGCATGCAGTAAGTGTTCAGAAGCTATTGTTTGGCTGCATGAATTGATGGGTCTTATCATTCACATGACTTTTTAACAATATGCCCACTATTAGCCCTTCTTGGAGTAGGTGATATGAGAAGGGCAGTATGTGCTGATGTCTGACTTTGGATTTGGACTACCTGATTAACTGCACACTAAACAATCATTACTGAGATCGTGTTACTCCCTGCTTCACATGCCCCTGGCTTTGCATACTTTAAATGGAAACCCATCTGGCTGGAAGGAGATGGCTTAGTGGTCTCCCTGTCAGCAGTACGAAGCTAGACTAACTGGAGCCACACATTCAAATCCAAACAGTCCTGAGTCTTCCTTCCAAAGTAGATAAATTGAATACTGTGCAGCTCATTGCCTGGTAGCAGCCTTCTGGCTGAAGGCTTAGAAGTGAAGCTGTATCTAGACATTAAAGATCCCATAAACCTTTCTTAAATGCAGAAGTTACCCCCCGTACTCTAAATTAAATTTCTTATAGATATGACTCAAATTCCAAAGAAATGGAAAACTTGGCTGTGAATTCATGTGGTCTGTGCATTATCATTAATGATAGTGAAATGCTTTGGGCAGTCCATGTATATCTGTAGGTCCTTTTCCAGTCATTTTTGTTAATCATTCTTCATATGAAGTGTCTAATTCTGAGTGTAAATTGTCAGCACATTTTTTTTTTAAATGGAATCACAAGGTACTTAGTTTCTCAAAAGAGTCACTAGGAAAAACTACCGGCCTCTGTTTCTAGTGTTACTCCTGGTTTTATACGGATTTATGGTTGGGTAACAATATAATAGTTTCATTTTATTTTATTTTTTGTAGATATGTAGTCTCATTATTTTTCTCAGGCTGGTCTCAAATTCTTGGACTCTTAGTTTTAAATGACCTAACTTCTCTTCTTCTGGGAAGATGTAACGTGCCACTTATATAATATGGCCCAGGCAACATGATTATTAGCAAAAATCTGTGGTTTTCCTTTTAATTGTTTTTAAAAATGTTTCATTTCCTCTCAAAGACTATCTTAAACCTGCTATGTCCTTGTGATTTCTGAAACCTGGGTAATTCTAAGCAGGTGAATTATAGTCTGGAAATTTCAAGACATCAGGGAAGAAAGCAGAATGCCAGCAAATCTTGGTTCTCATGATTCTTGGTAAGAATTTTTTCGGTTGACTTTATATAAAGGACTGCTAGAAAGCCCCAGAAATTCAACCCTGATGGAGACGTATGTTCAGTGACACTCCAAAACATGCTAAACTCAAAGTTAGAGCAAGAGTCTGTTACAACTGTGACAGTTCTGAGCTATAATTGCTGGTAGCTACTGAGCTTAAGTTAACCAACATTTATGGAGATGGATCCAGAGTCCAGTAGACAAGTTCCATCTAGACCTAGTAGAAGAGGGCCCTCTGAAGCCCAAGAACAGCATGGATGAGGGTAGCTGAACTCTGCTAAAGATGGTTATAAAGAAAAGGTGAGACTTAAGCAAGCCATTTGCACTAAGAGACGGAGAGGGAAGAGAAGGGCAGAGGGGGAGATAAAAGGAGAGAGAGAGGGAGAAGGAGATTGATGGAGGAAGAGGGAGATTTGGCATTTATCCAAACATAGGTGATGATTAAAATCATGAGATTGGATAGTATTTCCAAAGACATGAGTACAGCAGAAAACAAGAGGATAACTTTGACAAAAAGAAGAATCACTAAGAGAATATGAGAACAGCAGAGGAGGCAGGGGGAGAGAATGAGTGATACAGTCACAAAAACCTATGAAAACTTTCAAGAAGGTTCAAGGGATTGGTGTTGTGCGACATTGCAGAGTAGGAGATTTGGGGCTGAGGAAGGAAAAACTGAAACTGCTGGATGTGGCAGGTAAGTGGATTTTCAGTTGACACCTCATTTGGAATAATAGGGACTCGTCGGTCTTTTTAGATCTCTAGCAGGGATGGAATCTCATTCTCATGAAATCATAAAGTCATGGAATCAACAAGTCTTGTAGCTCCCCATCTCAGGCGTTTCTCTCTCCTATCTAATGAGGAGGTTGTCTTAAGTGCTCTTTTGAGATCCCTTTCACCTCTGTTATTCTGTGATTCTTAGGAGCCTTTGAACTTTTCAGAAATTCTCTTTAGGAATTTTAGCCATGTCTACAATAACTTATGATACATTATTCCTCTGCCCATAACTGACATACTGGAGGGAGACCAGAAGGACCTACACACCGGAAAGAGGTGGGCACTCTTATTCAAGTCAGACATAATTGATTTCTCACTCTAAGCAAATTCTCAAGAATTTCGGAGGACTCACAACTATCTAGCACAGGAAAGGCGCATATTAGGCTGCTTTCTTTTTTTTAGAGGTGGGGTCTCACTATGTTGCTCAAGTTGGACTTGAACTCCTGGGCTCAAGCGACCCTCCTGCCTCAGCCTTCTGAGTAGCTAGGATTACAGGCGCATGCCGCCATGTCCAGTATAGGCTATTTTCATTCATCCCTGTGAAAAACTATGAATGGGAGATCATTAAATAGTGGCTCTCTTTATTATCATTTGTGATGGGAAGAACTTAAATAGGTAATGAGTCACTGTGGGTTCTGTCCCAGTAGTGTACCTGGGACCTGAGTTAAGGCTGAGAGATGGAACATGTTGATGCTCTATCACTATCAGCAAGGCCAAGCCACTGAAAAAAACCCTTTTGTGGTTGTACAGTAGTGGAAGGTCACGTGCTATGGTAATACATAAATCTCAGGAAAAGTGACTAAGGAAAAACTAGTGTAGAAGTTATATACTACTGAATTGTGCAATTTACCCCCCCATTCATGCAGTTCCTGGAAAATGAGAACTTAACAAGACCCCAAAACCGCAAAAGCACTTAATGTTCAGTCAGCAAACTCATGATTACTCATTATATAGAAGAGTTTGTTGTTACAATAGACAGGAGGAGAGAAAGGGTAGCCATGTGTCCTCAGGCACCAGGAGGAAGGATTGATTTGTAAGAGTTCCAAACCTGAGAGGCAATTTAGAAGAACTGACTGGGGGCTGGGGATGTGTGAAAGTTCGACTTTTATGGATTGGTCATGTAGTACAATATTGGACTTCCTCAGAAAACTTCCGGTGCAAAAGTTTCATTTAGCTAAGAAATGCTACAGAAGTAGTCCCTTTCTTTCACAGAATGCTGGCACATCCATTTCAGGCCAAGATCGAGAAATCACAAAATGTACTGAGGAAGTCGATCTTTGTTTTCAGGATATCTGATTACTTTGAGTTTAATTTGGGATCTGTAAAAATGTCTTCATTTATGAGAATTGCCTGGCTTGTATTGATGATTGCTTTCATAACCAAATCAGGTGATCTTCTTACAAAGTAAGGGGAAGGCCAGGTGTGGTGGCTGGCTCATGCCTGTAATCCCAGCACTTGGGGAAGCTGAGGCAGGTGGATGATCTGAGATCAGGAGTTCAAGACCAGCCTGGCCAACATGGCGAAACCCCATCTCTACTAAAAACAAAAAATAAAATAAAATATAAAAATTAGCCAGGTGGTGGCGCATTCCTCTAATCCCAGCTACTCGGGAGGCTGAGGCAGGAGAATCACTTGAACCTGGGAGGCAGAGGTTGCAGTGAGCTGAGATTGCGCCACTGCACTCCAGCCTTCCCAGCAGAGTGAGACTTCGTCTCAAAAAAAAAAAAAACAAAGTTGGGGGAAGAACAAGAAAATCCAAGTCCACCAGCCTCGTTATAAATAGGCAACTTGCAACAAGCCAGCCAAGTATTTGCATAATATACATCGTGAGAGCCTGCTGGAGGCCTCTTCATTTTGCATGGTGTTCCGAGCGAGAGTTATGCAGGGTTGTGTGCGAGAAACTAGATGCCTCTTTACTTCTTACCATTGTGGCATCCTGTATCAATTCCCTCTGTGTGCATTTCTGTTTCTCAGGAAGGAACCTCAAAATTTGCAAACCTGGACAGCAGTGTGAAAGAAAACCAGAAGCGTACCCAGAGGCGGCTGCAGCTCCAGAAGGACATGGTATGTCTGGCCCTCGTCTTCCCTGACAGCTCACAGAGGAGAAGGGCCGTGTGCGTCTGGGCTCCCACATGGCACTGGCACCTTCAGTCAACAGGGCACCCAGGCTTTCAGAAAGGGTCTCCCATTCTCTACCCCATTTGTTCTCAGCAGCCCTGGGAGGTCTATAGGAGAGAGATGATTACCCTCATTCAACTAGTAGGAAGTAAGCACTGGGTGGCAAATCCTGTTTTCTGGCAAAGTTGTTTTCTGAAGGTGAGGGGGAGTCTACAGCAGGTCGACTTCCTCCCTCTTGCAGTCTCTTCCGCCCCCTCCTGCACTTAGAAGCTGCTCCACCTTGGCCTGAGGGCCTCCTGAGCTTCCTACTGTAGTCAGCTTCTGATACATGGTGACCAAGGAGAAAGAGTGTCTTCTCCACAGGGCCCTGGTCCTTGTACTCAGAGATCTTTTCATTTGTTCTAATCTAGCCATTGCCCAGCTCTCCTTACTAATCCCAAGGCTAACCAAATCTTTATAGTTTTTCAATATTTAAAGGAGCATCATGCCTCCCTCCTGAAGACTGAAAGATAGGTATTATCAACTTTAGCTTCATTTTAAACTTCTGACTGTTAGCATAAAGTGTGGAAGACCAGAGGGAGGAGATTAGAGACTGACAAACTCTAAATATTCTGCTTTAAGAGGGTTTTCTCTTTCTTTGGAAAGCTCAACGTAAGTAAGAAATGTTTTTGAATGATAGGACTCTTCCGCAACATGAAGCCTATAAAACATTCACAGTGTTACAAACTTTTTTGGTTGTTCAAAGACAAGCTAAAAATAGCTGTTACCAAAAAAATAGATTATTTTAGTACAGGATGAGACCTTGTACACAGAATGGGAAGGACACACTGCAGCTGACAGTGAGTTCCTGAAGGACAAAACCCTCCTTGGTATGAACCTCACAAAGCAGTTCTGGCTGAGGAAGCAGCCAGCCTCATGTCAAGCAGCCTGGCTTTACCCTGTTTGAGGCTTTGTGTTCTGCCAAAATTTCCAGAATTGGCTTGATGAGATTTAGGATAAGGGATCCATGGGGACCGCTTTTTACTTTTCCTTTAGGATGTTTAGTGCCTTGGTGGCTTACTGAAGAAGAGAGATGATTTTAAAGGAGATTTAGTGAAATGAATATAGTGTATCCCTGCAGTTGTAGGTAGAAGTGCCTCCACCTTCATTTCCAACTTTTTATTCTGGAATAAGTTTAGATTTACAGAAAAGCTGCAAAGCTAGAAGTGCAGTTTCCCTCATTGTTAACATCTTCTAAAACCATAGCACATTTGTCAATACTAAGAAACTGACACTGGCATAATACTATTAACTAAAATCTAGACTTTGTTTGGATTTCACCAGTTTTCCACTAGTATCTTCTTATCTGTTCCAGGACCCAATCCGGCATACCAACTGCATTTTGTTGTCTGTCACCCCTGTCTCTTCAGGTCTACGACAGTGTTTTCTTGACTGTTTTTTATGACCTTGGTTGTCTTAAGGGGTCTATCCAGGTATTCTGTAGAATGTTCCACAGTTTGAGGTTGTCTGCTGTTTTCTAGTGATTAGACTGAGCTTCTGGATTTTTAGAAAGAATATCACAGAGTAAAGTGCCCTTCTCATCACATCACATCAAGGAGTGAATGAATGGTTTCAGCGTGACATCTGGTGTCATGTTGATGGTGACACGAATGATGTTGATCTTTATTACTTGGTTAAGGAAGAGTTTGCCAGGTTCTTCCTCAGAAGTTACTGTTTTTCTCTTTCCCTCCTCTATTATTTGAGAGTTAGTCACCAAGTCTAGCCCAAGGGGTTATATTAATAGTGATGCCCCATGCTTTTGTGGTACATACTTCTCTGTGTACAACAGCCAATGGTGAGGCAATGACTATCCAGTGCCATCCCCAACTACCAGGAATGTCCCCATGCTCTGAAAGAGAACAGACATCCTTCTCACTTGAGCCAAAGCAAAACATAAACCCCACAGTCAACACTTTTGAACAGATGTGTATGATCTCCTGGCTTTGAGGCTTGGTTTTCATGATTTCACAAGTTAGATATTAGATCATGGAGTTTCTATCCTATTTGTGTAGAAATTTAAAAAATGTTATTCATGGAGGTTAGCACCACTGGCCCGCAGTTAGGCCTTGAATACATCCATTTGCTCCAGCTTGAAGATTCCTAAAACCCCTCAACTTTTCAATGACAATAAAGACAGTTTTGCTTTGGATGCTCTTCAGGGTGTGATGCAGGGAACTGTGCCCTACCTGGGCACCTTCCTGACTGACCTGACCATGCTTGACACTGCCCTTCAGGACTACATCGAGGTGAGTTCCATGTGGGTGGTGTGATCGGGCCTGCAGCCTTCCCACTGGATACCCTAAAGAGTAGTTAACTTCTCTTAGTATCTTTTGAAGGTCCAAAAGTACATGGCATTGTGCTAGCTGTTAGGAGGAATACAAAGAATAACACCAAAGACTAACACCAGAAGTGGCTCAAAATCCAGTGGAAGTAATTAATATATCAAAATAAGCAGTGAACGATAGTAATAATCGAAATTCAAACAAATGCATTGAGAGAACATGGGAGATGACAATTATTATTATTTTTTTGAGATGGAGTTTTGCTCTTGTTGTCCAAGCTGGAGTGCAATGGCACGATCTTGGCTCACTGCAATCTCTGCCTCTCGGGTTCAAGCAATTCTCCTGCCTCAGCCTCCCAAGTAGCTGGGATTACAGGCGTGCACCACCACGCCCAGCTAATTTTTTGTATTTTTAGTAGAAACAGGGTTTCACCATATTAGCCAGGCTAGCCTTGAACTCCTGACCACAGGTGATCCGCCCACCTTGGCCTTCCAAAGTGCTGGGATTACAGGCGTTGAGCCACTGCACCCGGCCCACAATGAACTCTTATGAGGGGTTGTGATGAACAGGGCTCATGAAGGAGTGGGTTTGGGTTTGAACAAGACTTTAAGGCCGGGCGCGATGTCTCATGCCTGTAATCCCAGCACTTTAAGAGGTCAAGGCAGGTGAATCACCTGAGGTCAGGAGTTCAAGACCAGCCTGGCCAACATGGTGAAACCCCGTCTCTACTAAAAATACAAAAATTAGGCTGGGTGTGGTGGCTCACGCCTGTAATCCCAGCACTTTGGGAGGCTGAGACAGGCAGATCATGAGGTCAGGAGTTCGAGACCACCCTGGCCAACATGGTGAAACCCCATCTCTACTAAAAACACAAAAATCAGCCGGGCATGGTGACACATGCCTGTAGTCCCAGCTACTCAGGAGGTTGAGGCAGAAGAATTGCTTGAACCCGAGAGGCGGAGGTTGCAGTGAGCCGAGATTGCGCCACTGCACTTCAGCCTGGGTGACAGAGCAAGACCCCATCTCAAAAAAAAGAAAAAGAATAAATAAATAAAAATACAAAAATTAGCCGGTCATGGTGGCAGGTGCCTATAATCCCAACTACTCTGGAGGCTGAGGCAGGAGAATCACTTGAGCTCGGGAGGCAGAGGTTGCAGTGAGCCGAGATCGTGTCATTGCACGATCTAGGTGCCCAGCCTAGGTGCCAGAGTGAGACTCGGTCTCAAACAAAAACAAACAAACAAACAAACAAAAAACCCCACAAGACTTTAATGTTGAGTAGGACTACTTGGTGGGGTAGAGAGTCAGTCAAATTTGTGATTTTTCAAATATGCTTTTCTTTTTGTATTGCTGCCTGCTGTGGGGTATTTTTCTCTCTCTCTGTCTCTCTCTCTCTCTGTCCCCTTGTCCCTCTTTCTCTCTGTTCCCCCTCTCTCTACCCCTACTCCCTTCATCCCCCATCTTCTCTGAAAGGGAAAATACATGAAAACTCAGATAAACAACTTGTTAGTAGCAGCAATAAAATATTAAGTGAAGAAGAAATTTCAAATTTGAAATGAAATTGAAAGATTGCTTGCATATTTCAGTATATACTACCCCCTTGTTATCATATGCAACCAGCCTGCTTTTATTGTATCTTAATTAGAAGAAGTAGAAGTTACTTTGCATAGATCTACCTACCTTTGGATTTGCCACAGTGTTGTGGACACATTTATTCATTTTGCATCTCCTGACTTCTATGTCTCTTCACATCCTCTTTCTCAGCTTATCTCAGGAAACACCCATCAGTGTTGGGGAATTCTGGGGAGTAACCAAAGATTTAGAAGTTAAATTCAGCCTACTGAGAATAGGAGCTGAGGGGATGAAGAATTGAAACTTAACTTTTCATGATGCTATGGAGAAATGACTTCCCTTTTGATAAACCGTATGAGTCAATGACCATCTGTTTTAGTTGCTTTTGGTAAGGGAAAAAAGTGTAATGGAATATTTACTCAAGCTTTTATCTTTACTGGTTCTGCAAGTGTCTTTGGATCCTGATTTGTAATTATTTATCATTACTATTTTAGTTGGTTTCAGACATTTCAAGAGAAGGCTTTCTGCTTATCCTGCCTTATAATAATACTTTTTTTAAAAGCAAAACAGGACTCTCTTCTTCCACAGTAGTCGTAATTATAGGATCATTGATAATTGTGACTTTATCACCCCTTTGATCTATTTTAATGTGACCTACGACAACATATGGCTGTGTTTTAAAGTAGCTTGGTTGCTCACTCTTTTTATTAAAATTTCTTTTAGGGTGGACTGATAAACTTTGAGAAAAGGAGAAGGGTAAGTAGAGTTGTTGGCTGTGTTTCCTTTGTCTGAGCATGAAAAAAATGAAAGAAATGGGGACTTAAGTTTTTTTGTAGAGGCAGAAAAAAATGAGTTAGCACCTACTGAACGTTTATCATATACCATTTTGCTTGGCATTCTCCTATACATTATCCCCCACTAGCCTTATGAGGTAGGTTTTATCATCCTCAATTCAAAGGTGAGGAAGCTAGGACTCAAGAGATTAAATTACTGGACGAGAATCTCTTGGTGGCAAAGCCAGGGTTCTCATCCTGTCCTGATGCCCCAAAGCCCACATTTCTTCCCTGCCCACTCCTTATCTCCTTTACAATTAGCTTCAGCAATAGCAGGCTTGCCACTTAATTAATAACAATGTATTTTATACTTGAAGATTACTAAGAGTAGACTTTAAGTATTCTCATCACAAATAAATATGTGAAGTAATGCATATGTTAGTTAGCCTGATTTAGCCATTCCACGGTATATACATGTTTCAGAACATCATGTTGCACACCATAAATACAAACAATTTTTTAATTTGCCAATTAAAATAAAAACCAGGTTTACCCTATTAAGGATAAGGGGTTTCTGATGAGTAAATGACATAGAAGAGTTAATAAAGATGGTAAACTCTCGTGGGTATACTCGAGAGAGGAAAGGAAATGGCCTTCGTCTTCGGTGTAGGTAGTTATTCTTTCCCTTTCGTGTCAGCATAGGAAGGTGTGCTCAACATCAATTTCACTCTTCCTGTGGATAGCACAGTTCTGAACTGTGCTATTCAAGATAAAACAGTCTTGAAATTTTTCTGTGATTTTCATATTCAAATGGCATATTTAAATAGATATTTAAAAGACTCAAAGGAAAATGAGTGAGCAAAATAATAACTTCACCCTGTAGTACTCTCGTTATTTTTCAGTACTTTCACATTCCACAAATATTGACTGTCTACCTAACATGGGGGGGGTTTGGGAATTACAGCAGAGAAAGAACAGAGCTGCCTGCCCTCGTAAAGTTCACAATCCAGGAGAGAGGTAGACAAATAAATAGGCAGTTATAATACAACCTGAAAAGGGTTTGTGAGCAGAAGTAGTGGGTGTTAGAGAAGTATATAGGTGGGGTATCTATCTCCAACTTGTAGGGCCAGAGAAACTTCCAGGAGAAAATGACGTTGAAGTTAAAACCAAAAAGGCATAGAGGAGCTAAACAAAGCTGGGCTTATCAGAACAAGATACTAACCTGGACAAATGTAAATTTTTTGTCCCATATAGACGATACTTTTTTCTTTAGCATGATGGTAAATATTCCTTGAGGATACTGAGACCAAGGGCCGAGGTCACTGGATGGCAAGTTGAGACTTGGAGAATCTACCAGTTCTTGAGTTACTTCTGTCATGTCCTGTAATGATAATAAATTCAGTTATTGCCCCCTCAGTTCCCCTCTCTGTCATTTAACTTCAGAATAACTGTGGTTGGTAATCTCTTTCCTTTTTAGACTAGGATATTAAACTTCTGGAAAGTTTGACTGTAAAACCTAAACCTAAAGCTTATACCCATTGCTGACTTAAATTTTTTTTATTGAAACATCCAAATAAGTATAAATAATTTTCAACATAATTATGTACTTGCCTCTCTGTGAGTTTTAAAAGACTTAGTTAAATGATTTAGTGGCGTAGTAAAAACCCAAGGATTCAGGAAATCTAAACATTCAATTTTATGAGACCTAGGACTGTTTAGATACTCAGCCCTACCAAAACTTATTTATTGAGGGGTAAAGGTTGAGGAAGATGGGGATGGGGATCTTGGGAGCTCCCTGACTTAAAGTATTTCTTTTCTTTTTTTTAAGAAATATGAATAGAAATTAATATATTTTATGAAGTACTTAAAACCTTAAAAATCATTTTTCTATTCCAAGGATGAAAGTGAAGAAGAGAAAAAGGAAGCCACTGTAACTTAACGTAGTGACTAGTTTGGGTTGCTTTGGTAGCTTGTTTTATACAAATTGCTTTCTCAAGGAGAAAAGAGGATTAAAAATTAAAGCATACAAGGACTTTGGAGAGTTCTAGTTAGAATTTTTAAGAGTTAGTTAGCTCCTTTATTTTTAAGGAAGCAGTATTTCAGAATCCTCCTAGATGGTTTTCTTCATCTTTTATCCTAATGTGGTATATTTTCATGTTGAAAGATTCTATATTTGGTTGGCCTTATTATTCAGTCTTTTTTTTTTAATTTTTGGTATTCTGTCTGCTTTAGGAATTTGAAGTGATTGCCCAGATAAAGCTCTTACAGTCTGCCTGCAACAGCTATTGCATGACCCCAGACCAAAAGTTCATCCAGTGGTTCCAGAGGCAGCAGCTCCTGACAGAGGAGGAGAGGTGGGATCACCTGTCGTTCATCGGGGTAGAACTGAAGTGTTGGCAAGAAAAATGCTGCATTTAATACCTCGCTGGGTCATTTATTCAACAACTATTTAGTGAGCAGCTGCTAGGTTCCAGGTCCTTGGTTTTCAAAGGCGCATGGTGTGGCAGGAAAGGCTGAGTTGATAGCATCAAGATGTACTTTCAGACTCTTGCTTGGCCACTTATTTATCTTTGTAACCTTGAACAAGTCATTTGTTCTTCCCTATCTTAAGGATGCTCATCTGTAGAATGTTTGTGAGGCGTAACTAAGATCTTATGTGGGAATGCTTTGTTAGAATGCTTGTCCTCAGCGTTGTCACCACCACCACTGTCACTGTGTTTGTCATTCCTGTTAATTGATGGTAGCTTTCCAGGAAGCTTTCAACCTAGAGGGGTTGAGAGACTCATGAAACTTTGAAATATGATGGGTAACTACATTCCTACAAAACCTATGGGAAGAATTGGGGAAAATAAGGAAAATATAAAGGCATTAATATTTAGGCTGGCTGTAAAGGAGAAACAAGATTTTGCCATAAGAACCGGAAGAGAACATTCCAGACCGAGAGAGAACACAAGCAAAAGCTTGGTGGCCTGACATGTTTGGCATTTGAAGGAACAGTGATAACTCAGGTGTGGCAGGGACACAAAGAACAGTTTAAAAATAGTGGGATGGGCATAGAAAGGCATGTTCACTTGAGTGCCCTGCCTGCTGGCTCAGCACGTCCCTGTCCTGTAGCCTGCTCGCTTGTTGGCAGATTGGTCTGCAGGCCATATGTGGCCCACTGCCTGTTTTTACATTTTTAAATGATTGGGGTGGGGGGGAACAAAAAAAGAATATTTTGTGACACGAAACAGTTATTTGAAATTCAGATTTCAGTATCTACATAAATATGGTTTTATTGAAACACAGCCCGTTCATTTACATCTCATCTATGGTTGCTTTCATGCTGTAAAGACAGAGTTGAGTAGTTGCAACAGAGACCATATGGCCCACAAAGCCTAAAATACTATGTGATCCTTTACAGAAGAAGTTGGCCCATCCCTACCCTAGCCCAGGGGATTTCTTTGGAAGTTTATCATAAGGGAGAGTGAAATTGACAGCAAAATAAGTATTTACAAAAAAAAAAACTTGAGGTTTAGAGAAATATTTGAATGAATTAATGACAGCATTTGGATTCAAACTCAGGTCTGCCCGGCTCTACAGCCTAAGCTCTGAAGATGGCTGTATAATGTTGGGCACCCTTCCCCACCTACTCAGTAACGAAATACATCTACTGTCTACAGCTACAAGCTTTCATAAAAGGCACTTGGAATCACATATAAATTCCTCTTGTGCTTGTGTCAGTTATATCTGCCTGGCAGATAGAGGTCTGAATCTGGAGCATTTTTAATTTAGGAAGTTTTGGCAATTAAAAATTTAAAAAAGTATTTGTAGGCCACCCTGGCCAACATGGTGAAACCCCATCTCTACTAAAATAAATAAATATATATATATATATCTTTATCAGTAATGTAATTGCCTATGTCTGTTCATTGACGATCAGATAGATTACAAAAGTCTCTTCATTTTCTTTAGATAAAACTAAGTCATTTGTGCATGTGCACAAACACACATACAAAATAGTAGGAAGGAGGTAATAGAGAAGAAATAGGAGGGGGAGGTAGTAGAGGAAGGAAGATTCTTCCACTGGCCTAGCAGTGGGATGAGAATGATCAGAATGGAGTTAGTTTTTGATGCTGCCAAAGTGCATATATCCTTGTATTTGAAACACGCAGAACTAAATAGCCTCAATCCATATGCCAGTGGAGGTGAGGGAGGAAGCACATAAGATAAATGTGTCAAATCGGGCCGTGAAGTCAGTACCCCCTGACGTTTATGATAGGACAACGTTTGTATATATCTTTACTTTGAACAATTAGAGCCTTCTCTAAAACAAAACCAGGACATCATGTGAATTTAAGTGTGTTTTTCAATTCTCTAACTTTGACCTCATGGAGCCCCCTTCTCTTTCTCAGCTATGCCCTGTCATGTGAGATTGAAGCAGCTGCTGACGCCAGCACCACCTCGCCCAAGCCTCGGAAGAGCATGGTGAAGAGACTCAGCCTGTGAGTGTCCCCTGGGGGTTCTGGGGCTCCAAGAGGGTGCCATCAGAGTCGTGAGAGGAGATGTATTCAACAGGATGACCTTGAGCCAGGGTGAAAGTGAAGAGCACTCCGCTCATTTGTTAAGCCGTTTATCCTTCTGTCATGAACTCAAAGCATTTGCTGAGTCCATTCTTCTCCACTCCCCTCTCTGTTGTGAATCACCATTCTCTCCTGCCTGAATCACTCCAGTAACATCTTCACTGTCTTCTGGCTGCCCCTTACCCAACCATTCATTCTCCACTAAATAGCTAGGTTGTCTTTTAAAATGTACACCAGATTATGTTGCTTCCTGTATAAAAACCCCTATAGCTTTTATTTTAAAATAAAACCCAAACTCTGTATCCTGGTTTACTAGGCCTTACATGACTTAACCTGCAGACTTCCCTCTCTTACAACATTGCCCTCTGTTCACCAGTGTTGAAGACGTTTGCACTGGCTGTGCCTGGCCTGAAATGCTCTTTCTTCATGACTGGCTCCTTCAAATATTAGCAAAAATGTTATGTGCCAAGAGAGAACCCTTTCTAATGTTGCTGTCCACCCCTCATTCTCATTCATACTAGCTGCTTCCTCCAGTGGAATGTAAGCAACCTGAGAACAGGAACCTTGTCTATCATGCTCGCAGTTGTATTGCCTGAGGCCAGGAGTTTGAGACCAGCCTGGACAATGTAGTGAGATCCTGTCTCTACAAAAAAATATCACTTAAAATATTAGCTGGGCATGGTGGTGCACGCATGTAGTCCCAGCTACTTGGGAGGCTGAGGTGGGAGGGTTGCCTGAGCCCAGGAGTTCAGTGTTACAGTGAGCTATTTTTGTGCCACTGCACTCTAGCCTGGATGACAGGGCGAGACCCTGTCTCTAAGAACAAAACAAAACAAAACAACAACAACAAATATATATATATATTTATACACACATATATATATACACATACATATATATATGCAGTACCTAGCTCTCAATATGTGCCTGAAAAACCACCATTATTTTTAATGAAATGAATCAGTTAATATCTTTTTGAGGATTTGGGGGGATCAGGATTCTGACTGTCTTTATGGGCATTTGATATTTCCCAGCACTGTCTCTCCACCTACTTCAGTGAGTCACATTGAGACACAGGCAGGGATGGCACATGACCTTGAGTGTTGCCATGTCCCCGGTGTAACATAAAGACCTCTGCTGGATGTGGATAGCAAGGTCTCCCACCATCAGCGGCCACGCAGGCTGCTATCTGCCATCAGGTGATATGGGTGGTATGAGGCATTGTGGGTGGGTTGGAACATGCGCTTTAGTAGAAAGCATCTGGAAGATCATCCTGTGTTTTGCTCACCCTCTCTTTGTTCAGATGACTGTCCTGGCCCTGCGGAACTCTAGATTTATGAGCTTTTGGAGTCAGCTCTTGAGGAGAATTTTTCATAGTATCTTGCTGTCTTTTCATCTTTGCAGATATGGGGGAATGAACTACTGAGATAATCTGAGGGGCCTGACCAAGCCTTGTCAGCTGGTAAGACTGGCATGTGCACAGGGAATCAGCTCCCTGATAGAGGAGTCCAGACATGCAGGGGATCCTGGGTGTCCACTCTGCTCACTGAGGCAGCAGAAGGAATTGGGAGCTTCTGGACCCACTATGGCAGTCAGAGGTTCTTAAGGAAAAAAACAAAAATTCTCAATGCAGGCAGGCCTAATCCTGCGTCCTGCTACCTCTATCCTCCTGCCTTCTCCCCATCCTCATTTCTATGCTACTGCTTCTCTGTACTCCTCTCCAAGCCCGGGATCTATATGTTTTGTGGTGGGAGTTCTAATACCCCTGGATCCTCTGTCTTCACTGACACAGACAAGTGGTCAGTCCTATGAAAACATTTACTGTGAAATCCAGAGAGGGCAGGACTGTGAGGGTGCTATGCCCTTCACAAAGTGTGGTAGGTACTCAGTACATCTCTTACTAGTAAAATCTTGCTGGGATAACCCTTGGTATCTGCAGTTGAGTTTGGGCATCTATTATGAAAGCAGTTCATATGCCCCCATCTTATTTCTTGTACATACAAGGGTGTTTGCATACCATTATTTTTCAAAAGATTTCATGATCTTCTTAGCATGTTTACAAATCTGGGAAATGCATTTTTGCTGTTCCCACATTCAATGGCTCATCATTCCAAAGAGGTTGGAGAAAACTTTGGGTGCTTAGGCCTAGTTTGAAAGTTAGAGATGCCTACTACTGAGCCAGAATGAACCTTCACAACGCAGGACAAAGCAGGACCTTACTGAATTGTAGAAATGGAAGAACCCTAGAGACTCTGAGATAATGGATGGAGGACCACTAGTTGACATCCTTTCAAGATCTACCTTTGTAATTTATGAAGCAGTAAGAAAGGGCATTATTTTTGCTTCTGTGATCAGAGTTTAGCTCATACCCCTATAGTCCCTGTAATGCTCCTGTAATGCTTGAAGGGTCATAAAAGGAAGACAGGGAAAATGGGGCTGGAGATAGCAGGGTAGAGATAAGGCAGAGCAAAAATATGCTTGAGCTCTTGGAATTCAAGCATATAATTCCGAAAATATTTAATAAAAAATCAAGTTCACCTTCATTGTTTCTATTATTGTTGTTATTTTATAGTCAGTACTTGTTTAGGTTCAGCCCACGTGCTAGTTGCCTTGCATGCCGTTCCTTCTTAATCTGACTCCCGCCCTCCTTTTACCACTACTTGTGGTGTAAATCTGTTAACGGTAAACCTTCTCAGTCTTAGTCTGAGAAAGTCTTTATTTTGCCCTCCTTCTTAGAATTATATTAGACGGGTATAGAATTCAATACTGACTGTTACTTTCACTCAGCACTTTGACGATATTATTCAGTGTCTTTTGACTTCCATGGTTACTTTTGAGATGTGTGGTATCTGCTTAATTACTATTCCTCTGTTTTATGTTCCCACTCCTGTTGCTTTTCTTTCTTCTTTCCTTCCTTCCTTCCTTCCTCACTCGCTCTCTTTCTTTCAAAAGAGTTTTGCTCTGTCGCTTAGGCTGGAGTGATCTTGGCTCACTGTAACCTCTGCCTCCTGGGTTCATGCAATTCTTGTGCTTCAGCTTCCCAAGTAGCTGGGATTACAGGCACATGCCACCACACCTGGGTAATTTTTTTGTATTTTGGTAGAGATGGGGCTTCACCACGTTGCCTGGAGTGGTCTTGAACTCCTGAACTCAGGCAGTCAGCCTGCCTCGGCCTCCCAAAGTGCTGGAAGCACTTTGAGAGCCACTGTGCCTGGCCCCCTGTTGATTTTAAGAATTTCTTTTGTCTTTGATATACCAGTTTAAGTGGGAGTTTAGTCTTACCCTATTCAGGACATGGCTCTTGGATGGGAGGATTCCTATGGTTCACCAGTTCTGGAATCCTCTCAGCCACCATCTCTTCTGATATGGGCCTTCTTCCATCCTCTCCATGTCTTCTGGAACTCCTCCTACACATACCTGGGGCTTTCTTACTGCTTTCTCCATATCTTTTCACTGTTCTTTCTATGTCTTTATCTTTTGATGATGATTTTTGAGGATTTTCTTCAGATCTGTCATCTAGTTCATGATTTTTTTCTTCAAGTTATTTAATCCTTCCACTGAGGTTTTAGTTTAAGTCACCACCTTTTTCACTTAGAGGTGAAATGTTTTTCAAATTATCTTCTTCCTTTATTAGGATGTCTTGCTCTGAGCTCCGGTTTTCAATTTCTTCTTTTATGTCTTTAATATTTCCTAACATACTTATTTTGCAGCTTGGCTTATAGTAGACATGCAGATATTTGTTGGATGAATAAGCACATTATTAGTTTTGTTCTGACAGTTCTCAAATTTGAAGTTCTCAGGAGTCTAAGCCTGCTTTTTGTTATGCCTGTTGGCTCTCTCTTTCAGTGGAATATTTCCTTGTGTGTATTTTGTAATTTTGTATCACGAGTTTATCTTTATCAGGGGATTCTCTGAAGCCTGGGCTGAAGGTATATCCCTCCCGCAAGATTTTCTTTTTTTTTAAGAAAAAATCTAGTTTACTAGCGGTGTCACCGGTTGAGAGTTTCTAACCCCATAGACCACATAAATAGCAAATTGGAGTGAGGCACAGACCCAGCTCACACATGACTTCATAGGAGACATTTTTCTTCTTTCCATGCTCAGGCAAGAACAGTCTCCCTGTTGTCTTCCTATGCTAGTAGAAAGATATTTTTCTGGCCTATCTTTTTAGTAAGGGTATAGCCCTTTGTGGGCCCTGGCTGTATATAGTTTTGGTTCTAACTCCTCACCATTCATAAACAGAAACCCTCATCTTTGGGCCCTGGGTGTGCATTAAAACCCATATCACTATTTTGCCAAGATTGGGGCCTCCCACTCCCCCACCAGAGCAGCTGCAGAACTAGCTCGCGTGCTTCTGGTTTTCAGTTCCTTTTTCACTTAAGGCCTGTAGGGATTTCCCTTCCTATCTTGCAAGCTCAACTAAAAAGAGTTTTTAATATTTCTTATCTAGCTGTTTTATAGAGGAAGCATTTAGGATACTGTAGTTCACAGATTGTTGGAAATAGAAGTCTTCCTCCTTGGTTTCTTACCCAAAGCAGTGCCATCCCTTCTTTGCCTGTGAAGATCATTTTATGGTAGGAAGTGATGGGGGTATGCTGATGGTATCTTGATCCTGCCAAGGTGGTCCATAGACTGTTAAAATGTAGAGGACCATTGACCTAGAAAGACTTCAGATTAGTACTGAATAATCTATGTGTTCTTTGAAGTTGGAAATACTCTTTTGGGACAAGATGTTTACTACTATTTGTTAGAAACTTTATAGCGAATGTCCTCCTAAAATAATAATGACAGAACACACAAGACTGAAAAAACATCAAGGGCTTAATCAACACAAAATATTTGCCTAATCATGGATTCCAGATTTGTAACAGCCCAAATGCTTGGCATTCTGTTTTTTTCCAGACTGTTTCTAGGGTCTGACATGATCACCAGTCCCACTCCCACCAAAGAGCAGCCCAAGTCCACTGCCAGCGGGAGCTCTGGTGAAAGCATGGACTCTGTCAGCGTGTCATCCTGCGAGTCGAACCACTCAGAGGCTGAGGAGGGCTCCATTACTCCCATGGACACCCCTGATGAGCCTCAAAAAAAGGTATATACTCAACCCTTCTCATAATTCCTAATGCAGGCACCTACATGCTCTTTGCCACACCACAGCAAGGAATGTCTGTTTTTAAGTGGATCACTCTATAGTATTTTGAAAGTCATGTTTTGAACAGGCATCAAAAGAAGAGTTCAATTTGGGGACATACTACTAATAGAAACAGGTGTAAAAGCACTAAGCAGTTTCGTTTATTCATTTGGCCTTTGAAATATTGTTCTATACCCACCTCTTAAGGCACTGGAGTTATTTAGGGGAAGTAGGACTTCTTAGAAAGAGCAAAAAGTCAGAGATGGAGATGTGTCAGGTTCTTGGTGCCATGTTTTGTCTTAGCCAAGCATTTATCACAATAATGTTGCATTGCATGCCACTCCAAAAGTCAGTGACTTAAAACAACCACTATTTATCTCTCTTATGTATCTGCTGGTTGGCTGATCTAGGTTGGGCTTGACACTAGGCCACAGATTTGGTCCAGGTCTGTTCCACTTGCCTCTCATTATTGTTGGAGTAACGGGCTACCCAGGGCATGCCCTTAGCATGCTAAGACGGACAAGCAAGAGGGCAAGCCCACTCGCAAGCATATGTCAAGCCTTTACTTGAGTCGTATCAACCAACATTCTATTGGCTAAAGTAATCATGTGGCCACATTCCACATAAGTAAATGAAGCAGAGAAATAGGCTCCAGTTTTAGTGGGAGGAACTCTGAAATCACAGTGCAAAGGGCACAGCTGCAGGGGAAGATGAGGGATTGGTAACAAGGATACATTCTCCCATGTTGGAAAAAAGGAAACTGATGAGAGGTGATAAAAGAATTTCCGTCGAGTTTCTATTTTCTGTGACTGCATAAATAAAAATTTAAAAACCAAAATATCTTAATCTTAAGATCTTAATTAAGACCAGTCTTCTTTTTTTTTTTTTTTTTTTTTTTTTTTTGAGATGAAGTCTCACTACTCTGTTGCCCAGGCTGGAATGCAGTGGTACGATCTTGGCTCACTACAACCTCTGTCTTCTGGGTTCAGGGGATTCTCCTGCCTCAGCCTCCCGAGTAGCTGGGATTACAGGCATGTGCCACCATGCCCGCATAATTTTTGTATTTTTAGTAGAGATGGAGTTTCACCATGTTGGCCAGGTTGGTCTCACACCCCTGACCTCAGGTGATCCACCCACTTCGGCCTCCCAAAGTGCTGGGATGAGCCACCGCACCCCACCAATATCAGTGTTAATCTTCTGTACACATCTGCTTCAATCTGTTGGTTGAAGGGTTTGGATCAGAAAGTCAACTATGACATAACTAGAATTTGCACCATTTGGGGAAGGTTTCTGGCTAACCAAGCTTACTCAATAGTGACTTCTGGCTCCTTAGCTTATGGTTAGGTCAGTAAGGTAGAATGTTGGCAATGGTTTCATCCCTTGGTTTATATCTGCTGCTCTTCAAGGGGACATGTGTGTTGCTTCACATGGTGTTAAAACAACAGTGGTAATCCTGGAACCCTCAAGTGACTTTGTCATAATGTAGCCAATCCAGGAAAAGCATCATATTCAGGATTCATCAAACTGAGATGACTAATTTGCTGCTCTAGTTGGATTTCTTAGCTTTCTGCTTTGAAATCCAGGGGATACAATCATTCATGCTCTAAATATTGAAAGAAAGCCTTCGTGGACACCTACGGACTGGCCATGCTCTCAAAAGGCATTTTTCCTCAACCCGGGATGTAGTCATTCTTCGTGACTTGACATACAAATTAGCTTTGTCAAAATCTGGAATGCAGTCTCATCATTCACTTTTTCACAGCCTCTGAGGTTTTATAGGCTCCATTTCTGATGGTAGACATTGTAGGAAAGTAATAACTGAGGTATTGCCCACATTATTGTGGGATTTCTCCCTGTCTCTCCAGGAAGGAGATGGAATCACAGTCACACCTTGTGGCATAGTGGAAATGTACATTGGTCCAAATGGTACCTTTTAAAACTATGCAGAAGCCCAGTGTGCTTTCTCCTGCACATCCCTTGCTTCATCTTTTTTGTCTCATCCCTCATCAGACTGGCTTTTTAAATTCTTGCAGAAGTCATGGCTCTTTATTCTTTGGATGAACCTTTCTCAGAGTCATACATTTCTTAAACATCAGTGATTCACTTGGATGCAAGTAGCTCCTGGACTGCACAATCCCTGCATATTAGCTAGAAAGGCTCGTGATTCTCCTGCTTGGCACATAGCTGGACTGAGCTGACCTCCACACTTCCTTCCTGACCTGAGAGCCTGTGACAGCCGCCTTCTCCAAAAGTCCTCCAGACTGTCATTCTTCCTTTTCCACAGGCTGCACTGTGAGGTTGCTCTTAAGGGTGAAGTGTAATTTATTTGCATTCCTTTCTTCATTCCCCGATCATGATTTCTAAATATTGATTTTTGCACTTGCTCCTCACTTCTTAAATTCTCAATAGGAATTTGGGGGCTCATCAGGCAGTCTGTTTAGAGCTGCTATAACCCAGGCATATTCTAGGCTTTATCTTAACTATAAATGTCACTAGAATCATAGAAAAATCTAACAAAGGAAATAGAGTTTGGATAGAGGAACATGAAGGCGAAAAAATTGAATGAATAATTGGAAAATGCACCCCCTTAACTAATATATCTGCAAAGAAACTTATGCTATTAACTTATCTATCATCAGTTAGTCCTCAAATTGAGCCACTAAGTTGATTCATTTGGGAACATAAGGAAGAAAAAAACCCAAAAACCAAAACAAAAACTAAACCATATTATGATAGAGCCACAATCAGACCCCTACCCATGAGAATTGTCACATCAGCTGGCTGGCTGTAAACTAACTGTGCAATAGAACTGAATGTATAATTATGCCACAGGAGGAAATCTACAGGAAATAAGATAATAGACTCCATTTTAATCAGAAGCCTGATAACCAGAAAGCTCAACTTCTATACTGTTTCCATGGAAAGGCAGATAAATATGAAAGAAATGTTATTTATTTTATAAATGACTTCCAGAATATTTTATAGGATTAACATGGTATAATTTAGCTTAAGTCATTCCGGGAAATTCTTTATAATTTTCTACAATAATAATGGGTATTTTAAATGGTTCAATTTAATGATTTTTAAAAGTACCTCTTCCAATAACTTCTTTCTTTGGTTATTGGTATTGCATGGATGAGAAATGTGTAGTTAATCAGAAAAGCATATTAACTGTAGTACTCCATTTCTTAATTGTCCTTGATACACATCATGAAAATGTATACAGTTGGCTCTACTAGCAAATGTGGAAAGTGGTGAAGCTGCTTAAAGGCTGTATTTCCCTTGAGCAAGTCACTTTTATATTCTGAATCTTATTCTCCTCGTCTTTATAATGCTCTGCATTTTGTTCACAAGACAGTTGTGGAATTAAAATGGGATAAGATAATATGAAAGTTCATGATAAGCCTCACAGTACTAAACATACCGAGGTAGCAGCATACTATGTTGATTCATCTTATTGTCATCAGCCACAGGCTGAGCCTTGGCCATGTGCTTGCTCTGGGAACTCGACAGTGGGAATCAGGGAGCTTGGGTTCCTGTTCTAGGGGTGCTGTCAACTAGCTGTGTGGACCTGGAGCCCCAGTTTTCTCCCTGGGTCTCAGGTTCCTCAGCAGAACAGGTATGGGACTAGTTGATGTCCAAGGCCTTTCTAGCACTAATATTCAATGCAGAGCCGTATAATCTGGGGTACTTCTCTTAGAAACTTCTAAAAATACAGAACTTTCTCTCTCACTACGAAATCTGACTGCAGTAGGACTGAATCAACTGCGTTGGCAAGGCTTTCCTCCAGCCCCGTAAGCTTCTGACTTCTTTGGGAACCCATATTGCCTCCAGTTTCTGGTGTCTGCTGCCACCTGCTGGTTAACTTCTATAAGAACAGCTAAAACCTAGGGAAATAGAACTGCTTTGCCTCACGTGCTTATAGAGTGATTAGGTCACACTGAGTCACCGATAGGCATCTACCACTGATGGGGACTCAGAGTACTTACACCAGGGATGAGACACATGTGTGCTGTGGGCTGTTGTGGAGGAAATAACTGCAGTCTATCAGTCTTGATATCTACCTCTGCTTTGAAAATTGCAAAGCTGTTGGCCAGCGTTCTAATCTGTTTTCTTCTGGGGTGTGTTTACTCTTCCAGCTCTCTGAGTCCTCCTCATCCTGTTCTTCTATCCATTCCATGGACACAAATTCCTCAGGGATGTCTTCCTTAATCAACCCCCTCTCCTCCCCTCCGTCCTGCAACAACAACCCCAAAATCCACAAGCGCTCTGTCTCGGTGACGTCCATTACCTCGACTGTGCTGCCTCCTGTTTACAACCAACAGAATGAAGACACCTGCATAATCCGCATCAGTGTGGAAGACAATAACGGCAACATGTACAAGAGCATCATGGTGAGGAGCAAGCCCTGACCCAGGAGCGGGTTTCCATTTAGATTGTGTGTCTGTGTCTGTCGGCCGCTCAGACTAATAGCCCTAAATATGCACACTCAATATTAGCATATACATATATGCATTCACACAGAAGGGATGTGTGTCAGTTCCAGGTCTCCCTGGGCATAGATGCTGAATGATATATGTATATAAAATATATATACATATATATGCACACACATGGTGTATATAGGATATAATTTTCACATCTTAAAGAAATGCTAAAACTTATTCGTTTAGGTCAGTATTAGCCATTTGAAAATTCTCAATTTGGGTGACAGTGTAAATGTGCTCCAGGGAGGATGACACAACCTCACACATTTTTGGAAGCCTTCCTATGGAATTATATGTCTGGTTTTATCATTGAATTTCCACACATTCTTAGCAGTGTACTCCCCTGATGGCAGATTTTTGTCATTTAGTCATTTGGATCAAACCTAGTTAATAAAGTGGATGATCAAGCTAGAAATACAGTTTGGGTTAATGAGGAACGATGCCTATAAAATGAGACTGACCTTTTTGAGCTTCTTGTAAAATCTGTGTGTTTCTGAGGACAATTGCAAAGATATTTTTAATAATGGCAGTCTTTTGGGAATACACACAGAGCCTCTCATGGCGATAACCTTGGGTATGTGAGGTCTGGTAGGTTTATCACAAGAATATAAACTCCTTAGTTTATGGGAGATAATCATGTATTGGAAATCACTTTATCCTTTGCAGCAAAATCCCACAGCTAATTCCACATCTCTCCTCATCTTTATCACTCGCCTCTTTGAAGGCACACTCAGTGCTTACAAGCTCAGGTCTGAATATGGCATAAGTGGTATGGAGGCTCCACATAAAAGCTTTGCTAAAGCATTTATTGAGTCAACAAAATATCAAACATTTATTGCGTTCTAGTCATTAGATCAGGCTTTGGGGATAGGGAGATGAGTGAGACATTTCTGCCTTTGAGGAACTTTTAATTAGAAAGGGAGCCCACAAAGCATTATTCACAATGTGCAAAATAATAGAGCCAAGATCAGGTGGTAAAGGGCCTTGTGGCCCACACAGAGGAGTGTGTTAATCCCGCAGGCAATAGGGTCTTGTTGAAGGCTTTTAAGTAGTGATGGGATTTGCTCATTAAGAAAGTCATGGCACTGTGTTTGCTGGAGTGTCGGGGTAGACTGGAGGCGGGGAAGCAAGTTAGGAAGCTGCTATCATGTTCCATGTAGGAGAGGATAAGGGCTTGAATGACGGTCATGTGGCTGGAGATGGTGAGGATTTTTGAAAGCTTTTGATGAGGTAGAATTGTAGAATCCATTCATTTAGTTACCAACTTTTTGGTTACTGTTGTGGAGGACTAGAGGCTGTCTGGGTAGTTGGTGGGTCTGTGAGATATGAACTACCAGAGGAGGATATTCAGGGACATTTAAATCAGAGGTACCAGTATGACATCAGATGGCATTGTCTGATAGATGGTCAGAAACATGGGCTGGTGCAAGGCTGGTGCTGAGATCAAATACTGGGAGTTGTCAAACCCCACAGGGGGGACGTGGTCTCGCGAGACTGAGTGTAGGATGAGGCAGAATGCAAGTGGTAATGAGGGAGGGGCTAATAAAGGAGCACCCGAGAGGTAGAGGAAACACAGGGAAGCCAAGGTCCTCCATGTGGTTACTGCCTGCTCAGCATGGTCTGTTCACCTGGCACCTCTTACCTGCACCAATCAGAGAGAATGTCCACTGCATAACTCTACAGTGTCTCTGAATTATAGCATGGATTTGTACACCAAACAGTTATGTTTTGGGACATGCCTGGTCAGCGTGCACTCTGCTCAGTCTGGGGGGAACTGTGAGTGGTTGGACTGCACAAACCTCTACTGCCCAGGAGGAGTCACAGGTTGTGCATGCTGTCTGAGTGTTGGGAGGGTAGTGAGCAGAAGATCCCCTGCCCCCTGCTCTGAGATTCCTCCTTCCCCAGCAAATGGGCTGCCTCTGTGAGAATCACCTCTCCTGCCAACCCCTTCCTGTGGCCCTTTATATTGCACCAGGTGGTGGCACTCACCTTTCATGAAAATCCTGCCAGCGCATGTCACAGGCTTATTCTGGAGAGACGACACACTGCTCTCGTGCTCTCATTCTAATCGTTAGGCCTCTCAGGAGAAACCTTGCTCACAGGACGTACCTTTCTGAAATGTATTATGCTGTGTGCTGTTGACCAGAAGATGGAAATAAATCAGTCCAGGTTCAGGCGAGACTAGCAGTTCTCAAACTTTTTGTTCTCAGGACCCCTTTATACTCTGAAACAGCATTGAATATTCCAAAGAGCTCCAGACTATGTGGGTTGTATCTGTTGATATTTACCACATTAGATATTTAAACTGAGAAACTTTCAAAATGTTGATTAATTCATTTAAAATAACAATAATGAACACATTGCATGTTAATGTAAATTTTATTTTTTAATGAAAAATATCTATTTTTTTCCAAAAATTATTGAGTGAGAAGTGTGGCATTGTTTTCCATTTCTGAAAGTCTGTTAAAATGTGAGTGAGACTGGCTTTGTTTTGTTTTGTTTTTGTTTTTACTGTGAGTACAGGGTACTGAAGAATACAGTGACAGCTAGTAGATTTGTAGTTAGAAACCACTGGACCGATTTGTGCTGTTGTGCCAGCAATTCCATCCACCATAGCTTCTGCAATACCTATGCAAATGTCAACACAAAGAAAAGACAAACAGCATCTTAGTATTATCATGAAAATAATTTTGATCTCATGGATCCCCTCACAGATTTCAGGGACCCCACGGGCCATAGATTGCACACTGAGAACTGGTGGCCTAGAGAACTTGCTTTGCAAGAGCAACTAATGTCCCTGGAATCCAAGGCCCTTCCATAGAAGAAGAGACAGCAATTAGCCCTTGTAAAATTACCTCCTCAGTGACCATGGAAAAATGTCTTCTACCACTGAACCCATCACTCTTTCGAAATGATCTTTCTCTCCATTGTGTCAATCACAGAGTCAGTCTCCCAAGATCCCTTACACAGGGAATGCAGTATTTCTGTCACAGGAAAGTCAATGAGGGCGACACCAAAGCATCGTTCAGTACCGCGCATTCAGTACAGCAGCCACTGGCCACGGGTGGCGATGGAGCATTTGAAATGGGAATACTCCAAATTGAGATGAGCTGAGGGTAAAATATATACCAGATTTTGAACACTTAGTACAAAAAAGTAAAATACTGCATTAACAATTTTTGTATTGATTATATATGCTGATGTAATATTTGGGGTGTTCAAGTTAAATATCACCTTTCAAAAACTTTTTTTTTTTTTGAGGCAGAGTCTTGCACTGTTGCCTGGGCTGGATTGCAATGGCACGATCTCAGCTCACTGCAACCTCTGCCTCCCTGGTTCAAGCGGTTCTCCTGCCTCAGCCTCCTGAGTAGCTGGGATTACAGGCACCCACGACCACGCCTGGCTAACTTTTTTGTATTTTTATTAGAGACGGGGTTTCACCATGTTGGCCAGGATGGTCTCAAGCTCCTGACCTCCTGATCCACCTGCCTCGGCCTCCCAAAGTTGGTGGGATTACAGGCATGAGCCACCTCACCCGTCCTAAAAACTTTTTAATTGTGGCTACTAGAAACTTAAAATGAAATATGTGGCTCACATTCGATACCTATGAGTGCTAATTCAGTCTATCAGCATAAGGATGCACGCTTGAGCTGTGAATACTCATTGTAATCATAAGTTTGATTCAGCATCGCTTTGATGGTACAAAGTAATAAACACGCAAGGGAAAGCCCTTGGTCATCTTGTCTTCATTGGGACATACCTGGGGAAGTTTAAGGAAAGGAGAATGAAGGTAGCCTGGCTGTCTCATATGACTTACCCACCTTAGCCTGACATGCATCCCCTGAAGGGAGGTCTTCTCCTTTAGCTTTCTGCTACTAGTCCAGTGTGACCCAGCTTTGGGAGTATTTTCTTCATACTATCAAAAACATATTTTCCTCATTTAGAATTTTGTGTGCACCTACTTTTCCCTTGTAAATGAATATGCCAGATGTTTTGGTAACAGACACGTGAACAAGATCTTTGCTGCTTACAAGGACCCCTTTGTAATGCACATTGTTTATGGAATCACAAACACCAGCTGCTGCCCCAGATCAGAGTGAGGCATCTTGGCACTGCCATCCTCAGGCACACAATGGCAGTTTCTGGGAGGAAATGAGACTTCTGTATGTGTCGAGGGGGGTCGTGGGGGGCTTTCTTTCTATAGTCCTCTTGCCCCCTGGTGAGAACAGCTTTTATTTTTAAGTAAGAATAATCTGAGTTTTCATTCACTTCTTTCAAACTTAAAGAAATCACCCAAGGTATGGTACATAATTTAGCTTTCTTTTCAGGTTGCTCTGCACACCCTGCAAATAGTTGGCTGGCAGGCAGTGAGGTGAAGGGAAGAACATCAGAATTGGGGACGAGGGAAACCTTTAACTTGTGCTTTTAAAACACTTACAAGCTGATGTTTATTGAAGCATAATTTGCATGTAGTTACATATGCAGATCTTAAATGTTTGATTCTTTGAGTTTTAATAACTATATATATCTATGAAACTACTACCCCAAATCTAGATAAAGAACATTTCCATCCTGCCTGCCAGATTCCCTGTGCCCTTTCCAATCAATCCCCTCCTAACCTAGAGGTTCATTTTCTAATGCCACAGATTTTGTTTTTCCTTTTTTTGAAAGAATAGACTCCACTGGTATGTAATCTTTTGTGTCCGGTTTCTTTTGCCTAAGATGATGTTTGTGAGATTCACCTGCATTGTTGCATGTGCCAGTTCTTAGTTCCCTTCAGTTGCTCAGTAGGATTCTATTATGAATATACTACGATTTATTCTCTTTTCCTGTTGATGGAGATTCAGATTGATTCAGTTTTTAGCTATTGTGAATAAATCTGCTATGAATGTTTGTGTACAAGTCCTTTTGTGGACGTATGTTTTTATTCCGCTTGGTAAATGCCTAGGAGTGGGACTGCTGAATCACAGGGTCACCTGTACTTTTTGAAATGGTCAATGGGCAGAACTGCGACCATTTTTATCCCGTGGGTTGTAACCAGTGCCATAGAAGCAGTTCAACATGGGAGGATAATTTTGGGCCAGGACTAATAATGCTTTGCATTTTTCACAATTCCCTCATATATATTCTTTCACGGGAACTTCAACCACTGTGGAGGAGATAGGCAAGGAAAGCGTTCTCTCCATTTTAATAGCGGATGACGCTGTGACTCAGAGATTAGGTGACTCGCCCATCATCTGTGGCTGCTAAGGGTAGAACCAGGACTAGAAACCAGGGATCCTGGCTCTTGGTCCAGTTCCAATTCCACGAGTCCGTTCTTTCTGGAAAGGCATCACAACACAAGACAGCAAGAATGAGAGGGTCAGGAGAACTCCCTCAGGAAACGTGAAGCTAAGTACTTTACAAACCTGTTCATTGTCTTTGCAGTTGACGAGCCAGGATAAAACCCCCGCTGTGATCCAGAGAGCCATGCTGAAGCACAATCTGGACTCAGACCCCGCCGAGGAGTACGAGCTGGTGCAGGTCATCTCGGAGGACAAAGGTGGGCATCCTTCCGAGACAGGCATGTTCCTTCCCAGGGCAGGTGGCTAGCACATGTCCACAGTGCTCCGCGTTTAGAAGGCAGAAAACGGATACGTATTGTTTTATTGGGACCTAGTGGTGGTTTTTGATAGTGCAAGGGTGAACAACCGTGCCATCACCTCACTTGTGGAATTAAGTATCTCAAACCGCTCTCCGATTCCCCAGCTCTTGTTTTTCCTGCGATTTTGATGAGTATTTCTTCTGCCCAGTCTTTCTGAGCTCTTCAAACACTTTTCTAGGAAGAAGTGTCTCCCTGTGCCAGGAGGCAGAGGGTAGGGGAGTCTGTTGGGCATTGCAGGTGGCCACACACCTCCTTTACCCAAGAATGTGTTTCTAAGTTGTGTGTGAATCTGAAATTTAGTGGTTCCTGTAATAATTTCTCATCATTTCAATTAATCATGTATGAAAGGTATTTTCTTTATTCATGATCAATTTTAAAATAACACAAACCTCTAACTTGAAGGTTATTTACCTCACATTTATTGAGGCAAAGAACTGGTAATCTATGAAAGGCTTCAATATGCCTGGGAACATATTATTTAAAGAAATCTCTTTTATGAAATACTTTTTGGGGGAAATAATCACCCTTGCATGTATCTGTCTGCTAATATGAATTTGGGGATTGTATTTGTTGAGAGAAGGAAACAGGCTGGTAGAAAACTCCTCTGTACCTTGTCACTTCACAGACAGTGACTGTCAGGATAGGTCTCTTCTCCAAGTGCAGAAGGAGCAGCAAATATTGTTGACCGAAGCCAACCCTTTCTGCCGCCAGACCCCAAACTGTCCATTGCAGCCACCTTAAGTAGTCCTCTGCTCACCAACAAGCAGTGTCCCCTATAAGTGAGAAGCATTCCACAAGCTAGGCTATGGGATCAGCATGTCACCCAGGGCTCTATTGCTGGTTTAGAGGAGAGTGGCTGAAATTAGAATACTACCTTCTCCTAGAGATTAAAAGCTACAGCCTCTGGGAAAATTCTTTTTCAGTTTCCTCTTGGAAGATTTCTCATTCATTCAGCTGAGCCTTAGGCTGTGGGGCAACACTTTCTCAGTTATAACCTTTTGATGTAATTATAATTATAATTCTAAGCCTAAAAGATGGTCTCAAGTTGTACCATTTTGCTTACAACACAGCACTAAGGTGAGGCTGGTGGGTCTAAAGGTCCAGGAGTCTCGAGGGGTAGCCAGGACCCAGTGTTGCCCACCAGCTGTGTGGTCCTAAATGCAAGCTGCTGGACCCCCGGGCCTTGGTCCTTAATTAGAGACAATACCCTGCTGGTTCCTCATATATCACAGGGCGATTCTGAAGATAACAAGAAATCGTGTACCTGAACATGGGGAGACACTAAGTGATATATAACTGTGAGGACTATTATTACTGACCTGTGAGTATGTGGGCAGCAGCATGGGACACTTTGAGGGGATTGTTCTCCGCTGAGCCTTTGTGCACAGAATGTACAGGAGTCACTTGGAACCTGCTCATATCAGTCTTGTTGTTGGATATCAATGTTTGAAGTTAACTTAAGACTCAATTTGTCCAGTTTTACAACCATATGCCTCTCTGGTTGCCTCCCCGACCCCACTACCACAGAGCTAGACTTGCACATTTTACCTTTTTTAATTCTGTTTGTTTTTTCAAATACTCATTACACTTGAGTGCTAAATACTGTATACCTTCTTGTGGCGATTACTCAAGGATCTAGAACCAGAAATGCCATTTGACCCAGCAATCCCATTACTGGGTGTATACCCAAAGGATTATAAATCATTCTGCTATAAAGACACATGCACACATATGTTTATTGCAGCACTATTCACAATAGCAAAACCTGGAACCAACGCAAATGCCCATCAATGATAGACTGGATAAAGAAAATGTGGCACATATACACCATGGAATACTATGCAGTGATAAAAAAGGATGAGTTCATGTCCTTTGCAGGGACATGGATGAAGCTGGAAACCATCATTCTCAGCAAACTAACACAGGAACAAAAAACCAAACACTGCATGTTCTCACTCATAAGTGGGAGTTGAACAATGAGAACATGAGAACACATGGACACAGGGAGGGGAATATCACACACCGGGGCCTGTTGGGGGGTGGAAGACTAGGGGAAGGATAGCATTAGGAGAAATACCTAATGTAGATGGCGGGTTGATGGGTGCAGCAAGCCACCGTGGCACATATATACCTGTGTAACAAACCTGCACGTTCTGCACATGTACCCCAGACCTTAAAGTATAGTAAAAATAAAATAAAAATTAAAAAACAAAAATAAAAGTGAGGCTGGGCATGGTGGCTCACGCCTGTAATCCCAGCACTTTGAGAGGCCGAGGCAGGTAGATCATCTGACGTCAGGAGTTCAAGACCAGCCTGGCCAACCTGGTGAAACCCGCCTCTACTAAAAATACAAAAAAATACAAAAAAAAAAAAAAAAATTAGCCGGGGGTGGTGGCACACGCCTGTAATCCCAGCTACTTGGGGGGCTGAGACAGGAGAATCACTTGACCCTGGGAGGCAGAGGTTGCAGTGAGCTGACATTGTGCCACTGCACTGCAGCCTGGGCAACAAGAGCAAAACTCCATCTCAAAAAATATAATAATAATAAATAAATAACTTAAATAAATAAAATAAAACTGAGTCAAAATAACTTTGCTTTGATGATTTCATATTACACTTGGAACAATCCTTGTTCAAAAATTACAGATGTCTAGTTGGGAATCATTGAAATTGAAAATAGTTTAAATATTAAAAGAAGGGGATATTTGCTGCAATATTTGCTGCTCCTTCTGCACTTGGAGAAGAGACCTATCCTGACAGTCACTGTCTGTGAAGTGACAAGGTACAGAGGAGTTTTCTACCAGCCTGTTTCCTTCTCTCAACAAATACAATACCCAAATTCATATTAGCAGACAGATACCCAGGAAGGGGAGCATCACACACTGGGGCCTGTCAGGGGGTTGGGGAAAAGGGGAGGGAGAGCATTAGGACAAATATCTAATGCATGCAGGACTTAAAACCTAGATGACAGATTGATAGGTGCAGCACATGTATACCTATGTAACAAACCTGAACATTCTGCACATGTATCCCAGAACTTAAAGTAAAATACTATAAAATAAAGATATGCACGTTCAGCACATGTATCCCAAAACTTAAAGTAAAATTTTTTTAAAAAAATATACATACTTTCCTACATGGGAAATAAAATACTCGTTTGACGGGATTACTTCAAAAAATATTTCAATATTTCAAGTAGAATTCTGGAGTGCTGTAGATTTTCTGTTTTTTCTATGTCATTGGATTCTCTTAGTCTTTGAGAAAATCTGCATACTGGGGTGGAAAATGGACTGCAGGAGAAACGAAACCCGAGTTCAAATCCCAGTTCTGCTATTCACTAGCTGCCATCTTGGGAATTTTCTTTAACTTTTCTTGGCCTCTGTTTCCTACTGTACTTTTTTTCTAGTTTTAACATTTTCTATTGGAACATTTAATTCATGGAGCGAATTTCTAAAATCTCATTTGTACTAATTTTTTAAATTGGGATTGAGAAGCTGGGGCCAATTTTTGGGGTAGTGATGGTGATCACTGTCTGGTTCAGGTCACATTCCAGAGATGAAGGGCCGTAGTCCCGTTCTTGTGTCTGGGCAAGGTTTACAGCTGCCGTTGTCAGTACTGAGCTGACCTCCACAAGCTGACCATCTTATCTTTCCTTATCTTTTTCAGAACTTGTGATTCCAGACTCAGCAAATGTCTTTTATGCCATGAACAGCCAAGTGAACTTTGACTTCATTTTGCGCAAAAAGAACTCCATGGAAGAACAAGTGAAACTGCGTAGCCGGACCAGCTTGACGTTGCCCAGGACAGCTAAACGGGGCTGCTGGAGTAACAGACACAGCAAAATCACCCTCTGAAGGGAGGGACCAGTGGCCCCTTGTTTGCCAAAGGCAGAGTGGGGCTGAGAAACAGGCTGCGGTGATTGCAATTACCATCCGGTGTTCGAGGATCATTGGTGAAGTCAGCAGATATTTATTGAGTTCCTGTGGTGTGCAAAGCATTATGATAGGCACCGTGGGGAAACTGGAAATGAATTTGACATGAAAAGGATGAACGATTCACTGATTCTCTTTGACTCATTTGAGACTAAAATGCAGAATTACCAACATTTAAAACATATATATGCACATGTATTTGGTATGCATGTGTATCTATATAAAAATATATAAGAGGGACTTTATGGGATAGTATGGACTATGGAAAAACAAATTTGCACAATGGCCTGGGAAGTTGAGGTCACTTTTTACAGGGAAATAGAAGAAACTGAGAACCTAGTCTCGTATATTCTGAGTAAATGGAATCAGTCCTGGGAATAGAGAGTGTCCTTTGTGCCAGTATTACAAGAAGCCCAAACTTTATTTTTATAAAGGGAGAGGATGACTTTCTCAATCAAGTGCCACCAGATAAAAACAACTGCAGAGGCTGGAACTGCCACAGGCTGTATGAAAGGCCACTTTGGAAAGGGTTTGGATGAGCTGGTGGCCTTCAACCTCTGCCTGCATCTGCCACTTTCTGCTACCCTAGGGAGGCCAGGAGGAGCTTCGGAGGACCATCGCCCCACTGGTCTAGCCATCATGACACCTCTGGAGGTGTCAAGCTCCTGAAACAAGCTCATTTCAGTTTCTGGCAACCCCGTGTATTTCCGTTTTCCCCCTAAAGAACATATCATAATCATTGCACAAATAACCATGTTCTTTGGTAATGAAGCCAGAAAAGAAAGCGCAAAAGAATGGTGACTCATTTGGACTCTTATCTGTCTTGGAATGTCACTGCTTCATTGCCTTCTCTGATTGCCTTTTGCATGTAAAACTATGTGTCTGGAGTCTTTTGCCATCTGGATCTTAGTACCTCTTTATTATGTGCAATTTATTCCTCAGGTGTGGAAATTTCTACTGCAATTGACTACGTTTGATTATTTTGAGCTTGTGAAAGATTTCTGAACAGTGATTGTCCCGTTAATAGCCCCTCAGAAGATGTTCCCTGCTGATAACAGCATCCTATTTTACTTACTTTTATAGCATTACTGTGCCTAGTCGTGGGGAAAGAGATGGGGCTGTATAGATTATCTGAATCATTTGTCTAAGAGGTACATTCTTCCAGATGGAATCAATAACTTTTTTTTTTCCAGGTTCCCGTGCTTGCTATCACAGTATCATTGTTAAGTGACACTTTTGTCTCTCATAACACCATCACACTCTTCCTTCCAAGTCTGAGCTGTGCTGGGGTTTGAACTAAAAGCCATATGTGGAATATTGACATGTGTAAGAAGCACTTTCAGAATGTTGTCCTTTTTAAGAAATGATTCTCAAAATACCAGTTTTTATTCCAAAAATTTAGAGAACAAACCCGGAATATGAAGTGCAGATTGTAACATGGAGCTATTTTTTTTTCTTAATCCCATAATACAGCTCCTAAAAGTTGTGTGGGATTTGCGTTGCATAAATAGCCATGTGAATTCCACAAGAAGCACCAGGGAAAGTTTAGAGATTTGCGGCAATGGACCGAAGAACGGGCCAGGAAGTCCTCCAATTTCCTTTGGTCTTTCCAGGAGATTGGACTACACATTGTAAAGACTGACTGGGTTTCAACTAGTCAAAAAGCACTTTCTTCTGTTTTCAATCCCTGTTCGATTTGTGCTTCTGTGCTTGTAGGAGAGATGGCCAGGGTGGCAGCCCTCATGCAGGTTGAAGTATATGTAGCCTCAGCCTGATATTCTTGGTGCGAAGGTAAAAAAAAAAAAATAAATAAAACCATTGGCCTGGTTGAGGGCGTGACCACCAAGACATATATGTTGTGCCCGTGTTCATCCTGTGTATTTATACTGTATATGTAGAGTCTAGATTTATATACTGCAATGTAAAATATATATATATTTACCTTTTTTAAAGACAATGGAAATTCCAAGTAGCTAAAACTTAGCTTCATTTATTTAATGCCACTTTAAATGTCTTAAATTTGTTTCCTGGTGGACAGCCGGGTAATGCTTTTAGCTGCTCGCATGCTTGTCTTTCTGCATCTCCATCATCTGTTTACCTTTTGGTTAAACTAATAAACTAGTTTGGGACTTGGCTGGCATGTGCTGCCAGACCCAAAGGGATTGTATCTGGATTATTAACCAGGTGGGTTTTGGGTTCCAGTGTGTCAGTAAGCTTTTGGGAAGCCCGCTGAATTGGTTGGAGGAGCACAGGGAAAGCCAGTGGCAGAGTTAGGTGGGATCCTCCCCACTGGCAAGTGTCACAAGCCTTTGGGGGAAAGAATGACTTCCTTAGGAGACTGCAGTCAGAGATGATGCCGTTGCTAGATTGCTGTTCTTAGGGATGGAGTCTCACTCTGTCGCCCAGACTGGAGTGCAGTGGTGCGATCTCAGCTCACTGCAATCTCCGCTGCACCAGTTCAAGCAATTCTGCCTCAGTCTCCTGAGTAGCTGGTATTACGGGCGTGAGCCACCACACCCAGCTGATTTTTGTATTTTTAGTAGAGGTGGGGTTTCACCATGTTGGTCATGCTGGTCTTGAGCTCCTGACCTCAGATGATCTGCCCACCTCAGCGTCCCAAAGTGCTGGGATTACAGGCATGAACCACCGCACCCGGCATGGGGACACTTAATAATCCAACTTAGAGTGAGGGTCCAAGTTAGCATTTTGTCACCTTTCTGAGAGCCTTTCCCCGCATTTTGTGATGGATACCACCTGCATAATTCTTGAAACCGCCCATGGTGCCTTGGAAGCCAGGGGGACCTCCATGGAGGGAGGAAAGGCATTCCCGAAAGAATTACACTTGAAATCCTTTTAAACTGATCCATGCAGTTTCCCCAAAGGCATTACGTCTGAGGCCAGCTTCACTGGACAGATGCACAGTATTGTCATTTATCATACTGTTAAAAAGTTCCCAGGATTATTTTCTAGTAGATTTCTAAATGGATCCAAATTATCAAATGTTCTGTGCCCTTGTGGAATTTTTAGAGGAAGCCAAGTAGAAATTTTAATAATAGGAAATTGATAATATGGGGTAGGGCAGAAAAAAAAGGGAATTTTGTCTTTGGTACTTGTTTTTTCAAGATCATTCTAAAAGCCTGTTTCCCTTGTTTTGCCTTTTTCTAGAAACTGGGCCTGGGGACAGTCTGCCTGAAGGAATAATGTCTTAAACTTGTCTTCTTTGGAACGTTTGTAAATTCTCCCTGCAGCGCAGGATCATTAGGAGGCATACAATACTGCTTTACGTGTCCTGATTTCAGGGGGACTGAGGAGGTTCCTGACTCAAACCTCTTTTTCTTCAGATGCCTACATTTCCACTAGGCAAAGTTATTTCCATTGCATTTTGCATTGCTTTTCCCCCTAGACATCTCTCTTAAAATTAAATACCTTTGGAAGGGATGTGTTAGGCTAGGCTAGGCTGGACCGAAGTAACAAACCAAGAAATTTCAACAGCTTAAGACCGAGGTTTATTTTTTCTTTCACGGGACAGTGTAATGCAAGCCAGGAAACTCCTTAGTAGCTTTTCTCTAACAGCAGCTCACAGATCCAGGCAGCTTCCATCTTGCAACTTCGCCATCTCGGTGTTTCCCTTCCAGTCACAGTGATGATAAAGAGAGTAAAGAGAACTCACAAACTGTTCCCAACTGCCTTAGACCAAAGCGACACCTGTCACTTCTGTTCACAGCCCATCAACCAGTCCCCGGGCCCGATGTGAGTACAGGGGAGGTGGGAAATGCAGGAGAAACCTGGAGGAGTTGATGAACACGACCACCTCTGCCACAGAGGGGTAATGCCTTCTCCTAGGGTGCACGGGTTTGTTCACCGTTGGCAGTCATCAGAAAGTGTTTGGAAGAGATGGCAGTGAGGACTTGAGAGGAGGCTGCACAGAACAGAGGAAGAGTTGAAGAAAGAGAGATGCTGAAAGGAGAAAATACTAGAAAGAACAATTTAATTTTGTCTAGAACTAGCCTTGATCTTATTTTTTAATTTAATTTTATTTTTTGGACAGGGTCTCACTCTGTCACCCAGGCTGGAGTGGCGCAACCTCAGCTCACTGCAGACTCCGCTTCCTGGGCTCAAGCGATTCTCCAACCTCAGCCTCATGAGTAGCTGGGACTACATCCGCAAGCCACCAATGCCCTGCTAATTTTTTCTTTTTCTTTTTTTTTTTTTTTTTTTTTGTATTTTTTATACAGATAGGGTCTTGCCATGATTCCCAGGCTGGTCTCAAACTCCTGAGCTCAAAGCGATCTGCCTGCCTTGGCCTCCCAAAGTGCTGGGATTACAGGCATGAGCCACCACGCCCAGCCAATCTAATTTATTTTTAATTTTTAACATACAGTCACTCACCAACAATTTATTTTCTTCTGATGTGGTTCCTACTTTGATGACACTAGGAGCTACTTTACAGATGTAGTTGTAAGTCAGGTTAAAAAAAGAAACCTAGGAAATGTAAAGTATTTACACAAAACCCAACAGATCAAATAGGAGCCAGGCAAATTTAATTATTTTAGACTCACAATTTGGCAACCATTATTGGGTGTGGTTTCTCAACATCTCTACCCAGAAACCTTTGTGGAAGCAAGTTTCTTACTTAAAATTTCAAGGAATCCAATGTATGTAATGTTTTCTTAAGAGTTTGAAGGCACCTTACAAATCATGTAGTCAGTGGCCTCGTATTATAGATATGAGGCTGAGACACAGAACAGTTAAGTTGCCCAAGTTTTAGGGACAGAGCTCTGGATCATCAAACCCCACTCTGAGCATATCACACTGGGCCAGGCACTGAATGGAGGAGGCTCTCCTGACAGACACTTCCACAGCCTCACGGAACTGGAGAGAATCCCTGGGATCTGTGGGCTCCATCCCCAGCCTTCCAGTCACATGAATTCCCACAAACTATCTCGGTCAGCTGGGCACCTGGTTGGTTCTTTGAAGTGTCTGAGGAACATTCTACTGAGGGTCAGAGCACTGCCACCTACTATCCTGAGCATCATTTCCATCCCACAGATGAGGAAATGGCCAAAAAGATGATTATTGTGAGTTAGCACCCCAGCTGGATTGGAATCCATTTCTGATCTGTAGTCTCGGGTGTTCCCCGGGGGTGCCTGCAGCGGGAGAAACTCCTAGGAGAGGCATCAACTGACAGGAGTTAACAAAGGAGGAGCAGATGGGACTGGGGCTTGAGTGGCGTTCAGGAGAGCCAGTTTTAAGACCACCTGGATCAGCCTCCCTGTAAGCCAGTTATCAGTATCCAAGTGCTTTAACACAGGCTTCTCAGAAGAAATCATTTTTATTCCTACCATTATTTCATACCAAAGCATCATTATGTGCTACAGTTCCAATTTCTTACACAAGAATGAAAAGGGTTACCAATGCAGCAAGTTAAAAAAAAAAAAAAAGAAGAAGAAGACTGAATGATTTAAGCTGTTTCTGAATTGTTCCTGCCATAAAAAAAAAAAAAAAAAATCAAGGCACCAGTTTTGAAATGGGAGAAGCATTCTAAATGAGACTGTTAGCTTGCCCTTTGACATCGATTTCTGATCCTCATTTATTCAGTATCTAACATCCAAGTCTGCAGAAATATGTTATCTGAGAGTTTGCAGTATGACCAGCTGAATAATCAGTATATGAGGTTTCACAGGGGAGACAGACATGGGTTAGAAGTGCCAGCTTTATGTATCAGGCTGTGTGTGTGTGTGGTGAGACAGAGTGCAAGAGTGAGAGATTAAAACATTAAATTTTACTGAGAAAACAAGAAATGAGACACATTATCCCCCAGCAGCTTGGAAGTGGATGCAGTTTGGTGAGATCTGACTGCCTCGGTCTGACTCCCAGGCCACTTACTACCTTAGGCAAGTTGCTTCCCTTAGCTCTTTGCCTTATCTGAAAGATAGAGATTAATGAATAGTTCCTACTTCTTGAGGTTCATGCTGTATTAAACTACACAGCACACGTAGGGAAAGTGCGGTTCACTTTGGTGCATGATACAAGAGTTAGTTGCTGTTATTCCTGGGAAGCTTCTGGCCTAAGGGAAGTCATGTCTTCAAAGAAGCCCTCCAACCTCCTCCCGGGAGGAGCCAAATGGTCCAGACGTGAAACTCTTAGAGGTGGGGCTTCCACGTGTGGAACGGCACCCTGCGAAAAGCTAAGCCTGCTTGCTGCTCTGGGGAGAGACTGACTCACGGAGCTGGAGGGCGTCCAGGGCTCCTGCAGCTTGTTCCACGGCTGGGGTCCAAAAAGGCTCACAGAGACGGGGATGTGGGCCCGGCGCAGCCTCCCTGGCCAGCCTGCAGGCTTTGCAGTGGGCACTCTCGCTGGACGGGCTGTGACAGGAGAGGCTGGCTGATGTCAAGCAGCCCTGGGCCGGAGTGTCCCTCTCAGGGCCTGAGAGATCGGCCACCACACAGAGCTGGCAGCGATTCCCATGAGTCCCCACCTCCTTGGGTGGATTTTTCTCACCAGAAACTCTGCTCCCTGCTCCTGGGTACCCCCTTCTGTGTCTGTCCACAGTCCCTGTGTCTTTCCTACAGGAAGGGGTTCTCGACTCTGGTTCCAGAGGCCCTGTCCAGGGACAATGGAGATGCTTGATTGTGAGTTATTGCTCTTCCCCAAGCATTGGGGGCACTGGACATTTCACTTGTTCCTGTGCAAGCGGTTCAACTCAACACCAACTCAATCTCTCCCATAGTTGCAGACTTAAAAGGATAAAACTCTAAGGACAAGGCTGTCACCACTTCCATTTGAAGCCTCCCTCCTACCACACTATTTTCCCCATTGGTTCCCTCTCCTCTTTCTTGGCCTGTGCACTGGCATCACTGTCTCCAGCGATGGGCTTGCATTAGTCTCTTCTCCCCACTCCTTGCACTTCTCTCCCAGACTGTGCTCTGAGCACCAGGACTTTGCTCCGTGTGTGGTGCGCTAGAAGCTGCCTCTTTCCTCTCCCCTCGGATTCTCAACAGGCTTGCACCACTCTGTCCCTTGCACTCAACTCTGCTCATGGTTTCCTCCCCTGAGCTAGGCCTGAGCAACAATATCATCCCCTTCAAGTCTTCACAATTTATGCTAGCAATTTTTAAAAGCAGTTAAAGCCCTTCAGGCCACACCATCAAAATGCCTGGACAACTGAACTCCTGTCTGGGGGTCTGTTCCAAACTTCTCATTTCCTTTTGGGAGAAGAAACTGTCGCTGATTAATTTCCAAGCATCTAAGAACAGAGAGAGAGAGAGAGCTGCCCACTCCACTTTGAAAATCAAATTCCCCCACTAGTAAGAGCCCAGACATCCACCCAGCCACCCGTGGAATAGGAAACCCCCATCAAAGCCTTGCCAGGTCCATGGGGGCAGAGCTAGTGCTCTGTGGGCCCTAGGATTGCTCAGACATGGTAAGTTTACTAAAGCACCTGTTCCAGAGAAGCCAGGCTGGAGAATTACAGGGACGGGCATAAAAACAAACTCCATAAATTAAAAATAAAGAGAAGGCAATCCTCAGAGACGATTCTTCATTCTTTCCACTCTTTTTGAGGGCAGATGGGAGGATGGATGGCTTTGGATTGGAAGCAACACAGCTGGTGTCACAGAGGCTACTGAACAAAGATCAGCTCACATATTAGCACATCCATGGGTGGAAGCAAAATACTAGGGCATTTCAGTAATTCACAGAGCAGAAAGGAAGCCACTCTTCTGCCCAGCAACAAAGTTTAATGGAGCCATTCCACCACTTACCTTGGAACCCCATTCAGTGTCTGACAATTCTGTCAATGAATTCTTCCTGAAAGCTCACCTAAACTCCTCTTGCTCTGTCCCTGGGATAAGAGGGAGCACCATTTTTCACGTAATCTTTTGTAATATAATGTACTAAAATCTACCATCATTACTTCTCTCTTCTCCAAGCAGGTACAAAAGGACATTGTCCACACTTTGGTTCTTGTCTCAGCTGCCCTACACTGACTTAGGGCCGCGGGCTCACAGGGAAGCCCCTCATATGCCCCTCCTCTCCTGCTGGCCTTCCTCCCTCAGCTGCATTTAATTGAAGGACAGCCGGTTCCCCTGAAATAATAAACATCACCACAAAACATCATGTGGGCGTGACATTTCCAAAGCTGTCTACTCTTAGTTTTCAGAACGTGTCACCCCTTACATGCTATTTTCTTCTCATATAGCCAGCCTCATTTTAACTTTACTTTGTCATTATTTAACTCCTTAGTGAATTAACTTCTGTCAGGGAGATCACTTCTGGATCATTTCTTTCCTCTGTTTAGTTGGCAAGAATGTCTCAAAAGCACGTTATAGAAAGCCTCCTGGGAAGACACATCTTTATTTTATAGTTACTAGCGGGAGGGATTTGCTCCAATCATAAGGGAAAAACCATAAGATTCCCAAATTTGTAGCTGAGTGGGAATATTTCTTGTTTTGGACATCAACATTTTACTGGAAGCCTCTGTATTATCTGTCAAGATGGTAACCAAACTTAGAATTCTCCCAGAAATGCTGGGCTCTGTGCTTATGATGAGACAGCCCTGAGAAGGAGACAGCCCTGAGAGGGAGGCAGCCAACTTGCCTTGCCAGCATGATTGTGTCTCAGTCTTGTTTGTTATCAACCCCAACACATGCCTAACTCTTCTGCCCTACTGAGTTCCCATGAATCCCACTTTGGCCCTTTCATAGTCCTGTCAGGCAATGCCTGGACAGCATCTCCACCCACTGTGCCCAGCCCTCCTCCCTCTTCTGAACTCCAATTCATCCTCCAAAACCCAACCCAAATGTCACCTTCTCAGCAGAGCTGCCCTGACAGTCCTCCTCTGCCCATTTTGTTCATCTCTGAAATAAAACCATCCTGTTTGGCAGCCACCTGCTTTATGTTGCTCCTCCATTGGACTGCGGGCCCCACACAGCAGTAGGGACCTTACCTACTTCTCTGAGCATCTCAGTGCCCAGCACAAAGCCTGCAGCAAGGCAGTGTTCACAGCCTGGTTTTTGAGATTAGGGGTAAGCTTGATCTAAAAATTCAAGCAGTCACTGAGATCAACAAGGATTTTCTTTTTGTTGCTGCTGTTATTTTTCCCCAGGAAAAAGCTCTTTGGCCTTGGACTGGTATCACAGTATCTCAGTATCTTTTGATGAACGGATAGGCTGACCTGTAGCACAAAATGCAAGATGGACACCTCCACTCCCTCCCAGTGGGGGCTCTCTTCCATCTTTCTGTACCTTGGAATCCTTTTCAGCTTACATAACAGTACCCATCAGTTTAAAACAACCCTCACTGCACAGTAAGGGCAGCAACCACCCTCCCCTCATTTGCCATGGGGATCACACAGCAGTGATGGTTCCCCCTGACTCTGACATCCTTGGTCAAGGGCAGACCTGGTAATCTCTGCAGCGTTGGCCATTGATCAGTGCCTGCGGAAGCAATTGACAATCATATCTTTGAGCTAAGTTTTTTTTTAATTTTTCACAAAGAGCTCCAGAAGGCAAATAGTTTATCACTTCCCCACTCTGAAATAGCACGCAAGACAGATGATGCAGGGGAACGGGTGTCCACTCTTTCTTGTTCTCAGAGCTCCTGCAGCAGGCCTGAATGAACCGCAAGCGGGGCCCATGCAGCGTGTCCTCTGCAAAGTGCAGGTGTTCAGTCCACACACAGCAGCACCAGCACTGCTGATGTCACGGTTGTCTGTCCAGAAGATCCCACGTTAGATCCCAAGAGAAATCCAGACAGGGTTTAGCCTCCAGAGGCAGAGAGCGGGTGCCAGGCCCAGATGCAAAGGCCTCTATACTGACGCCCTCACATGACACTGCAAAGGTCAAATGTCAAAGGTCAAATGTCTTGGCTTAGGACTATAAGGGAGAGATAGGACAAATAATGAGGTCAAGGAACCTCTGGATTGCTGAAGAGATGACTTTAAAAAAAAAGTCACATCTGCGGCTCACAGTGTTCACCAGAAAAGAACACTGCTTGGGATTCTAGACCTGAGCAGGGAGAAACAAACCGGGCTAAAGGAGACAGAACTTTCTTCACAGTAGAACAGTCCTAGTCTAAAATGCTAGAATTTAAGTCCAAAGTCTTTTAAGAATGAGAGTTCTTAAATCTGTCAGACCAGCTGACAGGGGAACAGGAAAAAAAAAATTCTCTATTAAACAAAACACCACAAAAATCAACCCAAACTTCCTTCAACCCCAGCACCCCAGCCACCTCCCACCCCATTAAAAAAGTCATTAAAGTCATGCACACATGCACACACTCAAATATGAAAACAAAAACCAGATACCCAAGGAAATCTTAGGAATCACCTAAGGAATTTTCACTCGCTCCCCAGATGCTCTTTCTGTTTTTCTGGGGGTGGGTGGGAAAGGAAGTCACACTGACAGCTAAGTCTAAGCGGCACAATTTAGAGTTGGGTGAGTTCCCTTTCCTCCAGCGGCCTAGCTTGCTGGTCAGTGTAGAAGGGTACCCACAGTGAGTCGGGAAGGAAGGCCGAGGCTGGCGTCTGGTGGAAGGCAAGCTGCCTCTTGTCCTAAAGTGGGGACCCGCCCCTCACCTGGGGAGATGAGGCTGCCTTGACTACCTATTTGGTGATGAGACAGCTTGGTGATCACTTTCTCTAGACTCTGAGCCATGCTGTTCAACCTTAATGTGGCAATCAGTATCACATGGGCAGTGAACTGAAGAATTAGGTGTCTGGCTTAAAGTGTATCTTACACTCGTACACTAAGCTTGTGTATGTAGCACCACCCGCCTGTGGACTCTGCTCTGAAGGGCCCTCCCCATGAGTTTAAGTGTGAAGCTCAGGGTTTGGGGTGTGCACGGCCCCCCATATGGCTGCATGGTGCATGGACAGTGATGAGGAACGGTGCTGGTATGGGATGCCTGGGAGGGTTTTTCTGGAGACAAAAATTTACAGATTGAGGGCATGAGAACATAAACTTGAGGGAAACCACCATGATCTATACTAGGATGACAGATTGTGGAGTGGGAAGAAATCGTGTAGTCCAACTCTGCATTTTACATAAAATCAATCTGTGAAGAAAGCAGAAAGGACTCTTAGGGGATATCTTTTGAGAAAGGGTGTCCGCCTGGGATTCTAAGAGCTTCCCTGGTTGCTGGCCTAAATCAGGTGACCAGCCCTTTGTTTCTGACCAGGTTTCTCACCTGAGATAGAGAATCATTTGTTTCCAAATAGTTCAAATCCCCCCATCCACAGGCCTCCCCACAAGAGCCTGGCTGGGAAATTCAGGAGAATCAGATTGCCGAACCAATGTGTCCACACCCACCACTCCCCCGGGTGCCGTGGAAGTCTGCAACATCTGTTTCTCTGCCTTATCCTAAAGACAATATCTTCGCCCATTTTGTAAAATAAATAATTCAAAATATAATGAAAAAACTCTGGCAAGGATAGTTGCTGGCCTGAAAATGTGCTCTGTCTCTTAGCAGTGACTCACAGAACTCACACCTGCGGTGGGTTCCCAGGCTAAGGGGTGGAGCGGAGAGCGTGAAGCTCTGTAGCAGCGCGCAAACCCGGGACAGGGCAGGATGCACAGCCAGTCCTCACCCTTTATATATTACATTTATCTTTATAAATAGAGCATCCTGACTCGAGTGGCCATAATAAAAAAGCCAAACATTGAGTTTTTTCCCTCAAATACCTACACAAACTGTCAAATATCTACTAAATTATATCCACATGGCAAACTGGTCACCTCTATATGAGAACTCCAACTGCCATGATGGTCACAGGCCAAGTCTCAGTCGGACCCAAATACCCACCCCTACTGGATAACAGGGACTAAGATTTTTTTTTTTTAAAAAATCTACTTTTCAATAAGACTTGTGACAGAATCCTTTAAATAAAAAGCCAAATAAATATGATTTTAAGTGATTCCTGTCCCCCAAAAGTTGCACACACAAGTTTTCAATGTCATATAAAACGGACAAACTAGACCAATAAGTGTGGTCTAGTTGGCCTGGCTGCCTTGACTACATATTTGCTGATGTGACAGCTCGGTGATCACTTTCTCTTGAACAAGACTCTGAGCCATGTTGTTCAACCTTAATGTGGGAATCAGTATCACATGAGTAGTGAACTGAAGAATTAGGTGTCTGGATTACAGTTTATCTTAACAGTTTCCAAAAAACCTGTCTTTCAGCCGTCTTGGGAAATTTGGGTTGAATTTCCTTATTTCCTTCCATGGTCAAAAATATGTTAATTTCGATCTATCACACTAGATCACTTTGGTTAGATGACTGTGACCACTAAGAACAAAACAAAACAGAAAACTGGAGCAAACAGATGAATAGCCCTTTAGAAAAACCAGAGGATGTTGAACTGATGTGGGCCACACTCCCAGGGAGCCTTCATAGCTCATCCCTTGAAGGCACAGTGTCCAGGGAGGTTGGCGGTGGCAGGGCCTCTGTGTTCTTGGCATTGCTGTAGATGCGGCTTTGCTTCCGGGACTTCCAGGCATGTGTCCTATCCCAGTCGGTGGCCACTGTCTCATTGTCCCAGATGGTGGAGGTCTCCGTGTCACTCAGGTACCCCGGCTGGCCTGTGTAGTGCGTAGGGTAGATGAGCAAGGGTTCTGCAGAGAAGGCTTTCAGGTCCCTGGATTCATAATACTCCTTGTACTCGGCTCTGAAAACAAGAAGGTGGCCGGACACATGAGGGGGCGGAAAGGAGACTTACGGAACAGGGACAAAGAGTGAAGGAGGCCTCCTGGTTACCTCATGAGTTCATTTCATTATTTCAATTGTGTCATTTGTGAAAAACTTTAGCCTACAAACACAAATATTTCTTTAAAAGCTTTCCAAAGACAAGCTCCCAAGCAAAAAGATCAGGACATTTCTGACGTATTTGAATAGACTAGTTTAAAAGATGAATTTCAGGTCTGACTCCAAAAGTTAAAAAGTAAGCCCTGTTAGACCATAATGATAAATAAATACGATCACTTCACCAAAAATGCCCTGCTTTGGGATTAATAAATGAGACACCTCACATCTGGACAGCAGTGATGGGGCATGTGGCACGTGGAGGCTTAGAGGCACGCAGGCTTGGCTTTGTGCTCTAGCTCCCTGCTCACCACTCCGGTTCCAACAGGTGTAAAGGAGACGGATGACTTGGCCTCCCTCTCAGGGCTCCTGTGCAGAGTACATGAGGTGACATCTGAATGTAGTAATTTCCCTTTTGTTTAGGGGATAATGGTTTGACCTCCATGTTTCTGCTAGGACACAGAGATAAAGTCAGTCTCTGACATGTTATATACAAGAGGGCACACAACTCCATTTTTACTGAGGACAAGAGACAAAATGAACTGGTGGCAGCACAGGAAATCTCAACAGCTAAAATGAGACCATCTAGTGACGAGATCACCCAGCAACTGAGAGAAGGGGCCAAGGTTAGAACGAATGCTGCTCCATCAATGAATTTAGGAATCATTCATTAATGATTTAGGAGCTGCTGTTATGTGTAGCATTTGGACTAGGCTCTAAGGACACAGAGGCATAAGACTGTTACTGCCCCAAAGGGTTTATAGTTTATTGGGGAGATTGACAGGTAAATCATTAATTGCCACACCTTTTGATAAGCGCTAGGTCAGGGTAAGCTCCTGGGCTATGGGAGCCCCAAGCATCACACTGCCCTTCTTCCATGGACATCATGCTCAGGTATCAGGTCCACACTCCCTGAACCTCTTACACACCCCTGCGATTGCAGGAATCACAATATATCATGATGATTTGTTCATGAGTCTGGGTTCCTGACCAGATTGTGAGCTATGCAAAAATGGGTATCTCTGCTTAGCCAACAGTACCCAATGACCTGAGCCAAAGGAACTGGAAATTTTGAGGTGCTTAGGAAGATGGCCTTCACCTTGAGGTGTATGAGGTTATGGAAATAAGAAGAGCAAAGACAAGGAGGGGACCAAGCACATTACATTCAGTTCAACTACAAACTGGATATTACAAGAATCTCTGGGCAGGACACTCACCATCTCTGCCTCACCTTCCCATCTGTACAAAGGGATAAATCACCTGAGTTAGGCTCTCTTAATCATAATTATGAGAAGATCATTTAGGAAAGCAGTACAACTTTAGAAAATATCAAGTACTACCAGAAATGGAGAGCATAATTCATGAAGAGGCTGTGCCCAAGGGAAGGCAGGCAGTTCAGGGAGACTCACACGGGATGCTTGTTGTACATGACTGGCAGAAACTCATCCACTGGCAGCATCTTCCCAAAAGGATTGGCTCCAACCAGCTTCTGTGCTCCTTCCAGAGAGATGACGTAGCCCAGGGTCCAGTAGGAATAGTCGGCTTCGACCAGGTTTGCCACATTGGGCACTGCTTTCTCTGGCTCCTTTACTTGCATCCTCTTCCTACCAATATAACTGTAAGGAAATGGCAGAGGAGAAAAATTCCACCTTGACTATTATGCCATGATAAGGATGAAGCACAGCTTTGGTTTACATAGATACCTCTGAAATCCTGGACTGACTCTGTCTGTCATTAAATGATGTATCACATCCAAAAGTGGATCCAATCGCCAGTCAGGACTGCCATCTGCCATCACTGGGGCCATTTTGCTAGCTCCATTTATCAACACCCCCACTATTCCTGCCTAGTGGACGGTTTTCAAGACGGAAAGTAAGATGTCGTAAGATTAAAAGATCTTTCAGATCATTTCTTAAAGATGGGATGGGGCTTCCAGCTGTGTTTACAGAGGTTGGAAAGGCACAAAAAAAGGCCAGATGGGAGAATCCTGAGGCTGCTGTCTTCAGGTCCCCAGAGTGTCAGCCTTGGATGCCTTCTGCACAGCACTCCGAGTGCTGGTGGGAAACACAGGACCAAATAAGCTGGGGGAAAGAGTCAGTCTGCAGTGAAGGTTCTGGGAACCCAAGAGTGGCCCTAAGGGGTTCCTTTTGGGGAGGATGAATGACAGCTCCTGACAGGCATTCTCCTGCCTCACACTCGTCCAGCTGTGGCCAGGCTTCCTCCCAGACATGCTGCTCTGAGAAAGGCCCCCCAGGCACCTTCCGTCCTCCGTGAACAACTTCTACAACACAGGATGCACCTTTGGCCACTCCCATCTTCCCTAGTCTACCCATGGATCTGTGCTCCATTACTTTTGTCCGGAACCTATTGATTTGGGCTTGACTGGAGCAACCTGAGGAGTTGCCTCCTTCTTGCCTGCCAGGTAAAGCAGTACTTCCTCTATTTTGCCCTAAAACAATCTCTTTCAACATTCAAGGGATTCCCCCTTGTGAAAGCATCCCAGGATTTGTAGAACAAGTCTATGTTCAATCTTCAGTTCTTCTGAGAACAACAAACATATATCCCCAGCCACTCTCTCTTCAGATTACGGAGTCTGAGCTTCTCTCGTGTCTCATCCAGTGGAAGGGAAACTCTTATCGAGCACTTGAGAGGAACTAGAGTGATAGAGGTGCTGAGTTAATGCTCTAACTTTAATTAATTTAATTTTAAATGTTGAAGCTGTGTGAAATATATATATTTTTTCCATGAAACAAGTTCATTGTTTTGGTAGGACGACAGTTTACTTTTTTTTTTTTTTTATGGAGCCTTGCTCTGTCGCCCAGGCTGGAGTGCAGTGGTGCAATCTGAGCTCACTGTAAGCTCCGCCTCCTGGGTTCATGCCAGTCTCCTGCCTCAGCCTCCTGAGTAGCTGGGACTACAGGAGCCCGCCACCATGCCCGGCTAATTTTTTGTATTTTTACTAGAGACGTGGTTTCACCGTGTTAGCCAGGATGGTCTCGATCTCCTGACCTCGTGATCCACCCGCCTCGGCCTCCCAAAGTGCTGGGATTACAGGCGTGAGCCACTGCGCCCAGCCCAGTTTACTTAAACAGCTGAAAATTTAGCTTCTGGATTGAGAGGTGTTCTAAGTGTAAAATACATACCAGATTTTGAAGAGTTGGTACAAAAAAAAAAAGAAGGTAAACTATGTCATTAATGGTTTTAAAATATTAATTACATACCAAAATGATGATACTGTTTGGATATTTTTGTTAAATAAAATGTATTAAAACTAATTTAGTCTAATTTATTTTTACCTTTTTAATGTGATTACTAGAAAACTGAAAATGACATATGTGGCTTGCATTATATTTCTATTGAACAACACTCCCTCAATGATTCCAATGACTTGTTCTATTCTTCCCTTTTATTATTTTCTTTTCCTGGAAAGATGTAATGTGGCAATCATGAACAGCTTATTACCTTTCATGTTTTAGGTTTAAGTAACATTTGTTTCTTTTTTGTTTTAGAAAATAACAGGTACAATTTAAAACTGTTACAGTTCTTTAAGACTATATAATAGATTTTAAGGGGATATTTTGACTTGATCAACCTGTGAAATTTAGAAAACATTTTTTTCCTGTATCCTTATCAAGACAACTGTTCTTCCTTCTTGCATCTGTCGGTACTTTGTCCTGAGAAATGCACCCACCGAACTACATGTGAACGGGAACGTATGCCAGCTCTAAACCTTAGATTCTCTGGGCTCAGTCTTCTGTGATTATGAGGCTTAAGTGAAGTTGCCTTTATACAAGTCACGTGGACATCAAGTAGCTTCCAGGCCTGTGAGGCCTTAACCACAGGCTGCGGAGCCATCCATTGAGAAAGGCTGAAGTGCAGCGACTTCTGGAGGATATAGGAAGAAACAGTGATCTCAAGGGACTGTGCAGAATGCCAAACCAAACCACATGACCACATGACTGAAATCTGACAGGGCATAGGTGTCTTATTACACAGTGACGCATTAGTTGAGCCATTGCTAGGTTTCTTCTGAGCTCAGAGTGGCCCATTTTCTGAGGGAACAAGTATTCCACCTGGGCCCACAGTTAAATACCGCCTGTGGGTGGGAGAAGCAGGGACAGCTCCTCTGCTGCAGCTGCTCCAAAGAAGCAGGCTCAGAGTTGATGAATTGCCTTTGACACACAGCTGGGAGCAAACACAATGCTTGGGAACTTTCTGCTTCATTGGAGAGAAATTGAAAGTGTCATTTGTTTTAAAAAGAAAATGAGAGAGAGAAAGGAGGAGGCAGAGGAGGAAGAAGAAAAAGGAAAGAGGAAGGGAGAGAGGGAGAGGAAAAATGAAAGGGAAGGGAAGGAAAAATGAAAGGGAAGGGAAGAAAAAAGCAGAAGCCACTCAATTCCCAGAGAGTAGACAAAGAACATTAACTAAATGTCAGCTCAGAGCCAGCACTCCCTTGGTGAGCCTGGTTTTCCTGCATCAGCCTCAGACCCTTCCCCAAATCTAGTTGTCCATGTTCTTCATGTTTGTGCAGCCCCATTTCCCAACAGAGGAGCTCCCTGGCTGACCCTCTAACCTCCCACCTTCTCGGAAGCTGCAGAGGCAACCTGCTGTCCCGGGAGCTGAGTCTTAAATATGACACAGGACTTTAGAGCTTGAATAAATGGCCTCTTCTCCAGCTTCACACCCACTCCATGTGCCACGTTAATTGAGGGTGGGATTTCTGCTGTGCTCCTAAGTAAGTGCTCAGTGCCACACCTTGGTTCTGTCTGAAGGTCCCTGATCTGCAGGCCGACTCCAGGTCTCAGACAATCTTCCACAGTTTCCCACCCTGAAGAGTAGAAGGATGCAAAATCCAGTGGCTAACCTCTACCCATTTTTATTTCTGAGAACATTTATGGAAAGAAAACTAGATAAGTGGAAGCTTAAGCTGTATCTCCTACTGGCTGTGGAGGTGGGGCTCTCTGCGCATTGGAAAGGACTGAGTGCCTCTCAGAGCCCTCTCGTAAGATCATCTTGTCACTCACATCAGTTCCCAGTCCAGCTGAGCCTGGTCAATGTTATCCATCAGCTTCATCAGCTTCTTCTTAAACTGATGCTCAAAACGCACATCGTCTTCAATTACAAGAGTCTTCTCTAGCTCTCGATCAATTACCTGCAAAAGTCATCAGTAGGAAGATACCCTATGAAAAGTTTGAAACCCAATTTTTATTAGATAAATAAGTATTAAAAAGTCACGAGTCTAGTAGCACAGATTCATAACTGGAATCTAAGCAAATGGCCATCAACAGTAGAATAGATAATAAACTTTGGAATATTCACAGCAGTGAGGATATATGATCACAATTAAACGCAACGTTATAGGTGAATCTCCTAAATGTCATGTTAGGAGAGTACACATACTGCATGATTCCATTCATATAAGGGAAAGTACAAACAAAGGTAAAGCTATTCAATGCCTTTAGAAGTCAGGATGGTGACTGCCCTTGGGGACTGATGACCAGAAGGCAGTACGGGGTGGGGGGGTGCTTGTGGGATGCTGGTTACCTGCTTCTGGATCTGTGTACTGATTAACATGGGTGTGTTGTTTGGTTTGTGAAATTTCCCTGAGCTGTATCTTTTGATCTATATCTTTTTATACCTATTTATCACATTTCACTTAAAGTTTAAAGAAAACAAAGGCAGGCATAGACTGGATCATTAAAAGAGAAAGTGTTCAAGGGGCCTTTCTTCAGGGACTTTCTTTTTGGTTGTGGAAACTGACTGTTTATCAGGAACCCCACACACCAATATCTGCTCCAGATATGTCTTGATCTGTAAGACAGGGGTTCCACTTCTGGCTCTGCCACTTCTTACCGGGTCAAGCTACTTAATAATTTCTTCTTCGGTAAAGGTGGTCTGTCCTTCCCAACCCACCTCACATGACTTCTGTGTGATTTCTTGTATAAAATCACTTAATAAGTGATGTCATAATAGGTATAATAGAAGGCATTCCTGCTAATGATGATAATGAATTAATAAGAGTGTGGCACACAGGACATGGGTGTCTCCCCCGTCACCACCCCAAGTGGCACCAAAGCTACTCCTCCTTGCCCCTTTGTTGCTGGTCTTGGGTCAGAGGGAGACACAAGGCAGGAGCAGCTCTCATGCACATTTCCAGAACAGTTGCGGGCTCACTTTACATCTGGCCCTAACTCACCTACGATAGCCTGCTTTCCTTTCTCCTCATCATAAAACTGCAATCTGAATAAAGCATTATTTACCTCTTTCCAGACTGAGTAGTGGCTGAGAAAGCAGCCGATTTCACCCCTTGTTAGAGGCCTGGAGGAATAGGGATCTCGATAGCCAGGCAGCATTTCAATATTCAGTGCCTTCAGCTGGCTTGTGTTGAGTGCCCTGCATCACATAAAACACGTCTGGAGATTAACAAGTCAAAGGTCCCCACCACAAAGGCCAGAGAAAGAGAGAGTTAGTTCTGCAAACACCCCTCCCCCACACAGACAAAGACAGAGAGGCTTCCCTTTATTCCTTAGAAGTTCCTCCAGGCTAATGTGTCACACTAGTATTATGAGGTCTGGGAAGACAAGAGGGTATCATATTTTTGTGTATCCCTCATAGTGCCCAACATAGTTCTAAGCATCATCAGTTTTTTGACAAGATTTAATAAGTACACTCCTATGGAAATTAGTTAAAGTACTGCAATAATCCAAGGAGTGTTTGATCAAGACCTACTGCTGAATCTCTGTTAACACAGTGAGCTTTGTGAAGTTCACAGCTGCCCTAATCCTAACCTGTTCACCCCAGCCCTACAAAAGCCTTGAAAACCAGTAGCCTCACAACTAAGAGAGCGGCAAACCCCACCAACCCAGAAGCCACTGGCAGGGACAAAATGGACTGAGACTCCCTTAAAGACCTGCCCCCAGAAAATAATCTCTATTCAACCTGTCTAGTAGCTCCTTGAAAAGCTACATTCTCAGAGCTTGTCTTGATTTGACCTGACTCAGAGTTCATTTTCTGTGAACAGCACTATCTGCAGGTCATTTGTCAAAACCCATGAGCAACAACTGTTTAACATTACAGCTGTTTGAGAAGCATTATCAGCTGATGCTAACAAGAAGCCCACCAAAAAACTTAAAAGGAAAAACCAAGGAATAAGAGGTCCATAGGGAGTTTGATTTGCTCCAAAATATCCCTGAGAATCTAGAAGGCCCCAGGCATATTCAGGGCTGTCCACACGCCCAGGAAAAACTTGAGAAGTCCCTAGTCTCTCACCTCTGGCTGACCTTAAGGATCTGGAAAAAAATGTAGTGAAGGCAAATGAATAAAACACTGCAATGAAGGAAGAATTTGGCATAGTAAGTTTTAAAAATTAATACAACCATGTGGTATCTATAAGAGGCAGCCTTTAGATTAAAAGACAAAAATAGGTTGAAAGTAAAAGAATAGAAAAAGATATACCATATAATCAGCAATGACAAGAGAGCTGGCAGAGCTATGCTAATATTGGGCAAAATAAATCTCAGACAAAATTCATGCTAGAGCCAAGGAAGGACATTTTTTAATGATAAAAAGGTTAATCTGGGCCGGGAGTGGTGGCTCACGCCTGTAATCCCACGACTTTGGGAGGCCGAGGTGGGCAGATCAGAAGGTCTGGAGATCGAGACCATCCTGGCTAACACGGTGAAACCCCATCTCTACTAAAAATACAAAAAATTAGCCGGCCATGGTGGTGGGTGCCTGTAGTCCCAGCTACTTGGGAGGCTGAGGCAGGAGAATGGTGTGAATCTGGGAGCTGGAGCTTGCAGTGAGCCAAGATCGTGCCATTGCACTGCAGCCTGGGTGACAGGGCAAGACTCCATCTCAAAAAAAAAAGGTCAATCCATCAGGAAGGCATAACAATTATAAATACATATGCACCTAACAGAACCTCAGAACCATGAAACTGGAAGAATTGAAAGGAGAAACAGACAATTCAACAATAATAGGGGAAGACATCAATATCCCACCTGCAATAATAGAACTAGGCAGGAGGAAGACAAGGAAACAGAAGACTTGAATAATATCTTAAAATAATCAGACCTAGCAGACATCTATAGAACATTCCACCCAACAATAGCCAAATACACACTTTCAAGTGTGCATAGAACATTCTCTAAGAAATACCATTTTTTAGACCATAAAGACCATATAGGTCATAAATTAAGTGTCAGTATACTTAAAAGGATTGAAATCACACAAGGTATGTTCTCCAACCTCAATGGTTTGAAATTAAAAATCAATAACCAAAGGAAACTTGGGAAATTCAGAAATGTGGAATTAAACAATACACTCCTAACCAATGGGTCAAAGAAGAAATTGCAAGGGAAATTAGAAAATATTTTGAGATGAATGAAAACACAGCATACCAAAACTTATGCGATACACTTAACATAGTACTTGGAGATATAGTTACAGCTGCAAATGTCTCTAGTAAAATAGAATATCTCAAATAATAATCCTCCCATCCATCTTAAGAAACTAGATAAAGAGAAAATTAAACCCAAAGCAAACAGGAGGAAGAAAATAATAAAGGTTACAGTACAAATAAATGAACTAGAGAATAGAAAAACAATAGAGAAAAATCAACAAAACCAAAAGTCAGTCCTCTGAAAAGATCAACAAAATTGACAATTATTTGCCTAAACTGATGAATTAAAAAAAAGTAAACTCAAACTATTAAAGTCAAGAATGAAAGAGGGGTCACTCCTACTGACCTTATGAAAGTAAAAAAGATTATATGATAATACTATGAACAATTGTATGGCAACAAATTAGATAACCTAGATGAAATGGACAAATTGATAGGAAGGTACAAACTACCAAAATTGACTCAAGAAGAAATAGAAAGTAAATAAATAACAAGAAAAGAAGTTTAATTAGTAATAAAAAAAATTTCCATAAAGAAAAGCCTAGAACCAGATGGCTTCACTAGGGGTTTCTGCCAAATGTTTAAAAATTGTTAACACGAATCTTTCACAAACTTCCAAAAAAAAAGAGGAGGAGGGAACACATCCCAGCTGATTTTATGAAGCCAATATTATTTTGATACAAAACCAAAAACATTATAAGAAAACTGCAGACCAATATCACTTATTAATATAGATGTGGAAATCTTCAAGCAAATACTAGCAAGAGAATCCAGCAATTTATAAAAGGAATTATACAGCATGACCAAATGGGTCCCAGGATTATCCCAGGGTTGCAAGTTTGGTTTAACATGTGAAAACCAATCAAAGTAACGTACCATATTAACAGGCAAAAGTCACATGTTCATCTTAATAGACACGGACAAACCATTTGACAAAATCCAATACCCTTTTATGATAAAAATACTCAACAAAATAGGACTAAAAGGGACCTTCCTCAACCCAGTAAAGGCCATCTGTGAAAAACCCACAATTAACATCATACTTAGCAGTGACGGACTGAATGCTTTCCCTCTAAGATCAGGAACAAATCAAGAAACTGCACTCAACAGTTCTATTCAACATTGTACTTGATGATCCAGCAAGGGTAGTTGGACATGAAGAAGAAATAAATGGTATCCAGGTTTGAAAGGAACATATAACACTATCTCTACTTGCATGTGACATGGTCTTGTATGTAGAAGATCCTAAGGAATATACACACACAAAGGAAAAAGTACTATTAGAACTGATAAAAAGGGTTCAGCAAGGTTGCAGGATACAGGATCAATATACAAAAATCAATTGTATTCTTATTCATTTAGCAATGAACAATCTGAAAATAGAACTAAGGAAATAGTTCCATGTACCATAGCATCAAAAGAGTAAAATACTTAGGAGTATATTTAACAAAATAAATGCAAGACTTGTATACTGAAAATGACAAAACATCATTCAAAGAACTAAAGAAGATCTAAATAATAAAAAGACATTCCATGATTACGAATCAGAAGACTTCATATTGTTAACACGGAAATATTCTCCCAGTTGATCTACAGACTCAATGCAATTCCTATCAAAATCCCAGCTGCCGTTTTCTTTATTTGTGGAACTTGACAAGCTAATTCTAAAATTCATATGGAAAAAGTAAGGGACCCAGAATAGCTGAGACAAACTCGAAAAAGAATAACAAAATTGAAGGACTCATACTTCTTAAATACAAAGCTACAGTCATCAAGACGGTATAGTACTGGCATAAGGATAGACATATAGATCAATCAAATAAAATAGAGAGTTCAGAAATAAATCCTTACATTTATGGGCAACTGGCTTTTTACAATGGTGCCAAGACAATTCTACGAGGGAAACGAAAGTCTTTTTAACAAATGGTGAAGGGACAAATGGATAACCATGTGCAAAAGAATGAATATGGATCCCTGCCTCATGCCATATACAAAAATTTACTCAACATAGATCAAATACCTAAATGTAATAGATAAAACTGTAGAACTCTCAGAAGAAAATTTCATGAAGTAAATCTTCATGGCTTTGAAATTGACAATGGATTCTTAGGTATGACACTAAAATTACTAGCAACAAGAACAAAAAATAAATTGGATTTCATCAAAATGAAAAACTCTTTTGCTTCAATGTATACCATCATGAAATTGTGACAATCAATAATGCATAAAGTTAAAGAAAATATTTGACAATTACATATCTGATAAAGGACTTGCATCCAGGATATATAAAGAACTCTCACTACTCAACTAGTTTCCCTGGTCCATGTGGTCTATGAATGGGACTGGTGTTCTTGGAGGTATTTGAAGCAGTGGTTCCTAAACTCTACTGCACCCAAGAATAGGGCTGACAGATTTAGGAAGTGAAAAACACAAAACACTCAGTCAAATTTAAGTTTCAGATAAATAATGGATAATTTTTTAGTATAACCAAGCCCCATGTGATGTTTGGGACAAATTTAACTGGCTATCCAGTATTTTATGGGGCAATCCTGTCTAAGAATCACCTTGAGGCTTCTTAAATGCAGATCCTGGGTCCAGCCTCAGAGAGCATAATTCAGCAGGTCTGAGATGGGACTGAGGGAGCTGTCCCCTTAACCATCCGTGGGGACTCTGATGTGAGTGTCCAGGTCACACTTTGGGAAACACTGATGAGATTCTCTAAGGGAGTCATAAAAACTTCAACAGCTGCTAGCCATACTCCTTAGTTGGAGTTATGCAAATAGAAAACAAAGCTACTGATATTCTAAACCAACATATAACATGGAAAGGCACATTTTATAAAAATCTATGCCTTGAAATAGTTTAGGGTGTCAAATAAAAGGGCAAAGCTGAACAAAATAAAAAAAAAAAAAAAGAAGGGATCTAACTAGGTTCCCTGTGTTACTTTCCTGCCATATTTCCAGGAAAAGTGGCCACTATGATCGGTCCAGGCAGATTGTGGCAGGCATCTCATGCAACAGGAAATGTACACCTTTATGCATTTTCCATCTATTTTCTTCAGATTGACCAAGTTTCAGCACTTTATGCTCTAATTCAGCTCTGAACACAATTCTGAACACATTCCTTCTGTTACACTACAGAAGGCTGAAAACCACCACAACTGTTGCAAGAACCCCCAGAGACGGGACAATCACATCCAATGTGAGCCTTCAGTGTAATGAAGACCAAAGACCACTGGCTGGTGAGTGGATTTCAGGCCTGCTCTACAGGATGAAATTAACTTAAATGCTACTACAGGTGGCCGTTTTGAAAATAAGACTATCCTCTAATGACCGAAGAGACTTAGAGCCCCACCTGGGACTAACTCTCTGTCAGAGAAGACACATCCACACTCCAATCACATCTGCAATGGGAGAAGAAACCCAACTCACTTTCCATCCACAGCCTCGACAATCTTGACCTCAATCTCCTGTTCATACAGTGTGCGCAGCATCCGGTCCCGCCTGTCCTTTCTGCGTTTGAGGTTTATCATGAAAATCTAATGCAAGAAGGAAAAGGGAAAAGACACATAAATTACTCAAGTCTTCTTTTAGGCTGTTTGAAAAGTTTAGTAAATGTTTTAGATAGAAGAAGGAGTGGAAAAGATAGGAAGAACTGTCGTGAAAATTCATTTCTATCTCACATCAGTGTTTAAGGTAAATGATACTAATTCAAACTGAATTATTTTCAAAACTCAACTCTTCGTAGTGACTTAACTCTCTTTGTTTTTCTGATGTTCATTGATAAATATGTTCTCCCTTCTCTTGAAATAGGAAAGTTTAAAAAACTACTCTTTAAGAGGTCAAAGGACAATACGATCCTATGTTTAGAAAAACCTAAAGATGCCACCAAAAAACCATTAGAATTGATAAACAGCTTCAGTAAAGTTGCAAGATACAAAGTCAACGCACAAAAATCATTAGCATTTATATATGCTAACAACAATCTGAAAAAGAAATAGAAAAAGCAATCCCATTTATAGTAACTACAAAAAAATTTAATAATACTCAGGAATAAATTTAACCAAAGAAGGTAAAGATCTTTATAATGAAAACTATAAAACACTGATGGAAAAAAATGGAAGGATATTAAGAAAAGAAAGATATCCCATGTTCATAGATTGGAATAATTAATATTGCTAAAATGTCCATACTATCAAATGTGATAAACAGATTCAGTGCAATCTCTACCAAAATACAAATGACATTTTTCATAGAACCAGAAAAAAATCTTAAAATTTTCATGGAACCACAAAAGACCCTGAATAGTCAAAGCTGTCCTGAGCAAAAAGAACAAGGCTTGAGGCAGCACACTACCTGCCTTCAAAATATTCTACAAAGCTATAGTAACCAAAACAGCATGGTACTGGCATAAGAATAGACAACACGTAGACCATGGAACAGAATAGAGAACCAGAAATAAGTGCACACATTTACAGCCAACTCATTTTCAACAAGGACAACAAGAGTTACAGATAATGAGGATGTCCTCACTATTCCCAGACTTAATGAACCATAGAAGTATCTAAAGCTTTGTGAATGCCTTTACACGTAAATCAATGTTTTAATAAGGTCCTTTTGCTACAAATAGTAAGAAACTCATTTTAAATGTTAAACTAGTGACTTTAACTGCCAGTGAGAAATGAGGATGACACATAGCATGGTAAAGCAGAAACCTATAGAAACAAGTCAGGTGGTGTTGACTTCATCCTGACTAACCATCTGGATGACTTTGAGGAGACATTAATGTTTATGGGTCCAGTTCTATAAAAATAGGGAGGTGCACAAACTCATCTTTCAAATTCAGTACAGATTAAAATGTTTAAGACAGGTGGTTTATAATAAAGTTGGCTTTCTGCTATGGCCAGAATAAAGGAGAAACTTTGTCTTAGAACCAGTCTGGAGTTCAGATTGTACTGTGTTAAGGTTTGGTTCACATGGTCATTCTGAATGCAGTCATAAATATATGTTTCACTGGAATTAAAAGCTACACTAACTAAAATTTCAACCCTTCCTTGCAAAATATTCTCATTTCTATCCATTTATAAATCCCTGGGTGTAGAAACTGATGGAGGAGCAAGATATTCCCTTTGAAGAAATTGTCCACCTGATTTAGGGCCAAGTAGATTAAGTGCATCCTAATTTTACTACCTTCCTTGTTTACCTAACTGGGTAATTATTTTGTAAAAAACATAATTTTCTGTGGTGACTCTATTTGCCTCATTACTTGGGACTTTATAACTTAATGGGTTGTGTTCTTTTAGTCAGAATCATACTGTGATGGGTCATGCCTCATCCCCTAATTTTCCAGATATGGAAAGGAAAGGGCATTTTCTCAGGTATAAACATGAAGCCACCTGAGGTCACTCTAAGAGAACAAAAACAGAACAGAACAAAAAATCAACAGAAATAAATCCAAAAAGGCCCCCAAAAACAGAGACCTCCAGTCTGGGAAGACTTTCAGTAAATAACAATCCAGTTCCAGTCCCTGCCAGGACAAGTGCAATAAAACTGTAGCCACGAAGTAAAAACACAGATGGCTCACTCACACTTAGTGAACAGTAAACAGAGAAAAGAGCATCAGAGCCAAATGCAGCCCAGACACCACCAGTGAGGTCACAGAGTCCGAGGAGGATTGAAAAGCCCCTGAAAAGCCCTTTTTCTACCATGCTATCTCTGTTCCATACGGAGAGGTGACTAACCTCAGACTCAGGAAAGTAGAGTCTCCGAGCCTGTGCCACTTCATGGAGTTGGCCTTCTCCTGAAGGGCTCTAGGAGTGACCCAGTCCTTACACCGTGTCCTGCCCAAAGAAGACCGGAACTGGAAGATCCTGGTTTTGTCTTATTTTATTTGCTTTGGTTTGGTCCTCATAGGAATGTTTTTAGGAGGAGAAATGAATCTATGTAAGGACACTTGGGTCCTTTCACCTAGGGAACCGAGAGAGAGCTGTAGGGAAGGAAAGCTACAGTAACATGTGGAAGCTGGTCCACTGTGGGTGTGGGACAACCTTCTCTATAGCCCTGATCATTTTTAAAAACTATTTGCAAATGAGTCTTATTCCTCTCTACTACATGCAGCTCATCTCTTCTCATTCTGCCCTTTGTGGAAATACCATAGTAGCTGTTAACTCTTCCCCACTTAATAATCATGAAATATTCTTTCCCCCTTCCTGAAGTATAGCTCCAAATCAGTCTTACGGAAGAAATCTTAATTCCCAGTTCTAGCGTCAAATCCCTTTGAGAAGGCTGTACTCTGGGGACATGTACATATATGTATGTATATGTTACCATGTGATAAATAAGGCATCTTCCTTCGATTAATCAGTGGCAATTAGCACCAAGCTCGAAGCCTGATCTGTTACATATCCAGAGTCCATGGAAGAGTTCTCAGTTTGTGGACTCCTGAGGCACTGCCCTAGCTTCTAGACCACCAAGCTCCTTCTGAATACTGTTCAGCAGCTACAGGGGACACCCATGAGAGAGTCAGTGATGTGGAGTCACAATCCCTGCCAAGTATCTGTTACGCATATTACCAGGAGGGGAACCTCTTAATATTTCTGCTTCATTCTTTATACAACTAAAACTTAATAATAAATACTACCCTTAGAATATTATTAGGAAGTTCTTGCCTGCTGAAAGGCAGAATTTTAGAACAAATATGTTTTTTTTTCTTTCTTTGTCCTCTCAACCCTGCTCTCTAACCTTTTTCCATGGAAGAATAGTAGAAATAAAAGAAAGCACAGAAAGTTCCAGAATAGTTTCCACTTGCTCAGATGTGGCAGAATAAAATTAAAGTCCTCCATATCTAAAACATGTATCCTCTGTATCTTACTCTTGAATTTTGATAAAAAGGTTGATTAAAAATATCACAATATCTGCTCCTAGAAAATATCAAATTCACTTTCATTACTAAATGGTAATTTCTTTCTAAGTAAATGATTAACTACATTTATCATGATACTCCTTTTTTTAAGATAAGGAAACTGAGAACAACAAAAACCAAGTAGTTTTCCCAAGACCTCAGAGCCATTTCAGCAGCCAAGCCAGTCTTGCTGGCTCTCAGATGCAAGCTCAGGCTTGTGTTCCAAAATGAACACACAAGCCTGCACACGCGTGCATGTGCACACACATATAGACACCTTTCCTACCTCATCAAATCCCATCTTGTCTGGATATTTAGGGACAACTGAGACATACTGGGAGGGTTCCATTGGAGGACGGTCAACTGGAAGACACAAGAAACATGCAGAGTGCTTTGTTAATGAAAGGGTCAGAAATCAGAATTCCATCCGCATGCCTGATCTCTAGGGTTGGAATATAACTTGGAAATACAGGGCAGGGGACAATGGCAGCAGTTCTCCAGGATTGAGTAGCCACACAGGAACCCTGCTGGTCAGGGCACTGGTTTCAGGAGCATTTGATTATATGGAGATTGCAACATTTGCTCCACTTCCCTTAAGACTTATTTCAAGAATATTTGGGAGGCAGTTTAGGATAATGGTTAAGAGGAAGGGCTCCAGAGTCGGATGATCTGGGTCCAAACCTTGGTTTGCGAAGGAGTAGGAGAGTTAGGGGACCTCTTTAAGCTCATTTCTTTGGTGTAAAATTGGGATAATAGAAGTGTATCTGTGTTATAAAATTTAAATGAGACCTGCGTGCAAAGCACTCACCACTTTAACACAGTAAATGCTCAACAACTCTTAGCTATTACTTACTATGGCCCATGATGAAAGAGCTCAGAAATAGGCTAGAATTTTTACTGAAAAACACTTTTTTCTCTGCATTTAAAATTGTCAAAGTGGGGGACTATTTTTATCCCACCTGGGCAGGTTTAGGTGTGGGTGCGCAAAAGGTCCATTGCTTTAACAGGATCTAACCACAGAGAGCTGGCCCATGTCTAATGGGAAGATTCCAGCTGGGAGTGACACTACTTCTTCAATAATGAAAGTTTTATTTATTTGATACTCTAAAAAAGCTTCCTTTGCAAACTATGTATTTTAAAGTTTGGAAGTAATATTGGTTAAGAAACCTGAAAAGGCCTTGAAGAATGTTTAGTATTATAAAAATTCAAAGTCCTCGAAGAATGTTTAGTATTATACAAATTCAAAGTCCTCATTTGATTTTCCTTAAAGGGATAATACAAAGAAAATTTAAAATGATAGCTGGTAACTGGGTTGTTGAAAGAACTATGGGTAATGGCCATGACTACTGTAACGTATCTGTTCACCTCTATTCCAGGCACAGGAGAGGAATACACTCTCTTGCCCTTGAAGTTACTCAGGGCTATATGACTTTCTGGGGAAAGTTTATAGTGTGGTGCTGCTGCTCCACTCTCCAAGGGCTCCCCCGACACTGCCCTTGGTCCCACCACTGTGCTCATAGCGGCATGTGTGGATATGGATAGCAGATGTGAATTGGAAGCAGCCTGGAACATTGCATCAACACATGAAGGGCAGCTCCCAGGAAAGACACCTGCTCTGCAGACTTGGATAGCAAGAAATAAGCCATTGTTGTATGAAGCCAATCAGATTTTTATATTCCAGCATAACTTTGCCCATCCTGAGATACTGTCCAAAGGGTATGATCTGTTTAACTTCACTGAAATATTATAGAGAAATCCTGACATCCAATTTTACTTATTGGCGAATGATGTGAAATTCTAGAACGTAGTGAGACAGAGTTCTTAGGCCAAACACAAGAGCTGGTCTCATTACTTCAAACTTGACACTTACAGTCATATTTCTGTGCATATGCAGTGCATGTCTTTGTCTTCCCAATAGCAGCCGAGAATATTCTGGTCCTTTCTGCTCCACTCCACTCCTTATTAGTTTCTTTTAAAATCAATAGGGAGGGTCCACCAGGTACACGGTTAGGTTTTTAAGAGAAAGAAGCTTAATGTACCAGCTTCCTCCTGTTCATGATATTGTCTGAGGAGCTGTCTCACTCTCCCTCCTGGGGCCTGAGACTTGGGAAGATGTTATATTTTGAGTTACCCATTCTAGGCTGCTGGTCTCCTTTGGACTCACATGGCCTGTGTGGCTTTAACATTTCAGCCAAAGAGACTGCTTTTAGCCACTTTGTTTCCATCAAACATAGGCAGTCATTGCATTCACAGGACAAGTGTTGCAAAAAAAAAGCCACAAGTGGTTGGCTCCCGAAAGTCATCACTGAGCAAAAATATCAGAGAAGTGTGCTTGGGTTTTGCCACTGAAGGCAGCAGTAAGCCACAGAGGAAAACAGGAAGTGATACAGTGAGTCAGACCTAAGAAACTTAGTCTGTGGGGAGAAGGATGTATCTTTGCTGACAACAGACTTGAAGGTTAGGTATATCCTGGCTTCTGTTTGTAGTCATTTCTGACTCCATCTTTCATAATTGATCTGGTCTCTCATTAAATCCCTTCCTGGAAATAATCCTTCCCTGTACTGCCACTTGGGACAATGGGCTTCATTGCTTTCGGGATAGTTTCAAGATCTAATGTGAATAATTACAGCCATTGTTACAGAGGTCTTATCACTCACAGAACCCAGAGTTCTGTGAGTGATATATATATATGTCACATATATACTTGACATATATAATCACATATATTTAATGTTCACATGTACCATGGGATATGTATGAGTGTCTCTATTTTTATAGACAAGGAAACAAACATTAAATAACTTGCCCAAGATCACAGAGCTGATAGAGCTGGTATTTGAACCTAGGTCCTACTCCTTTACCGGAGCTCTTAATTCCCATTCCACATCATCCCCAGAGCTAGTCCTTGGTGGCCACTGGTATTAGCCAACCAGGCAACTGGGCTGGGTCCAGAGTAGCTCATTTAAGCCCAGTCATGTCTGGAATAGTACATGATAGATTGTACTTGGATCAAATCCTACCGCTTCTTCTCTATAATTTCTCCTGAACTTCTTCCATTGTTGCAGCCTAGCTTGGGTCCTTACCCACTATGCCTGGGCTGTTTTTGATTTTTTTCAAACACTTACATGCTCTCAGTCTTTCCTATTCTAATTAATCATGCTCACTGTTGTCAAAATAATCTTCCGCCGCACAGCTCTGTTCTCAACTGTAACAGTCACACTCAACACTATATTTAAGGGCTTAACAGGTTGCTAGGTGTTTTCATAGTCACCATGTAATTTTATCTTCACTTTTTTGTGGTGGTTTTTTTTTTTTTTTTTTTTTTACAAATAAAGAAACTGAGACCAAGCCAGATGTAGACTTGTCCAAGGTCAAATACTGAGTGATTGGCAGAGCTGGAACTCAGTTTTAGACATAACTTCAAGTCCAATTATCTTAATAATTTTTACATGATGTACTGTTGTCTCAAAATGTCAATACTGAGAGCAGGTACCTGAGACTTCCTATCACCTTATGCTGTAATTTGCAAGAGTAATCTCCTCATGCTTTATAGACCATTTAAATCTAACATCTTTATAAGATCTGGCCTCCTGTCATTCATCTCCCGAAGGCAGCACATCCCCAAATTCTCTGTGCAGCTTCTAATGTACTAAATGAGTTATCACATGAAAAGAGATGGGCACAGTGCTTTTAATAAGTGTTAGTCATTGTCGTCATAACCCTTCTCCCACCTCACTCAAATTCTTCAACTCTGATTTCTAAAACTCCAGTCTACAATTCAGAAATTCCCTGACCATCCCCTTCACAAGATTTTCAATTCTCGTCCACTGATGCCTGATAAAACCCTAATCCTGGTTAAACCCATTGCCCACTTACTCAGCACCAAGAGGACTACTGGGAGAAACATACACAATTGTGTTGACTGAGTCACTTCAAAGCTACAATCACAGATGTCAAATTGGCACTTGACACCACCAAATGATGTAAGTGTCCTTTCATAGTAAATTTATTTTCCCACTCTTTGAGAGATTGTATCTTTTGTCTTCTCTCTCCTAAAATCTCCAAAATCTCTGTCTAGCTCATGACTGACTGGCCTATATACTTCAGAAAGAAAATATTCAAAATCAAATTAGATCTACCTTTTCAATCCACCTCAAGTCCACAAACCAAACTGCATGTGTATCAATACATTCTGCCATCCCATCTGCCACAGTAGATGAAGTTTCTATCTAGTATAGCCTCTGCAATATTGTTCTGGGCTGCAACCCAGGACAAAAACCCTCTTGTTTTCACCTTATAATTACCTTCTCTTTTACATCATCAAGATCTCCTTATATACTGGATCCTTGTGACTGGCATAAAACATACTGTTATATTTCTATTTTTTTAAAAAAACAGTACAAACAACCTAACCAGAAAAACCTTTCCCTTGACCTCTTACCCCCAACAGCCTCCATCGGATTTCTCCATTTCCCCATCCCATCAAGATTCAGCTTTCTCATCTCCCCATTGGCTTCTCTTCAGTCCACTTGAATGGATTTGTGTTCTCATCATTGCACTGAAGTGGCCCATGTCAAGGTCATCACAGACCTCTCTCTTGACAGAACCAATGACCAATTCTTTATCCTTATTTTCCTTGGCTTCTCAGCAGCATCTTGGCTCCGTCTTGAAACACTTCTCAATTTTTCCTCCTAGCTCTCTGGCTGTTTTGTCTTCCCCAGGGATCTGTCCTCTTCTCATCCTGTGTTCTTTTACTACATGAGTTCAGACTGTTCCACAGCTTCAAATATCCTTCTGATGCTGATGATTCTCAAATATCTGTCTCTAGCTGGAGTTTCTTCCCTGAACTCCAGACTTATATATCCAACTATCTTCTGCCTTTCTATTTAGATGCCTATTAAATATCTTAAACTTACGTGACCAAAACTAGCTCCCCAACCCCCAGTCTTTTTCTATAAAGTCTTTCCCATCTCAGTAAATGGCATATCAGGCTAAAATCTTGGACTCATCTTGATTCCTTTCTTTCCTTCATGGACTGCATTCAGGTCTCTGTAAGTCCTGTTGCTCCACCACCAAAATATATCCTCAACCTGTCTGTTTCTCATCAACTCCTTGCTAGAGCTCACATCCCAATCACCATCATGTCCCACCAGGAGAGAGGTACTGGTCCCCTACAATCTAGTATCCTCACCACAGCCCAAATGATCCTTCTAAATGCACAAGTCACTTCAGGCCATGCCCCCTCTGCCCCACCCCATCTTCCACGGATTCCCATTACTCTTGGAGTAAAATCTAAATTCCTTACCATGGCCAGAATGTTCGGTGTGATCTGGACATTTCTTCTTCCATTACTTCATCTCCCTTGACCCAACTCATTCTTTATGCCCCAATCATGCTGGCCTTTTGTCCCTGGAACACCCCCAAGCTTTTCCTGTCTAACAGTCTTTACATGTGCTGTTCTTTCCACTTGAGACATTCTTCACCCAAATATTCATATGGCTGCTTCCCAGATATATTGTCTATTGTCTAACTCTCTGTGTTAGAATATAAGTTCCCTGATGGCAGGGCTTCTGCCTGTTTTGTTCACTGCTTTATGCCCAGCATCTTGAACAATCTGCGGGGTACAGTATGTGTTGAATAAATCCTTACAGCCTGATTATCTCTTCTAACACCTTCATTGGCTCCTTAAGATAGGAATTCTTCTTTAGCTGAAGAAGAATTCAAGGACTACAACAATGAAGCCACTCCACCCTCTCGAACTTTATTTCTGCCTACTGTTTTAAGTCAGCTCTCCTTCAGCATGAGAATACTTCGTCTTTTCTTGGTCTGTTTCCTCTGCCTGTAGTGTCCTCACCATACCACTCTTCTTGTTTAAATTTTACACTTGTACCCAAGCTTAGCCTAAGAACGATTAGGACTTGAGGCTCTCCTGGATCACACAGGCCATAGCAATCTCTCTCTATCCCAAATTCCTATTTCTTTGATATTTTCTCCTTTCTCAAAATGCTATACTGTGTTGTTAGTGTTTTTTTAACATCTGTCTGTTTCTCCTATTAAATCATACATACCTGAAAACAGAGAATTGATCATAAAATGTTTTGAATCCCTAGTACCTTCAGAGAAGACGCATACATTACAGGCATTCTATGTTTGCTCATGAACAAAATGCATATACTAATGCAAGCTTGTTCAACCATGGCCCGCAGGCCACATGTGGCCCAGGATTGCTCTGAATGTGACCCAATACAAATTTGTAAACTTTCTTAAAACGCTATGTGATTCTTTTTGTGATTTTTTTTTTAGCTCATCAGCTATTGTTGTGTTAGTATATTTTATGTGTGGCCCAAGACAATCTTTCTTCTTCCAGTGTGGCCCAGGGAAGTCAAAATATTGGACACCCCGTTCCTATTCTTCAATCAGTATAGTCTAACAACACTATTAGCAGCCATTTATTTACTGCTTATTGGGTTCTAGGCACTATGCAAAGTGTTTTTAACACCTAGTTAATCTTTTATTAGAGAAGGATACTTGACTGATAGGATTTTGTCATTACCAACTTTTTATCAATCTTACACGGACTTCTAGGCCATATTTCTTCATTATACACCTCAAAATTTTATTTTTCCAACATTTTCTTACTCCTATTGTGTTCTATATTTTTAGAATTCAGGACAGAAGGTAAGTATAAGAATGAAATAAAATGCGATATGTAAAGTGCTTAGCACTAGAGGTGGCATGTGTTGGGAGATCAATGATGAAAGCTATAATTTACAGGTTCTTCTCAAATGAACTCTACCTGGCTAGCATGGTAGTGTGCATATTTGTAATTTACAATCATTAAAATCTTTATTGATGACACGTGCATTTCTGTGTACTGAGAGCTTATACTCTCAGCCCTGTGGGAGAAAACAAGAGAACATAAGGTCTGGCTGGCCTCTCTCTGAGGCCAGAGAGACTCTCCCTACTTGGGAGTCGAGACCGAGAGCCATGAAACAGGGATAATAAGGGACAGCACTTTATCGAGAGGTAAATGGAGTCATAATAATAGCAACACCTCATTATTTTATGGAGTTGATATAGTCTTTTATTTGCTCTTCTCAACATTGCAAAATCACTCTATAGATGAAGAAACTGAAGTCCTGAAATCTGATTCTCCCTTCAAAAGCGACAGTGTCTAAGTTCAAGCCCATTATTCTCGCTTTGGGTTCAGTGCCCTTGTCAATACAGTTTTCATTCATTCATTTGCTCATTTGTTCATGCATTCAGCAGATTTTTTTTGGTAACAACTACATGCCACGCACTGTGCTAGGTGCTTGGAATACAAAGCAATAAGATGCCACCCATATCCTTTAGGGCCTAGAACATAGGGAAAGTGGCAGAAAAAGTATGTATTAAAGAAATTCGCAAAGGAGATTCCTGAGGGCTGGTTCAAGAAATACTGTCACAGTGAACCAGCTCCTTATTTCATCATTTCATCATCATTCATTCAGTCATTTAACAAATATTTGCTGGGCATCTACCACGTGACAGACAATGTGCTAGGTCCTGAGACTAATATGATGAAAAAGGAATTTATAGTGTAGGAGCAAGGGAGTGGGAAGCAGATACTCATAGACAACTCAATGGATCTAAAAATAAACTCATGGTCTCTGTTTTCTTTTCTTTTCTTTTTCTCTTTCTTTTTTTTTTTTTTTTTTTTTTTGAGATGGAGTCTCACTCTGTCACTCAGGCTGGAGTGCAATGGCGCGATCTTGGCTCACTGCAACCTCTGCCTCCTGGGTTCAAGCAATTCTCCTGCCTCAGCCTTCCGAGTAACTGGGACTACAGATGTGCACTACCATGCCCAGCTTATTTTTGTATTTTTAGTAGAGACAGGTTTCACCATGTTGGCCAGGCTGATCTTGAACTCCTGACCTCAGGTGATCCACCTGCCTCAGCCTCCTAAAGTGCTGGGATTACAGCCATGAGCCACCATGCCAGCCATGGTCTCTCTTTTCAAACCTCTCCTTTATGCTACATGCCCTATTCCATTTAAAGTTCCTAAAATCACCCCCAGACACTCAAGACAGAACTTGGGAGTTTTCTCTATGCCTCCCTTTTGCTCATCTACCTACAATCAACTCTTGGCTATGTCCTTTCAAGCCTATGTCCTAAGCTTCTGTTCCTTCCTCTCCATTCCCACTGTTACTGCTCTAGCTCAGGTCCTCACCACCTTTTGCCCAGTAGCCGTGAAATGTCCAAAGTGGTCTCTTCACCCCTGGCCTGAGACCAGCAGCCACTGCCCATGCATCCCATGCATGCTCCACCTACACTTTTCTTACCTGTAGAGTGACCTTTCTAAATCCAAATTCAACCTGACATTTCTGTGCTAAAATCTTTTTGAGCGTGCCTGTCCTTTCAGCTGAAGCCCAAATGCCTTCTTATACATCAGAGCCTCTTGGCGGGGCTCCTGCCCACTTTCTAGCCTCAGTTTCTGCTGTTCCTCCCTAACCACCTCCACTGCCCACGTTCACACCCCCGTGCTCTACTGATGAATAACAGAAAATAGTCCCTGCTTTGGGAAGCCATTTCAACATCTTCCCCTAGGTTAGGTGGATTGGTTACTTTCTCTTTTAGCCACCATTGTACATCACACATAATAAAAAGCATAGCTACTGATGACTGAGCACAGCAATTCATGCATCATGCCAGACCCAGAGGCAATAACAATAGTGTTTAAGGACATGAACTTTGGAGATAGCAAGATGGGTTCAAATCCCAATCTGTCATTTGTTTAGCAGAATGATCTAGGGCAAGTTACTTAAGGTAACATCTCATTGTTTTTCATCTTTAATATGGGCATAATAAAAACCCTTCATTGAATTGTTGCAAGGATTAATGAAACAACAATGAAACAGTTTTGTACACTTTAATGTACAAAAAGTGCTTAGCATTTTATGATGTAACAGTGATATCTGTTACATCATGAGCTATTATTAAGTTAAAGTCATAACTACTGTGGCTGTATTAGCCTTTTTACATATACCATAATGAATCTGCCCAAAAACCCTGGAAGTTTTCATTATTTCCATTTTACAACTAAGGATATTACTTGCTCAAAGTCATATAATTAGAAAGCAGCCAAGTTAGGGTTTAAGTCCACACCACAAAACACTATTATAGCACTTATCAGATCTTTTGGAAAGTATTTACTTGTGTACCCAGCGCTCTTCCAGGATGGGAAGCTCCCACATGGCAAAGACCTTGTCATATTCATATTTCCCATAGGAAAAATTTAGGAAAGAATGAACAAATAAATAGCTATGTATTCAGCCAGGGGAGACTGATGGCTGTGAGATTCCAATCCTGGAAGAGGAGGGAAGTGGCTGGTATGGTCACTGTGGCAATGGAACGAGAGCCATCCCCTCTGCTCCTGGGTCACTCACTCATTGCTTCAATCTGCACATGGATGAGGTTCTCGATGTCTTCCTGCAGTGTCTGATGGGGCTTCAGGGGGATGGGCAGGTAGCCATAGTGCTCTCTGTTGCAGAGGTACATCTGGATGCCTGAGGATCCAAGAGAGGGACAAAGCCAACAATCAGAAAACATACTGCTGAGTGACAAGCGAGGAGAAGGAACCTGAACTGTGTCTGATGCTGAGTTTGACACTGCAATTAAATAAGTGGTTGTTTCAGGTATGTCTATAGACCTAAAAAATGCTCCTTTATTAAAAAAGTAAAACACAGCATTGGGGACTAATAAAAACACTCGGCTATTCTTCAGCCCAGAGGAAATTGATTTTTTCCCTCTGAAGAAAAAGCAAACTCATGGCCTGGAATGAACAAAAAAGGCATGAAAGGATCAAAAGGGAGGCAAGGAATTCCCATTCTGGAGAGCAGAATGGAACACTGTAATCCACCTACAGGAAATAACAAGAAAATGAGGAATGAAATCCACATTTGATATGAAAGCAAACAGGAAAATTCTGTAACGCTGACAGATTATTAAAGCTAAATCTAGGCATACATAGAACAAAAAAACGAAAAAACGAAGGAAATTTAAAATTCTCCAAGATTCTCCCTGGTTTTATTGCTTCCCTTAGCAGGCATGGATTTGGAGCCAACCAACAGACATGAAACTTCCAAAATCAGTTCATATAGAGACAAAAGAGTCTGCATTTCAGAATGTCCTGTTAAGAACCTGTAGTGTGACAATACCAGAAGTATGCAATACCCTTCTCATATTCAAATTGTTCTTCATAGCCCCACCTGATAACTTGCAGAGTTATAAGGCATCTGTGTTTAACCAGACAGCTAGAAATATAGGAATCAGGATGGTCTCATACACATCATTGGTCAGCAATTGACACTCCTGATCAATGATAAGACTGCTTAGTGAAAAGGATGAGTCCGCCATGTATCCAAGCCTCTGGTCCATGTATCCAAGCCTGTGATTTGTTAATTGCGATAATTGTCAGTGTTTTCCAGAGAGATAATTATCTGCATAGGGACTCCTCTATTTTGTGCAGATGAAATTTCCTCCAGTCAGCTACATCATCTGTCAAATCAGGTGAAGCTGTCTCATGGCATTAACAGAGAGGAAGGAGAAAAGAAAATAACCTTTATTCCCTGCTTTTACTGAATCTGGCTTGAATCAAGGCTGGTCTACCAAGCACTGTCCCTTCTCTTGCCTTCACCGAGCAAACTCATTAGCTCTGCTGTTTGCCCATATGAATGCTTCTGGGGAGCTTCAAAGTGCACCTTCTTGTAAAGTCATGATGAATTCAGGAAGTGGAAGGAAAAATATATTAAAGTTGCATCTCTACCCTAATTAGGCAAACCATTTTACCATTTAACTTTCTGAGGCTTCCATAAAAAAATGATATGATACCTATCCAAATTATCCATCAAGTGTGAGGGTACAAGGAAGGCATTTTTAGACATGCAAGACCATAATATATTTACTTGCCATCATACTTTCTCAGAAAGCTGCTGGATGATGTGAGAGAAGGACGAGGAGGAAAGGAAGGAAGAGGAGGAGGAGGAAGAAGAGGAGGACGATTATAACCAACAAGAAAGATTATAAACAACATGAACAGGAGAGTCAGTGTATAAGAGAAGAGAAATAAGTCTTAGGTTGATAGCTTCAGCACCACTTGGATTAGAATATATTAGAAAGCTCCAGAACAGACGTCTTCGCAAATATGCAAAAAAGGACATCTGACAAATCTGGACATTCTGAGAGGAGTTTGAGGTAATTAGTGATTAGTTTTGGATCATACTAGTAATAATAAAACTAAGCAAAAAAGGCAATTATTAAAGGAATTGCCTCCAAAGAATGGCAAAGGAAAACTAATCATAGCCTATGAATGACCAAGCTTGGAGTTAGGCTTGCATGATTACAACAAGAACACTGACCATCAATCTGTTTGAAATTACAATGGGAGAACAGGGTGATGAGAAGAATGTGTTTGCATGCAGAGGGCAAAAAGGAAGAAAAAGAGCTAACTCCTCACAGTCTATAGTGGAGAGTCAACAAATAATGCCCACGGTGAAGCCAGAAAATCAAGAAGTAGCAATGCATGCATATTATTTAACATGGAAGTAAATATTAGAGATAAAAGTGGTTGCCTTCTGGAGGACAGAAGTGATGCAGGGTGATGTGCAGGGGACTGTTCATTTCTTAATAAACCATGGGGAACTATATGAATACTTTCAACCATGTGCATGGGCAGTTTGATAACAGAAAATTTAAAAGAAAATGTATTAATAATTAGATAAAGTCTATGAAAGAGTCTGCACTCCCAGTGAATGCTGCTTCTGGGGAAGACAATTTTTCTTTTGAAAAAGAGAAGTGAATTACGCTACATTTTGAAGGACTGTTTTTCTTTTAAACATATTAAACATTTTCTTGTACTCATATAGTACCTTAACATTGCAGATTGATGTAATTATCCCTATCTTTGGTGATGAAAAATCAGATTCAGGCTGTCACTTGTCCAAGGTCACATAGTAAGTCATTAGTGCCAAATCTTTGTCCCTAAAGAGCCAATGCCAAGTGCTTTCTACCCAGTCAGTAATTGGAAGCTCAGTTCCAAGACCATTAGTCACTAGGGGATTGCCATCCCTCCACAAGGGGACAAATTTGATCACTACCAGTGGTGTTCAGGATCTGTCTGCCCATTGCCCATATCACTCACCTCTTTTGACTCACATCAGACATTTGGAAGACGACTGGCTGGCACTGGGATGATTCCTGTGGCCATGATACAGAACCCAGATCACTGGCCACAATGGGAGGTGAACTCTTGACCCTGGACTCATTACAGGAACAGAGACGCGCCTATGACCATATGTGCTCTCTTCTTGGGCTAGAAGGGTGGCCAAGCCCTGCTCACCAGCACACTTGGATTGCTCCTCACTCATCACCCACATGGGGCAATGGCTAGAGTCTGGGGTGAAAGATTTAGGACCAAGGTTTGTGGTTGGATGGTCCTGCCTGGGACATAGATGATACACAGCTAGGGAGCTTCAGAAGAGTGAGAACAAAAGAATACCAATCATATTTCATGAAGAAAGAGGAAAGTGCTTTGCTTTGAAACTAAGGAAGGAAGAGCCTGGAGACATGCCCTGGGCTGCACATGACTCCCAGGCTCATTCATGTTTCTCTTGAAAATACTTAGAGATAAGTACAATATTACCTTAAAATCCACAGTTGTCAAGAAAGACCTTTCATTTCCCCAAAATGACAGTGAATCTTTCCTGCCTTGACTCCTGCCCTGTTCATGGTCTGCACCGCCAGTCTGGCCCTTAGCTTTCACTGCTTCATGACTATTAGTTGTGTTTTCACATGTAAAAATCTTAACTCCCAACTAACACCGTGCCAGGAACAGAAGGAAACACTTGGGAGTTCATCCTCTCTCTTTCCTTTTCTATCTCCTCTTCCCAAATGAGTCACCAAACAACTTTGGGTGTCTACCTGCTTTCAATGTTCTAAAAAAGCCTTTTCAAAGTCTGACCAATAACACACAAAATCCTGGTGAACAGGCCAAGCACAGGGCAGAGCTGAAAAATTCCTGCTTAACCTGAATCATTTTTCCCATACCAATATCCAGGTATTGGTTTCATACAATGTATCATAATAATTTAGTTCATTGCATCATAATAATGCTTTGTGCAGTGACTATAAAGGAGGACTCTGTTAGGCAGTGTCATTCGTGTAATTGTTAATATCTCACTTTCTTGGAACATCCTAACTTCAACCTCTGAAGGAAAGGGATTGGCACTCAAAGGACTCAAAAAGCCCTGACTTTGCTTCCCATCCTGGGGAAGTCAGAGCAAATCACAGACCAACTGAAAGAAGGAGTTTCCATTAACACTGACATAGGAATCTTTACAAAAATCTTCCAATCATATGAGGATTGCTTTTGCCTAGACATAAGGGCTACAAAATGCCTACACCTGGCCAAAGGGTCTAAATTGCTCCAGCAGCCAAGGGGGAAATCAGCCTGACCCATTTCTACCAAATATTCTTATTCTCAGCAAATCTACAACTGATGAGTGGGACATCTATGGCTTTAAGGAGAGTCTGATGTGTGAATTGTAGCTTGAATTTGTATTAACATTCTCATCTGCCAGCCACTTCCTCAGCTGCCGGAGGATCTTTGCACCATCTTTTCCACCCTCAGTTATATGGCCACAGTGAGTTTATTCACCATCTTCTTGGTTTATGAACGTATTTTTGCTAGTGGTTAAGTGACACATTTCTGGCACATTAATAATGGGACCCAACTTCTGTCAGGAAAGTCTGAATTATCCTAACAAAGCTTTGCTCTGTTAGATGCCATGTGTCTTGCTGTTGAACTGCTCTTGTGAATTTTGTCCTCCTGAAGCAAGTGTAGGGTGAAATGAGAGAAATAACTTTCCTTCCTGTTGACTTGTCTTTCTCAAAAATCTCCAGGCCCCACTAGAAATGCTTTCCCAGTGGTTCATAAAAGACCTCAGTCTCGCTTTGCCTCTCCTTCCACAGGGACTGAGGCTGAGACTGTTCGGTGCCTCTTTATCTGTTCTTTCCTTCTTCTAGAGTGTGAAAATTGCAGTGCATGCATGCAGAGAATAAAGACGACATTCTGAGCCTCCCTTACAGTGAGGTATTGTCCTGTGACTAAGCTCTAGCTAACAGGATTTGCATGGAAGTACTGCATTCAACTTCTGGATTGCACACTTCAAGGGACAGGGAGAGTTCTCCCTGTTGTTTCTGCCTTGCTGGCTGAAACGCATCCATGGTGGTGAGACACCTGGGACTCCACAATTAAGGGCAGTACCTCGTGGAGTGTGAGAAGCAATACACAAGAAGCCTGGGACTCTGAACACTTTGTGGAACAAAGCCACTACAGCAGCTCAGACTTTTTCAAGAAGAAATAAACTTCCATTTTTAAAGTCTGGGGTCTTTGCCAGTGTTGTTTTAGGCCTCTGTGACAGTTTCCTAATTAATAAATGAACTTCTATAATAAACAATTGCAATGCAGTAGCACCACAGAGAAGCAATCACCTTCCCATAATTCCCAATATCACCACCAGTCCCTCCAACTCAAAATAGAGTGGGTTCCTGGGTAGAGGCCAGCCCTGGCTCTTGGTCATTGGTGCTCCCAGGGACAGCAACATAGAGGGTGCTGGTATGGTTATTGCAGACAATTTACTGCCTCTCACTACCAGACATATGAGGGTTTTTTTTTTTAATAAAATGCACAAAACAAAGGAGCTGGTCATTTTGCTGTGTCTCCATTGTGGCACTACAACCAAAGACAAACAGTACCTGCTTGCCTGCTGGAGAAGGCAAAGACAATGATGTCATCAAAGGTCCAGGTGTAGTCCTGGTGTGGGGGGTAGAAAGTCAGCTTGTCCGAGGCCTCCTTCCTGAGGTCAATTAGGAAGGTGGAGTGGACCATGGGGACGGGGAAGCAGCCTGTCCTCTTCCATTCTCGAATCTGAACGTAGTCTGGGGTCCTCTTATAGAAGCCCTGTAAAAGAGCAAATAGGTGGGTTGTGTTTTCTGATTTGAAGTCTTCATCCTTCTCAGTCATTTGCTAGACTGATTCCTTTCAAGTCATTACCAGCTATATACAAGCTCCCAAACAAAGCCACCTTCACTCCTCTTATCATGGCCTATGAATTTCCAAGTGAGCACAAGAAATGCTGTCTACATATAAAATAATACTAAAAGGGTCTTGATATAAGAAGTAACTTTTATTTCAGCATATCTCTAGATTTAATAATTTCATAAAAGTGTATTTTATGTTGACTTATGATTAAATATGAAGCATGAGTATTAAGAAGTGGCAGAGCAGTTAAGGGCACAGGTTCCAGTGTCAGACTCCCTGAGTTCAAATCCTACCTCAGCTACTTATTGTCTGTAGGTATGGGTCAAGTGACTCAACCTTGCTGCGCTTATTTCCTCATCTCTAAAACAGGGATGACGGCACTATCTACTCCATGGGGTTAGCTGTAAAATTTAAGTAAGGTAGAACCTGAATAGTGTTGAGACTACTGCCCAGCACCAAGAATGTATCAGCAAATACCGGCTCCTATTAAAATGACATTACACTGTGGCTAATATTTGTAATTAAACATGCATTACTTAGATATACAAATGAGGGTCTTCTTTCAATGCAGTTACTTAGTCAATATTCTGGTGAAGCTGCAGCTGCTCCATAGTTTTTGGGGATTCAGCTTCTGAAACGTCCTTCTGCACAAGCACACAGGACAACCAATTTCCTTATTCCAAAGCTTGAATCATTTCCAGAAAAGATGAAGATATATCTCAACAAAACATGCTTACAAAACATACTTGTGGAAGCTTTGCCAGGCATTTTGGAAAATGTTCTAGGTGATGGCAGGCTCACTGGAATGAGTGTTAAGTTTTGCAAAGCCAGCACTCCGAAGGGCACCATACTCTGGAAGTTCTTATGTGTTCATTAATCAGTTGCATCACTTCATGGTTACATTTCCTGTTGTAATTCAGCATCCACACATAAGGTGCTACAGCCTCACCTACTTCTCTGACATTCCCTTCAGGTTCTAGAAGAGTGTCCTAGCTGAGCTAACCCTAATGCCGACCCCATGATAAGGGAGGAGGATCAAAAATGAGGACTCAGAAGATGTGGGTCTCAGAGTCATCTTAATCACCTTCTAGCCGTTTGATCTTAGTCCATGCCTACCCTCTTTGAGCCTGAGTTTTTTCTCCTGAAAAATGGGATAACAGCTGCTCTGTCAATCTCATAGAGCTGCAGAATGAATCACATGTGATAAGGTCTATGAACCTATTTTGGGAACTGCAATTCATTATATGAAGTATTATCATTACTATAATGTTTTTATTAGCCTTTAACTTAAGGATCATTTAACATCCTCTATGGTTTTCCTAATACTTCAGCTTATGAGCAGTCTTCCAAGAGATAAAGGGGACTCGGGTTTTTTAAAGGGCTGCCTAAGTACTTGCGTCTAATATAAAGTTCTAGATTACTTAGGAACAATATTCCCAGAATGATTAGCTTGGAAAATCCATGATGATGATGAATCACTGAATATCCTTGGGGTGGGGGTGAGAAGGAAGGAAGCAGGGAGAGTGAGGGAGAATAAATGTGCCTCCTGCAAAGAGGCAGAGATGATGAATGTGTTCCTTTTTCCACATAAATTGAATCTTGTTGGTAATAATTCCTGTTCATTGGCCAGACAACATCAAGGACATTTTGTTTTGAATGAGTTTAAAGGCTCTGGGAACCAGGTCCTGCTTTGAATTTATGAAGTCACTGGCCCTTTCTATTCCTGCTCTAGTAGAGACTAACTGGGATGGTAGAAAGCCAAAAATAAATGGAGGAAAATAATACTTGTCCCTAAGTTGCTCAGAATTTAGTTTTACTGTACAAAACAAGTGAGCACATTTCTCCTATTTGCTTTTAAGCCTGAAAGTAAATAAGGAGATAATACAAATTTGTAGGCTGCGGCCACTAGGATAACCCACCCTTGTTGCTGATGTCAAAGCACAACTCATTAAAAACAACCCTCAAGTGATTCTGCCATGTGAAACACTGAAAATGTATGAATTTAAACCAATATAATGTTTTCTCCCAAGGAAGTGAATGGCTGTTAGAAATATGAACATATTACCTTCCCAAAAGAGACACAGAAAATAGCACGCATTCAAAATCTCTTACAGCTAGAAGAAATAATTACAACAAAAGAGGAATGCTTCATCCAGTGGTGTACTGGACCACACATTGTTAAATTTTCAGAAAGTTTGCAAACCAGTTGACATGTTGATAGCTTGGAATCCATAAAAACAAAAATCACGTTAATCCCCACCACTCTAATGACACCTCATGTGGCAGTTTTACATGTTTTTAATAGCTGTATCATCAAGTGGCTATACTGCAGTTTACTTAACCTTTCCCTTAGCTTAACAACATTTAAGCTGTTTGCATGGTGGGAGTATTTAAACCATAAAAATTGGCAATGCTACCAACTAGGGTTTTTCCCACAAAGAGCCAGTTATTAAACATTTATCAGCACACTACTGACCTTATTTCTCATCCAAAACAAAACCAAATATAAAGGGGAGACTCAAACTTTAGCCCTTTGGCCATGAGAATACATTGAACATACTCCCTCTTTTTTTGAGACAGGGTCTCAGTTGCTTAGGCTGCAGTGCAGTGGTGTGATCATAGCTCACTGCAGCCTCAACTTCTTGGGCTCAAGCAATACTCCCTGCTCAGCCTCCCGAATAGATGGAACTATAGGTGTGCACGACACCACAACTGGTTAATTTTTTGATTTGTTGTAGAGATGTGGTTTCGCCATGTTGCTCATGTTGGTCTCAAACTCCTGGGTTCAAGTAATTGTCCTACCTCAGCTTCCCAAAGTGTTGAAATTACAGGCATGAGACACTGCTCCTGGCCAACATATTTTGCTTAGCACATTTTTATCCTACATTGATACATATTACATTAATCAGTTGAATTTATCTAATTCTTTAATTAAAGAATAAAAAATATAACCAGCCATGAGCATTCACTAAAACAGACCACTATTTTGAAGATTTTACTATGAAAAAAAGAAATAATAAAAAATCAAACCTTTTTTAACTTGAATTTTATAAAAATAACCTACCATGGTAGTTTTCATTATTAGAACTCTTTGGAAATAAATTTGGCAACATACATCGAAGGTCATTGAAATATTTGTACTTTTTTTTTTTTTTTCTTTTTTGAGAGGGAGTCTCGCTCTGTCACCCAGGCTGGAGCGCAGTGGCGCGACCTCGGCTCACTGCAAGCTCCGCCTCCCAAGTTCACGCCATTCTCCTGCCTCAGCCTTCCGAGTAGCTGGGACTATAGGCGCCCAACACCACGCCTGGCTAATTTTTTATATTTTTAGTAGAGATGAGGTTTCACCATGTTAGCCAGGATGGTCTCAATCTCCTGACCTTGTAATCCGCCCGCCTTGGCCTCCCAAAGTGCTGGGATCACAGGTGTGAGCCACCGCGCCTGGCATATTTGTACTGTTTGACTCAGTAATTCCACTTCTAAAAAGCTATCCTAAGGATATAATCTTAAATGCTGAAAAATTATATTAATCATGACGGTCACGATAGTTAAAAAGTTGTGAATAATTTAAATGTTTTTCAAACCGAGATAAAGGTTAAGTAAATTGGAACATAGCCACTTGATGATAACACAGTTACTAAAAACGTGCAAGTTTCTATCTATGATGTTGTTACGGTGATGGGGATTTAACATCTGTCTTGTTGGTTTTCTTTTAAACTTTTTTTAATTTCTAAGTTTTTCTATAGTGTTCTTATGTTAGTTTTGTAAGGACAAAAAGAATTAATTAAAAATAGTAATTCCTGAATCAGGAATTGGCTAATTTGACGTTTCTAAGGCTAAGCTCTTTAGACTATTTTTTTCATAATAAATTAACACAGAAGAGCCCAACTGGGTGTAGCATTGGACCCAGATTTACTGCCCTTCCTAAAAAATGCTTGCTCTGGGAACACAATGACACGCATGTTTCAAGGGAGTAAACAAGAGAAAGGTGAATGGGACTACTGTTGACCGGGTGTTGCCTTGTTAAAACTAGTAGCCTTAATTCATTTAAGCAAAAGACTTGCCTTAGGGGTGATTCCGCACCAGAAATTAGAATACAGGCCCCGAGACTCCAGCATGGGGGCCACAATAGTTTTGTTTTCTGCAATCAGTAGATTGAGGGTCTGTGGATTAGTCAGGAAATTGTCAACATCTATGAACTAGGAAAAGAAAAGGATAATGTTAGGTGAAAAGGTACTTTTCAGTAATGAGTTTGAGAATAACCCAGCCCTTCTGAAGGATCCCAGAAACTTGCTCATGACATATGGAACCAGCTATCTATGTCCTCCTTATTGAAACCCATTGCAGCTAGGTGGCTTTCATTCAGTCAAAATATATTTAGTCTAACTTTCGTATGTTGGGCTCTGCATAAGGCACTAAGCAGTAAATTGGTGCTGCCATACTGGGCATAGCCTCAACCAGGAACCAACCTACACTTTGGCTAGTGTTTTAGGCACAAGATATTAATGGCTCCCAAGCCATTAAAGGTTCATTCAAAAACACTTATTGGCTGCCCAGTCTAGGTACAGATGGGCATGCCTACTTAGCTTTTCTATAGTAATGCCAGAGTAGCTCAAAACAGATCTATCAATGAATTTTAATGTGACAAGTAGAATTTTTGTTTAAGTACATTATATCAACCCATGCTAACCAGTGAAGCTATTTCCTATTCTTAGAAGTCCATGTTAACAGTGATTTATTTAGAGACAGTATAACAACAGATTCTAATTTATAAAAGAAATAATCATACTGAACTATACACTGAAAAAGGGATAAACTGACAGATTTTACCTTTTGTAGGTTTTATCACAATAAAAAATTCAGAAGTCTTCATTTTTATGATAGTCCATCTGTTTACCCCAAATTTTGTGATTTAACATTTGTACACTTCAATGGCATTTAAACAGCTACACAATGTTAAATATTGTCAGTACAATTTGAAAACTTCTATGAAAGGATTTGTGTCACAAGTGTGCGTGATACATTTTTGGGCAGATTTTCACTGTGGTTGAGGGGATGGGGATGGACATAAATTCTCCAAAGAGAGCATCACTGTGCCAAGCAACAGATGCTACTCCCCAGATCATTCAGGAGCAAAAGGGAACCATTTCAGAGCTGTTCAGCTGAATCACTTTTTTAGATAATTACTTTTTCATATCCCCCAAATTCTTCCAAAAAGTTGTAAGAACAACTTACATTGCTTTACCTACAGCCTTTCCTGTGAGCTAAAAATATGCAGAGTTCTTATGCCTGTTGCATGGCAGAGACCAAATAATTCAGGCACTTCTTCACTTACCCACTGAAAATGCATGTGGGCCTGAAGATGAAGTCCAGGTAGCCCAATTTTAAACTACCAAAAATTTCATTGTGCCTTTCTTAAAAAGTGGGGGAGGCACTGCCTAATCAAAAAGGTTGTTTTGATTGCTTCCATGGTTCTAGTTTTTGGACGACTGATTTGGATACACCTGAGATGACAGTTGTCAAGAAATCAAACATCTGTTTTTACCAGAATGTAGTCTGACCATTTTTCCCTCGCAGTTCGAAGGGCTGCCTGTCGTAGTTTCATCACATGGGCAAACCGGGAGGTTGGCCAGTGCTTTGGTCCAATTTCATCAGGGTAAGACCTAAAATAATAATAATAGCTCATCATTATTGAGTGCCTACATGTACCAGGCTCTGTCCTAAATGTTTATATGTATTCATTTAATCTTCTATCAATCCCAGGAAGTAGATACTATTATTATTGTTATCATCATCCCCATATTACAGATGAGGAAACCGGAGCAATGAGAAGTCAAGTAACTCACTGCTCATTGTATACAAGAATCTTTACATGAAATATTTCAGTGGGTTCTAATGAGAGCCCTTTGAGGTGAGTACTGCTATTCTCTGCATTTCACAGGTGAGGATATCAGGGTAGAGCAGTTAAGTCATTCGTCCAATGTTACACAATGGGGCACAATCAAGATTTGAATCCAAGCAAAAAGCTCATGTTCCTAGACAATTTTTATACATCCCGACATCGAATAGATTTGGAGAGTATGCAGTGTAAAACATGAGTTTCCCAGGAAAATCAAAGGTTTAATCTACTTGTTGGAGTCTCCACAAATGATTCCACACAGCCTAACACATTGATCTATCTTAGGTAAAGTGAGGTCGTGGGATCTCTATCAAGATTCACAAAACAGCCAGGCCAAGACTCCTTCATGGCCACATAGGCAAGTGGGTTGGAGCACGCTCCAAAACCCTTCTGAAGGCACCCAGCTGGCACGGACATTGATACTGTTGCAGTAACCCAAAACTGGCCACCACTTCAAGATCTCATAGCTGCACTGGCAGTACATTTGTTTTAGTGAGTGAAAAACTGCAAAAACAATGAGACTGTAACTAAACAAATAAGGTTAATAAAACTATGTACAGCACAGGAATTCTCTGGAATATCTTCCCCAGTTATTGTTTCAATGAAAATCAGTGGAATTCTCATTTTTCTAAATATATTCCCCCCAAAAATGCCTGTTCTAATATTTTTTCACACTGACCTTGGCATATAATATATTTAGTCAAAACCTGGCTGCAGAGAACATTACCAAGGTGCAAAGAAGGGACACAAAGTATTTCTGTGCCATTTTTGTTAGGCCAAACTCCATTATAAGGCACTCTAAAGGAGTGTTTACAATCTTTTACGGTGTTCAGACTTCACTGTTAAATTTTGCTTGATATACAGTCCATGGGCTTGGATTTGAGAAACACATATGTATATATTATATCATATTTATATATATTTCTTTATAATATAAATATTTATAATAATTCTTACATATAGAAAGACTAGAAGAACAGAAACTTGTTCTGGAATGGCATTTATTATTACTATAATACAAATTTGGCTTTCAATAAATGACTTCTCTGGGGAAGAAATTCAGGCAACTCCTTCATTCTATTTCTACAGTTCCTTAAAGTAAAACTGTAGTAGCTTTGGGAACATTTATAATAGTAAGTTTTAAATACATTTATTCTTGTTCTTATTTGTTCATCCAACCAGTATTAATTTAGTGCCTGCCAAGAACATGGCTCTGAGGGGAGAGGGGGAATATAAAGTGTTTATATATTCTAGCCCCTGCCAAAGAACTTACAACTTATTTAGAAAAAAAATACATTAATTGCATAGGGGGAAAATGTTGGTTGCGTATATCATTGTGCCAAAAAGGATGACATAGAATATAAGCAATACAATTGTTGAGACAAAGGTAGATATTTATAACTGAGTGATTAAGAATAGGTTTCTATAGTAGGCATGATTTAGGATAAGAATTAGTTATAAAGAAGGAAAGGGTCTTCCAGGACCTGCACAAGCAACAGTGTGGGGTTTGGAAATAAAAGAAACGTTCTGGATAAAGCACATTTTCTTTTGGTGCTAAATTCATGGAATTTTAAAAATATAAGTCTTAGGTGTTTGAACTTTGTTCAGGTCCTAAAGAGTAAGTGAAGTATTTTTAATAAAGAAATGAAACCATTTCATTTGTATTTGAGGTAGATTGATTTGACTGTATGGTATGTAGGATGACTTGGAGATAGAAGCAATTAATAAATTGCTATGGTGGCCGGGCACGGTGGCTCACACCTGTAATCTCAGCACTTTGGGAGGTCAAGGCGGGCAGATCACAGGGTCAGGAGATCGAGACCATCCTGGCTAACATAGTGAAATCCCCTCTCTACTCAAAATACAAAAAAATAGCTGGGTGTGGTGGCACACACCTGTAGTCCCAGCTACTCGGGAGGCTGAGGCAGGAGAATTGCTTGAACCCAGGAGGCGGAGGTTGCAGTGAGCCAAGATTGCACCACTGCACTCCAGCCTGGGTGACATAGCAAGACTCTGTCTCAAAAAAAAAAAAAAAGAAAGAAATTGTTATGGTAACCAGGCACAAAGGCTCACACCTGTAATCCCAGCACTTTGGAAGGCCAAGGTGGGAGGATCGCTTGAGGCCAGGAGTTCAAGACCAGCCTGGACAACATGGTGAGATCATGTCTCTACAAAAAATAAAAATAAAATTAGCCAGGCATAGTGGTGCATGGCTGTGGTCTTAGCTACTCAGGAGGTTGAGTGAGGAGTATTGCCTGAACCCAGGAGTACGAGGTTACAGTGGAGCTATGGTCATGCCACTGTACTCCAGCTGGGGTGACAGAGTGAGACCCTGTCTTGAAAGAAAGAAGGAAAGAGAGAAAGAGAGAGAGAGAGAGAGAGAGAAAGAAGAGAAGAGAAGCGAAGAAAAGAAAAGAAAGAAAAGAAGGAAAAGAAAGAAAGAAGGAATTTCTATGGTTAAGATAGGAAATTACCTAAATGAGCATCAGTAGGGGATCAATTAAATAATTATGGTAAATGCACATACAACAGTGATTATGCAGTAAAAAAAATGAAAATTAGCTCCTTAACTATTGCTATAGAATGATTATCAAGATAAAAGTTGAAAAAAGCAAGCTCTATGTAGAAAGTATACACATTTTCAATATGATCCTCCAAATATAAAAGTTTGTTTAAAATATGAATAAATAATATCAATATTTAAAAATATAAACTGTCATGGCAATTTATTTATGAAGTAATGAAAATCTGAACTTGGCTGGCAGCTGTGGGAGTAAACAGCAAGAGAGTACTGTGAAGATCTCTAAAAGGGAGAAATGGCAGATATTCAGAACTCACATAGCTACAGAAATGAAAGACAATGAAAAGTCACATGTACCTCCAAACCTGGAAGCCCTAAAGAGCTAGTTAAAGAGGAAGGGTAAATAATGAGTTTACAAATTTCGCACTTGCTACTCACTCTGGTTCATCCATAGGCCTCCACTCCACATAGTGATAGAGTCTCTGTACATTTTTCAACCACTCCCTGAATATTTCTGTTGTATTATCCACATTGTGATCAGTGGCTGCCCTGCATGAGAGAAAGCACAATATAGTTTAACTATGTCATCCAATGAAAGAGAGGGAAATCCAAAAGACCCCTGACTAACTGAAAGAAGAATGGCTACTCCTGGAAAAAAAATTGTATATATGAAAATAATTCCCTCATAGTCCAAACTAGACAATAAATTTCCAAAGTGAGAGACACTGCTTAAAATCATCTTTGTGTCATTAGATCCTAAAACAGGGCTCAGCCAATTGGAGAACGTGTAAATGGTTGCATTAATAAATAAACACATGAAAACACCAAGAGAGTGTAAGCATAAAATGAATTAACTGAGAGTCAATTAATGAATCTTCTTGGAAATTTTTCTATATGTTTTAACTTTCAGTTACCCAGGATGTAAACTCCACCTTTTAACTTCATTAACAATGACCCTCAATTTGAGCAATAATTCTGCTTCATCTTCATTTCAAGTCAATTTTCTGACCGCAGCAAAATATCTAGTCAATGCTGCTTTAATCATTGTGAAGCTACAATAATAATTCTCAATATAAAACTCAAAATTTAAGGTATGTTCAATTATCTATTTTGGATTAACTTTACCATCACGTTTACAAAATAGAGTATTTTCCAAAGCCTTTAAATAATGTACACAAAACTTGTGCCTGTTCTACCCTGAAAGTTTAACAAATGGATCCACTTGTAAAAGGGCCTAACTCATTTATTTAAAAAGTATTTTCAAATTGTATCACAAAGCAAAACCCAACACATGTAAAACAGTTATTCAGAACACCTATAAATGAAGAGATAATGAAATGAAAAACAGAAAAAGAGAAGAAAGCAGGAGTTGTAATCCTGACAACAAACGAGGTAGAATTCAGGCCAAAGAGTATTAAGATGACAAAGAAGGAGACTTTATAATACTAAAGGAGGCCATTCACATCAAAATATACAAAGTATGAATATCTATACATTTTCATATATTACAGGGGTTGGCAAACTTTCTTTCAAGCGATAGATAGTAAACATTTTAGGTTTACAGGCCATATACTATCTGCAGCTACTACTTAACTCTGCCATGGTAGTGATAAATCAACCATAAACAATATGTAAATGAATGAGCATTGCTGTGTTCCAACAAAACTTTATTTACAAAAACAGGCAGTCTGTAGGCTATAATTTGCTGACCCCTAATATAGTAGAAAGTATAGAAACTGTAAAGAAAAACAGAAATAACAATAATAAGAGATATTAACATACCACTTTCAGTTAAAGATGGTACAAATGGGGAAACAAGTAAGTATATATAGGATCTGTACAACATACTAATAGAGACTTCTCAAGTGCACATGGAACATCTGCTAGCACTGACCAACAATTACATCCCAAAGAAAGCCTCCATAAAATTGAAATTATATAAACAACATTCTCTGATCTAAATGACATATACGTAGAAGTTGATAATAAAATAAAATCCCCCAAATCCACTAAAAACTCTCTTATAAAGTTGTTTTTTAAAAAATAACAATTACTAGTGGAAAAATAAATACAAACCAATTTCAGAACTTCCAAAAATTAATAATGAAAATACTACATATCAGAATTTTGGGATACAATTAAAGCAGTGATTAGAGAAAAATTCAGTTTTATATGCTTAAATAAATAAAAATAAATGAGTTAAATTTCTACTCAAAAAGCTAGGAAAAAAGCAACAAAGCAAACATATATAAAGAAATTAATAAAGATAAGGGTAGAAAGTTGTGAGATATAAAACAGAAAAAGAGTAGAAACAAACTAAAATGCTACTTCTTTGAGAAAGATCAATAAAAGACAAGCTGTAGTTAACCTACCTAAGACAAACAAATATAAAACAATAAGAAATGGTAAGGATGGGAAACAAGAAGATTGATTTGAAAGAAAAATTTTAAAAATGTGTAAGCAACTACTTTGTACAACTCGATGATAAATTTGAAAACTAAATATAATAGAAGATTTTCCAGAAAAATGCATGTTAGCAAAATTAACTCCTGAAGTGATATAAAGCTTAAATGAATAATTTCCAAGAAGAGAGTAAACAGGAAAAAAACCCCAACTAGGCTCATGTGTTTTTACAAGGGAATTCTACCAAATCCTACAATAGATACTTCCAATGCTATACAGCTTGTTATCCAGAGTGCAGGAAAAAAATGAAAATTCTAAGTTCTTCTAATATTGCAAGTATAATATTGATGTCTAAACCTTATAAAGATTTACACACACACACACACAGGCACACAACTACAGACCAATATCCTTTAATGCACATGCTGCAAAAATCTTAAATGAAGTATTAGCAAACAGAGTCCAACATCTTATTAAGAAAATATAGCATGGTCTAAGAATTTTCAATATGAAGGAATTTCACTAACATAATTCACTATGTTTATGGACCTGAAGAAAAATCATGATTATCTCTGTAAATGTGTAAAAGGTCTTTAACAAAATTCCACACCTAATCCTGGTTTTTAATAACCACACAGAATACAATTCAAGCAGATACTAAAAAAATAAGCCACTACAATTAAAACTGTGTGGTAATGACACAGGGATAAATGACATAGGGAGCCCAGTGGCACAGAACAGTAAGTACAGAAATTTAGTATATGATAAGGGTGTCGTAATATTCCCATGGAACAAACCTGCACATATACTCCCTGTATCTAAAATGAAAGTTGAAATTTAAAAATAAATAAAGTTTCATCAAAAATATATATGATATAATACAGTTTTGAAAAATGATCAGAGGTACACATGAAATAATTTAGCTTCTATTGCATCATTACTTTCACTGCTATTTGTAGGATGATTTAAAATAAATTGAAAGTAAATATAAATAAAGGCCAAGTGCGGTGGCTCATGCCCGCAATTGCAGCACTTTGGGAGGCCAAGGTGAGCAGATCATTTGAGGTCAGGAGTTTGAGACCAGCCTGATCTACATGGTGAAACCCGTCCCTACTAAAAAAAAAAAAAAACATTAGCTGGGTATGGTGGCACGTGCCTGTTAGTCCCAGCTACTTGGGAGGCTGAGGCAGGAGAATCGCTTGAACCTGCAAGGTGGAGATTGCAGTCAGCCGAGATCGGGCCACTGCACTGCAGCCTGGGTGATAGAGCGAGATGCTCTCTCAATAAATATAATAAATAAATAAAACACAAAAAACTCCTTTTCATTAAACATGAAACATTATAGTTTTTAATTGGTTTTAAATTGCCACTAAATATATTCAAAAAATTTTTTTTATCTCCTAAAATAATAATCTTTAAGAGAGGGAATGTTCAGGAATGTTCAAGAGAGAAAAATACATTGTTAAGCAAAGCACAGTGGAACTCTATTTAGATAGGGAATACATTTCTGTAAAATACCAAGAAACTTAAAACTATGTAACTTAAGCCATAGGGTGTAGAAAAATGGGACATAGAGGTATGTAAGTAATATTTGAAAATATTATCTTGTAAAATAGATACTTAAATTAAAACTAGCCTACTTAAAAACATTATCCAATAACTACAGATGACACCAATGGCCAACTTGATCTACTTTCAAGTGTCTTCTTGAAATTAGATGAGAACCAACTCTTCTCTTCTCGGCAAGGTCTAGGAGGGAGAACGACCCACAGGCCCACCTGGACATTCCATGGCCTGGAGAGGGAGAGAGGTGATGTGTGAATCTGACAGTTTTGAGGGATACCAGGTGAGCATGTTAGGACCAAGATGGGGTAGGAGGAGCCCTTAGCAACTCACAGAGGTGGGAAAGTGGTCCAGAAAGCAACGTGGAAGAAGGCCACAGGCTCCACTGAGTTTGTGATTGTGCCAAAAAGTGCAACGTCAGCAAAAGTCACATCCTTTGTGACTCATGGCCACAAGCTACCAACGTCCAGGGTACGCCATGAAGAGCGCAATGAGAGTCTAACCACTGGTCTCGTGATAGGAAGCATGCAGAGAGCAATTCCTGAAACTCAGAATTTACCATAAAGCACCTTATTCTTCACTTAAAACATTATGAAGAGGAGTAAGTTAAAACTAAGCAAAACAAAAATTCCTTATCACAGTGTTAGCCAAAAGCTATGAGATTTCTACATTATTCTTAAATTATTTATAAACGGCATAAGAGAATTTGCCAGGTGCAGTGGCACACACCCTTAGTCCTAGCTACCTGACAGACTGAGGCAGGAGGATCACTTGAGCCCAGGAGTTCCAGGCTGCAGTGAGTACAACTATGCCTGTGAATAGTCACTGCACTCCAGCCTGGGCAACATAGTGAGACCCCATCTCTTAAAAAAAATAGTCTAGGTAATTTATACAGCATCTACTTCTTTCCTTGGTTGTTGTTTCTTCATTACACAGGACTTCTTAAATTCTCTTTGCCTTCTCTACATCAATGCATTTCCTAATCCTTTTGACAAAGTTGGTCTTATCGTACGAAATGTGTTTTCCTGGTGTACAGATTAAACAACTCCAAAACCTGCCTAAGCATCCACTCCTGATGAACATCCTTAGAAATTAGCTGCCTGGAGTATGCAGAGGTACAGATGTCTAATTAAAAACAGATGCACAGATTTCAAATATTCTCTTTATTGAGTTAAAAAACTGTCTGTAGTGTTACTTCCCTGAATTAAGATTCTGTTTGTTCTCAGGCTTCTGAGGAAATGAACACGTCCTCCAGTTGTGGTTGGAGAGAGGTGCATGAATCCTGGTCTTTGAAGTGCAGGGCCAATCTCTCCTACACTCATTCCCAGAGGAGGAAGAGGAGGAAGAGCAGTGAGGGCCACACCAGCCCACCGAGGAAGCCTGGTGGTCCCCGCTTAAGACTAAGTTTCCCTGCTCCTCCTCCCCAATGTCAAAAAAGGCAAAAACACAGAAATCCAGGCAGACACTTCTAACTACTGCCTTGTAATCGCTCTGACAAAAGTATATTTCCATTTGAATGCATAATAATGAAAGCAACACAGGCCCTGGGCTATTCAGAGGGTTGGACAGAGAGAGATACCAAAGGCCCATATGCAAGCTTTCTGGAGGAAACCCGAGGCTGGTGCTAACGGTTCTATTTTCAGAGCCCTGTAGCACAAGGCAGCAACAGCGCAGTGCTTGTCCTGCTGCAGCACTCCACAAGCATCTAGACACAAAAACCTCTGCGGCTGAGGTGGATTTTTCCATGAAGCTAGGAAGCTGAGAACCCAGAATGTGTGAGGCCCCTCAGGAGGAGCTGAGGCACAGTGGCCCCTCTCTCAGTCTGAAGGCTCCTTGGAAAATGAGTACTGCCTCGAATCTGTTACCCTCCTCCCAACCAGACCAGAAAAGGCACCCAGAAAAATCGCAGACATCACTAATGGATTCCTTGAAGAAAACAAATGATGTGCAAGGACAGCTGGACATCTGGAGAGGTGATCTGCAAGTAATTGACAGTCAGTAATCAAACTGGAAAACCACAGATTGTGAAAACACAAATATGGGCTGGCTGGGTGACCATGTTTCCGGGAGGCTCATACGGCTCAGTCTTTGCCTCAATTCTCCAACTAGAGTGGATTCACACCTAAATCAACACCTCCACTCACTCTCTCTTCCCCAGATCTCTGACTCAGGATAAGACACCAAGGAAAGGCTGGACACAGTGGCTCACGCCTGTAATCCCAGCACTTTGGGAGGGTGAGGCGGATCACCTGAGGTCAGGAGTTCAAGGCCAGCCCAGCCAACATGGTGAAACCCCGTCTCTACTAAAAATACAAAAATTAACCAGGCGTGGTGGTGTGTGCCTGTAGTCCCAGCTACTTGGGAAGCTGAGGCAGGAAAATTGCTTGTACCCGGGAGGCGGAGACTGCAGTGAGCTGAGATCGTGCCACTGCACTCCAGCCTGGGTGAGAGAGTGAGATTCTGTCTCAAAAGAAAAACAACAACGACAAAAAGACAGCAAGGAGAGCTCAGCTCTTGAGCTGTTTTTAATTTTCTTTGAAGGTCATGTTGGGACAATAACTTTCCTTTACCTCTAAGGAGCCCTGGTACCCGCCAGCCACCAAGGTCTCTCCCTTCCACTTTTAGGGGAGCTGTGGCCCTGAGACAGCTTCAGTGCTCATGGTTGGCCACCTCTCTGTCCATGAGTCCTGGCCTGCTTTCTTTGGAGCTAGTACCTGAAAAGGGAGTGCTGGTAGAAACAGGTGCCACATCCACACTGGCCACCTCTTACCCTAATGCTGCCCATCTGCTTTCCCTCTGATTCTGCTTTTGGTTCCTATTTCCCCTTCTTCCTCTTCTCCAGCTGTGCAAGTTAGCAAAAGCCCATGAGTCTCAGATTCAAAATTGAATTAGGACTAAGGGAAACACGTATTGGAGATGTGATCACAGCACATGTAGGGATCCCCTTGGCTGATGATGCTCCCAGGTCAACAGGTGCACTGTCACCGCTACATGGAAGGGAGCACAAAGAGCAGACCAAGAAGTCAACATGTCTGCAGGATGAGACGCTTTACTGCTTGGCTGTGGAAAAAAAAATTGAGATTTATCTGGCAATGTCTAAAAACATTGACATTTCTCCTTGTTCCAGAAGTTAGTTTTCATTTCTAAGTCTTGCCTCTTAAGACTCAGAGCCAACTAGAAATAATTAGAACTGACTCATTTATTTTGACAAGTCCTACTGAGGTTGTTAGGGCTAAACTCATATTGGTAAGCATGGGGCCACTGGAATCATATTAAAGATGAAGACTGGATCTCTCAGCAGGTGGGACACGGAAACTGAGGACACAGTACTCCTTTATTTTATTTTATTTTTGAGATGGAGTTTCACTCTTGTTGCCCAGGCTGGAGTGCAATGGCACAATCTCAGCTCACTGCAACCTCCACCTCCCGGGTTCAAGTGATTGCCCTGCCTTAGCCTTCTAAGTAGCTGGGATTACAGGCATGCGCCACCATGCCCAGCTAATTTTGTATTTTTAGTAGAGATGGGGTTTCACCATGTTTGTCAGGCTGGTTTCGAACTCCTGATCCTCAGGTGATCCACCCGCCTCAACCTCCCAAAGTGCTGGGATTACAGGCATGAGCCACCGCACCCGGCCAGGACACGGTACTTCTGATCACTTCCATCTGTACTGAGACTCAGGGAATGTCCTCAGCTTCCCTGCCACACCCGAGAAAGTCTAAGACCTCTGTCACTATAGAAGAGGTCTGCGATTGGTGGAGTAGCAGGATGGCAACACTGGACAACGACTGATCTATTGATCTTGCTGCCTGAGAACCTGCAAAATACATTCCCCAGAGGCTCAAGGGAATGGCAGTGGAATGAACAACAAACTTAGTCACCACCTGGACAATCCTCACCATGACTAGTGAGTTGGCAAAGGTAAATTTTCCAATTCGAGACTTCAAACACTGAACTACCCTCTCAGATGCTTCTTGTTTTCATTGAGCAAAGAAGACTCACTGGTGTAGAAAATAAACAGCTCCACCTAAAAATAAAATTCCACTAATGAAAGCAACTACTGTAATTCATTTTCAAGAAAGGTCATATCATCGAGTCCCGCCACCTCTGTGTCCAGTCTCAAGGAAAGCCTCCCCAGCAGCAGACGTGCCAAAGGCAGAGACATGCTCAGCCACTCAGCAAAATATGCCAATTGATTCTTCTTTCTTGGTTACTGGGTAGAATTCTGTCTAAAGATCTGGAATCCTTTTTCTGGGTGGAAACTAGATATGGATATGGTTAAAGACGTGAATATGGATTGGGGGTCTGGGGATTCCTCCCACAAAAAGCCTTTTCCTAGATCCTATTCATACCAAGTCACTTAGTTGCAATTCTTCCCAATGAACTAAGAAATCAGAAAAACTCACTTCTCATGAAAAATTCCTCACCAACAAAATTAATGTTTATACTTCCTCAACATCCCTCCTCAGTATGCCCCATTTCATCCCAGAAACAATCATAGACACGACACACCTGAAGCCTGGGTATATGTGATGTAAAAATAAATATTTGATTCTAGAAATTCAAGCAACCAATCAATTTCATCCCTAAATGGCATCTCTAAATTTTTCCTGATGGTAAAATTTGCTGATTGACCAGTTAACAGTCAATTCAAAAGCCCATTATCATCTTTCAATAAAATTAATAAACTTAATTAAACATATTATAATTGAGCTATTTTTTATACTCATGATTCGGAGATATATTTTTCTTCTCTTTGTGTTAAGAACTTCTCAACATTATGCCACACACTAACCCATTTTTAGCCTTATGATTAACTAAGTTACTCATTATCTTTATTTCCCCTGTTATAGAAAAGAAGGCTGAGGATGAGAGGTTATGATTTGCTCAAGTCATGCAAATGGTGGGTGCTAGAGCTTGGCCTTTTTATTTAGGCCTTCTAATCCATCCCTCAACACCCACCCTCCCACTCCAGGCTCCCCACCACACCTGTCCAACAAAGAGTAGATGACCAGGAAACACCTGTCAAATTGGAAGTTCTCTACCTTGTCAAGGATATGAATCAATATGACCAATATGATCATCTCAGGATGACAGGATGGAAATGCTCTAGCAAAAAAACAAAAGAAAAATGGGAAGATTCATTCATTCCCTACAAGCTTTGCTTAGGTTTACTTTCAGCATAATTTTCCTTGGAGTCACAACCCTTGGAATTCCATGAAAATATCAGTGGGAGTGTCTGAGACAAGACAAATATGTTTCTCATTTGTCTATCTACCCTCTTCCTGTTTTCGTTCTCCTTTGGCCCTTGTTTATTCTTCTTCCCACCTTTTTCACCCACTCATCATGGCCCCTTTTCTTGTCCTTATTGGATTTTCCAATTCTGTTAAGTTCTTTATTTTGTGGATGTACCCTGAAGACATGTAGTTACTAGTTAAATGTAGCACTGGTACTAAAGAGAAGACACAGCAGGATCCAAAAACATTTTCTCCAGGAGTCCTGAACCTCTACATCTCCAAACACATCAGGTTAGATTGGACACCCTCTATCTGTAATTATGCATCACTAGCTTGCCATGCTTCCAGCACTGTGCTTGCTCTTGTGTTATAATTAACTGGTTCTATTTCTTTCTTCATTACTTGACTTTCTTCCCTGAGGACAGGGACTGTCCCAGTACTTAACAGTTCACTATAAAATAAGCACTTATCATGAGTTTGATGAGTGAATGAATGAACAATTTCAGGGAACTTCTCCCCATCCAACCCAAATGCCTATAAATGCTGAGCACAGATAACAAAGAAATGAAATGGGCCATGTATGAGCCAACAGTGTGAAAGGAGGACTGTTGAGAATAGGCACATGTGGGCCCCAACTGATTGCTGCTGCACTGGAATGTGTGCCCAGAAATGCTAGGCTTTCAAATTGTTTCAAGAGAAGCTGGCTATCTACTTTTTAGAGATAAAAGTCTATTTATAACCTGTACAAACTTTTAGGCTGAAATGCCATGAAAATATTCCACCCTGGCAGGAGGTCTCTGGAAATCAACATAAAAAACACATTATTTCATCTCTTAATAGCCCAGGTCCATCTATCCACACATGCTCAGGGCACATATTTCAGTAATTAAATATTTCAAATATGGCTGGGAGGACAGCAATACTATCACTTTGCTGCTTTCACAAAACAGAAAACATCTTCCATGAGAAAGAAAAGACAAACATGCACAGATTGAGCAAGATGTAACTAATTCTCTCAACCCAGTCTAATATCAAGAGAATTGGAAAGAAGAAAAAAATGATGGCAGCACCACAGAATGAGTGTAAGTGTACACTTCCTGCAAACACCGTACATACCTCCTCTCATTGCGCAGCAACTAAGACATGATTACTGCTGCACAAACTTTTTACTAACAACTTTATTGAGATATATTTCACATATCGAATACTCACTCTTCTAAAATATAAAATTCAGTGGTTTTTAGTTGTGCAACCATCACCATTATCCAATTCCAGAACATTTCCATCACCTCAAAAAGAAACCCTACATGCATTAGCAGTCACCTCTCACCCCTCCAGCCCCTGGTAACCACTATTCTGCTTTCTGTCCCTATGGATTTGCCTATTCTCGTCCTTTCTTATCAATGGAATCATATGATTGTGGCCTTTTGTGTCTGCCTTCTTTCACTTTGCATACTGTTTTCAAGGTTCACGCATGTTGTAGCACGTACCAGTACTTCACTTCTTTTTATGGCTAAATAATGTTCCATAGTATGGATATGCCACATTTTGTTTATTCATTTATCAGTTAATAGACATTTGGGTGCTTTCACTTTCTAGTTACTATGAACGATGCTGCTATGAACATTCATGTACAGGTTTTTGTGTGAACATATGGTTTCATTTACCCTGAGTACGGCTGCTCAAATTTTAAATACTATGGAAAAAGAATAAAATTTATTTTATTTTATTCTTTACCCTTTGTGGAGAATCTACTATGTTCCAGGCAGTAAGCTGACCATTTTACGTATATAACTTTAACATTTAAAGTAATTTTCCTTTAAGTATTATTATCCCCATTTTACAGAAGAGGAATGTGAGGCTTAGAGACTCTCTTCCAAAGATGGTTTTCTTTCCATTTATACTTGATCTTTGATATGTATTTTTCTTAATTTCTGAAATTCTCAGTTTTCTGTTCCAATGTAGCAGAGAGGAATCCTTTACTCTGCTTCATGAGTATCTTGGTTGTACATGAGATGAGCAGATGCAAGGGCCCAGGAATGCGTGGGCAGTTGCAAGGAAGTGAGAAGTGTCAGGTCTCAGCAGAGGAGCTGGGTGGAGCAGCTGAAACAGGACATGGATGATTAAACTCTGAGTGGGGATGTCCAGCACTGCCTCATGGTGCCTGGCAGGGCAATGCTACAGCAAAACATGGAGCCTCTGAAACATGAGGTCATGGGGGAACTGGAGCCAGCGCGACCACAGGGAAAGTCACAGCCCAAGGACTGGGCTTGCTACGTGCAGCAATTATTGACAGGAGGATCTCCCTGCTCTATTCTCTGGAGGAGAACTGGCTGAACTGCAGTGACAATGTGGGCAAAGTGGTCTCTTGGATTGAGGACTGGGAGAAAGCTGAAGGAAGTGTCCATGTTCTGTGTAGAAAGATTTACTTTGATTCATTCCTTTCTGGAAACAACTGCAGTTAAGAATGACAATAAATATTTTAGTTATCTATTAATCCTGAGTTCCTTGACCTACTATTTTGCTAACGACATCCTTAATCAAATAAAAAGTATGAAGTCAGGAGGCATGGCTCTTTCACCAATTAACTCTGTAATCTTAATGAATTTACTTGAACTCTCTGTGCTTTGTTTTTCCATCTGTAAAATGGGACAATAACATCTGCTGCATCTACCTAGCTCACTGGGTTATTTTGAGGAGCCAACAGCATGTGAAGGAGCTTTCAAGAACACTTTCCTTGAAAGCTGGCCTTCCCCTGGCTGTCCCCAACACACACACAGATCCTCAATTAAGAAATAAGACAGCTTGTTGAATAGGCTCTTAAGACACATGCAAAAAAGTTCAACACATTCATTTAAGACAAACAAACTAGAATTACCACAGCCTACCATTTTTTAAGAATAAAAGATACACATGCCCATAGCAAGGACTGCTAATTATCTCAACATCAGTTCTTCTCTTTTTCCCTAGTAATAGAATTTTTAGCTGAGTCTATGACTGTCCGGCTTAAAGAGTAAACTTTAGGCTCAATGACAGCAGAGACATTTGTCTCTTCTGTTTACTCCTCCATTCTTAACGCTTAGAACAGTGCCTCACACATAGTATGTGCTCAATAAATATTTGTTGAATGGTTCCTTTCACATCAAACTCCTAGCCTAATAAGAACTATAAAAACACCTGTACAGTTCCCTCAGTTCAACAGACACTGGCTATGCATGTCCTCTGTGCCGGTGATCGTGGCACTTGCTGGAAAGCAACACCTTGTCATTCACATCAAGATGCACCCAGTTTCTCACAGATGGACAGGAAATACAGATGTGTAAATAAATAACTGTAATTTGGTATGACATTGTTGACGATGGATATATGACAAGGTCTCCAAGTGCCAGGGAGGAGGGAGTGGCTAGAAAGGTGTGGGAAGGGCCACGAGAGGCTTCTCAAAGGATCAGAGGCTTGAATTGGGATTTGAAGATTGAGCAGACATTAAGGGAAGGTAGAAAGAAGAATGTTCCAGAAAAAGGAACAACATATGTGGAGGCAGAAAGGGATGAAAGAGTCTGATGTGTTTGTGGAACTCCACGTAAATTTGTTGGGCTAGGACTTACAAGCCAAGAGGGCGAGATGGCTGTAAGGTGTTAGGGCTGATGCAATTGTCAGGGATAGGGTAGGCACAGGACACAGTGAAGAGGGGTGACCCCCTTTCCTGGGTCCCTAGCATCTTGCCCTCCTTTAAAAAATAAACTGGTTTATAATTCTCTGAAATTATGTGTTTTTCCAGATTGTGACAGGTATTGCTGTTAGCATGAGCATGCATTTATTCTTTGATTCCTCAGAGGAAATGTTCAAAATATACATCATGTGCTGGCCTATTTTATTCAGTTCCAATTCCATCCGCAGGTGCAGCTGCCACATAGTCTGGGTTTTCTGCGAAAGGTGTGATTTCTAACATTCCCACCCATTTTCTTCATAACTTCATTTGTACCTCCCAGATCATGTGTCCAAAGTAAACACTTAACATGTGCTTGTTGAATGACTAAGTGAACAAATAAATGCTTGTATAAATCAATGACACGAACAAAAATAAAGTGGTTATATTTATTAAGGGTCTATTACTTAATGAAAAGCAGCAGCAAATCTGTAATAGAACAATATTAGATGCATATAAATCATTTTGATTTTTTTAAAAAGCCATCACACTTTTCTCTGCTACAGTATTTGTTTCCCCATTGAGAAAGCTGGACTAGAAATGTGAACAAAGAGAAAAAGTATAAATTTACAAACTGAATTCAAAGCTGTTTTCCCACAGAGTATCCCAGAATGACAACTTGGCCCTGACTAAAAAAAAATGTCAGCCCAGTCAGTCACTGTTATCCAATACCTGTTGTCTTGGTTCCAGGAACAACACTCCTGGCCATTTCAGGAGGGAGAGACAAATGTTTGCTTTGAATTTACCTGCTTTGAGAAATTTTCAGTCTGGTCTTCCCATATCACTTCATTTGTGGTTCCTTCACATGGCGGTGGTGGGGGAATGTTGCAGGAGACTACAGTTTGGCAGGTGTTAGATACATGTTCATAAACTATACTCACACCCACAGTAAATTGAAGAGTCCCAAGTCATATTTTTGAGGAGTCTTGAGTTATTTTACTTAGTCGTAGTGTCAGGGCAAACAGGAGGCTATTCTGATGGTATTTTTTTTTTTCCATTTCTATTCTGGAAAACTACTGTCAGAGGGAAGGAACACCGTGTGCTCCTAACATTCCCAGGGTCTGTGTGGCTTTGTCACTTGCTCCTGGGAGAGGAGCATGCATAAATACACAGCATATAGATGTGTTGCTGTTGCCTTTACTACTCACTGCTCTTCTGCAGAGAGGGGAGCAGTGAGAGCAAACCTCAGCTAAGTGCTCACTCCTGGCCAGGCATTGACCTAGAACTCTAGCAACATCTCATTTAATCCTCACAGCAACCCTATGATGTAGTATTCTTACTATCTCCATTATACAGAGGAGGAAAATCAGGTCCAGAGAGGTGACACATCATGTCCAAAGTCTCAGAGGTAGTAAGAATTAGAGCCAGACATAAGTCAGACAGCTGGACTCATGATGTCCCATCTACCACTACTCTAAGAGGCTTATTTTGAAGCTGTCCTTTGGAGTGAAGTTTAAAACAGAAGGAAATACTTTTAAAGATAGTAGAGGGTAAATTCTAACTTTGTCTTCAAAGTGCTAGGTATATCAGTAGGCTTCACGTTATCAGTAAAACTGCTGCGACCACAGATCATTTAAGTCAGCTTAGAGTCCCCATGGGTCATGAGCCATCTTCATGCCTCAGAAATATAGTCAATGAAGCACTCATAATTTTCAATGATGTCTTAAAGAATGAATGGCACCTAATGATGATTGATTGACTGTCCTCTTTAATATTGCTCAAAACTTTCAGTCAAGTTGTTTATCTGGTCTCTGACAGATAGGTTTAAGAATCTTTGCTCTTGCTGTGAATAGAGTTATCAGTTGAAAGGATGCCTGATGCACTAGCTTTTTAAAAGCTTGCTCCAGATTTCATCTGGTGACTTTGGAAGGTAGGACACGGATACTGGGCTCTAGACTTCCAAGGTGCTCAAGCCTTCCCCAACCTCCCCAAATGGGTAAAATCCCCCAGTTATATGGTTTTTGGGATCATGTATCTCTTCTTTCTAGTACTTATCAGAGTTGTAATTCTACATTTATTTCTATGGTACTCAATAATGTATTTCTCCTCTAATGGTTTATAAGCTCCATGAGGGCAGGGATATGTCTGTCTTTGCTCATCACTGTATCCTCAAGCCCAGGACAGTGCCTGGCATCAGCACTGGGTAAAGGGTTGCTAAATGAATAACTAGATGCAAAAATGCCATCCTCACTTTTTACAAGAAAACTCTAAATATTTAAAACATGTATTTTTCACCAGTAAAAATGAAATACACAATCAGATAAAGAAGACAAAATGACTTTTGGGGTACTTCCTCTCTCTTTCATAATCCATATCTGGAAAGTTTGACTTTCATGTGGGCTCTGGAAACAGGAAGGAATCAGATGCTGTTTGGTATTAAGCTGCTGAAGGCTCCAGGGGAGCCCAGTAACTTATCTAAGAGGAAGTGGGGAATGCAATCAGTTGCTTTGAAGGCAGCACCCAGGAAATATCTGGCCAGGACAGAGGTTCAAGCAAATATAATTGTGGTAGATGGTAAATATGGCAACAGGTGAGTAATTCTTTCTGGCTTTCATTGGGGTGTGTCTTTTAAGCCAAATTAGAAATCCAGCAAGAGGATTTGGTATGCACCATTATAAACAGAGTCCAGCTCCAGCCAATGCAGGGAGAAGGCTGCAACCTCCCTTTCAGACCCAAAAAAGGACCCAATGACTCCCTGAGGAACAAGTAGACCAAAGGGCAGCTCTGAACACCCTTCCTTCCCCAGCCCCAGGTCAGGCCATGTCTAAGGCATACTTTAGTCTCTAGCTGCCACCATGTTCTTTTGGAGGTGCCATGTGAAGGAAGCCAACAATGTCCAACATTCAAAGTTCATGTCCCCAGAATTTCCTAATTTTTCAATTGCCTCTGTAAATTATTTCAGAACATGTCGCTGTTAAAATTCTTATTTTCATTCCCACATCCTGATGTTTAGAGAGGGAATTAGGCATTACCAGAGCTAGATTTGAACTCACTGACCCAAGTTTCTTCAGCAGAGGATCCAAAAGGAACCAAAACTTTCATCAGGACTGTTATGTGTATGAAGACAGAAGAGAAGCCTTTTGGTACAAGGTAGCACTCAAGACAAGGATTCAGTAAAATAAGTCACACTCATTTTCTCTTGTAATTCTTTTTTTTTTTTTTTTTTTTTTTTTTTTTTGAGACAGAGTCTTGCTCTGTCACCCAGGCTGGAGTGCAGTGGTGTGATCTCGGCTCACTGCAAACTCCAGCTCCCGGGTTCACACCATTCTCCTGCCTCAGCCTCCCAAGTAGCTGGGACTACAGGCACCCGCCACCACACTCTACTAATTTTTTGTATTTTTGGTAGAGACAGGGTTTCACCGTGTGAGCCAGAATGGTCTTGATCTCCTGACCTCGTGATCCACCCACCTCGGCCTCCCAAAGTGCTGGGATTACAGGCATGAGCCACCGCACCTGGCCTCTCCTTTAATTCTTACAACATCCTAGGAAGTAGGTATTCTCCGTATCTTATGGATGAGAAAATAGTTACAAAGCTAGTAAGTAATGGATCCACGATTCAAGCCTAATTAACCCTGCAAATTATTATTATTATTTGAGACAGAGTCTTGCTCTGTCACCCAGGCTGGAGTGCAGTGGTGTGATCTCAGCTCACTGCAACCTCCGCCTTCCAGGTTCAAGCGATTCTCCTGCCTCAGCCTCCCGAATAGCTCGGATTACTGGGGCGTGCCACCATGCCCGGCCAATTTTTGTATTTTTAGTAGAGACGGGGTTTCACCACGTTGGCCAGGCTGGTCTCAAACTCCTGACCTCAGGTAATCCGCCCGCCTTGGCCTCCCAAAGTGCTGGATTACAGGTGTGAGCCACTGCGCCTGGCCTTAACCTGCAAATTAAAGGTGAATTTTCAAAAGCAAGGAATGAAGAGATTTCTTTTTGGTAAGGTCTTATGGGGAGTAATAACAAAATACCTGGCATAAAATCAAGGATCCTATATCTAGTCAGATTTTTTAAAAATAGAAAATAAAGCCAAATGTATTTGACTATACTGCCTATAGATAAATTAGATTTTATCCAGAAGGCGGTATGGTGAAGTGACTTTTGAAACCCTTCAGCTATTTAATCCTGGCTAAATTACTTAACATCTCTATAAGCCTTAGTTTCCACATTTGCATTGTTGTAAAGACTAAGAAATCACCTATGAAAAGAATAAACATTAGAAAAAAAACAAAGAGAAGAAAAACAATAACATGAATACATATCAATAGTCATTTCTGAATACATAAAATTTCCAAACTTGTAGCAAGAAAATTGCAAATGTAAGTACTTCATCAGTGAAAGAAATAAGTGCTATAATCCAATAAAAGGCATTTGGCCCTGATTGAGAGAAAAAAATCTCCCAAACAACCAAACATTTTTAAAAAATCTAACCACTGGCAAAAGTGATTTTTGAACTCCAAACCTATAATGAACAGTTCAAAACACATATAGTCATGTCTGAACATAGATGAACAAAAATCTTAAAACCTTAGCAAAGTGGAATACAACAAACGTGTCAAACTCAGTAAAATAAACATCCTCTTGAGTGAGCAGTGGCTGGAGGGAGAGGAACAGGAGAAATCCCTAGGCAGCTTCCAGAGAGTTCTTCAAGCAGGACATTCTGCCAGTGGAGGCGCAGCCTCCGGAAGCCAGAGCCACGTCAGGCTAGCAAGCGCTCAAGGGCTTCTTGTATACTACCTTGTATGTTTGCTTCCAGCGGGTGTGTATTTTTTTTTTCTTTTTTTGGTTTGACTATTTGTTTTTCTAAGGAAACCTTTGGTTTTTCTTCACATTTTTTTCCCTTTAATATCCCAATTTACTTAAAATATTCCAATTACCTTAATACATGTAAGTTTATTGTCTTTCTTTATCCCTTTAATTGCACTTTTATGGGGTATTCTAATTTGTCATCTTATCCTATTCTCCTTTTGAATCTTACATTTTACTTTAAAAATTACGTATACCCCATTTTATTATTATATTTTTACTCCTTTTTACTCCTTATTTATTGTCCTTATATTCAATCTCAACTGTAATACGTGTTTTTAACTTTTCAATCTTATTGAGCTCTGTTCTTTTAAACTCTTTTACCTGAATTATCTAAGTAAACGAATCTTGTGTTTCTTGTATTTTAAATCTTATAGTATTCTTTTCTAGTCTTGTCCCAACTGGTTTGACCTCCAATGCCTTGTACGCTGCCAGGCCCATGAAAGACAGGCCATAAATGTTAGGAAATAAACAGCTCTGCACTGGACCACAGCTGGCCCGCATGCTGGGGAGGAGGCGCACAGGCTTCTCCCACCCCTTCCCTGCACCTCTGATAAACCCTCAGGGAAATCACCCTGTGATCCCTTCAGGCTAACAGAAGAAAATCTATATGAAAAAGAGAAGGCAGAAAGCTGAAGTGATAATGTTTAGAATCCTTAGAAGCTGGAATTCCCATCTAAAGACAAGGCGATTTAAAGGTGTAGACAGTGATTGGGCTTCAGTGCTGAACAAAGACATCTAAAACTCAGGACTGATAAGACAAAATGGACAGAAAACTCCATGAAGATGCAATAAGGAGACCTAGCTCAAAACATTTTTTGGACTCTGGAGCTCTGAAAAGGGGTATTTTCTGCCAAGTTATCTATCCTCAGACAAAAGTAAATGTTTTGACATTCCTGCAGGCTCTGTTAAGTTCCCCACCTCGTGAACAAAGGCCTGCCTAGAGGTGAGGACCTGTCAGCTGACACTGCTTATCTGCCTTAAAACCTCAGTGCAGTGGCCTTCTCTAAACACAGGGCAAGGGTGCTAACTGGAGAAGCCTGCAGTTCTCTCTCAAGTGAGAAATACCTACTGACAGAAACTGAAGGTCTGGACATACAGCAGGTGTCCAAGACTCTAAGAAAGTAAATACTACATGGGTTGAGGAAATGACCTATTATAAATGGGGTGAATATGCACCCAGAGGGCACTGCCACTCAGGCAATCAAAATATTAACTACTTAGGCTTTTTTACATTTTTGAGCTTATCGAAAGAATTTCGATGGTATAGTGCCTGAGTCAGGAAGGGGGTCAATACACATGAGGTGAATGAGTGAATGGACAAATGAATAAATGAATAAACAAATTCATGGCGTGGATCAGGGGCAGGCAGTGTAAAAAGCTCTATAGAACAAGAGGCTTAAGGTCTGGCCACAAGCCCACCATCAACCTAGCATGGAATTTCAAGTAAATCAATTTACTTCTCAAGTTCATTTTCTGTAGAAAAAAACCACATTTTGCTTAACGGAGTTGTTGTGAAGATAAACATAAAATAAAAAAGATTCCCCCCACAGTATTCTGTATAGTAAGACATTATAAATTGTTATATGTCTTACTATAAATTTTACCATGTAAGATTATATAGACGTTTAAGAGAATGATAAATGAACCCTTGTACATACCACCTAGCTTAAGAAGTAGATTTCTTTGAAGTCCGCTTTGTGCCTTCCCTAGTTACTCCTCTTCCTTCTCGGCCAATAATCTCTAGTCTGAATTTTTGGTTATTAATTCCCTTAGTATTTTTTATAGCAGAGGTGTCCAATCTCTTGGCTTCCCTGGGCCACACTGGAAGAAGAAGAATTGTCTTGGGCTACACATAAAATACATTAACACTAACGATAGCTGATGAGCTATAAAAAAATTGCAAAAACAACCTCATAATGTTTCAAGAAAGTTTACAAATTTGTGTTGGGCTGCATTCAAAACCGTCCTGGGCTGCATGTGGCCCATGGGCCGTGGGTTGGACAAGCTTGCTTTATAGTTTCACTACATATGTATATAACCCCAAACAAACTATACTTTAGGCTGTTTTTGAACTTTATATAAATAGATTCATGTTACATGTGTTTTCTGTAGGCTTAACACTGACTTAAAACTTACACATGTTGATACTTTTATCTGTAGTTGATAAATTCACTGCCAATGCTGTAATACCTCACTGTATTATTATACTATAATTTAGTGATCTATTTGACTGTCAGTGGACATTTAGCATATTTCCAGATTTTTGCAATTACAAACAATGCTGCTATGACCTTTGTTGCACGTATCCCCTGCTGTATATGAACAATAGTGCATTTAGGAGTGGCATTCCTGGATCTGTCATAGGTCTGAATATGTTCAACTTTACTAGGGAATGCCAAATTGTCTTCAAAGTAGTTGCACCAATTGATAGTCCCAGGAGCAGTATATGCAAGTGTCTATTGCATATATATTCCCAGCAATGCTTAGAATGTTGTCAGATTTTAAAATTTTTGCCAACCTGGCTGCTGAGAAACGATACATTATTGTGGTATTTATCTGCATCTCCTTATTACTTATCAGGTGGTGGAATGTTTCATATATTTATGGTCATTCATGTGCTTCCTCTTTTGTGAAACCTGTTTGTATTTTTGCCCATTTTTCTGTTAGGTTCTTTGATTTTTCTCTTTTATTCATGAGTTCTTCGTTGATTCTCTACATTATTTCTCTGTCGGTTGGTTGATTCTCAATACTATTCCTCTGTTGGTTGCAAAAATGATTTCCCACTTTATGGGTTGTTTGTCCACTATTTTTAGGATGTCTTTTGATAGAAAGTCCCCTCATCTTATTGTTTTGCTTTTTGAATGACTTGAGTATTCTTGGTCCTTTGTTCTTTCAAATAAATCTTATAATCAGCATCTCAGAGTGCATGAACAATCCTCTTGGGATTTTTATTAGAATTGCATTAAATTAATCGTCTGGAGAGAATCATTATCTTTATCAATTTTTCCTTTCCATGTACATCTATGTCTCCACATTTATTTTGGCCTTCCTTAATGTTTTTAATAAAGTTTCAGAATTTTTTCATAAAGATATTATTTTTGTTAGATTTATTCTTAGGTACCTTACATTTTTGGTTTCTACTATAAATAATATTTTTAAATAAATGAGTATCTGTTAGATACTCAGTTGGTATCTAACAGAAATGCAGTTGACTTTCATATGTGAATTCTGCTATATTTTTCTACCAATTTGTATAATTTATCTGCAAATTCTATTGCATTTTCTCTGTAGATAATCATATCTACATACATACATAATGATTGCTTTACTTCTTCCTTTCTAATTTTTAACCTTTTACTTCCTTTATTTATAGCATTTCACCATCAAATATGATATTTGTTACAGTCTGCTTTGGTGTTTGGCTTTTCTTATTGTTTTGTTTTGTGGGTAGCATTTATTGGGTTGAGAAAATTTTCTTGGTGAGAGTTTTGTTTCGAATGATTGCTGAAATAAAACACTTTTTGCATCTATTGAGATGAACATATGGCTTTTTCCCGTTAATTTGTCGATATGATAAAATGCATCTGTAGATTCTCTAATGTTGAGCTAACTTTCCATTCCTGGTGTAAACTCAACTCAATGCAGTATCTTTTTGCTATGTTGTCGGATTTGGTTTATTAGTACTTTGCTTAGGATTTTTACATTTATGTATATGGGTAAAATTAGGTAGTATTTTCTTTTATTATACGGTCCTCATATGATTTTAGTATTACGTTATGTTAACCTCACGAAATAAATTGGAAAAAGTATTCCCTGCTTTTCTAATCACTCAATGAGTATATATAATGTTGGAATGATCTTTTCATGAAATAATATATAAAGCCTATAAAATCTTCTGGGCCTAATGGTTTCTTTGGGGGAAGATTTTAAACTACTGACTCAATTTCTTCAATGTTTATAAAAACGTGCAGGATTTCTTTCTTCATGAGTCAGACTGTTATATGTATTTCTCTCAGAATTTTAAATATTTTACCTAATTTCTCAAATTTATTAGTATAAATGTATTTATAGCATTCTTATATTCTCAATATTAGTTACATCATTATTTATGTATTCTCCTTTTCATCCTTTATACTGTTTGTATGACCAGTCTTACCAGGATTTTATTTTATTGTTCTTTTCATAGAACCATATATTGGATTATTAGTCCTCTTTGATATCTTCAGTTTCTATTTCATTAATTTCTGTCTTTATATGCATTATTTTCTTCCTTGTCTCCTTGGGTTTATTCTGTTTTTTTACCCGCAAATGTCTTAAGTTCACCTCTTAGCTTATTTAGTAAAATAAAAGTCAAGGCCTTCTAAATTTCCATTATTATTTCTTCCTTGATCCTTGACTTATTTATAATTGTGACTTTTATTTTCCAAATCATGGCAATTTTTGAGTTATTTTGCTTTTGGTTTCCGTCTGGTTGTGATATATTCTGAGAATGTGATATGATGCCAATTCCTTTCAACTTTTCAGTCTCGTTTTTTGGCCTCTATGTGTCTATTTTTTGTAAAAGGTCCATGTGTGTCAGAGAAGAAAATATGTTCTGCAGTGGTGGTACTTTTTTTCAATTTTTCTTTTCTTAACTTATTGATTGATTGATTGAGATGTTTTCCTCTCATTTTATGTTTCTCCCTCAGTAGTTAACGGCTATCATAAAAATAAGATGTGTATATCTAACTTGACAAAGTTTAAATTTAATAAAAATGTTACCCTCTCCAAATCAATACAAGGAACTTAGAATGATTTAACTATAGTCACCCCCATCCCAAATGAAATATTGTTACGTCATATTTTAGTTTTATCTTGATTTTGTAATCCCTTAAATTGCACAGTATTGTTCTCATTTTATAAAGTCAATTAATTTAAGATCCACCCACGTGTTTAACATTTTCTTTGTTCATCATAGATTTCTGCATCTTAAGTCTTTATTATTTACCTTTTCCCTGAAGTACATGGATTTAGGTGATTCTTTACCTACTAGTAAATTATCTCAATTTTTGTTTATCTGAAAATGTCTCCAATTGACTCTCCTTATTGAAAGGAAGTGTTGCTAGGTGTACAATTCTAAGAGGACAGTGTATTTCAGCCCCCCATTTTTTTTTTTTTTTTTTTTTTGAGACTGAGTCTCGCTCTGTCGCCCAGGCTGGAGTGCAGTGGAGCGATCTCGGCTCACTGCAAGCTCTGCCTCCCGGGTTCACGCCATTCTCCTGCCTCAGCCTCCCGAGTATCTGGGACTACAGGCGCCCGCCACCACGCCTGGCTAATTTTTTGTATTTCTTTTTAGTAGAGACGGGGTTTCACTGTGTTAGCCAGGATGTTCTCGGTCTCCTGACCTCGTGATCCGTCTGCCTCGGCCTCCCGAAGTGCTGGGATTACAGGCGTGAGCCACCACGCCAGGCCTATTTCAGTCCTTTAAAGATGTTATTCTGGCTTTGATATTTGCTCTTGAAAAGTCTCCTGTACTATGTTGTTCTTTTTTGGTAATCTATCCTTTCTCTCTGCTGTTTTAAAGGTCTTCTACTTTTTTAAAAAAAATAAAATAAATATTTTTCAGCTTAACTATGATGCATCAAGTTGTGGCTTTCTTTTTATTTATTCTGCTTGAGATTCATTGGAATCTGGATCTGAAGATTGGTATCTTTTATAGATTTTGGAAAATTCTTACCCATATTATGTCCAAGTACTGTCTATCCCTCAATCTTTTAAAAATATACTTCTGGAATTCCAACAAGCATATATTAAAGCTTCTCATGTTTTCTTCCATATGTCTAAACCTCTCTTTCATAGTTTCCATCTTTTTGACTTTATATACTGCATGCAGTATAATTTTTTAACTCTATTTTCCAGTTTGTTACTTTGTTCTTATGATGTACTTAAAGCATCATTTTCTTTCATTTCTAGAGATGACTAATATATCCCAATTTCACATTTTCATATATGCAGATAATCAAATTTTCCCCAGCACATTCGTGTCACACCAAGTTAATTTACATATTTATTGAACTATTATTCTGGGTCTCTTGATTATTAGGAAAGTCAGTTGAAATCACATAGAAATATAACATCCCATGAAATGCCCTGCTTCCTGCTTCTTACTCCCTGAATCTCATAGTCATTATAATCTGCAGGTAAAGTTGCAAGGCCAAATCCTTAGGTGTAGTTGGGAATATCCCACAGGTCTAAAAGTCTGGGCCTAATGCTTCTCTGGCAGAAATTTTCATTGCTTTATAAGGTTCTTCCAAGTACAGCCTTTGAATGACAAAGTTTAAACCCTCTAGCTATGCCACCCCTTGCTCCTATTTTATCTTCCTCACACCATTTTGAAGATTATGATTTTTCCATTTTGCTGCTACTGAAAGCAAACACTAGACTAGTGGAAGTTTGGGTTGGGAGCCAGCCCAGTGCTCACTGTACATCCATCCTGGGCTCCTATCTAGCCTGTTCCACAGGCTGTGCTTCTATCACCAGCAGGATTTGAGGGCCTGGGCCCAACAATAAACGAAGTCCACTTGGCCTGGAGAGGACTACTGCTGTCAGGTGACAGCTGCCCCTGGCTGGGAGAAGAAACCTGGGCTAGACTCCATGCCAGGAAATAAACTCATGGCCATCTGCATTCCCTTTCATGACTCAGCCGTTCTTTATGAAAGGATTTACTGTGTGAGGAGTAGGAGGCTAGAAGATCTGAAAGAAGAAACAGCAAAGGGGATTACTAAGCCATTGAAACAAAGATGAAAAAATAGCTTTCCCTAGGCAGGCTGCTGCTTTGTAGCGACAGGAAGAGAATTTTCCACTTAAAGAATAATTATTATAGAGAAAGTTAATCTTTGTATACACAATTCAGATACCACAAAAATAAAATAGGACCAAATAACCTTATTGGGACCTCAGAGATAAGCAGTAATATTTTGGCTGATAAATGCTGAGTTTATAACTTAGTCCTATTCTAGTTTGGTACAGTGAAAAAAGGACTTAGGTCTGGATTCTTATTCCATGCTTTCTGTCTTTCTATCTTGATGCCATTGTTATTTTGGATTTTTCATCACTCTCAGCCAAAATAATCTTGATGCAAAAGACTGGGCTTAATATCTACCAGAATTTAAAATTCACATTTTTTTAACCCAGCAATACCACTTATAAGATTATATCCTATAAATATACTGGAATAGCATTAAAATATATAATAAAAATATCAAAAGACTGTGATATCAAAAGAATGGAAACAAACTAAATAAAGATATAATAAAAATATCAAAATACTGTGCTATCAAAAGAATGGAAACAAACTAAATATTCAACAGTAGGTGACTGGTTGTGAAAATGATGTATACATTATTATGTAGCCATAAAGAGTCTCAGAGATCTATATGGAATAATCTCCACATTTCAGGGGGAAAGATCATATATTGAACTTTCCAAATACAACTGCAACAATATCTCTCATCTCATGATGTGACTTTGACATTCCTCCTATCAAAAGATAGGGATTAGGTCCCCTCCTCTTAAATCTGGGAAGCAGAAGTGACACTGTCTGATTTCCAAGGCTAAGTCAGAAAAGGCAAGGCAGCTTTCTCTGTGTTGGCCAAAAAGACTCATGACTGGAGTCCAAAGTCACTGTGTAAGAGGCTGCCATGCTGTGAGGAAGCCAAACACATGGAGAGACCATGTGCTCTACTACCGAGTAGATGATCTACTACCGATAGATGCTCTGCTCAATAGTCCTTGTCTTCAAATCCGTCCAGTCCAGGGACCAGTCATGGGAGTGATGAGCCTTCAGATGGCTGCAGCCTCCCAGCCTTCCAGTCTTTTGAGCCAAGGTTGCAGATATCATGGAACCTATAAGGTTCCAGGGAAAAGTCACCCCTGCTGTGCCCTTTATGAATTTCCAAATCACAGAATTGATGATTGTGGTAAAACAGTTGTGCTTTTTTGATACTAAGTTTGAGGTGGCTTCTTGCACAGATAGTATGTTTTTAAAGAGTTATTCTTCACTGTTTGCTTTTTCATACCATTTCAATTTTTCTATTACCATGTACATACATTATTACATTTTCCAAGTCTATATAAAATAAGGACATTTGCTAGGAAACTATGATGCCAGAGACAAGCAGGTCTGCCGGCTTCCACTAGTAACACGACTCTGAAAGCCCAAATCCCCACTGAGCACATGTGAAAAAGTCCAAAGAAGACGAAGAGGATATTCCAGGCTTTTTAGTTTTTAAAATCAGATATCATACTCCCACAACTATAGTATGTCAACATGATACAAACCTTATCAGTATTTTTTTCACAACAAATTATTAATTGAAAAAGAAAACCACCACCATGCAGGATCTAAAACGGCATTATTTTTTTAATCATAGATTAAGGTGCAGGTTGAATATAACCTTCACTTCACATCTTCCAAATAGTAAGCTAGCTACGGTCTTAAAATCCATGTCTAGTTTATCCAAAGAAGGCTTTGGGAGGCTAAATGAGAACCTAAGATGTAAAAGGTTGTCACTCTTCCCTAACCATGGCAAGGTGCAAGAAAGCAGCACAACTTTGGAATTCATAGAGGTGTCCTGAAGTCTGGTAATAATAGGAAAAAAACCCATAACTACCCACTTTGCAAAACTTTGAAGTTAATAGAAAAAGTAGGAGGTAAACAGTAACACAAAGGATTTATTCCAAATAATATCAGAAATATGCAAAGAATAACAAAGCAGAGTGATCTACATCTTTAACTGTGTTCTACAACATTTTTAGGTATTTTTAAGTTTCTCTATTTCATTTAATTTTAAACAACCCTTTTAGGAGGAGATGTAACCAGAGGCAACTACTTCTCTATAAAAATCACTCAGCAACTATATAGTATACATGATACAGAATTTTCTATTTCCATAATCTCTAAACTGGCACTGTAGATGATTTACAAACATCCTGAGGGACAATGGCCCTTGGTAGACACCATAGAGAACATTAATGTTCTGGTAATTTTGTAGAAAAATTATTCTAGTCTGCTGTACTGCAAAACAGTCTCACTACAGAGCCACAGGGAGCCACTGCACAGGACAAGAGGAGGGGGAGATGGGAGTCACAGAGAGCACAGGGAGTCACAGAGAGTCACAGAGCAGGGGGACGTGGGAGTCACAGAGAGATCCTTCCCTCGAGGGATCGGTGGTTTGTCATGGAGTTGATTCTGAAGGCCATCAAAACCTTCCTCATATCATGAAGTTTGTGAAAACCATTGGGAATAATTAATGTTTTATACTCAAAGAAAGCTGTCATTTCTTTTAACAAGGAATAGAAACTGGGGCCAGGAGGCCCCTGAAAACAGAGGCATGATGGAATGCTGGCTGAGGGCTCCCGCAAGTGATCCACAGCCCTCTTTGCCTCAGCCTGCCTGGAACCAGGACAAGGACCCAGAGCACGCTACTGAGCCGGGGCTCAGTCAACATCTGTGGAAAGAATGACTGGCAAGGAAGGCCCAAACTTCTCCAGGCTCCCTGGGCCTATGGATGCAGACCTGTTAAAAAGTGTCAGCTCCTCAGAAAGCTTGGCTTTCTCCTTCACCTTCTCACACAGGACCTCTAGTCCTGGCAGAGGCTCCCTGACCCCGTCACTTCATGTGAACTGGTTGTCTTAATCTCTCCTAGTTGCTAAGTTGCTCTCTTGCCATAGTACTTCTTTGCTAGTGGCAGAAGGATGGGGAGTGGGGATATTTCTGGTTAGTGGAGCAAAGGCTTCAGTGTGTCACAGAATGTGGTCTCTAAGGCCCAGACAACTGTGTGGGATCTAGCCTAGGTATCAATTTGAAAAGAGCTACCTGGTTATACTCAGAATTCCCACCTATGCCCTTCCTGCCTGGAACTCTTTGACAGGAAGACTTTTCTCCTGCAAGCTTTCTCAGCACTCTGCACAGCCCATCCACACTCTGCCTCTCCGTCCTCACTCCACCAAGTCACCAGTCATATCTCTGCAGAGCTGGCCCCTGAGTGCTGATAGAACTCGACTTATTCCCCAGGAGACACCTCAGCCCTGGTGCGAATCATGAGACCTCTCCTCCACTGGGCCTGTCTCATGAGTTCACAGATGAGGCCAGTGGTGCCTGAACCCCAACACAAGACAGAAAGTGCAAGTTATTGGATGGATGAGAATGTCAGAGAAAGTCAACAGGACCCGGTGGCAAATTTTAATCTGTTTGCTATCATAGAAACTTGGGAAGGGTTTTAGGTATCTAAGGAAGAAAAAAGCTCTTCCCCTGCTGTTGGAGGAGAGTTATTGGAAAGAAACCATCTTCATACCAGTTTCTTTCCCCATCCTGCTATATTTCTCTCTCCCTTCTAGTATGTGGTTAAACAAAATTGGGAGCATACTATATGTACAGTTTTCTATGCTCTAGGGAGCACTTGTTCATATAATTTCAAGAAAGCTTGAAAACATTCTTTCATTCCACTCCCATATGTTGAACATTTAACTTGTTCCCAATTTTTCATTTTTATAAATAATGCATGGTGAATATTCGGTTCATAAATCTTTAACTGCAACTCTGGTTATTTTCTTAGACTAGAGCTAAAAAAATTAGAGTATGGGCCGGGCACGGTGGCTCAGGCCTGTAATCCCAGCTCTTTGGGAGGCCGAGGTGGGCGGATCACCTGAGGTCGGGAGTTGAAGACAAGCCTGATCAACACGGAGAAGCCTCGTCTCTACTAAAAATACAAAATTAGCTGGGCGTGGTGGTGCATGCCTGTAATCCCAGCTACTTGGGAGTCTGAGGCAGGAGAATCGCTTGAACCTGGGAGGCAGAGGTTATGGTGAGCCGAGATCATGCCATTGCACTCCAGCCTGGGCAACAAGAGCGAAACTCCATCTCAAAAAACAATAAAAATAAAATAATAATAATAATAATAATAAAAAGATTATGAGGGCAAAGGATACTAACATAACTGAGGCTATTTATTTATATTAAACTACCCTTCAGAAAAGTAATAACTTATAGTACTAGGAATACCCAGGCCTGATTCCACATCTTCACCAACCCTGCATAATATCATTGTTTTAACATTGCTAATTACTTTTAAACAACCCATATACAAGTTGTACCTCACTGATTCTAATAACGTATTTTCCCTCCTCTATCTTAACATCTCTGAATTCACTGGCACTTTGCAATACCTGGCATCTGCCAATCACTTTAGACCAGTCAGTAGATGCCACTTAGTTATCTGTGATGAGTGAACTTGGTTGTTCATTCTAGTTTTACCATTGAACAACTACTATCCCTCAAGATTTCAGTCAAAAAGCTCTTAGGGACCATTTGAGGAAGCAGTGTTAGCCATGGTTGCTAACACATCCTGGTAAGATCAAAGCAGAGGCAGCATTAAAATGTGCAGTATGGGTGTCAGTGGCTTAGAAGAAAATCCTAGAAACAAAAGCAGAGCACAATGCAATGCTGCAACCCCAAGCTCATGAAGGCACAGGGAATAACACCATGTGCAAAGCACAGACCTCTATGACTCTTGGGAAAAAGGTGATTCTGGAGAGTTGGACTCTGCCTGTGAAGTTTTCGGCAAATCTCAATCCCTTTATTTCTTTTATTATTGTATGTGTTCACAAGAGATAAACATCTATGTCTCAACAACTCTAAAAGAGATATTTTGATAAGCATAAGATAAAAATTCTAAGTGATAAGAAATAATTATGCCATAGTTTAACTTGCGGCTTTCCTTTCTTTTTCTACAATACATAAAATCATGGTATATCAGACTTGATTAAATATCATATTTTAAAATATGAGAGTATTTTACAATAATGGAAACTGAAGTAATTTTCAAACGATACATAATACTTGCAACAAATCATGTAGATTTTACCTTAATCTGTGGGTAGGTCTTGCCCTCCTAATATGTTCCTTCCTCCTTAGAGAAGAGTTAGAATAGGGCACATTTCCTGGGGACTGCAGCTGCTCCAAGAACCAAGACCACAGTTCCATTTGGTGTGGAGCTCTGTGAAATTGGTTCACAGTGGCCATGGCCCCCAGGGTCCTCAAGCTTATCCCAGGTTCCTCAAACATTTTGAAAAGAGCTCTACCCTACTGTTTTTCTTTAATCTTTCCTCTACCAACATTACCTCATCTTTCTCAATAAAAATCTCTCAGAACTATTAAAGTAGAATACATAAACAGATCCATTTTATTAAACAAATATTCATCACCCCCCATTACCAGGGCCCACGCTTGGCACTGGACATGAACTAGGATCACAGAATGCTTCCTGCTAACTAAGAACTAAAAGTCTAATGGGAAAAATTACTTATTAATCTCAAAAGGAAAATACTACTATACACTAGAGAAGTTGGAAATACATTAACCAAGTGATCAAAATTAACATCACTAGAAAGGGGCAAACAGACGTCAACCTTCAGATGTGATACCAAAGACACGTGACTTATACAGTATTCCAAATGGATAAACAAAAGCTAATCATGAGGAAACATTGGAGAAGCAGTGGAATATTTTATAAATGACAGGCCTGTATTTTTTTAAGATCGATAGTATCAAAGAGAAAGGCTGAAATTAAATATTAATTCAGATTAAAGGAGACTAAAGAGACAGAATGACTTAATGCCATAAATGATTTTAGACTGGATCTTGTTTTAAAAAGAAAATTCTATAAATGACATTACAACAATTCATAAAATGATGACATGTAGATTGTAGATGAAAGTATTGTATCAGATCTGGGCATTGTGGCTCATCCCTGTAATCCTAACATTTTGGGAGGTTGAGGCGGGAGGATCATTTGAGGCCAGAAGTTTGAGACCAGCCTGAGCACATATTGAGAACCCCACCTCCACAAGTTTTCTTTAAATTAGCCAGGCTTGGTGGTGCATGCTTGTAGTCACAGTTACTTGGGAGGCTAAGGCAGGAGGATCCCTTGAGCCCCAGAGTTCAAGGCTGCAGTGAGCTATGATCATGTCACTGTACTCTAGCCTGGGCAACAGAATTAGATCCTGTCTCTAAAAAATACATTGCATCAGTTTAAACTTCCCGAATATGATAACTGAACTACAGATATGTAAAAGAAAATATTCTTATACCTAGGAAAAATACACTGAAGTATTTTTAGTAGAGGCATGAGGTTTGCAAACTATCTCAAATAATTAAAAAATAATATGTATAAAAACACTCATATAGAGAGAATGATAGAGCAAATATAACAAAATGTTGGTATATGAGAGACCTTTGTGTTATTCTTGCAACTTTTCTGTAATGTTTGAAATTATTTCAAAATAAAAAGTAAAACAATAGATAATTCACATGAAAGTCTTCTGTGTATACTTATTTGTAAGGTTGTAGTACAATTAAAGAGAACTCTGTTCTTAAAGTAAAAAATAAGATCTAATAGACAAGAAGTATAGACAAATAAGCCTGCAAACTTCAGTGCTATGAGTTCTGACACATTAATCTCCACATCCTGAGAAATGAACCTGAACAAAGTCAAGATCAGAGAGGCAGTTGTCAGCATTAAACATGATTTGTTAAATGTGAATTAAGAACAACAAAATTTTCCTTCTGTTTCAACATCCTGAAATTGCATTTTATTAAGAGATTGACATTTTCGTAATCAACATAATTTCCTTCAATCCTTTTTGGAAAAGGGTGAGGTATAAGTACAATTAATAGATGCATGATTCTTACCTTGTCCCTTTCTCAGTATGTATTATATTTGGTCAATTATGCCAGAAAGCTCCTAAATCTAGATTGTAAATGGCAGCTCTTCAGATTATGTCTACTTATTTTATCCTCTGTTTTTTCTTGTCTTATTCTCCATATGAATCCCCCTTACTTCCTCTAAACCTCAAAATAACAGTTTTTATGATTCTTTCAGATTTTAAACAGAGAATTATGAGTAGATCATCTTGGGGATTATATTCATATTGTTGACAGAAGACAATACCACTTTTTTCCAAATCACTGAATGCCCAGAACCTGGTAGTAATGGTCCAAGAAGTTAATGGAGACAGAGAGAGTTAAGACAAAATATTTTTGTTTAAATTTAAAATTTGCAATTATTATGGTATTTTAAAAATCTGACTTCTCTTCCTGCCTCTTGGTCATAATTTCTATTTATTCTACTTTTGCTTGTGTTCTGTAGGCATCACAGATCTCATGCCAAGGCTCTGCCCAGTGTAGAGAGCTAAGTAACACGAAAGCACTGAACATCCCAAAGAAAAGTCCAGTTTCCATACACTCATCAGTTATGACTATGTCCATGCTGTAGATTCCTGGAGGTACCAATGGAGTTGCCAGTTGCTGTCACTTCATCAAGGGGGAGGATCCTGCAAAATCTTCCACTGGATACAGAGAGGTTTCCAGCATGGCTCTGGGGTCTAGATTTTTTCACCTAAAAATCTACAGGGACCAGCCAGTCATGCAGGTGAATAATGTGGTTGAGAGACTACATACCCCGACTCAAGGTATGGCCATTATTCTGCCATTTAGAAATTCAGGCCCAGTAATACCAAAGTTTCCAATTCTTAAAGAGAAGGCAGAAATCCAGATTTTTATAGGAAATCCTTAAATATTGGCAATTTAAAAAGAGCAGGTTCAATCTGGCCCACAGGCACCTAGTTTAGGATCTCTGCTACAGGTTTTACCAACTGTGTCTACAGGTATTTACCAACTGTGTCTCCTCACTAAAGAGTCTGGCAGCCTGGGAGAGCTTCGCTATGGAATCATCAAATGTCTCCAAATCTTGAAAGGCACAGAGGGGCAAGGAGCTAACTGAACTCCAAAGACATCATGGTGATTTAGAGGCAAATAATATGTTTTCTAGAAATGATGAGATTTTTTTCCCCACCTTTCCTCCTACCAGTCTTCCCTTCTGTCCTCTCAAAGAATGAGGTACACAGGCCTGAGTGAAGGACAATCTCCTAGAACCATGACCAAAGAACAGTGGCTACTGTGAGGACAGAAAGGAAATATGACAGAGTAACTACAGATCCAAACTGAGGGCCACCAAATACCCTGCTTTTGATCAACATCTGGGGGAAAGAACTTCAAGGTTTCTTTGAACTCAGTCAGCCTTTGCTCCAAAAGTACTGGCCACCTTTCACAACGGCATCAATGGAATCTCCTGTCCAGATTTTGGGCTGCTGAAATAAAGGATCATCGGCTCCTGGGAGATGGATGACAGCCATAGAGTAGGAAGCCAATAGTGCCCTCCAGCCAGAGGAAGCAAATACAACAGGCCAGTGGGGAGGAAGGCCTGTTTTTAATTCTCAGTGGCATCATGCTGTGGCTCAGTGAGGGACTCTGAATGGGGAGGAGGCCATTACTTGACATATAATTACCAGTGGCAGCAATCTACCAAAGAGGCTAATGGAGATCCAAGGGCTATTTCAGCTTTTTCAAGAAACAATTCAAAGCCTTGTCAGAATAAAATCCACATTTCCTCTTTCTCCTTAGTACATTTCCCTACCTAGAGTCAAGCACGTTAAGACACTGTTCACAGCTGTAAAGTGAATGCTAGCTCGCAGGTGCCAGCCCCGTGGTTTGCTTTGGGAGCCGATTTAATGAAAGCTGGAATTGGGACCAGTAAAGCTTTCATTTCAGGGCCATTCTCCAACATAGTTGTCTGACAACTTAACTGGGAAAGATAAATTATCCAGAGAGAGATTACTATGCACAACCTCCTTTTTCTTTCCAACTCACTCCAGAGTAATTCCAACCTCCAGTTACCTTCCAATCTGTCTGCTGAAAACCTTTTCCTTGTTTACTGCCATCTGCTACATAGGAAACCCAGACAACCTCCATCCTCACTACTCTGATTTAAGGAGCCAGACAGTAGGTGCAAACCCGGCTTCCTTGTTCCAATCGGCTGTTATGCTTCTTCACTATTTAAACGTGTGGTCAGGGAGCATTCTCTTAGTAATTCAAGGGGTCACCATCTCAAACTCTTCCTTTGCTCTCAATGTCATTGCGTAGTTATAGTCAGTAGGCAGCTCTCTCGGCTGCCTACTTTTAGATGGTGTAAACCCTATATGTAAAACCTACATGTGAGGTGTAAGTGGGTGTCAATCTGGGCAGTTGGTTAATATGTTCCCAGACTGTGACATAAACCAATAATAAATGTAACTGACCAGCAGGGTTTGGCTGGAAATGAAAATCTTACACATTCTCTGCACTCGCACTGGCTTTTACCATAGAATATTTTATTATAATTCATAATTGTGTAATCTCCAAGAAAACTATAAGAAAATAAGGGAAGGAAAAGGGCAGAAAAGGAATGATTTTTCTTTGTCCTTTCTCATGCCTGTTGAGGATGACATTTCTCCTTTTCCCCAAAAAAGAATAAAGAAAAATAGGATATCAAATAAAAGAGAATAGAGTTTTCCCACAATCTCTCATGCATCTAGACCATCATGGTCCACAACCCTGCATTTCTGCTGCCTCCTTCTTTAGGATGATGAGTAAAAATGATTTTTCAAATCCACTAATCTTATAAGCCTTTTTGTGCAAATGTCTCTCTAAGTATTTAAAAACACTGTAAAATATTGTATTAGTAATACAAACACAGAAAAGAAACTATTTATTCAGAGATTTTGATAGTCACCAAATCTAAAGCCAACCATGTGTGTGTTATTCCCACAGCATCTAGGATTATTAGAGGAAAAATATGTTTTCTTTTAAACAAAATGAAAACATGATGCTGGATCACATTTCCAAATTCTTTTTCTTAAAAGAGAGAGAAAAAAGATTGAATCTATTTTCATAATAAGTATGGATGACTCTTGGAAACAATGAACCTTTGTTTTTACTGAACTTAGCAGTATAATCAAGAAACTGTACATTTTCAGTGTGTACATGGAAATTCTAATAAACATAAAATTCATCCTCACTGTGCATTTCAAAGGCAGTCTATTCCTATCATCAAAAAAGCAAAATAAGAAAATGGTTCCCACAGAAGAGAATCCCAATTTTTCTGGTTCTTGAGAAAAGCATGTGATCTCTGTTTTGATCCTAACTTTGTAACCAGATAGGCCATTGAGGAACTTGGAGGAGGAAACAATCAGTTGTCTTTGAGGATCTCAGTTTTATCATAAAATGCAAATAAATAAAGTGGCTATTGATGTGAAAATCTATTACAATAACTTGTTTACCTTTTCCCAAATATTTACCGAGCAGCTTCCTATAAGGCACCTCAGTGCTAGAACCTGGAGATTCAAAAAGAAGAGGGCGGGCCCTCAAGAAGCTGAGCCTAGGGGGCAGATCCAAAAAAGTAAACATAATTAAGAATAGTTATAAGAGTGTTAAGGGAGGCCAGGTGCGGTGGCTCACGCCTGTAATCTCAGCACTTTGGGAGGCCAAGGCGGGTGGATCATTTGAGGTCAGGAGTTCAAGACCAGCTTGGCCACCATGGTGAAACCTCATCTGTACTAAAAATACAAAAATTAGCTGGGTGTGGTGGTGCACGACTGTAATCCCAGCTACTCAGGAGGCTGACGCAGGAGAATTACTTGAACCTGGTAGACAGAGATTGCAGCGAGCCAAGACTGTGCCACTGCACTCCAGCCTGGGCGACAGAGTCAGACTCCATCTCAAAACAAACAAACAAACAAAACAGCATTGTGGGAGATTCGGTAAAGCACACAATAGGTCTCAGCCCAGATTTCAATACCTGCAAGAATCTACTCAAAGAAGGTGTGGTCTGTTACAAACCTTAAAAAATAGGCAAGTGGTGTGGAGAGGTAGTCTGAATCTAAAAAAGAGCATTTATAAAGGTCCAGAGGCCAGAGAGAGTTGTGGCCCTGTGGAAGGCAGTTCAACATGATTGCAGCATGAGGGAAGAATGGGGAAGGACGGGGCGGGAGAAACTGGCAGAACCCTTGTATCTTGAAGGGCCTTGCATGCCATTCCAAGGTATACGGATTTTACCCTCAAAGGTCTTTGAAGGTTTGGGAGTAATATGGCCAAGTTTTACCTAAAGAAAGGTCATGTAGCTTCCAGTGTGTATAATGGATGAATTGGTGGGAGGGGGGGTAAAACAGAGGGGCAGAGCAATCCATTAGGAAATGGGAGATGGCGGTGACTTGAACTAAGGAAGTGGCAGAACAGATAGGAAAAAGTGAAAAAAATCTAGAGGATTAAGTAGGAACAACTGACAAAAACTGATTAATAACTTGATATGGATGATGGGGGAGAGGTCCATGTTTCTGTTTTGGGCAAATGCTTGCATGGCGGTGGGAATATAGGAGACAGAGCTGGTTGAGAAAAGGAATGAGAAAGTGGAGAGATCAGTCTGAGATATAAGTTAGAGGAATCTCTGGACCATTCACATGAAAATGTCAGGAGATCTCTAGGTCTTGAGCTGGAGAGACACCATCAGGGAGAGAATAGAGAGTTGGGAGTCATAGGCATACATTTGGTAACTGAAGCTACAGGAACGGACCAGACTACTTGAGGTGAGGTTTTCCAACGAAAAGAAAGCCAAATCTAGATCCCAGGGGAACACCACTTTTAAGAAACATGTATTGAGAAATGAGTAAGCCAAAGGGAAGACAGCAAGGTAAGAAGAAAATTAGGAAGGTGGAACCATGGATCTGAGCGAAGGCACTGTTATAAAAAAGGAAACTGGTCCACATGATTGAATGCAGCAGAAAGGGGACTGAAGAGAAAGTGAAGTCAAAGTGACACTGGATTTAATGAGGGGGATTACTCATTAAATGGTGATCTTGGCAAGGAAACTTTCAGTGGAGTGGTGAGTGTGGAAACTTGATTATGGAAACCAGATGAGAAATGAATGCAAGTGAGAATGCTAAACTGGCAAATGTCGACCATTCTCTCAAGAAGTTTGACTCTAAGTCCTTGAAGGCTGGCACTGTGCCTCATTCTCTGTTGTATCCTGAGGTATAATATCAACAAGTAATAAATAAATATCTGTTGAATTAATTCTAAACAAGGGAAGAAGATGAGGCAAAGGCTACTGGGAGGATGGGTCAAGGAAAAGGATGAGATTGAGAGTAAAAATGAGAAGTTTACTTTAGACAGGATGAAATCTCTCTTCCAGAAGAACAGGAGTAGAAGAGGTCACAAAATTGAAATAATTTTCATCCACTAGCTTTAGTTTTATTGATGAATTCAGAAGCAAGGTGATCTACTGAAAATGTCCATGGAAATGATGAAGTAAGTAGATCTAGAAGAGTAAATAGCAAGCTTTGCAAGGGAAACAAAAAGATCAGTGGGCAGCTGAGGGCCCACTTGAGGGTGGAGGGATTCACCCTGTGTGACAAAATTAACACAGACATGGGGCTGGGGGATGAACAGTCCTCAGAACTAGAGACTGCAGGAGGATGGATCTGGGATTGGGCTTTTTCTAGTGGGTAAAAAAAAAAAGATGCCAGAGGAAGGGAATCTCAGATATTTGCAATTGGTCCACGCTAGAAGGAACTGAAGACCAAAGGAAACTTTGGTAGCAAGTAAAGTATCAAGAGGGTCTTAAAGAAGATCAGATCAGATTGTAGGGAACATGGCAGAATGAGAGCTGAAGGTTTGTTATAGAGGGATATTCTATGTGAATGTAAGGTAAATACACATCTATCCTGTTGCTTTTAGGTCTGGCTACCATGACCAGGTGCTCTAACCAACGTTGCCAACCTCATCTCATTGCCCCCAGGCTCTCAGAACAGTGCCTTGTTCCTCAACCCACTGTGCTTCTTTTGTGATGCTGGGCTTCCCAAGGGGAGAAATGCAGTATTTTACTCACTCTGAGAGTCCAATTCCCGCCATTAGAGACATTCTTGATATCTGTAGTGAATGAATAAATGAAAGAATGTCTCCGCATGTTTGCACATCTTCTAATTTGGTGAAATGTAGACTGTTGTGCTCACTCTCCCTGTGTAGGTACCTATGGAGTATTCTAAGTTCTGAGATCCCACGCAACAGATCCCTGGCCCTCTGCCATGATGTTCTTCTGTTGAAAGTTAGGGAAGATGCTCTAGAAGGAACTGTGGGGCTGATGTGAAGGAGAGGTGATGCTTTAGTGCCAGATGACAAGCCAGGGAGTTCACAGAACACCTTGTGGTGTAGAGAATTTGGTAAATTGAGTAAAAAGCTATCTACGTGAAACTATAAGGAGTCCCTAAGTCCCAGCTGTAGATGCCATAGATGTGGCAAACTATTAAATATTAGATATTCTAATTCACTGTAATTTATTGACAGTCACTATTAGCTTTAGTGAATATGCTGAAGAAGTTAAAATGTCAAAGGTGATGTTATAAAAATGAATTCTTACTCCAGGCATCAAACTGTCATGGGTGGCTTTATTTATAGACACATAGTGGTTTCTGAGGCCATACACAGTTAATAAAATGTGACAGAATGAGTTTTTCATGCACTATAACCCTTAGTTATTAAATTTATCTCAGAGTCAAAATGATTTAGAATTTTTCACTTTGATTATAAATTATCAGTCACTAAAATTTTTATCATTCACTGAATTACACCAAAGATTCAGTAAAAATTATATAGCAAATCTGGAGTGGGACTTCTCATGCTAAGAATTGTCTAAGTCAATGCGGCAAAAGCAGCCATATGGAATGTTTGCAAAGCATTTTATTGTGGGAAATAAATGTGGGTGTTAAAATACTATGTATAACTACAAATTTAGGCATGCTAATTTTATCAGCAGCGAGATTTCAGTGTTAAGGCTAAACTTCATTAATTCAGAAAGCACTAACATAGAACTTTAAAAGAACAGCTGGTGTGTGAGGTAATAAAAAGTAAAAACAAGTTTTCAAAAGGAATATTTCTACCACTCAAGTGGCATTGGGTGGGGCAGCAGGCAGGTGCTGTGTTTTAAAGCTAAAGACCTAGGCAGGATTGAATCTAGCTTTTGTGGGGCTGGAAGCTTATATAACCTGGGGGAGCCCATTTTAAGAAGAAGGATACAAAATTCAAAATGTAAAATTAAATTTCAAAAGTGAATTTTTTATATAAAAATATATAAAGTAACTATTTGTTCAAAATGAGAAAAGAAATTATAATATTTTTAAAAGCTGAGTAATGCCACAAGCATTCAAAACTCAGAAAAATATTTTATTAGTTAACTGCCTGACATATTGCTGTTAATTTACTTCCTTATATTGTTGTTTATATACTCTCAACCTCTTCATATAGCAAATATCTATATCTTTTTGTATAGAAAGAAAAGCAATATAATTTAGTCTTCCCTCAACCAAAGTTGATTGAAACTTGGTTTTACTAACAGTTTAGAAAAGTTTCAAGCCATTTCACTGTGTTGATGACAGTGTTATGTGCCATTTCAAATGGAACCGCCAAACTTTGTCAGGCTACATGCATTTGATCTGTTAGAACACAGTCTAACCTAAGGTGCTGTAATGTATAAAATGTTATGTACTTGGACATACTCTCTGTTCATAGTACTGCCACAAGTTTGTGCTCTTCAAACACAGCAATCCTGATATCTTCTAATTCATGTGATTTTTATAGCAAAAAAGAAATGCATCTGATGTACTTATAATTATATTAAATTGTATTCACTTCATTATCAAGTATGTTTCTGGCAGTTTTGTTTTGACAAGGCATAGAGAGAATTAAGTCATTCACTTGAAATTTTTCATGTCTGATGATTGGAAGTATTTTCCCGAGACAAGTTTCAATTGTTGTTTCTCCTCCGGCCCTCAATTACTTTTGATACCAGCCAGACGGCAGAGCCTTTGGTCCTTTCCCACGTGTCAAGTGAACCACAAGAGTAATAACCTACATATGGAAGTAACTATAAGCCGCATTATTCCACCGACTGCAAACTAAATGCATCCCCAAGTTAACTTCCCCTCAACCAGATCACAGATACGTCCAGGGCCACTCCAGTGCCACCCAAAACAAGAAGTATGATAGAGGGGAAGTTGGCTAAGTGGTCTTAGCCAATTGCTTATAAAATATTTCTTTTCACAGATTTTACCAAAACAAATGTGAATACATTGTGATGGGCCCCTGGAGCAGGCAGACTAAAGTGCAAGCTTCATTAGCATCACAGTTAACCACTTCTGGGCCTGGGCAGGTCACTGTTTTGTCCTAAGCATGGCACTCCGGAAAAATCTTAATTTGTCTGAACTTCAGTTTCCCCTTAGTGAGATGAGGCTACTACTACTACTATGTGTTTCACAGGGCTGTTGTGAGCTCGGAATGAGTTAATTCATGGGAACCATTATCATAATGCTTGGTAAACAGTAAATGTTTAATAAATATTAGCTTTCATTATTAAGCAAAAGATGTTATAAATTGCAGGATACTACATAACAAATTGGTTAGAAGAATAATTCATATACCAACAAACAATAAAGACATTAAGCAGACACAATTGTCATGTTAGTTAAAGCTAATTTCCTATTTTATTATTACCCTAAATAACTATATATATTTGAAAACAACAAAACTACTTTTTAAAAATTATATCTGACCAAAAGCTCGAGGCTGCAGTGGGCTACGATCATGCCACTGCACTTCAGCCTGGGCAGCACAGTGAGGCCCTGTTTCAAAAAGAAAAAAAAAATTATATCTGAGAGATTTAACTTGTACAGATGGAATACCACCTCTTCCCATCTCACTATATTTGAAATGGGGTTGGGGTGGGGTAGGTGATTTGTTGCCCTATAGTATTTTAGGAGGAAGAAGAATGTTTCTTTTCTAGTATTAATTGTTCTAACTGGTGTGTTATATTTCCTTTCCTAGGAAGCACATAAAGAATTCCATTCCCAGAAATCAAGGTTTCAAAACATCTTCAGAAGCAAAGTAAACAAAATGGAAAACAAATCTTAACAATAATTTTATTCATAGGAAATTTTTTCATTGCTAATAAAATCTAGGAACACTATAAACTTTTTTCAGACTATACAAATTCTTTTTTTACCTTGAAAATCTAAATATTTATTAAGTAATAGGTAATACTGCACAAAATATCTAAGTGAGAAAGCATGAGGTATTTTAGAGTCAAATTTGACACAGAAGCCTCTACATAAATGAATATACAATCTTTCAAAGTCATAAATTAGTATGCTGCAAGATTCTCCAGACAGCAGGGATCAGAATAAACTGAGAAGGAAGAAATATTTCCTGCCAGTAGCAAGCAGTAAAAATGCCAAATGCAGGGAAGGAGGGGAAGCGTTTTAAAAATCAAATGGGGTTCATCATGGGACCATACATCTGCCTAAAGCAAACCAGATTATAATTCGTGTTTTATTAGAGATTAGACTTGCAAACATCTTGAGTTTCAACACTTGAATTTGAACGGCTGAGGACCTTTCTCATGGTCCCTAAAAATGTGCCTCTCCTTTCAAAAAGAAACAAATCATTGCTTTCTATTCCGATTTTTGGCTTCTCAATAGCAACTCACTTCTTGGTTGTACTCTATGGGAGGCACAATAAATACCATTGACTTAAGGAATCGAAGTCCACTGAGGTGAAAAGCAGTACTTGTGAGGGCTCAGGTAGGAGACAGAAAAAATCCTGGCAGTTATCTCATTTTTCATGAAGAAACCAGGCTGAGCTGTGCCAAGCAGACAGCTATGAGCTCACTGGTTTGAAATAATTACGCATTGAGACTTTTCCTCAGGACAGAGCTAATGGGTTTATGCACGAAACATAGCTCAAATATTGATTTACGGGGTTTCTCATTTTAAATCAGTAATGAGTACCCTTTACCTATACTTGGGCCTGACAAAGTTCTCTGTTATGTTAACTGATGAACTAGATTAAATAGAAAATAAATATTCAACTAAAGCAGATTGTTCTTAATACACATTTTTATGTTTGGTGGCCTCATTCCTATTTTAGGAGATGCAGAAATCAAAGCCTCAAAGAATCAAAAATGATAGAAGAGCTTTTCAGAGGAATAACACTCCATTGTTGAGACTCAGAACTTAAGTACAAACTGAAGCAAACCCAAAACAAATTGCTCTGTTTAGCCCAGTGCCAATCTGAGAAGCGCTCTTTTTATTCAAGATGAGATGTGCTGTGACGTCAACCAAGGAAACAGAAACATCAAAAGTGGACAGTATTCAAATGATTTCTGTGGGAAGATGCAGAGCAGGATCCAAAACACTGATCTATATATTTCTGCATATGTTTGCTCCATGCCTAAAGAAACAAGGAGAAGCATAAGGGAACAGCAAAAAATTCACCTAAAACGCAGTGATGCATGCTGTAAATTTAGCAGGTCCTTCCAAAACTCCTAACCTGTGCTGTAAGTAAGAAAAGAGATAAATGCAGATCTATTGGTGTCCAGCACTCGCCTGGTTTTTAGACTTATTGGATGGCAGTGTAGAAAGTCTTCATTTATTGTCTAAGTGGTATGTTTTGTCTAATTTTGTTATTTTCAAATAAAGCATTTTTTCATATATACTGCCCCTGCCCCCGAATCCTATTAGTAATGACACTGCCATTGATGACAGAAGAGCCAAGAAAAAGTTGAAAATATTCCACTGTGAAATAAGGATGCAGAGGATGTTAAGGTAGCAGATTTGCTAATATAATAAACAAGAGTTAACAGAGCAAATAATATTTCATTCCACTAACTGGTAGATGTTGAATAATATAGTTAAATGGATTGGTAAGAATTAAAATGAAAAAATACTATATACTGTTGTTGATGATATTGAAAACTGACCATATTTCTCTCAAGAAGCTCAAAGAATCGCATGCTATTCTGAAGGCAAATCTGACCTAAGTCCAAAAAGACTCAGCCATACAAACCTTCTTTGTTGTTTTCCCCTTTCTCCATTCCTCCCCTCCTCAACATCTTGACAAGATGGCTCTTTCTCATCATTCAGGCCTTGGGGCTCAAATAGCACCTTCTCAAAAAGCCTTTCTCTGAACACATTATATACAGCGTACTCTCCTATCAGAGCTCTACCCCATTATTCTGGTTTACTTTCTCCTTAACACATCTTTTGAAATCATCTTTTTTGTTCATTTATTTGTGTATCATCTGTCTTTCCCAGTGCACCATAAACTCTGTGAGAGCAGGGTCTACATCTGTACCACCAGCATCTCAAACAGTAACATTTATTATGTTCTTAGATTGTATGGGTCAAGCCCTTATGACATTCTTGCTTGGAGTCTCTCATGAGGTTGTACTTAGATGCAGTGCTGGCTGTTGGTTGCAAGCCTTAGTTTCTCTCTATGTGGGCCTCTGCTTGGGACTGTTTGGATGTTCTCATGGCATGGGGGCTGGCATTCCCCAGAGCAAGCAATCCATAGCAGAAACTGAAGTGCCGTTTATAATCTGGCCTGAGAAGTCACAGGATCTCACTTCTGCCTATCCTGTCAAGTCACATGATTCAGCATGGCACGAGACTATAGGAGTGAATACCAGGAGGCAAGGATCACTGGGTCCATCGGGAGAGGTTGGTGCTGTTACAGTTCACTGTTTTTAAAAAGCAAGCCTTTGAGGTTCCAAAACCTTGTATTTTTATACACTACTTCAACATTTAAAGGACTTGAAAAAACTCATTAAAGCTTTCTACTTTTCTAAGACATTTGAAGAAAGTATGAATTTCTTTTTAGTGACTTATATGGTTTGAATGTGTCCCCCAAAGTTCATGTGTTGGAAACTTGATCCCCAATGTGGTAACGTTGGGAGGTGGGACATTCAAGAGGTAAGTGGGACTTGAGCTCTGCCCTCATGAGTGGACTACTATTGTTATTGAATGAGGGGGTTTGTTATCATGAGAGCGAGTTCCTTATAAAAGGACAAGTTTGGCCTCTCTTGTTCTCTCTCACCCTTTCTTGCCCTACCACCATAGAATGATGTAGCAAAAAGGCCGTCGCCAGATGCCAGCCCCTCAATTTTGGACTCCCAGCCTCCAGAACCATGAGCCAGTGAATTCTGTTCATTATAAATTATTACCCAGTCTGTGGTATTCTATTATAGCAGCACAAAACAGACTAAGACAGTGACAGAATAAATGAAAAGAATAATAAAATGACTACTGCCCCCTTCACTATGTATTTAATAACAAGTTACTGGTTTTGTTTTACTATCTATTTAGTTGAGAATGTGCAGCACTCAAGCTCTTTGAATGTCAAAGTGGGATTAATGCCAAGTGCAGACAAAGCTGGGAGGAGTTTGAACAAGTATTTGGAAGCAAGTCCCCAGACAGGATTTGCAGCCCATGTCTCTTTTGAGACAATGACATATGCAATTCTTCTACCAAAAATGATCTCACTTGTTAACAGTTGATTGTTCAGGGGTCTGGAAAGGATACTGTATTATTCTGGCAGCCAGAGTAAACTTGGGGCAGGCTGTAGCCATGTGTAACCCTTATCGTCTTAGGGCTCAAAAACTAAGGAAGGCAAATATATTTGTAAAGTTGCTGAAGACAAGAGTTATCTGTCTGGATTTTTTAAGTCATAATCATTCTGTACAAGGTGAAAGGAAGAACACCTTCTCCCAATTATTTCAGATAAGACAGTTGAATTTCTACTACAATGACTAAAACTAATTACGTGAATAAATAAATAGATCAATCCATCAATAAATTAACTAAGGAGCCTGAAGAAAGTATTAATTTCTTTTTAGTGACTCCTCTGGCTTGAATGTGTCCTCCAAAGTTCATGTGTTGGAAACTTGATCCCCAATGTGAGAAGCCTTAAGATTTACCTAGAAAAATGCCTGTTTGGAAACACAGAAAGAAAATAATTAGAAGGGAGAAAATGGAGCCAAACAAACGATGTTAGTACAAGTAGGAGTGAAATTTAAATAAAAATGAGAACTCTAAATTCACTCCAAAAAATCAATTCAGGAGAAATTATTTCAGAAGGTAAAACACAGAGTATGGTTCTTCTGCTCCTTTGACATCAAAATAATAAGGGAAACTGTTGCTTTCTGGCTCAAAGCTATAGAACACAAAGGCAATTTGTTATCTAATACTTGACAACTGATATATAGCTTAGGGGAAGCAACACTAAATCTCAGATACTCTATTACAAAGAAGAGAGAGAAAAGCTTCAAAATCTGTTTTGCCTCAGGGCAGAAATCGTTTCACCCTCAGTCCATTAAATCACATTGACTATGATATCAAAGTGAAAACTCATTAGGGCATTTTATGCTTTCATGCTTGAGCCCTAGTGTTACCAATGCACCCAAGAGAAACCTTCCTTAAGAAACTCAAAACAGCTGGCACCACATTTCAGGGAAACAAGGCAGCTGGCCTACAGCTGGAGAGTATCAGCTGAATAGCCAAGACTGGAGAGGGATGAGGGAGTCAGCCAAAGAGCAGTATTTTCTCGAGATAATTCTGATCTAGCAGAAGGATGTGCTTTTTTATTTATTAGTTATAGCTTGGAAAGGGAAGCGTTTGATTTTAGAAACTAAACCCCTAGTGTAAGTCAAAGAGTTACTAAGGGGAAGACTCCTTGAAAAAGAAAGTTTTTGCCTTCTTGATTTTGACTTTTCTGTAGCATATAAACTCAAACTCAGGAGACAAGTGATTTTCAGTCTCCCATATCTCTACTTCCTTTGACTTTTGTTTTGCTCCTAAAGTGTCAGCAAGGAGGGAGGTAGCCCCAACCAGCTTCATGTTACAAGGACCTTTCATGGCACTCATGCTTTTGGCCTCTGAAGGCATTGCCAATGTTTAGTATTTCTATATAATGACACTACTGTGAAGTAAAGCCTTTCCATAGGAGGAGCTATCACTTCAGTGTGATAATCCACTAGCTTGGTGAGACTTGAATTCCAACTGGCAGGTTCTTCTAACCTCCAAAGTGCAAATGCAGGCTGCTTTCCTTACACAGCAGACTGAGCAAAAAACACCAGTAACTTTTGCAAATAACAAACACACATATCGTTTCCCATCACAATGGCAAATGTCAAACTGCTGTTTTTGCTTTTTCCAAAAGTGCGTGAGGTGGGGGGGGGGGGCGGTGCCGGAAGCATTCTAGGGAAGACTTGCACTTACTTATTTTGCATATATGATAAAATTAAATCTAACCAAATACCTGCAACACGTACACTTATGCTGCAAATATTCCACTCCTAGTGGAGTCAACAGCAATAGATTTCCTAGTTTTCAGACCTGGAACTATCTCCTCTGACATAGTTCTGACATAATTCTCTGGGCTTTTTTTCTTCTCATCACAGCCTTTTTTTGCTTCTGTTGTTCATGAAAAAAGATAGCATTTTCACTCAGGTTAGAGGGCAAATAAGTTTTTACAATTTTTATATAGATATGAATCATCAGTCTAATCACCAAGGATTTGAGACATGGATAAGTCAAAACTACAGAAGAAGTCAAATCTAAGTAAAAATAAAGGAAAAAAGCTCAAAATGCCATCTTAAATAATGTGGCAATAGCGTGAGTTGTTTCATTTTTCATGGCATTAGTGGTGGAACTTCAAATACATAGCATGTGGTGGCTAGAAAAGTCTTGAAAGATTAGCCTATGCAACCCTCATTGTACAGGTAGGAGGGCAAGGCAAGGCAAAGAATTCAAGAAAATTTGAAAATACAGTGGTACATGACATAGACAATGCAAAAGAGCAGTTAAGAAATCAGATATTACTGGTACTGGAATGCTCTGTATGGAATGTTGCTGAATACCTTTCAGCTTTTTTCTTTTTCTTTTTCTTTTTTTTTTTTGACAGAGTGTTACTCTGTCGCCCAGGCTGGAGTGCAGTGGCATGATCTCGGCTCACTGCAACCTTCATCTCCTGGGTTCAAGTGATTCTCCTGCCTCAGCCTCCCGAGTAGCTGAGATTACAGGTGCCCATCACCACACCCGGCTAATTTTTGTATTTTAGTAGAGATGGGGTTTCACCATGTTGGTCAGATTGGTCTCAAACTCTTGACCTTGGTGTTCTGCCTGCCTTGGCCTCCCAAAGTTCTGGGTTTACAGGCGTGAGCCACCACACCCAGCCTCAGCTTTTTTTTTTTTTTTTTTCTGAGCAGAGATAAAAATTAGGCTCCGTTCTCTAAACATACAAGTATCAGGCAACACAGAGACAGAGATACAGCTCAAGGGTTTGTTGGATGATTGGACCAAGCTGACCTGTTATCAAAACTGGCTTCTACATATCCAACATACTGACAATCCATGCATAGACAACTGATAGTTCTACTACTGCTGTTATTTTGATAAGATGCATGGGAAAATGAGGTCTTGGGCCTCACAAGAAGATTATCAGTAGCAAAGTCTGGCCAATGGGCTTGGAGGTTCCATGCTTTCCAGAGGGACACTTAATAATCTGCCTCTCATAGGGCAAGGAGAGTTCAGCAAATATTAGGGAGTTACTGCCCTTTCCACTTTAGACAAACACCAGCAGTTCCCCTTTAGTTCAATGGTATTCGCACAGGCGTTATGAAAGCTGTTAAGATTCAGAACCATTGTCAGAGGACTTGGCAGAATGTAACCTAATCTTTTCTGACTGAGAGACAGAAAACTGGCCCAAAAGTGGGGCTATAACCTTCAGTCACCTGCTGGCATTGCTGCCATCTGATGCCTAAGAAATGAGGATCCAGTGTGTCTTTGATGCCCGTCAAAGCTTTGAAGCTGGGTCAAGACCAGGGGACAAAGGCAGCACTGTTTATGCAAATCTGGAAACAAAAGAAGCTAATCTCCAAAGCCATCAGAAGTAACATCAGAAATTCAATACCCAGAGAGGATTAGAGGCCCTAGACCAGTATGAAATAGGAAACCTAAAAGCAAAGCTGGGCAACACACCAAAACACATACTGTAGGAAGGAATCCTGAGCTGGCCAGAGCCTGGCTAGATGTGCTCAGAAGTCTTGATATATGCAGCTCCCTTAGTCAAGAGGCAACCATCTGTGTGCCAAAGGAAGGACCTCCTGGGCAGCTGCTGCTTCTCTACCTGGTGCACACAGCTCCTTCATAAGAAGGTCTAATATATGCCATTGCAAGGCTAGCTCTCATGTTGCCACTTTCCTTGGGAGTTCAGTCATCATCAAGCACGTGCCTTCCCAAGGAGACAACACTCTTAGCAAACACCTTTCGCACAGTATAAAACAGGATAAAATACCACGAGCTTCCTAGAAAAGGATTTTTTAAAGCCATCCCCCAGAGATCTAAAGTTGGGCTGAGGGTCCAGGAAGCATCGATTATGCAGTTATGTGAACATTCTTCAGATATGGTTATCCCCATGAAGAGGAAAGTGTTAGGTCAGGAAAGGACTCAGAGAACATCTCATCTAGAGATTTTTAAGCAAGACTGCATATTACCACCCTTTGGGAAGTTTTCAAAATACGTCAATTGCCCTGGATCATCAAATGATTCCAATAAGTGGCTGCATTTGAAAAGCACAATTTTAGCACATTTCCCTTATGTTACAGGAGAAACTAAGTGACTTGCTCAAAGCAGCCTAGCATGAGCAATGCTTCCAAGACCTTTCACAGGACAACACAGATAGCGTATTTGCACACTAGGGAAAAATGAAAGACGCTGCTTTTGGCTAGAGGAAACTGTCCTGGAGACCCCACTGCCACCAGCCTCACTTCATCTCCAGGTGATTGTTATTTTCTTGGTGGGATGTGCTAAGCTGTGGTATGCAGTTCACATTTTTGAGAAGGATAAAAGATACAAAAATAAAGTGGATGCATAAACTTAAGAACTTTATTGTAGAATTTTTGCCCTGTCACCAAAAGAGCACAAGAAAATAGGGTATGGAACCATATAAGACTTAACAACTGAGTTGCAATCTTCCCCACAGGAGGCTGCTGTACATGCAGTTATAATAATGCTGCTATATCAACTTCTTAAAAAATATTTGTTGTGCAGCAGCAACAAACTCAGAACAATCCTCTGTATAGCAGAACAGAACTGTGTGAATTTCTAAAAAGCCATATTTTGAGTTCATAGCTAGTGAAGACACCAGGGTTAGGGACTTTGTAATATCATGTAATTAAGGCTGAACTGCCAGCTACTAAAAACAGGCTAATTTAGTAGACTGTTTACATTTGTCACAAATGAGGGGAGGAATTTTTAATGGTATGCCAACGGGAAAAATCTAAGAAAATTAAATACAAGAAACAAAGAAACCAAGATTAGGGTATATAAGGACTGAAGTGGCTCAAATGAATTCTACTTAGTTTAAAGAAATGCACTGGTTTGATTTCCCTGTACTCTAAGATGTTCATTAGTAGGTATTTTTTCTTCTGCAATACTAAAGGCTTAATGAACTCATTGTGTAAGATACACTGAAGAAAGAATGTGAGGGAGTGTCGTTTTATACTGAGCCCCAGTGCAAGGAGCTTCATACAGTGGGTAAAACATTTGGGGCATTGTCTTTTAAAAAATCTTTTTAAAAAAATAGTCACTATTAGATGGAGATGGAACATATGTGCTTGACTTAATAATAATAACAAAAAAACACAAATGATGCATGCCTGGCTGGGTTTCTCCTATGTAATCCTGTACATTACTACTTCTCTTAATAAGAAAACCCCTTGGTCTTTTTGATGGCTTAAGCATCTGGAATCTGAAGTTTAGAATATTCCAGAGTATGCCAACTTTCCAAACTCTGAAAATCCCATGATCTGTACTTTAAGTGCATACATAGCCTTCTAGGAGCTCATCTTCTGCAGTTCCCAAACCAAGAAGAAGTGCATCCAAATCACTTATGTACATGCTTAACACACCAATTCCTAGGACCCCGCTGTGGACCATCTGATGAATGTGACTGAAATGGGCCCCAGAAATCCATGTATCTAACAAATGCTCCAGGTATTGTGATGCAACTGGCCTCTGAACCTGTATTTGGGAAACACTAGTTGAATCCAGCAGCCTTACACTAAAGGGTTGGCAGAACAATGGTAAGGACCATGTCCACTCATGGACAATGAACTAGACCAATGGGGACAAGTCACTTTTAGGCCACCTCAATTACTAATTTCAACATGATTACCTGGATTTATCCACATAGACAATCAGTGATGGTGGAATAAATAAAAGGATGTAACATTTTAAAAATCCATTGTTTTAGAAATCCATAGTTTGTCTTGCTAAATAAAAAGCTTACAATGGAAACCAACGTACCCAATAAATTTTATTAAAATCTAACAAGATTGAGGAAAGGCAGAGAAGAGGCTTGTACTTTTCTAAAATATTTTCGTATGCTGGCTGTTTCAAGCCTTACATGCCAATTCCACAAAATCCATTTGCAACACAAGAGATGGTCTGACTGTCTGAATACTCTCCCGCCCAACCTGTTTCTAGCACAAGGAAAGCAGTGGCGTGGAAGCTGCATATAAGCTTACTGTTCAATGGTGCAGTGATGACATGAAAAATCCTGATTCCACTTGGCAGCAACTTTCCACTATCTTGGCGGGTGTAAACCATAATCATTGTGGTGTGTGGTGCTGAGACAGGATTATGGGGCTGGCTGGCAACCAAGAAACTAAAAAACAGTCTATTAGTCCAGCAAGGGACTCCGTGTCGGGAATGCTATGGCCCCAAATGTCTACAACCACACTTTTCACAACTATCCCAAGAATTTAAGTTCTACTGTTAGTCTCTAGAAAATTCTACCTTTCCCAAGACTCTAAAATGCAGCAGTTTCTCACTTAATATGGCTTTCAGGGAGAACACCAATCAATGTACCTCCACAGACTCTCCTGTCTTAGAGTTATGTCTCTCTCTTGTGAGAATGAGATACTTGCCTTCACCACTGCCCTCCCCATCTCCAAAACATATACAATCACTCTCAGAAAGAAAAGGGACTGGAAAGAAACAGTCCTACTTCCCTCTTGGCAGCAATTGTATGCACTTTGGGCTTGGCAGTCCAAATGGGGAAAGCTCTATGTAAGGAACCTCCTCTCTGCAGCCTGATGTATCCCTCAATAGGTCTTGAAGTGATTCAACCTGGAAGGTAATGAACTATTCCAATAAAGCCAATGTGTGAATGAAATCAGGTACTCATGAAAATGCTTCAGCTCAGCAGCTTGTCCCAGACTCATCTTCTACCATACTCTTGGGGGTATACAGCCCAAGATCACTATTCTAAGATCATTATTTATGTTATTATTTGTGTTTCTGAAAGACATATCTTCTAAGATGTCTTCAAACATTAATCAGAAAACACTGGAGGGAAGGAGATTATTTTGCATTATGTTTGCAGAGGAACAAAATCTTATCAGTTAAACCAACAAGTCAGGGGACAGGCCTTAGCTTGCTGAATTTGACAAACAACTAAAATAATAATTGTTGCTTCAATTAAGTGAAACACGTTACAAAGTCAGCCCTAGCAAGATGTCATGGAGCTATTATTCAAAGTCTAACTCTGAAAGGATTTCTGTATGGTGCTCCTAGAGAGGAAAAGAAACGCCCTGCAGCCAAATCTGAGGTTTAATTCATGCAAGAGACTTGGCTAATGCCACCTACCACAAATGCTGCATTTTCACGGATCTGAACTACAGAAAGTTCCAGCAAATTAATTACAGCCACTCTATTTATATTCTACCTGACTTTTCAATTATTACCTATAATGAGATTTTTATTTTTATGAACATTAATGCACAGCTTTCCTACCAGAGGAGTAGAGAGCTAAGGGAAAAGTAATACAATCCTGATCCTTTTACCACTAGGTCACTCGCTGGCAGCTTGCCAAGCCTGCTGGTTCCCCAAAGTAGTTACTGCTTGGGTCCTAGGGTTCCTTCAGCAGCCTGAGGTGGGAGCAAAGCTCACCACCCAAATGTCAACATGGGTCAGGCAAGTCAAGTCAAAGAAAGACAGCGGGGACTAACTGCAAGTGCACACAGTGTGGGTCTGATGGGGACTGGGCTGCCTGGACAAAATCCAGGGGACAGCAGCTACTCAGCTCCAACAATAGTTGCTGTGTATGAATCCAGGCCTGGCAAGGTCAGGTGCTGGTTACATGGCATGTTTTGTCTGTGAAAAGTTACCAAGTTATACATTTATGATATATGAACTTTTGGATAAATATTACACCTCATCAAAAAGTTTTTTTTATTAGGGCCAGACCTTCTAGAGGCCAGAGAGACAAGGACAAGAGAGCAGGACGGGTGTTATCAGAGAGGCCTTCAGAGTACCTGCCTGGAACAGGTGTTATATGAAGCTGGCTTTTATTGTGCCACCCAGGGCATGGCTGTAGATAGGCTGGCAGTGTTTAAAGAACATGGGATAGAGAGATGGATTTTAAAATATCACACTTATCCAGAACTGGATATGTAAAACACTCATATTTGGGTTAAAATGAAAAGGATATATGTATATGTATAGAAAGTTTCTAGAAAAATATGAAAGAAAGTGTTAATATTGGTCACTGGCAGGTGGTATAGAGTAGATGGGAGATTTACTTTTTGTGATATTCCCAATCATACTTTTTTTATTACTTTCCCATTTAAAAAAGTCAGAAGAGCAAATTCTTAAAATAACTGAAGTACTATTAAAAATCCATAAAGACCCTAAGGGATTCAAATTTTTAAAAACTAACAATTTTTGATATGCTAACAACATATCAATTAAATGCAATTAAATGAACAAGTCACTCTTTTGAAATAAAAATGTCAAAACATAGAATACATACGTTTTGTAATTCCTGATGAATAATAGCTATAATTTAAACACATATGGTAAAAGTTCTTCATGATATGGTAACTGGGGAATAGGTGTAGTGGCCATACCATAGGCTAATGATTTTCTTTCAGACTTTACTGTATGTTGTTATGCTATGTCAAGAAATATGCAGAAACAAGCCTTATTATTGTCCTACTATAGTCCTATATAAGCCTTATAATGGTCCTACTATACTGTGCCATAGACTTGGAGACGGTGCCACACAGCAATATGACCCAAGTGCACGTTTAAGTGTTGGAAAAAGAACCAAGAGACAACCAGCAGCCTTCTCAGTTACAAGGCATTCATTGTTCATTCCTATGACCACCAGAAACAGACAAGCAAAAGGAACCTAAGAAGCACATGCTTATGTATTTGGAGTCACAAAGAAACTCCCTGGCCTAATCACTTGGATAAAGGAGCTAAAAACAGATCTGAGAAAACCAAACTCTGCTTAAAATACTCCCCATGCTCCTTTAAACCAAGAAGGATATTCATTATAAAATAATCAGCATTAAAACAGCTACACAGGATTAAAAATCTAGAAATCAGTTATCTCATTCCATAATCACCATGGGAATCTCTTAACTGCCCTGTGCTTTAGATGCCTCATCATGGAACTCAATATAATAAAACCAGGGCAACTTAGGCATTCTTACTAATTCTGTAGTTAAGCTGTCATAACTGGAACAACAGGATTGGTGTCATTTATTAGTCACTTCAGTTTTTACCCAGAGGAAATATTCTGAGCTCCAATCATATTTTGAAATTGGAGGTTGCAGGGAGGATTGATAATTTCTTCAATCATTTGGAATGAAGCTGAATTTAGGGGACAACCAAATCTAAGACTACTGATTAAAAAGCCTGAAAAATGGAATCTCTATTTTACCAATATGAACTGAAAATGTAGCCAATACGTGTATGATTAGTGCCACCTTAATCATTTGCCACTAATAATACTTGAGAAATTTCTTTCTACTGTTATGTAGCTATGATCACAGCAAGTGACCTGCATATTTATGTACAACCCACATTTTAGTCATAATCTGTCCCTATGAAATATACCAAAACAGATTAGAGTTCACTAAAAAGTGCCTGAACTAAGTGATGAAATTATCAAGACAGCGGAAGAGAACCACTAAGACCCTTGCATCATTCAAGTGGAAATGACAATTCTTATTTGAAAGAAACACTAGCGTTCTTATCTTCCCAAGTTGGGTCAACCGACAGAAGCAAAAACTAGAACTAATTGGTCTTTTCACAATCTTAAGCAGACCATCTGTACTCGGTCTGCAACATTAGCTGCCTGGGTCACATCCTGGCTCCACCATGCATTAGCCTAGTGACCTCAGGCAAGTTATTTATATTCTCTGTGCCTCGGTTTCCTTCTGTGTAAAGTGATAGAGTAGAATGTAATGGCATCTCCCACCTAGGGTTGTTGTCTGGAGTAAATCAGTTTTGATACCAAAGTGTCTAGAACAGTGCCTCCATGAATGTATCCTTCCTTCCTTCCTTCCTTCCTTCCTTCCTTCCTTCCTTCCTTCCTTAGTTCTTTATTTTTCCCTTCCCTTACCTTTTCCTTTTTCTTTTCTTTTGAGACAGGGTCTCGCTGTGTTGCCCAGGAAGAAGCACAGTGGCTCAATCTCGGCTTGCTGCAACCTCCACCTCCTAGGTTCAAGCAATCCACCCACAGTCTCCCAAGTAGCTGGGACTATAGGTGCATGCCATCGTGCCTGGATGATTTTTACATTTCTTGTAGAGATGGAGTTTCACCATGTTGCCCAGGCTGGTCTTGAACTCCTTGGCTTAAGAAATCTGCCCACCTCGGCCCCCCAAAGTGCTAGGATTACAGGCATGAGCCACTGCATCCAGATAAATGTTAGTTTCCTATACTAATATTTTTTGTTGTTGTTGGAAAGAAGAAACTAAACAAATTTCCATTTGAAGATTTTTTAAAATCTTGATTTTGAAAGGTAAAGGTAAAGGAGATAGGAGAAAAAGGAAAAGATTCAAAAGAAATAGCAACTATCATTGTTAGTAGCATTTATGTAAAAGACACTGTGCATACCTTATATCATTTACTTGTAACAATAACTCTTTGAGACAGGTGTTACTATTAGTTATTTGAAGATAAGGCAGCTATGTCTTAGAGGTTTACTGATGTGCCCACAATCACACAGAAGATTTATGCTCTAGTCTATCTGACCCTAAGCTTGTATATTTCTTCCTCCAACTCTGGTTGATGCCCTCCACGCTAAACTACCAGATTGGGAAAATGAGGAAAGGAGGAAAAAGGTGAGGAAAACAGACTAACAGACAGAAGGGGCCTAAGGCATCATCTGCTTTTTCAGCCATAAACCGAAACTTCTATCTGTAGGGATAACATACAACATTTAATATCAAGAGTGTAATGATAAAATATGACATCATTCTTACCACTGGTGCTGAAAAATGTCACTGATACTAGTTTGGAACAGTTTATAAACACAAAGTATATTAGTATTTCTAGTTAAACAATTATGAAAATGCTACTGATTGGACATTAAAATGTGGAGATAAATTCAAGATAATCCCCAAACAATGCAGAAATAAAGTAGTATGCAAAATGTTAGGACCATCCCCCAGCTCATCACTGTTTATGTTTATGTCAACAGAAGCTCCTCTCTTTATTTAAAAATCCATAAAGCGGTTCCCAATTTAGTATGTTACTTTTCAAAACTCTGCCAAACAAAATGCCCAAATCTTTCTGTAATTACATAGCAGTTACTGCCTTGTGCCTGCACAGACTCTGTGAATCCCAACTGTCTTCCCACAAGCAACAGCAGGCTCTCCAAAAGAAAAACTTAATGTTTCATTTGGGGCAAATGTTTTTCCCTGCGCCATGCTTCGGTTTTCACTGTCATGGTACTTGGCCCCACTCTCCCTAATCATAGGTTTAAGGAGGATGAGGTCAGCCTTCCCTCTGTTGCTAAGGCTACTTGCTCATGGTTCCACTGAATTAAGGAGAACCCACTGAAGTACACTACCACTTGTCACAATGCCTCACAGTTCCCTTCATCTCAGCATATTCCCAATTCCCTAAAACTTAGTGCAGGTTTTAGGACACATGAAATAGATATCTTCCTTAGGTCCTTATCACAGGATTGTGATATTTGAAGGAAAACAATTAGCTTGGTGGATTTTGAGATCAGACAGGTAAATGTAAAAAGCTTTCCTTTTTGCTTATACAAAGTATCTCTAAAATATAAATTTTCCTTTGTTCAGACTAATCTGAATAAACTTGATGCTGACTGAGATAACTGCAGACATTCTTCAACAACAGTATCTTCCAGGTCAATTTGATGATACTCATTTCATCTGTATGTGCAGTGCAGATCTGGTCCAGAACTTAAAGTGAGAAAAATTATCACATAACAGGGGAGTCTGAATGTGATCAATAAGCCAGGTCTCTCACTGACCCATCTGGGACAGAAATCAGATGCTCCTCTAGCCTGTGAGTGGATGAATGAGAAGAGTGAGTCTGCACAGAGTGAGTTATTGTGGTCAGATTCAGAGGAAGCTGAATTCTGTGTGGCTCTGTATTCACTGCGGTTCTATTTTACAAAGTTCTGGGTAGCTCACAGCCATTTTTGACATCAGCATGTGCTGGCTTTGCAGAATGGATACTAATCAGTTTGGCATCTTGGAATGTTGCATAGAGCTTGGGAATGAGAAACTAGAGGCAAGCAATCGGTAGAAGCACCTCAAATCTGTAACATCCTAAACTGAGGTACCACCTCCCATCAGAGTGTTATATCTCATAAGCTTCCCAGCCAAATATTCCCCTAGGGCCAGACCAGAAGTCAGCACTTCCAAAGAGATTCTATGGTACAATACAATCTGTTTGGAGACTTGCAGTCATTAGACCTGCCACCCACTTGAACTCCCTGAGAGAAAACTCTGGTTGATGCCCTATTATCTTTTTTTTTTTTTTTGCTTGTTTTTTGCCTTGCTGATCCCTTTTTCTAGAGCCATCCTTCTTTCCCAGGTTTTAGTTGATTTTTACTCTTCCTTCAAAACTGAGTTCAAACTAAGTGTCCACTCATCAAGAAGACATCCATATCCATACAACTGCCCCAATCTGATTTATAAATCATTTGGTTCTTCCCCAAACCCTTTAAAAGCCATTCAGATCACCTTACACTGCCCAGTAAAATGAATCATATTTATCTGTAAAAAAACACACATATCTAAATACACTTTTTTTCAGCCCTGATCTGGCTGGTTCTTATTTTAAAAAATGCATTAGAAGAATATGCTTGTACAGCCTCTCTGTACCTCAGTTCTCTCACCTGTAAAGTGGTATAATAACAGTGCATATCTGATAGGGTCATTTTGAAGCTTAAACCAGAAAATGAATGTGAAGTTCTTAGAAGAACCACGAGCTCTTATTATTATGTGTGGAATTTATAAATAAATGTAATTTTGAGTAAGTCAATCACTTTAAACACATTTCTTCTTCTGGGAAATAGAGATAATTTTATTTCTTCACAGAATGGCAGTAAGAATCAAATGAGTTAACAGTGCATGGAAGTTATTTCCAAAGGTTCTTTACAGCTCCTTTGTGAGCTGAAAAGAACTATTTAGAAACTGGGATTTGTATTATTGTTACCTAAAGAATTACACAATGTTTTAAAGACAGAACCAAAATTTTTCAAAGAAGAGTCTTCAATGACTGACGCAAGCATGGCCTTGCACTTCTTGCTTAACCTGCCAATGCTGGACATAAAAGACAACAGATTTCAAAGGTCTATGCAGAACTGGAATTCTCTCATCTAAGTAAGACACCAGTGTCCATACCATCTGGAACTTACAGGGAACTTAGGATGTACATTGATGCTGGTTGATCCTAATTATATTGCAAAATCTATGGAATTCAAGAGCCATAAAGAATTTTTGAAATCATTTATTCCAACTCCCTCGTTTTATTGATGAGGCAACTGATGCCTATGGATCCCAAGCAACCAGCCCCAAATCACATATCAAACTAGTAATAAACAACTCAAGTCTCCTAATTTGTAGATTATAGGCTTATGTAAATTTTGTTTATATCATGTTTCCTGCCTTTTTAGGGTGGCCTTGGGTTCAAATTCCAGTTTCACCATTTATTAATTCTGTCACTTTAAGTGACTTACTGAACTGATGCAAGTCTGTCTCTTTCTTTGCAAAATAAACATCATAGCATCCTCTTAAAAGTTTACTGTATGATAAAAAGAGGTAATGTCTCTAAATCAGGTAGCAAAGCATGTGCCTGACACCTGCTTCACCACTCACCAACTTCTTATGGTAAATACTGTAACGTTTTAAAAAACTAAATCATGCATAAAGATCAAAACCATATTTTAAAATATCTCTTAAAAAAAACACAACAACTAAGGTAACTGATATGTGTGAATTTCTTTTGGTACCGAAGTGGTTAAAAAAAAATCCTTCCTTCTGGTTTAAAGCCTGGCTGTCCCAGTGCTCTCTTTCCACATAATATGCCCTTCTCCGCCAGGCGGTCACGTATGGCAGGGTATATAGTAAAGCAGTGTACAGCACAGAGCTGTACTATATCACATGTTTGCTTTCGCACCTTTGCACCTCTCCCACCAGGTACTCTGAGGCTGCCAATTCTAGCTGCTGCTTTTACTCCTCTTCCTCTCTTTGCCCAACCGCTGCTTTAAGGATGTGTCTCGCCTGAGAACAGCTCCCTTTATCAACACAAGACAGAAATTGCTCCAGAGTGACCTGGGCTCTGTCTTCCTCAGGGGGCCAGAGTCTTCTTGTCCGAGTACCTACCTGACAGCACATCTCCCCTGGCCAGCATCCACCTCCTTGTCCTCCACAACCCACTCAGCGGCTAACCTGGCCACCAACTAACTTCTCGCCCTCGGATCCTCGCGTTTATAAAAGGTGCGAGACGACCAAGTTCTACAAGGTGGGGCGGGCAGGCACCCGCACTTATCCCCTGGCCCTCCCCGCAGCAGACACAGGGACCAGGTCCAAGCTTCTTTCCTCCGGGGACAAAACTTGGCTGTTTATCTTTCCCAGGGCATCTTCGTCTCTCCCCGGGACGTGGAACCCCGATGCACCGGCAGGGACAGCCCGGAGCGCTCGCAGGAGACCAGGCCCACGGTGGTGCCATGGTTGGGCACACTCCGCGGGCTCCGCCCAATCTCCACCCCTAGGTCCAGGTCCCCCTAGGAGAGCTAGGAGCACATTTCCAGCCTGGAGCAGGAGCCCGGCACCGGAAAGTCAGAGCAGCGCACTGCGGCGCCCCAGCCACTGCGGAGCCCCTGGCCAACCGCAGTTACGTTCCATCTGTCGTATCTACATGGGAATACGGCGACAGGCACCCTATCCCCTCACGTCAGGGCTAGCAGTATGAGGTGGGGAAAGAGGAAACCTCGAGAGTTAAAAGCGAGGGAACTGAAAGTCCCCTTGAGGGGTGTCCCCCATGCCCCTTGTGGGACAAAGCCCCAATTCGCAGGCTACCCTCCAGAGCTCCAGCGGTCCGGTTCTCCCCATCAGCACCCTCTGCGCACACTGACCCGCGCGTCCCTCCGCAGCCTGACCGCCCGATCCGCCAGCCACCGGCGCGGGCAGCGAGGGGGTGTGTGCGCCAGATTTTCCGCGTGCCCCCCCGCCCCTCCAGCGGCTCCCTCGCCCTGCAGCTGCTGCTCCGGGCGCTGTCCGCGCTGGGCAGGCCGCCCCCGCGTCCCGCCGCGGCGGCCCGGGGCCCGTGCGCGCTCACCAGATGGCCATCCTGCTCTTGGGGTAGTCCAGCCGCTCCAGGCAGCCGAGGAAGTGCGGCAGCGTGTGCGCCGCGTTGCGGGCGAGGACCGCCACGAGCACCGTGGGGCTCTGCAGGGGCGACTCCGGGAAAACCACCGGCTCCTCTCCGTCGTCCTCCGAGTCCCGCTCGGCGACGAAGCGCGCTCGGCAGCCTTCGCGGAGCAGGGCTGAGGAGAGGAGCAGTAGCGACCAGGCGAGGGTGGCAGCAGGGCGCGCAGCCATGTTCCGGGCCGAGGCGGGCGGCGGGGAAGTCCTGGCGCGAGCGCCCGGCTGGGCTGCCTGAGGGCGGCGGCGGCTGCCGGGGAGCAAGGGGCTGCGAGGGGCGGCCGGGGGATGCGGCTTGCCGCGGCCGGCCGGCTCACACACTGGCCTCGGCGGCTGCGGTTCCCAGGACCCTCCCGCCGCCGCTGCACCGCCCAGGCCCCAGTGCGGGTGCGCAGCGTACCTGCAGCCGCTGGCGCTCCCCTGCGCCTCGGGCTCGCAGACAGTAGTGGCCGAGGGGCTGTGTGCCCTGAGTCCTGAGGAAAGTTCCTCTAGTCCAGGTTCCGCTCGTACAGCTGAGGTCTGTGGCCTTCCCTAGAGCCGCGAGTTGTGGCCCTGTCTGCCAATGAGCCTGTGAGTGTGTGTGTGTGTGTGTGTGTGTGTGTGTGTGTGTGTACATAACGGTACAACCCCAAGAAAATTTATTCTGCTTTTGCAAACCGCAGACTGAAGCCCTTCACAGTGATGCAATGTATCCAGTTTTCATAATGCACCTATTGACTGAGTAGAGTTCTAAAATGAAAAGTCTCCCCAACTATTCACGATTATGACAAACACTTGTTTAACCACCGCAAAGGCAGCATGTCGCATTTTCTTATATACTCAACTTCTGAAATTCATTCTTGACTGAGTAGACACCTAATAACACAAAGTTTGAAGACTTGGAGAATTTTGGAGCCAGATCAGACCCCGCAAAATAAAAGAAAGCCCTTGGGAGACACTGTCCTGAAGCCTCACTCTACTGTGAACCCAGTAAGCCTCCTCACAGGAGGGCTGTGAAAGAATAAATTCACTTAGCTGGTTTTCTTTTTCCGTAATAAGCCAATATGATAGAGTAACAAAGAGGGAAAATTCGCGCATGTTGGAGAGCAGAGAAGAGATAAGGAAGAAAAGAAGGGGTGAAGGAAGAACACAATTAGCACATAAAATGAAACTGCTGGCATACACTGCTAAAGGAGATTTACTTTTTTTTTTTTTTTTTTTTTGAGACAGGGCCTCACTCTGTTGCCGGGGCTGGAGTGCAGAGGCACGATCACAATTCACTGCAGCCTCGACCTCCTGGGCTCAAGCAATCCTCCCACCTCAGCCTCCCGAGTAGCTGGGACCACAGGTGTCCATCACCACGCCTAGCTAATTTTTTTTTTTTTTTTTTTTTTTGTAGAGACGGGTTTTCACCATTTTGCCCAGGCTGGTCTGGAACTCCTGGGCTCAAGTGATCTGCCCAACTCGGCCTCCCAAAGTGTTACGATTACAGGCATCAGCCACCATGCTCGGCTGGATATTTAGTTTTGAAGATATATTGTGTAGCCTTTGATAGATAAGTATGGAGGGTGTTTTGGTGCCAGTGCACATTCATGATCTCCAATCCCAACTCACCCTCAGGTCTGTCCCATAGTCTTTTTATTAGTTGTTATCAATCCTTCTCAGCAACTATTAGAAGTCTTCCCTACTGTCTTTTGAAGTATATCACCTCCTTCATCCAGCTCCCCCAACACCACTGTCTCCAACTAGCATCCCTACCAAGACCTTTCTTACTTGCAGGTGCCTCCTCACGACAGGGTCTTTGATCACAGACTAGAAAGGGAGAGGTCTCCCTTTCTAGCCCATGATTTTTCTCTATCATTCCACTCTCTACTGAATCTTCAACTGATCTCTATCAACTCCTTTCTCTCAAGCTAAATACTTGGTCAGTCTTCTCTTATCCGTTAAAAAAAAAAGAAAGAAAAGCTTTAAAAAAAAGTCCTGTGTCTTCTTCTAGTCATCCCTTTGCTTGACCAAGCTCCTTGGAAGAGAGATCTATACTTGTATTCTCCACTTCTTCATCTCCCATCTTTCCCACCACAGTGCAGTAAGGCGTCAGCCCTCCCCACTGTTCTGCAAAACCAACAGATGGCCTCAGCATTGGCAGATTCAGTAAACTCTTCCGTTCTCACCTTCCTGGACTTCGATTACATAATCTCCCATCCTAGATCTCCTCTGATACTACTTGTCTCTGAGCCAAGCCCCTTCACTGTGTGCCTCCCTATAGTGTGCTAGTCTTCCCACTCCATATGGTCTCCTGTGGTTATATCCTCAAAATCTATGTCTTCTGCTCTAATCTCTTCTCTAATCTTCATATTTTTTTATCGAATGGCCTACAGACATTTCCTTCCCCTCCATCCATTTTCAGGAATTGTTCCCACTTTCAAGGGGCTCACAGTCTTGTAGGGAAGACTGAGAGTTAAACATCTGTTAGAAGTACTGTAACAGATGTACCAGCTACAGTGAAGGGATAGAGGAAGATGTGGTCATTTCCACAAGGGAGGTAGTGATGGGACTGTTAGAAAGGTCCAGACAATCTCCATGTTGTTCTGTCTTTCTTGTTTCCCTTTCTTGAACTATGTCCCACTCATCTTTCAATACTAAAATCCGCACTCCTTAGCCAAACTTGGTTTGATAGTTATCATTTGTTCACTTTACTGCAAACAGAGGGAGTTTAAAGCTAGGCAACCACATTTCTGTCTTATTTTCCTTCTGTTACTGATATGGTCTGCCTATGTCCTCACCCAAATCTCACATCGAATTATAGCTCCCATAATCCCCACGTGTCGTGGGACGTAATTGAATCATGGGGGCAGGTTTTTCCCATGCTAGTCTCGTGATAGTGAATAAGCCTCACAAGATCTGATGGTTTTATAAAGGGCAGTTCCCCTGCACATGCTCCCTTGCCTGCCGCCATGTAAGGTGTGTCTTTGCTCCTCCTTTGCCTTCTGCCATGATTGTGAGGCCTCCCCAGCTATGTGGAACTGTGAGTCCACTAAACTTCTTTTTCTTTATAAATTACCCAATCTCAGCTATGTCTTTATTCACAGCGTGAGGACAGACTAATACAGTTACCTAAAGTCAACAGCTTATCTGAGTCTATTTTTTCAAAGAAAGGTGAAGCATCTAAACCTGTATGGTCTCTAATGACATTATAATGAAATCGGCTCCATGGAGTTCTCTTAAAATAACTACAACCTGCTCTGCTCTGTAGATGAAATCAAGGGTTTCCCAGCCACATAACCTACAAAACACCTATTTAAAACTTTTAATTGAGTGCTCATTTAGTGACTGAGAATATTAAGGTAATAACAGGGTATGCAACAGTAGAAGATCATTGTAAATATGGTTGGGAGGCAGTGGAGGGGAAGCCTGGGAAAAATTAAGTCCCCATCTTACTAACAGATTTGTTTCATAAGTTCTTCAGAAATCAGTAATGTGAATTTGGATGTTTCCCCCCCGCATAGGATTGATGTTATAAGACAGTTAATTTGAAAAAAAAAACTAATTTAAAAATAAAAGCCAATTATATTTTAAAATATTCATTGCTTATAATGCTCTTTCCATGGAAAATCGGCTGAATGGAAAGTCAGGGTTGTACACACATATCTCTTTGTCTCCACTGCCAGTAGACTGTTCCAATTGATTCTACATAAAGTTAGAAGTAAGCACTTTCTCTCATATCCCCTCCCCATACTGTTCCAGCACAGGGGACTTCCATCTGGGACAACAAAACCTCTTGGACTGTCACCCTTAGTGCAATGTGGTGGGGACAGGGCCTATGAGGTGGCCAGAGGACTTCTTGCAGGAAAGCTTCTCAAGATGTCTGTGGCTCCAGCAGCCCAGAAGAGGAGGAAATAAATGCCTCTGGGGCAGCTGTGATAGGCTTGAAAGAGCAACTGACACTTGGAGCTGAATTTTCATTTCACTGGTGTCACTTATTCTCTTTGTGACCTTGGAAACTTGACCTCTTTGAACATCAATTCCTTCCTAGGTAAAAAAGTTTTAAATGCTTGCCTCATTTTTTCATTCAACAAACATTTATGAAATTGCTAAATGCCAATCATTTGAGTGTTGAATATTTGAATGCTTCTCCCTTGGAAAAACAGGGAGAAAGTGGCCAGCCCCTCGTAAGTCCTGCTGGGCCATAGTTGGCAGAAAGAGTCTCTTGGCTGAATTATCCAGGCTTCTTTCTTCTGTACTGAAATATCTTTCTTTCACTACCTGGTTTGTTTTACTCGCTTTTCTGATCCATCCTAAAATCCTACAATGTAAAATGTACTTGAATTGACAATTCTGCCAATTTCAACATGAAAATCCTTGAGAGAGGAGCATTAGATGATATCTTTTTAATTCAATCAGATTTTTAAATCTTATCACCTAAACTGAAATGGCCTATAAGAAGTTTTGATAAAGGGAACTGAATGGGATCCTAATTTGAAGCATGGGTCTCTTTGGTGACAAAGCAAGTTTTATGGATTTCTGATACGTAGGCCCGAGGACTCTGGGTCCTAGGAAGGGAATTAATATTAAGGGAGAAAAAGAGCAGTGACTGAGGTGGGAAAGGCTAAAATTAAACTACGTCAGTGTCAAAGTTTTGTCTATGCTCTGGCTGCATCCAAGAGCTATAGAATAGTCACTACGGAGGAATGTTTTCCAATTCAAAACAAGTTTATACAAATGTAAACTACACTTCTACGTCTCATTTAAGAATAGATGCATCCCTTAAATTATATTAACTCATTCCTTCAAACACTTGCTCAATGCCTACTCTGTGCCAAGATATAGTTGCTGGAAATGCATGAATAAATAAGATGTGTCATATAAATGCACAAATGCTATAAGTCATTTTATGTCTTATGATGGAAAAAGGAGCATAAGTAAGGAAGTGGGGAAGTGGAGATAGCTAGGAAATGTTTAATTAAAGAGATGTCTTTGAATTGAGCATTGAAAAATAAGTAGCATGCATGGACAGGAAGAATTAATATTTTTAAAATGGCCATACTACCCAAAGCAATTTACAGATTCAATGCTATTCCTAAACTACCATTGAGATTTTTCACAGAACTAGAAAAAAACTATTTTAAAATTCATATGGAACAAAAAAGAGGCTAAATAGTCAAGGCAATCCTAAGCAAAAAGAAAAAAGCTGAAGGCATCACGCTACCCAACTTCAAACTATACTACAGGGCTAGAGTAACCAAAACAGCATGATCCTAGTACAAAAACAGACACATAGACCAATGGAACAGAACAGAGAACCCAGAAATAAGACTGCACACCTACAGCTACCTGATCTTTGACAAACCTGACAATAACAAGCAATGGGGAAAGGATTCTCTATTCAATAAATGGTGCTGGTATAATCGGCTAGCCATACACAGAAGCTTGAAACTGGACCCTTTCCTTACACCAGATACAAAAATTGACTCAAGATGGCTTATAAATGTAAATGTAAAACCCAAAACTCTAAAAACCCTAGAATACAACCTTGGCAATATCATTCAGGACATGAGCACTGGCAACGATTTCATGAAGAAGATGTGAAAAACAATTGCAACAAAAACAAAAATTGACAAATGGGATCTAATTAACTGAGCTCCTGCATAGCAAAAGAAACTATCAATAGAGTAATCAGACAACTTACAGAATGGGAGAAAAATTTTGCAAACTATGCATCTGACAAGGGTCTAATATCCAGTATCTAAAAGGAACTTAAGCAAATTTACAAGAGGGAAAAACCAAACAACTCCATTAAAAAGTGGGCAAAGGACACGAACAGATACTTTTCAAAAGAAGGTATAGATGTGGACAACAATCATATGAAGGAAAGCTCAACATCATTGATTATTGGAGAAGTTCAAGTAAAAACCACAGCGAAGAAGAGGAGGAAATAAATGCCTCTGGGGCAGCTGTGATAGGCTGAGAATTATAGGATAACCACAATGAGATACCATCTCACACCATCGGAATGGCTACTAAAAAGTCAAGAAATAACATGCTGGCAAGGTTGTGGAGAAAAAAAAAACGCTTATACACTGTTGGTGGGAGTGTAAATTAGTTGAACCATTGTAGAAGACAGTGTGGCAATTCCTCAAAGTCCTAAAGACCATCGATCAGGTAATCCCATTACTGGTTATATACCCAAAGGAATATAAATCATTCTATCATAAAGACACATGCACGTGTATGTTCATTGCAGCACTACTCACAATAATGAAGACATGGAATCAACCTAAATGCCCATCAATGATAGACTGGGTAAACAAAATGTGGTGCATACACATCATAGAATACTATGCAGCCATAAAAAAGAATGAGATAATGTCTTTTACAGGGACATGGATGGAGCTGGATGCCATTATCCTTAAGCAAACCAATGCAGGAACAGAAAACCAAATACCACATGTTCTCACTTATAAGTGGGAACTAAATGATGAGAACACATGGACACATAGAGGGGAACAACACAAACTGGGGCGTATTGGAGCATGGAAGGTGGGAGGAGAGAGAGGATCAGGAAAAATAAGTAATGGGTACTAGGTTAAATACCTGGGTAATGAAATACTCTGTATCAAAAACCCCCATGAAACAAGTTTACCTATGTAACAAATCTGCACATGTACTGCTGAACTTAAAAGCTGAAAAAAATATAATTTGATTCGAAATATAAGAAAAGAAAAATGAGTAGCATGGACTAAGAAAAGGAAGACAGAAGGGGAAAGAGATGGGAATTCCAGGTAGATGGAACTGCAGGAGCAAGGAATGAAACAGTATGACACACTTGAGAGATACAATGAACAGGGCATGGCTGGGAGATAGGATGGGAAGTAGTAACAGAGAAAGCTAGAAAATTATACGGTTTTATACAATTTTATATATAATCATTTCTTTAAAATGGGCAAAGGACTTTGAATAAACATTTCTCCAAAGAAGATATACAAATGGCCATAAGCACATGAAAAGTTTCTCAACATCACTAATCCTTAGGAAATGCAATTCAAAACTATAAGATTTATCACTTCACACTCATTAGGATGGCTACTAGAAAAACACAGAAAATAACAAATGTTGGCAAGGGTGTAGAAAAATTGGAACATTGTGCACTGTTGGTGGGAATGTAAAATGGTACAGCTGCTGTGGAAAACAGTATGACAGTTCAAGAAATTAAAAATATAATTACCATATAATCTAACACTTCTACTTCTAGCTATATACCCAAACAAATTGAAAGCAAAGTCTCAAAGAGATATTTGTGCACCCATGTTCACAGTGGCATTATTCACAATAGCTAAAATATGGAAGCAAACCAGGTGCCTATTGATTAGTGAATGGAAAAGCAAAATGTGGTATATACATACAGTGGAATAGTATTCAGTCTCAAGAAGGGAGGAAATTCTGACATATGCTACAACATGTTAACTTTGAGGGCATTATGCTAAGTGAAATAAGCCAATTTTTAAAGGCAAATATTGTATGATTCAACTTATATAAGGTAGTTAGTCAAAATTACAGAGACAAAATAGAATGGTGGTTGCCAAGGGGATGGGGGTAGGGGAAATGGGGAGTTATTGTTTAATGGGTATATGTTTCAGTTTTAAAGATAAAAGAGTCATGGAGATGGATATGAGTAATAGTTGCACAACATTATGAATGTATTTAATACCACTTAAAATAGTAAATTTTTTGTTATATGTATTTTACCACAATAAGAAAATAAGAAAAAGTCAATCCATGTGATTTATTAACAAACTTGAAAAATCATATGATCATCTCAAGAAATGCAGAGAAAGCATTTATGAATCCAACATGAATTCCTCATAAAAATTCTCAGTATATAGGAATAGAAGGGAACTTCCTCAACGTAATAAACAGCATCTACAAAAAGCCCCCAGCTAACATCATCCTTAATGGTGAAAGACTGAGTGTTCCTCCTGTGATCAGAAACAAGATAAGAATGTCAGATCTCATTACGTCTGTTTAATGTTGTACTGGATGTTTTAGATGGGGAGGAGAAGAAGGAAGGAAAGAAGGAAGAAAGGACAGAGAGAGGGAGAAGGAGAGAGGAATAGAAGAAAGCAGGGAGGGACATTTAAGCAAGGTAAATAAGCCGTAAGATATATTTTAACATGAATGTGGAGTGTTGTATTAGCCCTTCTAGGCCAAAGGCTCTAAAATTCAATGATTTATTAAAGTCTATTTTACTATAGAACTTTAAAAAATGTTGAAAATGGGGGAAAAAAAGAAAAAAATCACTCATGATCCACTACTCCACCACAACCATTAACATTTTGGGGTAATTTTAATATGGCATTTTTAATTTGCACATTTTCAATGTGGGTTTGTACTCAGTCCTCTTCAGTGAGACTCAATATCCATGTTGATAGCAGATGTTGACTAAATATCTAGAGATAGACATGGGATATTTTTTGGACCATGGATTGCTTTTGATGTCTTTTCATATTTACAAAGCCAGGCATTATTTAAGGTTGCATATATGCATCTGTTTACTTATAGAAATTGCCTAACTTACTATCACTTTGTACTCTAGATATTAGAAAAATTTTAATAAAAATATTTAATAAACATGAAATATAAACTAACAGATATAATCCATAAACTAATACATTAATTTAAATACTACTAATAAAATGGATATCCATATACCCAGCACCCACCTTGAGAAACAGAACATGACCATTAACTCTGAAGCCCTGAGTCCCTTCTTGTCACAATGCTTTGTTCCATTCCCCAGAGATAAGTACTAGACTGAATTTTGTGTTAATCAGTCTCTTCATTTTGTTTAGAACTTTACCTCCTGTGATGGTTAATTTTACGGGTCAACTTCACTACACTAGGGTGCCCAGTTTCTTGGTCAAACCAGTCTAGATATTGCTGTGAGATATTTTTCAAATGTGATTAATATTTAAATCAGTAGACTTTGAGTAAAGCAGATTACGCTTCATAATGTGGGTTGCCATCCCATCTGTTGAAGGCCTTAAAAGAATGGGATTCTCCATGAAAAAAGGAATTCTGACTCTGGATTGCCCTTGGACTCAAGACTGCAAAATAAGCTCTTTCCTGGGTCTCCAACTTGCCAGCCTGCCTTCCACAGATTTCAGGTTTTCAAGCCCCCACAATCACATGAGCCAATTCCTTAAAATCAATCTCATTCTCTCTTTTTGGTTCTGTTCTCTGGAGAACTCTGGTACATCTCCTAAATGTGTGTTAGTTTTGCCTGCATTTGAATTTTTCTTCAAATACCATACAATTCACCTATTTAAAGTACACAATGCAAAGGTTTTTAGTGTATTCATAGTTATGCAACACGATCACAATCAATTTTAGTACATTTTTATCACCACAAAAAGAAACCTATACTCATTAGTGATCAATCCTTATGTCTCCCAGCTCGTGCTACTCTCTCACTAATCTACTTTCTGTCTCTATAGATTTACCTACTTTAGACATTACACATAAATGGAATTCTACAATATGTGACCCCTTGTGATTGGCTTCTTTCACTTACTATGTTTTCAAGGTCCATTGATGTTGTAGCATGAGTACTTTATTCCTTTTTAATGCTGAATAATATTCCACTGTATGAACATACTACTTTATATTTTCATCAGCTGAGGGACATTTGGGTTGTTTCCACTTCTGGGCTATTATAAATACAGCTGCTATATTAGAATTTTAAACAAATCAAATATCTTATATACGCTTCTATAACTAACATTTTGACTATACATTAGGTTTTTAGTTTTTATGAGATTCATTCAAGTTGTTGATTGAAACTCTATGTGTGTTTTAAATAATTACTTTTTGAAAACTGTACTCAACCCACTAACCACTAACATAACTAAAATAACTAGTGTATTTCACAACCACTAACAGGTCCTGGCACTTCATTTAAAAATATTGCTCTAGAATATATACCTGGGATTAGAATTGTTGGATCATAGGATTTGTGCATCTTCCCTTTGGTCTACTTTTCTGCCAACTCTTGGCTTTTGTTGCTAATCTGATAGGTGTATTATGGTATCTTCTTGCCTCAATTTACATTTTCTCACTCAATCAATGTTGCTGAACATCAAGTTATGTTTGCTGGCCTTTTATGTCTTTTTTTCTGTTTACTTTCTTTTTTTTAACCTAAGGAGTGTTTTGTTTTGTTTCCTAATTGATTTTTAGGAGTTCTGTATATATTCTGGGTATCTTTTCTTTCAATTGTGTGTTACAGATGTCATTTTCCTTCCACTCTCTTAGTGTTGGAAATTCTTAACTGAGATACAGTTAAATTTACCAAATTTTTTCCATATTGTCAGGCCTCTGAGCCCAAGCTAAGCCATCATATTCCCCGTGACCTGCACATATACATCCAGATGGCCTGAAATAACTAAAGAATCACAAAAGAAGTGAAGATGGCCTCTTCCTGCCTTAACTGATGACATTACCTTGTGAAATTCCTTCTCCTGGCTCATCCTGGCTCAAAAGCTCCCCCACTGAGCACCTTGTGACCCCCCCCTCCCCGACCCCTGCCCGCCAGAGAACAACCCCCTTTGACTGTAATTTTCCTTTACCTACCCAAATCCTATAAAACGGCTCCACCCCTATTTCCCTTCGCTGACTCTATTTTCAGACTCAGCCCACCTGCACCCAGGTGGAATAAACAGCCTTGTTGCTCACACAAAGCCTGTTTGGTGGTGTCTTCACAGGGACATGAGTGAAGCATATGGTTTGTGCTTTTTGTGTCTTAAGAAATCACTCTTAAACTTGGGGTCATAAAATATTCTTTTATATTTTCTCCTAGAGATTTAAAAGTGTTTGCCTATACCGTGTAGCCAATCACCCCTTCTCTCCTTCCCTTCTTGCATCTGCCCACATGTGTATGGGTCTGTTGCCTGGCTCCCTATTTTGCTTCATTGGTTTTACCTATCCATGTGCCAATATCACATACTTGTAATTAGAGATCTTTGTAAGAATTTAAATTTTGTTTAAAACCTTATCTTTATAAGATATTTATATTTCAGAACTTTAACTTCGTAAGTTCTCTCCCTTTTGTTCACAAAAAGGGTCTTGGTTATTTTTGGCCCTTTATGCCCACATTTCAGAATCAGTTTATCAGGTATTAAGAAAATACTTTTTGGGATTTTAATTGGAATTGATAGAATCTGTAAATAACTTTGGAGGAAATTGCCATCTTTACAATATTGAATCATTCTCTTTCTTGAATCTTTCTCTGTTCTTGAAACACAGAGAATAGGAAATTGTGTGTTTTGTGTACAAAAAAAGGAACAAGATATATGTGAACCTCCTTACAACCAATGAATGAAAAGCTGATCCAGAATGCTAGGCTACATTTTTCAGCTTGGAATCACTGTCTCATACAATACTGTGTAAAAGCTTTTCTTCTTCTTTTTTAAATTTTCTTTCCACACTAGAGATTCACATCACAATTTAGTGTTCGCATTTCCTCGAGACTCTTACTGAATTAATATGTCTCTGGCTAGACATTACAGATTTTTGTAGGAATAAAATGATCTGGCTCAGGATATCATTGGGAAATGAGTTCAGCAAGTGCCAGATTACAATGAATTTGATTAAATCCAATATACTCAGGGGGGATTTCATTCGTTGTTTCTTATCTAGCTTTTTTTTCTCACTACTTTGGTTCTCTAATAGAGTGAACTATTGAAGCATTTACAAAATGAGAAATCCTCCAGGATACCAGACACTGAAACTCTCCTCTGTTCTCTAGTGGATTTCACTCTAGATTGTCACAATAGGTATTTTGATTCTGTACTTTAAATACTGGGTTGTCTAAGTGTTCCCAAATCCTTTGTGTTCATTCTTAGCCATTCACAATCACCAAGACCTATTTAAAAATTTACATTAACAGGGAAGCTAACAGACACTCCCTTTTCATTCTTCAACTCTTTTGAAAAGCACGTAATACTCATTCTTGAATGTATCATGCTTTTTCTAAGCAACAGTATTTAATCTATTTGCCAAAGGATGGCATTTATCTGTTGCTTTTTTGGTTTATGGTTCTTTCCATACCCCCAATTATTTTTTCTTGAACATAAGCTGAAATTCTTCCCCTGCAGATGTTTGAGGCTGGTTCATATAGTCCCTAATCCCATTGGATATCCTTACTGATTTATAAAAGTTTCCCTCTACTCAGATTAGCATCAAAATACTCTTAATGCTTTTAAAAATGCCATCATATGAACTGATTTGGATCTTTAGGAGTCAGAGAGATTTATTCACTTCCAATCACTTGAATTCGTGTCAGTGTTTCATGCTTCAATGACCCAATTAATTTCAGTGCCATTTTCTTCTTTCGGGCTTAGCAGCTGCTTTGTGGTGGCAAAGGTTCATTCAAATGTAATGTATTTGAGGGCAACATATGAATCTTCATGTGTGGCTTTACATTTCATTCAATAATAGATGCCCTTCTTTTCCCTGTGTATGATGTGTTATTTCTTTTGATGCATTCAAGCTTTTCTCTTTATTTTTTTGACTTTCAATAGTTTTATTACAATGTAGACTTCTTTGTGTTTATTTTAGTTGCTATGTATTTAGCATTTTGTACTAGTAAATGTGTTTTTCATCAAATTTGGGGAAATTCTGGCCACCACTCTTTCTTCAAAAATTTTTTCTGTCCCTTTTTTTTTCTACTTCTGTTGTTTACATGCATGTTGGATTGTCTGACATGTAGCAAATCTCTGTTGGTCTACTCACTTTTTAAAGATAATTTTTCTCTTTGTTGTTTACTTTTAATAATTTCTATTGCTCTATCTTCAAGTTCCCTACTTTTTCTTTTGTAATTTTTTTTGGCTGTTAAATTCACCCAGTGAATTTTTTATTTCTAAAATTATAATTTTCAATTTTCAGAATTTCCATTTGGTTTTAAAAATCTTTTTTTTTCTTTTTCTTTGCTGAGATTTTCTATTTGTCTCCTGAGATTTTCATTCATTGAAAACATGTTTTACTTCATTGAGGATAGTTATAATAGTCACTTTAAAATCCTTATCTGTCAGTTTCAATATCTGATTCATCTCAGGGTTGATCTCTAGAGTATGCGATCCATTTCCTTGAATTTCATATGTCAGATAGTTTTGGATAGTACTCTGGACTTTGTGAGTGTTAAGTGGAGAGTCTGGATTCTATTATTCTTCTCTGATGAGTGTTATTTCCTTTGTATTAGTAGGTAATTTTCCCGGCTAGATTTTAACTGAAAACTCTCTCCCTTTTGGAGACAGCTCTGGTCTCAGTTCAGATCTTTTGTTTTTAACTGAGCTGCTGTGATTCTGTTTTGGGTGGTTCAGGATCTCTCAGAGATGTGGGTTGACAGTTTGGGGATCCACTCTCTGACTCCTTCCTTGGGATTTCTTAATCTCTTCAGAATTCAAAATTTTCTGTCTTCACTTTTCTGCTTCCCCAGACAAGAATAACTGATAAGTTTTATACATGCATCCCTGGTACTGCTGAGCCTGACTTCTGGACTGCACTTTGCCCCAAGCTAAATGCCAAAGAGAGGAGAATTTTCTTGTGGAGTTCTTGATCTTCAAGCAAGCTTGCCCTTCCTACCAGTCTGCTGTTCACATTCCAGTATATTCAGCTTTTTGTATTGTGTCCAAGTGTAGTTCCTGATCTTCAAGCAAGCTTGCCCTTCCTACCAGTCCACTATTCACATTCCAGTATATTCAGCTTTTTGCATTGTGTCCAAATTGTTTTCTGCTGGGGGATGGTCCACTAGGGTCTTAGTCTATCATGGTTGAAAACAGAAGTTATGTCCTGCCTGGGACTTTGGATTTTGAGTCACCCTTGTCCTGGTCAATGCGATAGCCTCCTAACCAGTCTCTGTTTGTGTCCTTGCTCCCTCCAGTCTATCCTCAACATATCAGTCAGAGTGATCCTATGAAAACGTCCAGGAGCCTCCAATAGCTTCCCATTTCACTCACAGTAAATTAAAAAATACTTAAAATGTGCTACTCTGCCTGTTTGAAACTCCTCATCCTTGGCTTCCAGATCACATGCTTATGCTAGTTTGTATCCTACCTTTCTGAACACTCGTTCAGCAACTCGTGTTTCCTCTAATCCTGAAACGTGGGTCCACCCTGAAAGTATGGTTCTACTTTAAAGTTCTATGTCAGGGCACTGAGTAAGGCCTTTCCCGTCCCCAGCAATCAGAAACCAGGACCCCACTGCTGAAGGCAAAGAGGACGTATGTATCCCCCAACTTTCTCAGAGAGTTATCGGCAGCACTGACTTAAAGAGGATTAAGAGCTTCAGGGCGCAGGCTACTCTTTAATATTTTTCACGTTAGAATTTGCTCAGATTTGAATAAACGCAGAGCGAAACTAGAGAGCGTTCGCGCAGGTTCTAGCTACCTTGGTCAGAAGGAGGGGCTGATGCAACTTTCCTCCCAGTTTCTGAGCCCTCTCGCACTGCAGCTGCGAGCCTCGGGGAAGCGGAACCCACAGGCGCGCGCGCCGCTGCTTCTGGCCGGGCGCGGGTCGTGGTGCACCACGGGAGCGCCGCACCGGCCGGCATGGAGGAGCGCGGCGATTCCGAGCCGACCCCCGGCTGCAGCGGCCTGGGTCCGGGCGGTGTTCGCGGCTTTGGCGACGGCGGTGGAGCTCCTTCGTGGGCCCCTGAGGACGCCTGGATGGGCACTCACCCTAAGGTCAGGAGGCGCGAGAGGAGCAGGGCGCCGTCCAGGCCCCTAACCCAGGCAGAACACTCCCAGGCAGCTCTCTTTCTTTCTTCCTCAGTGGGAGACTGAGGACGCGCGCCACCCTCACCGAGGGGGACCGGTGTGCACAACTGCCAGCCTCAGGCAGCATCGGTTTTGTTTGTTTAAACAAGTTGCACTATCTCAATCCCCCAGCCAAAGCCATTTTGGAACTGAGAGCCAGACAGTAACTCCGCCCCTCTCAAGCCGGAGATCCCTAATAAGCGCTCCACTAGTTTTGCTGTCTAGGTAAATCCCCTTTGGGGGATAAATTTATTTAATCCTCACGGTAACCATGCAAGACAATTTGTGGGCGATGGATAAGATCTAGGGGTCCATAGTGATAAAGATTTAAGCACAGTCACGTTTACACTTAGCCTTGGGCCCAGAATGCATCTTTATTTTGAAAAGGTGCAGATTCCTAATATTTCAGATTTCTTCGAAAGTTTGAATAGGTTCTTGCTCAAAGCAGAGCTACTCACATTTTGCGTGTATTTTTCTAGATTAGCAGCAGGCGAGATCAAGATAGTCCTCTGCTTACTTCTGCTTGAGACATTACTGCCTTGTACAAGTACGGTTCCAAGCAGTGAATAGACAGTGAATGGAGATGTGGGTTTTGTAAGAATCTCAAAAACTAGTCTCTACGGTACTTTAACAGAATTGCACTCTTCTGCTAGAGAGCAATAATTCATAATCATCTAAAAACAGCCAAGAAAAAATTTGAAGGTATAAGTTTGAAGAGTTAACCTTTTTCAGCTTCTCTTGCTTAATTTTATCTTCCTACTCTGTCCCCTTCATCCTCCCAAAAGGTGAGAAAAAGAAACAATAGCATGGAAATATTATTTAGTGCCCTTTTAGGGAAACAATAGCATGGAGAGGCAGCATATTGGTTAGGCGCATGAACTCAAAATCAGACTCAGTTTAAATCCTGATTCTGTCACTTATCAACCTTGTGATTTGGGACAAGTTGCTTGATCTTATTATGCCTTAGTTTCCTCACCTGAAAAATGGGGATATTAATAGTCCATACTTACTTATACGGTTGTTACAGGATTAAATTAATGAATATTTGTAAGCCATTCAACATACAGAAAGCACTATATAAGTACTTAATAAGCGAAACACCAGTAACAACTTTTTAAGACTTTATCTAGATTTGGTGGTGTTATTCAGTTTATATACTTGTAGATTGTTTTCTTTTTCAAGTTAATGGCTGTATACACCTTGACCATCAAATCTCCCCTTTTGATTTCTCTTCTTGAAGGATCAAATTAATTTTTAAAAGAAAAAGAACAAGTAATAAAATAATAGGGGGTATTTGTTTTTCCAATTTCACCTTTCTGTTAATTTAAAAATTATGTAGTTTCATCCAGTAAAATGGTACCAGATTTATTATCCCCAAACACACTTTTATTTTATTATTCTCCTGCTTAGAAATCCTCAGTGTTTCCATACTGATAAAATCACATGTTTAGCTTGACCACCAAAGCCTTGTAACCTGGCTCAAAATTATGTTTTGGGTGTTATTTTCAAAACATGTTTGAAGTCGACAACTAATTAACCCCTGTCCTCCTGAACCTGTACAGTTACAGTGAAGCTGATGGGAGAATGTGACTTTAGACCTGTCCCCATGCAGGTCTGCTAATAATTCAACTCAGCATTAGCCCTGCATATCCACCTAGTCGCTGGCATAGCTGGGCAGCCTCAGAATTCTCCTGCAGGTGTAGGCCCCTGAAAAGTATTCCCCTTATGCTGACCAGTAGTCTGAAAGAAGCAGCTTTCTCTAGTTCCTTGTCAATTCCTTTTAAAAAATCTACTCTTAAAGTGAGAAAGAGTGGGTAGAGAGGCTAGGACTGATACTCTAGCAGATTCTCTCCATATACAAATAAGAGGCTAGGGAAATACACAGTACCCACTAACATGTCCCATCACAAGTTTTATTAAAAAGGTTTCTCTATTGCTGGCAGATAGGTTTCTTTACAGGCCCTTGAATGTATGTGGCTTAATCCCACCTTTGTGTAATTACCTGCAGTATTACTCTACTTCTCCACTTACTTAAATCATAATGTTCTTCAGTGCTCAACTTGTATCCCATCCCACCTCTGCTATAAATCTTTCACCAGTCCCTCTGAGTAGAGCTCTTCTGACCTGCTGTGTCATGTTTTTTATTCCATTTACATGGTTTTTAATCACTTACAGTCATATATTGTTATTTGCCTAACAATTTTAAGTGTGCATGTATTTAACAATTGCAAGTTCTTTAGAGACAGAGATAAGATCTTATATTGCCTTTTAACTTCCACTATACCTAGAAGAATTTTATAGATTATATATGCTTGATGACCACTTGATGATTGGAAGAAAATATTAAATAATTTTTTCTTCTCAATTTGACAATTATATTTTAATTTTCAGTATCTAGAAATGATGGAATTAGATATAGGAGATGCCACCCAAGTTTATGTAGCGTTCTTGGTTTACCTGGACCTCATGGAAAGTAAGTTGTTTGTTTATATTGTTTTGTTATTGGGACTGTGGTAGAGATTTGGGGGGTTGGATTGGGATATAGCATTCTTAACATAATAAGCAATCTTTTATGCATTTGCTGTTAATTTTGCAATTTATTTATTTACATTGGGAATTACTGAGTAACAGAAGCTACTAGAAAAGCAAAGACAGGAGGTAGTGTTACGAGTGATATTTGCTCAGCTGAGTATTAGGTAGAAGTTTGGAGTTTTTATTTTTTGTATTTAATAAACATTATTGTCCATTCAATGATGCTCTTTCAGGCAAAAGCTGGCATGAAGTAAACTGTGTAGGATTACCAGAACTCCAGCTCATCTGCCTTGTTGGTACTGAGATAGAAGGGGAGGGGTTACAGACTGTGGTGCCTACCCCCATCACTGCTTCCCTCAGCCATAACAGGTGAGCAGGTGATTTTGGTCTAAGTTCCTTTCCCGAGTAAAGCAGTAGGAAACATTAAACATAGTGATGTAATACTTTTAATGAAATTTGGGATACAGGGTTCATAGCTTTACTCTTGGCTATTTGAGGAATAAGTTAAATATGAGTGTTGTATTCGGCCATTCTTGCATTGCTATAAAGAAATACCTGAGACTGAGTAATTTCTTAAAAAAAAAAGAAGAGGTTTAAGTGGCTCATAGTTCTGAAGGCTTTACAGTAAGCATGGTGCTGGCATCTACTCGGCTTCTAGGGAGGCCTCAGGAAGCTTATAATCATGGAGGAAGTTCGTGAAGCAAGAGCAGGCACATCATATGGCAAAAGCAGGAGTGAGAGAGAGTGTTGAGGGGGAGGTTCCACACACTTTTAAATGACCAGATCTCACGAGAACTCATTGTCCTGAAGACAGCACTCAGCCATGAAGGATTTACCCCTATAACCCAAACATCTCCCACCAGGCCCCACCTCCAACATTGGGGATTACAGTTCAACATGGGATTTGGGCAGGAACAAATATACAAAGTATATCAAGCATTCAACAAGTATTTATTTAGCACTTACTCTATGGTCAGTACTTTTTCAGAGACAGTATGTATGGTAGAAATATTTATATTCTTGGTAAGGAAGCAAGACCATTACATATGAAATAACAGCTGTTATAAGATGTACCATGTAATACAAATTATACTTTATATAGCAGTTGGTGAAAAGCATGATTAACATGCAAGCTGAAATCAAATTTTCATGTAGCTTTTTTTAAAAGCTTTAAAAAAGAGACTTTTTTTAGGACCTTTTTTTAAAAAGCTTAGGTACACAGCATTGGATTAAACATGTCTTTGTTTCATGACATACTCTCATTATTAGTTCATGCTTGGTTTTTATTTATTTACTTAGTTATTTTTAATAATGTAATAAGTATCTCTGTACCCATCACCCAAAGCAAAACTAGATTCTTGATAATAACTAACATCTAATCTTATAAGTCCCTTCCTTAACGTGCTTTCACTGACCTGAGGTAACTCATTCTGAATTCCATGTACATTGGGAATTTTTAAATTTTAGATGTTTTTAACTTTAATTAAAAAATCTTATCTTTTAAGGCTGACCTTATACACTTAATATTATATTACTAAAATTCATCCATTCTTGTGCATTTTTTGAGCTGCCACATAACATTCCATTGTGTGATTATACCACCATTTTTACATCCACTCCCTCGATGATGGAGTGTTGCTAATGTTTAACTTTAGGAGATAATTTCAAACTATTTTCAAAGTGGTTGCCTCAATTTACTTTTCACCTGCAGTGTAAATAAGATCCTTTGGAGCTGTATTGTCTCTCACATTTAGTATTGTCAGACTTTTAAATTTTTGCCAATGGAATGGATTATTCTTATTTTGGTCTTAATTTACATTTCCCTTATTACTCATAATACTGAATATTTCTTTATATATGTATTATTTATAAGAAATATCTGTTCATATCTTTTGCCTGTTGGGTTGTTTTTAGTTTTCTCATTGACTTGTATGAATTCTTTATATATTCTTGACCTAATAGTTTTTTTATTGTGTTTTCCAGTTTTTAAGTCTGTCTTTCACTGTCTTAAGATGTCTTTCAATGAGTAACAGTTCTTAATTTGAATATAATCATATTTATCCATCTTTTATAATCAACGTCTTTGTGTCTAGTTTAAGAAATATTTTCTATCTAACGGTCTAAAAAATACTTATATTTTCACTAAGAGTTCTATTGTTCTTGTTTTTAATGGTGTGAGAGGCGGTTAGGGATACCATTGTCATGTGGATAACCACTTTTTCTACCTCCATTTACTGAATAGTCCCTCCTTTCCTCACTATCTGACATATCACTTCTGCTACTTTCCAAAGTTCCAAACATGCATTAATTTGTTTCTGGGTTCTCTATTATATTCCATTAGCCAGTTTATCTGTCCTTTTGCCAATACCATATCTCTTAATCGCTTGCTTGGTAAGAAGTCTTGGTATCTGGTTAGCAAGCCTCCCTTATGCATTTCTTCTTTAGAAGCTGTAGCAGGCAGCTTCTAAGATGGCTTCTCCTAATTCTGGTATTCACTCCCTTATGTAACTCTCTTCCCTTGAGTGTGACCTGGACTCAGTGACTTCTTTCTAATGAATAAAATTTGGCAAAAATGATAGGAATGTAACTTCTAAGATTAGGTTACAAAAGACTGTGGCTTCTATCTTGGGCACTCTCTCTTGCTTACTATAAAGGAAGCCAGCTGCCACGTGAGCTGTCCTACAGAAAGTCTGAAAATAGAAAAGAGATGACAATTATTGATGGAGCAAGATTCTTGAGAGATGAGGAAGGATGGATTCAAGAGGATAGTGGAGGAGAGTAATATTGAGCATGTAAAGGGGTGCTGTAAACCTCTGAGAGTGGGGTATGGGAAGAATGAACAAATGAAAACACAGCTCTATTTGGGTGGCATATAAGTAGGGAAAAGAGCAGAGCCTCTTAAATTCCAGCATGAATACCGTTGATGAATACTTAACATTTTTTCTAGCTGACTATGACTGAATACATAGCAGTCTAGTAGAAAGAGCCCCAGACTATAAAGTCTTAAGACCTGGGTTCTAGTCTTGGGACTGACACTTAACATTTTGTTTGATGTTTAGCAACACACCTAATTTCTCTGGGTTTCAGTTTCCTCGTCTTATTTTGTTGTTGAGGGATTTAGATTACCAGTACATGCAAGATCCCTTCTAAATTAAAGCTGCTGTAACTGGTTATTTTCATTGTGCATATTTCATAAAGCCATATTAAACTAAATTTGCAGATTTCTATGAAGTATTTTTTGTATTTATTATTCATAATGAGAATTGTTTTTTAATATGTCAGTCTATTCATATGCTTCTTTGAGAAGCTCCTTACTGTTTTCTCTGTGTTTGAGAATTACAAATAGTTGTTAGCATTGACATCAGATTTAATCGCTAGTACTTTCCGGTTTTTACTAGCATGATTTCCAAGCCATCCTATATCCAAGAGTCTTAATTCATTCCTCAGAACTCATTACTTCTGTCTTTTAATTACTGTAACAAATATTGTCCTAGCTAGTATTAATGTTATATTATTTGTTTGGACAAGGAGCTACTATTTGAAATTAACCTGCATTTATTCCTAAAAAATAAAATTAATGAAAGCAATAGCCTATTTTAATCAAAATCATTTCATAAGTCTAGAAGTACAAATTTGTTTCCATTGTTAATTTCTAGTATTTTCCAGGTGGTAATTAATGCTTTTCTAGCTTGAATGGCTAAAGCTTGTTTTCTTCTTCAAGTAGAATTAGTTGGAATGATAACTTGGTAAGCCATTTTGATGCTGTTGCATTTAATAACTGAGAGAGCTTAAATCTTTATGTCTTGTTTTTATATAAATATTCTTAACTATATTATACAGTAGAATACTAATATAGAATGTAGCACAAATGAGGCCTGATACATACTAGATTTATATGCCTTTTAGTGCATAACATTTTCTCAACTCAAACTATGCAAATAACTTTTTAACAAATGGAAATGTGTGGGTGTATATGTGTGTATGTGTGATTTCATTATTCAGTCTTTAACAGGGCAGTCTTTTAGGTAGTAGGCATACTTTTATCTATTTTTACTTTTAGTGTATTTTATAATATAAAATGTTATATATCTAACAGTAATGCTGCAATTCCAGCCTTTCATAGTTAATGTGGGAATTTTTCTGTGTTAGTAACACAGAGAAGAAAATGATTGATGTTGAGTCTCTGATAACCTTGTATAGCAAAGAAATTCATTGGGACATGTCCTAAAAGTATTTGGTGGGAAGATGTGAGGGCAACTCACCATGAAAGAAAAAATACTTTTTATTTAAGAGGGAAAACAGCTTTTACTTATTCAGTGATAAAACATCTACATAAATTAACGATTCTGTTTTCACTTTTAAATATTATTATTTGTCAGATAATATTGCTTGGGCTTTTTGGTCTTAACAATTATTTATTGAGTGACTCTTATGTGTCAGGCAATGATCTAGGTGCTGGGGATACCATGATAACAAATACTTTCATGACATCCTCATGAAAGTAGTATTCTAGCACTGAATATTCGCTTAGAAAATACTTTTTTTTTTTTTTTTGGTAATTGTTGGATGGAATTTTAAAAAACAGAATTGCCCTTTGTTCAGATATTTAATTGAATGTGTGATTTGGGACTGCCTTCACTTATTTTGTAGCTAGATAATTGAATAACAAGTATTATGGAGTACTGATAAGTAGTTTAACAGGGATATGTACAAAATTATGTCAAAACCCAGAGGAAGGACAGGAAAAGTCTCTTTAGCCAGTAAGAGACCATGGTTTAGTAGGGTAACTGCAAGTAATTAAGCATGATTGCCTACCTAGCATGGTGTCTAGTCAGAGTAGGTGTCTAGTAATATTCCTTAAGGCAGCAAATGAATGAATGAATGAATGAATAAAATTTCAGAGAAAAGAGGGAAAGGATGGAAAATTAGATGGGAAAGTTTATTTAGATTATGAAGGCCATCATTGTTTTTACTTTTTTGCTATTACTAATGGTATTCTAATGAATAGCCTTGTGAGTACCTCCTTGTACTCATGTATGAGAGTTTTCCTAAGAATAGCTGGGACATGTATACCTTTATACCTTCTTTTTTTTTGAGATGGATTCTGGCTCTGTCACTCAGGCTGGAGTGCAGTGGCACAATCTCGGCACACTGCAGTCTCCGCCTCCCGGGTTCAAGTGATTCTCCTGCTTCAGCGTTCTAAGTAGCTGGGATTACAGGCATGCACTACCATGCCCAACTAATTTTTTGTGTTTTAGTAGAGACAGGTTTTTGCCTTATTGGCTAGGCTGGTCTCGAACTCCTGACCTCAAGTTATCTGCCCGCCTTGGCCTCCCAAAATTCTGGCATTACAGGTGTGAGCCACTAGGCCTGGCCTATCCCTTCATCTCTACTGGTTATTGCTAAATTGTTTTCAAAAGGATTATTACCAGTTTACACTTGCACTTGCAATGTGTAAGTTTTCACAGACTGGGAGAAGATTTATAACATGTGCATAACTGACAGGTTAATTTAGAATTAGCTTCTGTGATTTCAGAAAAAAAATCCCAATGGGAAACATGGGCAAAGAATATGAACAGGCAACTCACAGAAGAGGAACTCAAATGCTCAAATATGTTTGTAAATGAAGGAATTACAAATATAAAATGTGTTTGTGTTGTCTTAACTTTGAAGAAGACTTGCAGACAGTTTGTTTTTATTTTTTGACAGAAATAAGGTACTGTTTAATGGGGAACTTTTGAACAGAACTACAGCTAGCACTTAGAGAGTCTCTGAACAGTTTAGGAAAAGGAGCTCCCTCTCGACATGCAAAGGAAAATGTCTCTTCACTAAGGTTCAAGGCTTGGCGAACAATGAAGGCCAGATTTTAGATCCACTTGTGCCAGGCACCGTTGTGCAAAGCACAATCTGCATATCTGTACATGATGCCCTGCCCCTGAAGCATGTCTGTGGAGTCTTAGGTTTCCACAAAGAACACTATGAAAATTACTGCTAAATGGGTGGTGTCATTGAAGGGCTTTAAGCAAGGAAGTGAGACTATTGTTTATTCTATGTGGTTTTAAGAATACTTTGCATTTGCAGAGAATGTTACAGAATTTCAAAGTATTTCAAAATATTTTTACAAGTAGACTTTCATTAAATCAGCACCAAAATCCCTAGTGGTATACGGGGTGTTTGTTTTATCCTAACTTTACATACAAAAAGCTGAGGTTAAAAGTATATTTTCATTTGTACCCCCACTTTTTCCAAAAGATAATAAAAGATTAAGTGAGCTGTACCACGGTCTCAGTTAGCCTCACAGCTATTAGAGTTTCTCTTGCTTTATTGGTTTTTAAAAAGATTTTATTGTAAATGAAACTAGATACGGAAAACCACACAATACCAATGTATAAATTAATGAGTTATAAGGCAAACGTCTAGAACTCTTGTAATTATAACTAAGTCAAGAAATAGAACTTTTCTAGGCACCCCACAAACTTTTCAATGTGCCCCATCCCAATCATAATCTTTCTTCCCCCCCAAAATAGCCATTATTCTTTCTTTTATAGTAATAATGGGCTTTGGCCCATATATTGTTCCCAGGACCTCTTAGTGCTAATTTGTCTTTTGACTCTCACTCAAGAAAGAATGTTGGAATATCACTGGTGAGACTGATAATATTATCAGGAATATTAGTTTTATATTTAAAAATACCCTGCCAACTTTACTACTCTATTGTTAGAAACAAATTACTTGCCACATACTATACAACCAACCTCAGCATACCAGTTGTAAATCACCATTTTAGACTGTGCGTCTTAGCTGCTTGAATATAGTGCTTTAAAAAATGCTTTGTAGTCCTCAAAAAACCTTAAATAACATTTTTATTAGTAGGAGAGTTGGGTAGCATACACAGCTGTAGAGCCAGAGGAGTTGGCAGTTTGCTGGAGCTACAATTTCTTATTATTTACAAAGAGCATATAGCACATAAGGCCTGATAACTGTCTCTTTTATTGAAGGAGACAAATTTTATAATCTGTTGTTTGTAAAACTGAACCAAACTCTGTCATTTACATAGTTAACTACAACTTAGTTATAAAGTATTTCCCTAGTGATGACAAATAGTCCCACTGTTTCAGTCACCACTTGACTGTTATGTGGCAGAGTGGCATGTATATTTATATGGTTTATTATTTATTTTATGGTGTATATGTATTTTCTGCCTCCTTAAAAAGTAATTGTTCTAAGGAGTGTTTAATGTTATATCTGTGTGCTATTCTAAGAATGCCTGAACAGTTTTTAGTGTCTGCTTCCCACTTACTTTCCCAGGCTTTAGACCTGGTGGTTTTGTTTACATACTTTCTGGCAAGAGTGTCGACAGATTCCATTACAGGGTGAATGTGTATTTGAATGACTGTGAGTGAATGCATTACTTTGAGCACAAGTACGTTTTGTGTTTAGCATTTTCTGTAAAGCAGTTATATATGATATGTGATCACAGTTAAAACACTTTGTCATATTTTTCAAGTTTCAGAAGGTCTTGTGTGTAATAGTCCTTATGAAAATATTGATTTAATGTTATTTCCTGATCTGTAATGGGGGAATAAAATTGATAAAGTGCCCATTTCTGATTATCTAGTGGGAAAATTTTGCTGATGGAGTATGAAGTAATTAATTGCTAGTGTTTCTTGTTTCTCTCATCTAAAAATACTTCCTAAAGCTAATGTAAAATAATTTTTAGTTTGCATTATAATGCCATATTAAGTTGTATATTTGCATGGTATCCATATGGACAGTACTCTAGATTGTTTCTTTGCTAAATTGAATCTAAGGAATACATGAAGCAACTTTGGTAAATGACTGTAGAGGTACAGTTTGCTCAGACAAAGCAATGGTATAAAATCATATTCATAGATACACAGAGATGAAAGAGATCTGATGGATTTAAAGATGAGACAACAAGAGGAATACTAACTAAAACTAGTGACCTATCTTTTTCAGTGCTAAGATTGCAAATGAAGTCAAATTTATGTTCAGATAGCCTGATTAGCTTCACTTTGGACCACCTTGGGTCCATTGGTATTTATTGAGTACCCTAAATGGTAAAAGTATACTATACTGAAATTAGGATAATAGTATTACAATTTTCTGTAATAGTAGTAGTACTACAGGTAGTTGCAAATGGGAAAATATCTTAAGTGACTTATACAGGGACTCAAATTATAAGGGAACAAAATGGTTTTCTAGTCTTTAACTACTGGTAGGGTTTTTTTTGTTTGTTTTTTTTTCCCCCTCATAGACCCAATGTCACCTCCCAATTCTAATGTAAATTTTGTTTCTTCAGTAAGATACAAGAGGTGGGAAAACCTTAGTTGACATATTTTAAACTCATCTGTGGTTATATGTAAATTAAAAAAAAGCTGAGCGAAGTGAAATGTCTTATACAATTATAAAATCCAGGCACAGTTAAGATACAGCTTTCTGAAACTATTAATCTCCTTTTCTTTCCCCAAAGGATTGTAGTTCCTTCCTTAGTAATACGTGAATCATTCATCCTTTCAAACCTGACTAAATTGTAAATGGTTCTTTCTTCTCAGTGTCAGAGAAGAATAGTGGATGGGAGAATGGAGCCTCTCCCATCACCATTTTGTTCCCCTAGGACCTCAAATAGTGGCATTTCTTTTGTTGTTATTGTTTCGTGGCAGTTGGTAACCTTTCTAAATTGAATACACTCAGCCATCTTATCTGAGACAAAAATATTTCAAAAGTTCTTCTTGGCATCTGCATATTACTTGGGAAGTTTAGAAAAAAGATGTAAACATTCCATATACCAAATTGCTCCTTTGCAAGCTTAGCTACCATGAAGCTAAAAGTCTAAGAGCTTTTAAAAGTTGGTTTGAATAAAATTATTTTGGCAAGAGTATTGTACAATTAAAGGAATTTATGCCTTAAGAGAAGTGAAAATAATTCTGTGCACATTAGAAATGAATGTCAGAGCCAAAGTTAGGATTCCTAGCCTGTGGTGATTTGCTTAATCTGATGCTTAGCTTATTAATGCATATCATATCCTATTTCCCTCAATGTTGTTTTCAAAAGAATGTACTCTCTTTTCCTCATACATTGAATCCGATGAATTTTAGTTATTTTTTCTTTGTCAGAATTAATTTTTCCCAATATAGCTTTTAAAGACTGCCAATAGTAATTTTTCTTTTTTAAAGGACATGATTAAAGAACATTTTATTAGCTGTTTGTATTATCACAGCAGTAACCCAGATAATATAAATGGACGAATTATTTATTTTTAAATCCATTGCCTTTGTGTTTTCATGGGGAGAAGAAAAAACCTAATATTTTAAAACCCCGAGATGTGTAGGGAAAATTAAAAATTTATTTATTGTTCTTACCCATCACTAAAAATGTTATAAATGTATTTGATTTTACTTTTTATTTAAATATAATTAATACAAACATAATTATATACTACCTAGAGGCAAAATTTGGTTTTAGGATAGAATAAAAAGGTAAATTACAAATTATTCCAGTATTTTCTAAGTTGCTTATTTATTTATTGGCTGCCTGGGCTCATCGGGTGCAAAATATTATGGACTTTGCCTACAAGATGCTAACAGTCTGGAGCTGAGATGGACAGTCATTTACATCTAGTGTGATAAACGTAATGACAGATATGTACAGGGTACTGAGGAAGACCACAGAGGGAGGAGACCTAACTTTGACTGGTGGGATAAAGAGACAAGAGAGTCTGGGAAAACTTACTGGAGGACAAGATGTTTGAAATATGCAAGAACAAGGAACAAGGATGGGAATGGATGCCCTGGTTAAAGTAATAACATGAGCAAGGTATTGAGGGCTGAGAGGGCCTGAAATTTGCCAATAGTTCATTATGACTGGGTATGTAGTAATGGCAGAGAGAGTACCTGCCTGCAGTTGGTGAGAAAGCCCTAGATTGGTGTGGCATGGGTGGAGAAGGAGTGAGTATGTGTGATACAAGAGATATGGGAATGATGGGAAAAGGAGGGGAGGAAAGGAGAGACAGACATAGAAAAAATATGAAAAAACAAACAAACAAACAAACAGCTCTCCTCCTGGGAAGTAACAGTTCAGGAGAAGCAACCTCTTAAGGATTAAGGAAGTCAAAGGTAAGAGAAAGTTAAATCAAGAGTTTTGCCACTACAAAATCTGTAGGAAATCCTGAAACAAAGGTGGGAAAATTATTTGAGTCAGAATATTAGGAATTGTAATGCTTGTTTCTGTTTTCTGTAATGGATACCAATTACAATGTGCAAATCTGTAAGGATATAGATGTTTAGCTATTAATGCAAGAACCTAATTTGGGGATTTGAGGAGGTTAAGTAACTAGGGTTTAGTCATCTGAGCTTTTCTCTTCATTATACTCACTCCCTAAGCGGCCTTATCTGGTTCTAAGGTTTTAAATATCATCGATATACTGATGACTCCCAAATTTTTATCTCCATCCCAACCTCTTCCATGAACCTCAGACTCATATATGTAAGTGCCTACTTGACATCTCCGCTGTGATCTAAAAAAGGCATCTCAAATTAGCATGTCCAAAAAGAAATCTTGATTTGCTCCTATACTTTCTCCTTCTGTCGTTTTCTTTTTGTCAATAAATGGCAACTCTATTCATTCTGAAGCTCAGACCAAAAACCTTAGAGTCATTTTAAAATGTATACACACACACACACACACACACTTTATTTTTTAGACCAATTTTAGATTTACAGAAAAAATTGAGCAGATAGTACAGAGATTTCCCATCTAAGTCCCAGTCCAGCATAGTGTTTCCCCTATTATTAACATCTTTGTGTTAGTATGGTACATTTGTTACAATTAACCAATATTCATACATTATTAGTATTATTAACTGAAATTTGTCATTTACACTAGGGTTTATTCTTTTTGCACAATTCTGTGGATTTTGACAAATGCATAATGTCATGTATTCATCATCACATACAGAATAGTTTCAGTGCCATAAACATACCCTATGCTTCATTTATTCATCCCTTTCTTCACCCCCAAACACATCCCTGGCTGCTACTGAACTTTTTACTTTCTGTGTTGTTTTGCCTTTTCCAGAATGGCATATAGCTGGAATTATACAGTATGTAGCCTTTCAGATTGGCTTTCACTCAGCAATATGTATCCCTGCTAGCATGGCATTTTGGGTTTTAGCTACCCTAGTGGGCACACAATGGCATCTCATTGTTCTTTTAACTTCTTGCAATTTCCTGATGACATATGATGTTGAGCATCTTTTCATATGCTTATTTGCCACCTGTATATCTCCTTTGGTGAGGTGTCTGTTCAGATTTTTTGCCCATTTTTAAATTGGGTTTTCTTTTTGATAAGTTTCAAGACTTCTGTGTATATTTTGAATGCAAGTCCTTTATCAGATATGTGTTTTACAAATATTTTCTCCCAGTCCATGGCTTATATTTTCATTATCTTAACATTGTATTTTGCAGAACAGAAGTTTTAAATTTTAATAGAATCTGATATAATTTTTTTCCTGGATCATGCTTTTGGTATTTTATCTAAAAACTCATCACCAAATCCAAGGCATCCTATTTTGTCTTCTAGAAGTTTTATAGTTTTGCATTTTACATTAAGGTCTGTGATCCATTTTTAGTTAATTTTTATGAAGGATATAAGGTCAGTGTTTAGATTGATTTTTTCCAGGTGAATATCCAGTTACTCTAACACCATTTGTTGAAAAGATGTTTATTTCTTCATCAAATTGCCTTTTTTTTTTTGGTCAAAGATCAATTGACTATTTATGTGAGTCAATTCTGAGCTCTCTATTCTATTCCATTGACCTATTCATCTATTCCTTAACCAATACCACATGATCTTGATTACTATAGCTTTACAATAGGTCTTTTTTTTTTCTTTATGTGATTTTTTTGAGACAGGGTCTCACTCTGTTGCCCAAGTTGGAGTGGAGTGGCACGATCTCGGCTCACTGCAACCCGGTCCGCCTCCTGGGTTCAAGCAATTCTCATGCCTCAGCCTCTTGAGTAGCTGGGACTACAGGCGCATACCACCACACCTGGCTAATTTTTGCATTTTTAATAGAGACAGGGTTTCACCATGTTGGCTAGGCTGGTCTCAAACTCCTAACCTCAAGTGATCCGCCTGCCTTAGCCTCTTAAAGTGCTGGGGTTACAGGTGTGAGCCACTGTGCCCGGCTTGTAATAGGCCTTAAAGTCAGATAAAATCAGTCCTCTCACTTTGTTCTTTAACACTTTGTTGGATATTCTGACTCTTTTGCCTTTCCATATCAATTTTACAATCAGCTTGTCAATATCTACAAAACAACGTGCTGGGATTTTGAATGGGATTGCACTTGTAGATCACATTGAGAAGAATTGGTATCCAGGAACATGGACTATCTCTCCATTTGTTTAGATCTCCTATGATTTCTTTCATCAGAGTTTTACAGTTTTCCTCACATAGATCCTATAAATATTTTGTTAGATTTATACCTAAATATTTATCTTTTATGATGCTGATGTAAATGGTGTTTTGTTTTTAATTTCAAATTCCAATTGTTTATTGCTGATATATAGGAATACAGTGGACTTTTGTATATTATCCTTGTATCCTGTAACCTTGCTATAATCTCTTAGTTTTTATTCTTCCATTTTCTCATACCCCCAAATTAATTTATCAGTAAACCCTGTCAATTCCTTAAAATTACATCCAGAATCTGTCCATTTCTTACCACTTACACTACAACTGTTACCACTCTGGCTTAAGCTGCTATTATCTCACCTCCTGGACCTACTAAGTGGTCCTCCTTTAAAACACTTGATATATTAATGCTACTCAACATATTTCATATTTGGTTTTCTTTGATTATCTACTGTCTGTTTTCCTCCACTAGAAAGTAAGTTCCCTGAAAGTGAGAACTTGGTTTTGTTTATTGGTATATCCCTGGGGTCTAACCTGGTACCTGGTACATGGTGCTAAGTAAGTATTTGTTGAAAGATTGGGTAAGCTATCTTAGGCTACTGTGTTCCTGCAGCAGAGACTTCCTAATTAATACCTTAAAGAACATAAGAATATACTATAAGCAACCTTTTAAGAATTTCCAAAAAATTAGAATGTCTGCAAAATCTGCCAGGCACAGTGGCTCACGCCTGTAATCCCAGCACTTTGGGAGGCTGAGGTGGGCGGATCACCTGAGGTCAGGAGTTTGATACCAGCCTGGCCAACATGGCAAAACCCCGTCTCTACTAAAAATACAAAAAATTAGCTGGATGTGGTGGTGTGTGCCTGTAGTCCCAGCTACTTGGGAGGCCTAGTGAGGCAAGAGAATTGCTTGAACCCAGGAGGTGGAGGTTGCAGTGAGCCAAGGTCACACCACTGTGCTCCAGTCTGGGTGACAGAGCGAGACTCTCTCTCTCAAAAAAAAAAAAAAAAAATATATATATATATATATATATATATATATGTACATATGTATGTATCTGCAAAATCCATCCACTTGCAGGATTTATCACCATTTTCCACGCTTTGCATTGTAACCTGCCAATGTTATGAATAGCCTCTTTACTTTTTAGTTGAATTTTTTTTCATTTATATTCTCTCTGCCCTTTCACCCCTCTTTTTCCCTAGTGCCTTGGGAAAAGGACTTATATTAATTCTGGAGTAGAGGGTTACTAGAACTAGTTCTTTCTTTGGAACATCTCTGAAGATATTCTTAGTTATGAGATTTGATCCTCAAATGCTACATACTTTCTTGAAGGACCGTCCATTATTATTTCCCTGTAATTGAAAAATATTTCCACTTTCTGAAAGCATAATCCTTATTACAAATTCATTTAATGACCACTATTTTATTTGAGTCCTAAAGTCTCATAATTGCAAAATGACTTCTGTCATTTGGCTTCTCTGCATATTAGGATGTGTGTCCTCACCTTCCCTCTGCTAGAAATCTGCTGCTGGTGAAACCCCCAATTCTGGCAGCTTCTTTTAACTGATACAGCATTTTTTTTTCTCTTACCCTTAAACAAAAGCTTGCAGTTCATTACAGAATGACTTCCCACTGGGGTGGATAGCTTCATTGTTCAGTAAACCCCCTTGGAATTTTAGCTGCCTTGATTTTTTACTAGGAAGGCATTGGCATGAATTTCAAGGAGGTGGTCTGTTATCCCTGAAACTTTTCTTTGGGACTGAGCCTGTGGATGAATAAGGCTTCTTTGGTGCCTCTGACACCAACTTAATTTTGCATTATGTTTCAGAGTTGCATTATGGCATGTCATTCCATTATATCATAATGAGGCAAATCAAGGAATTATTCCCTTTTACTAATAAGGCTATAGCATATATTATTTGGCCACATTGAAGAGGATAGGAGATACTTTCTATGGGTTGAAATTAATACTACTTTTAACCCATGATACATTCTATTTCAATAGCATTTGAAGTTAAAAGTAATGCGGTCTTCAACTTCTTGTCCTCTGTGTAAATCTCCAGAGATTACTTAGTATCTGTTTCAGAATCATTACAGAAAAATCAATGCTAAGATTTATGGAAAGCATTTAAATAGCTTGGACTAAAGGTATTAGCCAAATAGTGTTAACTGTGTATTTGCTTCAGGCTTGTTTTCAAGTTAGCTATATGAAGCTCTGGAATCACTTTTTTTCAGTACACAGAGCTCCTCTATGAACAGTTATGAGAAATAAAAACCTGTTGTGAGCATCAAATTTTGTTGCTGTTATTAAATAGCTATTATTATTGATACATATTTTTCTTTAGGTGGGATTTTTCCCTTTAGATATAACTGAGTTTAAAACTTGAAACTGTTAGTATTAATACATAGGTTATATTTTTCATAGGTTGATTTCTATCCAATATGAACTATAAAGAATTTTATCGTTTATTGTTGTAGATTTGTGTGATGAAACATACAATATTTCCAGTATCTTCACAATATTTTTCCAAAGAACTGAGCTATTAAAATTTATACATATAAGGAAACATTCTGTCATTTCTAAAGTGAGATTTCAAACCATAAGCTTGTTAGAAATTAAGTGAGATTATAGTATTCTGGTGATACTTAAATGTTCTTGGGATCTTTACAATCATATGTGGTTTTTTAAGAACTTAAGAATCTTTTGTTACTGCTATTATTAATAGATTGGGAAAATATAATCTGTTGACTAAAAGGCAAAATAAACATTTTTAAGATTTTATGCAGTATCCTATAATGGAAACAAACAAGAAAGGTCTTGTTCTTGTTTGTTGAGGAAAAGATGATGGCTTTGCTTTAAACATACTTGAAAAATCGACTAGAAGAGATCCTGAACAAGAAACTGTAAGACTTCTGGAATGTACCTTGAGTAACAGAGGCAGATAAACTATTTTATTCTGTTACTAGTGAGAAGATTCACTGGTAATTCACAATCACCGCCCCCTCCAACCAAATACCATAAACAAGGCCTCAGAAATGGGAACTTCCATTTCATTTTTGACAGTGATTTCTCTCAACTCTGAAAACAAAACCCCTTTTACAACTCTGAGTTAGTTTTCAAATGTTAGGGTTTCCTGCATGGGTATTTGGGGTAAGTATGAAAATGTTTTGCTGCTTAAATCAAAGAACTCTGGAAACAGATATAAATTGAGAATGGAAAAAGAGTAGTGAATAAGATGGAAATTTCTATTCTAAATTTCACTATATGGGCTACAATTCCCATATAGTTTTCCTTAGTGAACACCACCCCCCAACACACACATACAAACACACCTTCTGATTTAAATAACATTATATCTTCAGAAATGGAAAATGTGTTAAAGTTGTGTTAACAGGCTTCCTTCTTGTCTGTGTCCCATTCTCATCACAGTCTACCAGTTAGGGATGTTTAGAGAAATTTATCTTGTGGCATTGAAGTGGCTTTATGTGCATTATATATTGGGTTTTATGTATATTGCATACTGTGAAGTAATCATGATACATGCTGACAACAAAAGATGTAGATAAGTTAAAATTTTAGTTGATCCATTGTCTGTTTCTTCTTTGCCATCTTTGTAGAAAAAAATTAATTCAAGATGGACAGCCTATAAAAATGTATCTTTTTCTATTATTATTAATTTAGATATTGGCGTGCCACTTTTGAAGAAGGAAAATACTTAGCTACATTAAAAGATTTGCATTGAAGAAGCAATTGTGATATGCTGCCTTTTATCACAGTGTGACTTCCCATCAGTGCTGAGTAATGAAGTTTCTGATTAATATCTATCGTTGCTTTATCAGAATATCTTTCTCTAAAGTAAATCATTCTTGTGAATAAGAATCTAGCTAGTTGTAATGCAGTTCAGCATAGGTGGAAATAATTTTTTAAGGACTAAGTCAATTTCTGGGATTCAGACTGTTTCAGAAAAGAAACATTTTCTGTATTTCCACTAATGGCACAGTGTACCTTAGTATGTTTGGGTTAGTATTCAGTTTTAGCAATAATCATGGAGGCAGGGGTATCTATAAATATTATATCCCAATTTGCAAGGTAGCAAAGTTGTATATATACTACATAATATGACCACTTGACAGTTTATGAAGTCTTTTCATATATGCCATTTAATTGATTCATATAATAATCTTATGTGTAAACATAAAGGTGTACTACTATCTTCATTTCAAGTATCCTTGAAAAGACTTTCTCCATTGAATTGCCTTTGTACCTTTGTCAAAAATCAACTGACCAGCCTTATAGCACGTTAAGAAGTAACTTATATGATGTTATTAACACAAAGGATGGGGGAAGGAATGAAGCTATATTGGAGTAAACAATGACACCAGACAGTTATGTGAAGAAATGAAGAATACCAGGAATATTAAATATGTGAATGTAAAAGACCCTAATATATTTTCCTTTCTCCTCTTAACTTTATAAAAAGAAAATTATTTAAAGTAATAATTACAACACTATATTACTGGGTTTAAATATATAAACATATATGACAATAATAGCATAAAGGTGGAGGAAAGGAATAAAGCTCTATTGGAGCAATTTCTATATTTTTTAGAATCAAGTTAGTATTAAGCTGAGAGAAATTGTGATAAACTAAGACGCAATAGTAATCTCTAGAGTCATCACTACGAAACTCAAGAAACTATAGTAAAAAAAAATACATTAATTAAAATGGTGTACTAGAAAATACCTATTTAATAGAAAAGAAGGTGATAAAGGAGGGTGAGAGGAAGTAAAAAGACATGTGATATATAGAAAACAAATAGCTAAATGGCAGGCATGAATCCAACCATACCAATGTTAATTTTAAATTTGAATAAACACTCAAAAGGGCAGAGATTGTCAGATTGGATATAAAAACAAGATCCAACTATATGCTATCTACAAAAGATACACTTCAGATTCAGAGACAACAATTTTGGAAAACTGTCAACTATTTCTATACCATTCTCTTTCCTTTCCTTCTGTGATTCCAATTATGTGTAATGTTGAACTTATTTGATACTATACCAGAAGACTCTGATGTTATTTTTTAAAATTATTTTTTCTCTTTTTACTTCAGTTTGGTTTCTTGTGACCTGTTTTCAAGTTTTCTAGTGCTTTCTTCTGTCACATCTCATCTAATTGAGTGACCGCAACTCCTAAGTATATTGTGACTTTATTTTCAGGATAAGGGAGATCTTGAAGGCATCTCGAAAGTTGCAAGGTGATCCAGATTTGCCGATGTCTTTTACTTTGGCCATAGTGGAGTCTGATTCTACAATAGTCTATTATAAACTTACTGATGGATTTATGCTGCCAGACCCTCAGGTCAGTTTTGAGGTAACTGACAGCAAGAAGTACAAAAAGAGGAAAATTATGACGTGATTTTAAGTGTGACTCAAGTCAGTCACAGAACTGCCACTTCCTTTGCCATAGGGAAAATTCAAGAAAAAAAGTCTTGATTTTCAGACGTCAGAAAATTGGTTATATTTTGTTCAAAGTAGCATGTTCCTAGTTATTTTTGCAAAAAAAAAATTGATTTCCTTACTCTTTGGAGAATTTCATGGTTTTCCAAAGTATTTTATGAAGTCATCATGCATTTAATTATTTAGTGAGTAGCTGAGGTGGAATGTAAAGGCTAATAATAGTTGTAAGTAAAAAAACGCTTATTTAAGAAATGTTAAATTGGTTGACATTTTGACAGGAACATTTTAATAAGATAAATGTGCTATATGTGATTTCTTTACATACTTTGTTGGTATAATTTGGATAATTACATTAAATATCTTTCTAATTTTGCTTTTGGATTACATTGTTTATCGGAGAAAAGTCCATCCTGATCTTTTTTTTTTCCAGAATATTTCTCTTAGAAGATGACATCCATGTTTCCTGATGCTTGTTTTATTCATACAAGATTGGATTTGAGACCCATCAGACTGCTTCATCTTTTATCTCAGAAATAGGGTTGACGTACATAGTGAGGGTTGACTTCCCCATTCCATAAGGTTTTCATTCTGAAGAGTAAAACTTCCCCAGGTAGAAGACTTTCTCCTTCTTAAAAAATATAGGGTGATTTCTTTAAAACTTTGTTATCTAGAGACAGTTTAATTACAGTTATATACAGGTTTATGCCTAGGATGTATTCAGATGGGTGGGACCTGTGTGCTGCTTTTGTCATCCCACACTCAAAGTTGTCTCTTTGTTTCTTGCTGCCACTGCCAGCTCATTGTTGAGACTGCCATTTCTTTCTCTTACTCAGCTCTCCCCAGTGCCTTTTGGCCACTGCAGCTACCGTAGAATGGCATTTTATATGTACCTTGTCACCCACTTCTGTTTACTTTTTCCTCTCCAGTAAAAAGTAAAAGATTTCTTTCAATTGGTCTTCCCATTGCAGTTACTGTTATTTCTCTTTTTTGGTTAACTTTAAATCAAAACTCAAAATATGTTCATCCAGAGTGTGTCTTAAGTAACTTACGTGTCTTAAGTAACAGGGACCAGAGACATGTTACCTACAAGAGTTCTGGGCTATCCTTTTCATTCTTATCACATATCATAGCTTGAATATTACAACAGTGTGGGAGAGAATCAACCGTAAAAATGTCTTCATTAATTAGACCCAGTTATTCCACTTTTGTTAATGTCTCTCAAATTGTACAAAGTATAAAAAATTATATGCACAAAGATGTTCCAAGTGACATTACTTTTAGTAGCCCAAATTATAAACCACTTTAAAGTTTGGGGTAAAGATTGGCAAACTTTTTCTATAAAGGGCCAGAAAGTAACTATTTTAGGTTTTTAAACCTACTGTCTCTGTCATAACTTGTCAACACTGCTGTATGAAGCACAAAAGCAGCCATAGACAATACATAAACAATACGGGCGTGGCTTTGTTCCAGTAAAACTTTGTTTACAAATGTGGTGCCATAGTTTGTCATCCCTGGGTCTAGGAAATAGTCAATAAACAGATATATACAAATGATACATAATGTACTTATTAAAAATTAGTAATGAATATTATTAAAAACATGAAAATATTACCTTAAGTAAAAATTGCAAGACGGAAAAGTGTATAAGTGGGTGTAATCATGGCTGAAATAACAGACCAAGCATATGATAAAAAGATAACAAAGTAAATCAAATTACTAACTGGTTATAGTGGGATAGGAGGCAGAAAATGGATGACTTTGTCTTTTCTCAATGTTTTTATTTGTATTTTATAATAAAAATGTTTTAAAATTAAAAGGTGTCTTGAAATCTGTATTAGTTATCTATCATTGCAAAATAATATTACCACAAATGTAGCAACTTAAAACAGCACACATTTATTATCTTATAGTTTTTGTGGGCAAGGGACCCGGGCACAGATTAGTTGGGTCCTCCATGAGGCTACAGTCAAGGTGTTGGGCAGGGCTCCAGTCTCATCTGAGACTTGACTGGGGAAGGGTCAGCTTTTTCACCCACATGGTTATTAGTAGCCTTCAATTTCTTGAGAGTGCTCAATGCTTATATGCCATTGGCAGGAGGCCACCCTCAGCTCTTTGCCACGTGGGCCTTCTCAATATAACTGGTTGCTTCCTCAAAGCCAGCAAAGGAGAGTCTCAGCAAGATGGACCTTATAATCCTTATATAATGTAATCACATACATCCCATCACCTTTGCCGTATTCTGTTGATTGGAAGCAGGTCATAGGTCCTGCCTACACACTAGGGTTTCATGGCTGATTAGGAAACAACAATAACAAGAATGGAAAAATGATGAAAATTAGGAACATCACAAAATAGTATAAAGCATCATTCTTCATCTGTAGTCATTCCTGACTCCTTCCTTTGATGGTATTTGAATTTCACTTTTATTCTTGGTGGGAGGTCTCCATAACTCCTTCAGGCTCCCTCTGCTTCCCCAGAGGACATGAAGATGGACCTATTCAGAACAATATGTGTTTGGGTGACTCTAGTGGAAAATTTGCAGGTCTAAGAATCCTCAAACAGTTTATGATAAATTCTTAGGGTCTCTTGATTTCTTAAGTCTCTCGTTTGATTCATTTTGAGGTCTTTCATTATAATTCTAGAAAAATAGCATTTTCAGAAAGAAGTGTAAGGATAATGTCAGATTTGTGTGTCGGATCTGTTGACCAGTGGGCTCCTATATAACTACAAAACCAGAAGTGTCTTTTGGGGTTGGCTGTGAAAGGCGCTTTCCCAACTCTTTAAACTAGGATTGAATCCTGCTGTATGTCTTGGGATGTTTACTCTATTTCAGAATGTTCCCTGTGTACTTCACCAAAGTTGTTCTGTCCAAAGCCAGCCAGACACATCCTAACATGAATAATGGCCCAGAACTTTTTGGAAAGGGAGGCCACCCAGCTGTGTATGTCTCATTTTAATGAAAAACTAGATAAAGTGATTTAAGTAATTTTGTAAGTGAGTTTACATTTGTCTCCCTGTTAGACTGGGCTCCTTAAGAACAGAACAAGAAATGTATTTTTTAATACATCTCTGTATCTTGCCTCTTTGCACAGTAACTCACATATAGTAAACCCTCAGTAAATACTTGGCAAATGAATGAATGCTGATTATAGCCGTGTCTGATTATATAATGGCTTATTTTTTCCCTCAAGGCAAACTAAAACAATTCATTTGGACACCAGAGGGCACTGCTAGATAACCACAGCATTTTCAGACTCTACTAAGAGTAGATTAGCTGGAGAAGTGGTACTCTTGAAAATTTATTTTCAATCTGTAGGAAATAGCATAAATAAAAATATAAATAAGTTTTACGTACTCACATCCCCTTTTTCTTTCTGGCATGCCTCTAAAATTATACTGACATTAAATATGTGACTTGATTCATGCTTTGCTTAAAATGTAGATCTATATTTAGAAATAAAAGCCTGTTTAGGGTAGGGGTAGATGGGGTGGGTTTTATATATATATATATATATTTTTTTTTTTCTTAGCCATATGAAAGTATGCATTTTAGTTTTTCATTCTAAAAGCCTAATTTATCCTGAAATGAATTTCAGGATCACATCACATAGCAATAAACCCCAGCTCTGGAACACTCACTATTCTGGCTAAGTGCTGGTGGTAAAAGATATACATTGCTGCTTTAATATAAGCAGGTATTCCTTGTTGTATTGCAATTCTCTTTATTCTGTTTTGGGGATATTGTGTTTTTTACAAATTGAAGGTTTGTGGCAACCCTGCCTCAAGCAAGATTGTCGATGCCATTTTTCCAACATGATCATTTCATGTCTTTCTGTCATATTTTGGTAATTCTTGCGATATTTTAAACTTTTTTTATTATTATATCTGATATGGTGATCTGTTTTTCAGGGATATTTGATGTTACTATTGTAATTGTTTTGGTGTGCCACAAATTGTGCCCATATAAGACAGCAAACTCAGTTGATAAATGTTATGTGTGTTCTGACTGCCCTACCAACCAGGATTTCTGCCATTTCTCTCCCTTACTTCTGGCCTCCCTATTCCCTGAGAAACAGCAATATTGAAATTAGGCCAATTAATAACCCTACAATGGCCTCTATGTGTTCAAGTAAAAGGTAGTGTAGTACATCTGTCACTTTAAATCAAAAGCTAGAAACGATTACACTTAGTGAGAAAAACATGTCAAAAGATGAGATGGGCCAAAAACTAGGCCTCTTGTGCCAAACAGTCAAGTTGTGAATGCAAATGAAAAGTTATGGAAAGAAATGAAAAGTGCTACTCCAGTGAACACATGAATAAGAAAGTGAAACAGCCTTATTGTTGATATGGAGAAAGTTTGAGTGGTCTGCAGAGAAGATCAAACCAGCTACAACATTCCCTTAAGCCAAAACCTAATCCAGAGCAAGGCCCTAACTCTCTTTTCAATTCTATGAAGGCTGAGAGAGGTGACAAAACTGCAGAAGAAAAGTTTGAAGCTAGCAGAGCTTGGTTCATGAGGTTTAAGGAAAGAAGCTGTCTTCATAACTTAAAAGTGCAAAGTGATGCAGCAAATCCTGATGTAGAAGCTGCAGTAAATTATCAAAAAATCTAGCTAAGATAGTTGATGAAGGTGGCTATATTAAATAACAGGCTTTAAATGTAGACAGACGGCCTTATATTGGAAGAAAATGCCATCTAGGACTTTCATGGCTAGAAAGAAGCCAATGTCTGGCTTCAAAGCTTCAAAGGATGGGCTAATTCTCTTGTCTGGGGCTAATGCAGCTGATGACTAAATTAAAGCCAATGTTCATTTACCATTCTGAAAATCCTGGAGTCCTTAAGAATTACGCCCAATCTACTCTACTTATACTCTATAAGTGGAACAATGATGCCTGGATGAAAGCACATCTGTTTACAGCATGGTTTACTGAATATTTTAAGCCTACGATTGAGACCTACTGCTCAGAAAAAAAGATTTCTTTCAAAATATTACTGTTCATTGACAATGCACCTGGTCACCCAAGAGCCCTCATGGACATATACAAGGAGATTAATGTTGCTTTCATGCTTGTGAACACATTATCCATTCAGTAAGGTCAAGGAGTGATTTTGACTTTGAAGTCTTATTGCTTAAGAAATACATTTTGTAAGGCTGTAGCTGCCATAGATAGTTACTCCTGTTATGGATCTGGGCAAAGTAGACTGACAACCTTCCAGAAAAGGACTTGCCATTCTAGATGCCATTAAGAATATTTGTGATTCATGGGAAGAGGTAAAAATGTTTGAAGGATGTTGATTCCAACCCTTGTGGATGACTTTGAGCATTCAAGACTTTAGTGGAGGAAGTTAACTGCAGATGTGGTAGAAATAGCAAGAGAATTAGAATTGGAAGTGAAGCTTGAAGATGTAAATGGATTGTTATAATTTCATGAGACAACCTGAACATATGAGGAGTTGTTTCTTATGGATGAGCAAAGAGTGGTTTCTTGAGATGGAATCTACTTCTTGTGCAGATGCTATGAACACTGTTGAAATGACAAAATATTTAGAAAATTACATAAACTTAATAAAGCAGCAGCAGAGTTTGAGAAGATTGATTCCAATTTTGAATATTTTACTGTGGGTAAAATGCTATCAAGTAGCATCAGAGTCTACAGAGAAATCTTTTGTGAAAGGAGGAGTCAATGATTTTGGCAAATTTCATTGTATGTTATTTTAAGACTTTGCCACAGCCACCGCAACCTTCAGCAACCACCACTCTGATCAGTTAGCACCCATTAACATCAAGGCAAGACTCTCCACCAGCAAAAAGATTATTACTTGCTGAAGCCTCAGATGATCATTAGCCTCTTTCACAATAAAGTATTTTAAAATTAAGGTGTGTGCATTGTTTTTTAGACATGATGCCATATACTACATGTTCGTGTAAATGCAAGTTTTATAGGCACTAGGAAACCAAAAAAATTGTATGACTTGTTTTATTGCAATATTTACTTTATTGCAGTGGTCTGGAACTGACCCTTCAATATCTCCAAGGTATGCCGGTATAAACTTTTCTGTAAAAGAGGTGCCCTCTTTAGCTGGGGCATGAAAGAGGGAAATGGCATGTGAGGATTTCTCTCTGGTGCCGCCTTTGCCTTTCTTTTCTGGAGTCTCTAATCAGTGTGCCCTCTGTGCTGGGGAAGCTCAGTGGAATACTAAGCTAGGTCCTATGGCTCCAGACTAAGTATTTGCTTCTCCTGGCTGAGACTCTTTAGAAGAATATGTTACTAAACACCATAGATCTCTTGTAAAGAACATGAAGGAAGAGGTACTTTGGAATTCAAATTTACAATTAGAATAGAAGAGTAATCTGCAAAGTTCACGTAGTCAGCATTTTTATTTTTATTTTTTATTTTTTACTAAAACAGCTTTTCCCTTTTATAAGCCTGGAACCAAATGACTTAACCAAAACTTCATGGTGTTTCATCTCTTTCTGAGTATTTCTGTTCTGAATTCCTCTCTGAGGTCACTTTTTCCATTGCAGCCCCTAGCAGAAGGCCTCTTCACTGCTGCAGCACAGTGGTTCCTGCCAAAGTTTGTAGTTCTTCTATACAGAAGCTCTTTATTCATCTGCCATATTTTACCTTGAGTGTTTACATGTGCAGAATAATGTGCTATCCTCTGAGCAATTAATAGTACAATTTCCCTTCTTTCTGGCCAATAACCGTTCCTTACCACCCCCTAATCCTCTTAATGATCTTTGGATAAGAACTGCTTGTACTCACTAAGGAAAGTGGATGGAAAAATCAAATGTCTAGTAGGTGGGTGTGCTATTATAATGTTTAAATGATTTTGAAAATTTTCCCAAAGCCAATTTAAGCAAAATCAGAGATTGGCCTTTTAGGTTTCTGGGTACTAAGGGGAAGTAATAAGAAGTATTTTATTAAAGGTTATTTATCAGTTTATCTTCAGACATTAACTGGTATCTTAGCTAGGACAACCATTACAAAATACCACAGCCTGGGTGCCATAAACAACAGAAATTTATCTCCTTACAGTTCTGGATGCTGGGAGTTCCAAATTAAGGTGCTAGCAGACTTTTAAGGGCTCTTTTCCTGGCTTTCAGATGGCAGCCTTCTGGCTGTGTCCTCACATGGCCTTTCCTCTGTGGGGCATGGCGAGATTGAGAAAAAAGGAGAGAGAGAGAGGGTCAGAGCACGTGCAAGTGCATGCTGTCTGGCGGCATCTTTTCATCTTCTTATAAGAACACCAGCGCCATCAGATTAGGGCCCCATCCTTATGACATCATTAACTTTAATTACCTCCCTAAAGGCCTTATCCCCAATTCCAGTCACATTGTGGGATAGGATTTCAATATATGAATTTGAAGGGTACATAATGCAGTCCATATAAACTGGGCTCCTTCTCTGTGCTCAGATACTGTGGTAAGTCTAGGGATACAAAGATTGGTGAGACATGACCTCTACCCTCAAGGAATTCAGACAGGCAATTACAACTCTCTTTAGCCAAAATTCTAAACACCTGTTGTTAGTGTGAATTGAGAAATACTTGTCTTGCAGTGTATAAAGTTTGTGTAGTTTACTTAAGGGTGAAGGGGTTTAACAACTTATGATAAATAGTTTTCAAACGATCATCATATGTGTATTATTTGTCCCAAAGTACTCAGCATTGGATCATATGCAAAGAAAAAGTGCACAGTGAACCTCTAAGGAGCTTATTGTCTCCCTTGAAAGGAGAAAATCTAGGTACAAAATAATTCAAGAGCATTACAAGGACAACATTATATATAAATGCAAAGTTATAATCATGTTGTACTTTATTCACTACTAAGTGCTTCAGAACCCTATATCTTGATGCTCACAACAGAGCTGATGTTACTTACATGTTATTAACTTTTTATCCTCATAAGATAGAGAAATTAGGGCACAAGTGGTTAAGTAATAGCTCCAGGTAGTAGCAAGCAAGTGGAGTGGGTAATGCAGATTAGATCCAGGTCTCCTGATACCTAGCACTGTATTGTTTTCAGAATATTATGTTGCCTTTTTCTTGTATGATGCAGAGAAATATATTAGTGTGTGCCAAAGTCTTTGGGAGGAAAAAATTATTCAGTCCTGGAGGGAGTTAGGAAGTGATTTTTGGATCAATTACATTATCCTCTGATACTTGAACAAATGTATCAAAATGTCAAGCTGTTTGTGGGTAATTCTGAAAAACATATTCATAAGCAATATATTTACAGAGTTTTATTCCAGAGGATAAACACATTCATGCTCATGCTTTTATGTTGGCAAACCTAAAACAATATTTAATAGTAAATAAAGAAGAACTCAGAAAGTTTCTCTGCTTGTTGACACTAAATTTTGTGCTGGTACAAACAGAAAATCCAGAAACTTATAAATGATCATTGCACCTCAATGAAGAAGACCATTGCACCTCAATGATCTTGCACCCCAAGTATTCCTCAGATCTGCCTGCCAGTGCTTGGAATCCTAACATAATTCTGTTTCTTAATCATGAATCAATAATCCAATTTAATTTGACAAACATTTTGTTAGCACCTTCATGGGTAAGACATCGTGCTAAGATCTGGTGGAAAGACAATTCCAAATATGTTATTATTAGATTCAATAGGTCAAATTAATCAGCTTAACTGTTACAAGAATTTCTAAATGTTTATTCTCAATTTCTATACTTACATCATTGCAGAGCAGCAATAGTTTGTGGATTGATACCTGTGTATGAACTACACTTTGAGTGGCATGTGTTAAAAGCTTTGATGAGGAATGAGAGCCTGAACCCCAATAATAGCCTGGGCATATTAGTCAGGGTGGGCTGGATTATTATGCAGCAACAGCCAGCGAGTTCATTTAACAAGTGTTTATTGCTTGCTCACTTTACATGCCCATTGACTGAAACGACCCATTGCATGCCCTTTACTCTGGAAATCAGAGTGACAGGGCCTCCACCATCTGAAATGCTGTCAGTTCCAGCTGCAGGAGGCAGTTCCAGCTGCAGTGTTGCTTACTGCAATTAGGAAGCAGCCCATGTTACTCCTGTCCACGTTTCACTAGCCAAAGGAAGCCACGTGCCTGGCCATGATCTACCTCAAGAAAGAGGGGAAGTGCAAATCTGTCATGTTCCTGGATTGAGGAAAAGGAATATTCAGAAAGCAGCACTTCCAGGTAATAGAAAGGAGAGGAGAGAGCCGGCAGGTAGATTTAACAACTGGATAGCTGCGTGAACAGAGAAGGAGCTGGAGTTAAACCTCAAACTATTGAGTCCCGTCACTTTAATGGGAGTGAGTTTCGGGTTGTTTTGGGAAGACAGTGAGAGGACATTGCAAGAAGGAAAGGGCACTAAGTACCACCAGGTTGGGAAACAGGCCACCTAGAGGACTTTTTCCCACTTCATGGCTCGGGTTCTGGAGATCAGAAAGAAGATCTTGTATGGATCAGAAACCTAGGGTCATTGGGGACTTTATTCTTCCCGTTCTTCTGATGCACCAGATTGTTACACAGACTATGTTGTCCTGGCCTTTTCTTTACTTCCTAAGAATGGAAAAAAGAAAGCAGTTGTGCCTATAGCATAGAAGATTTAGTGGAACTCTGCGAGAATATTTCTGAAGGAAGCTGGTTAAACATGGATGCGTGGGTGAGGCTGGGTTTATGAAGAGCCTGGTGGCAACTCTTCTGGGATGGATAGTTGTTTATGTGGGATAGTGAACATGGAGTGTTTGTATAGATCTAGGACACTTTCAGGGTGCATTAGCATCTGACAGAGAGAGAGCTGGGGGACAGACATCAGTCCTTAGGGTTTCTCATCAGTCACACAGGTAGTGGCTGAATTGGGCATCATCCTGCAGTGCCTGAGGTCCATCTGGGTCTCTCATGACTTTTTCTCTTGAGCACTTGGAAAATATTTGGTCTGGTCCTGAACTCCAGGGACATGTTGGGGAACTTTCAGGCTGTTTTGGGTCCTCTCCATCTAGATACACTTTCCCAGCCATATGTGCTTCTCTGCTGTCTTCATAGCATGTTGAAGAAAGATCCTAAGAGTCTGAGATATGTGGAGTATGTGGAGCTTTACCTGGGCCTGGAGGCAGCAGTAGGGGGTATAGGGTAGGAGTGGGTGCTGGCCATATTCCCTTTCATTTCCTTTATTTCCTTTGGAGCGTCTATTGTCTCTCCTCTGCACCAGCAACTTTTGGGGTCAGAGCGGAGGGCACGGACCACAGGTGTCTGCTCCATGACCAGTTCAAGGTTCTAACTCTTCCACTTTTGCTACTTTTTATCCCCAACAGGTTTTTTCCCCTAGGTTTATTTTGTCTTAGGGGTAGGAAAAACTGATGCCGACCATTTCCAGATCAATTTTCCTTCTAAACATATTGTTTTTGCCAAGATTTTAGATTTTGGAATTCAAAAGCCAAGAATTTGCTCTTTTTGTTCTGTAGCATAATCCTGTTCCTGAGGCAGTGTGCCAAGAAAGCCTGTATGGGAAAAAGTTCACAGGGAACAAGAATTACTGAAAAGGGAAAATATATCAGTTAATATATCAAAAATTATCCAGTTACATTCACAAACAGAAGGTGTTAATTGTCATTAAAATTCATATTGATACTCACAAGACCTATTTAATTTTCTGAGGGTACATTTTATCTTATCTATCAGCTTACATCCCACCTAATGATAATGCAGTATTTGATACAGAGTAGAAGCTCAATAGAAGTCTTATTTGATTGCATTCAAATATTCATAAATGGACTACTACCCACCCCATCCAATTCCTGCCATTCCAGTGGCAGGGCAAGGACCAGCTGCTTTTCTGCCCTGTCCACTTTGTACAGAAAGCAGAGCTTCATGTACCTCAGGCTGTGAGACAAATCACCATCCCATGCGATTTTCTTTTGTAAGCATGCTTATGCTACAAGATCCCTTATATTTTGATCCCTTGCCTTAGAGTTCTGAGAAATCAAAATAAGGATTTATAAACAAAATATATCTGCCTGATAAGTTTACTTATTATTTGATTACACATCCTTTCCTATGCCAAACCTATGCATTTATTTATTCAACATTTTTTGGGGAAATGAAGGCATGTAAACACTGCTAAATTTGGAAACTCTACTTAGAAATGGTAATTCCTCTCACATAATTATACAATTATTGTGGATTGTACTTCTGTTGATGACCACAGATGGGGATGCTGTGGTTTTGAATATTGGGTGAAAAATTGGTCATCTCTTCTCCCATCCCAAGTGAGATCATTAGAAAACTTGGTTCCTATAAATATAACCAAGAATGTTGCTTTTTTCTGGATTGTACATTCTCTATTGTTTAGATATAAATGAATAGAATTCATCCACTTTGGACCATAATGTTCCACTCCCACAAAATGAAAGGAGTTGGTGCAGATACTATCTGTGATCCCCTCTAGCTCTTTATTTTGGTGATCCTATAATTGAAAGATTTTGCCACATAGATCTTTCCTTCTCACCCTCACGCTCATCACCCTCTTCCACCTCTACCCCTGTTAAAAACAACAACAACATATTCCTCCCATCATGGGCCTTATTAATCCACCATTAGAATTGTGCTCCTTTGAATTTTTGAGGCCCAAGAGACTTGCAAGGCAGAGTTTTGACTTCAGAAAACCAACAGTGACATGGGACAGTTGTGTAATCTCCCTGAGTCTCAGTTTCTCATCTGTAAAATGAAGGACAAAGTGTGTCCTTCCAGGGTTGTGTTTTCCTCACACATTGAAATGGTTATGTGAGGATAAATGAAGCCCAGCATACAATAATCTATCAATGATCCTTCCCTTTGCAGCCTCCAAACTCTTCCCATTGATGTGCAGGTTGCCACCTTGGGAGAGAATACATGATAACTAGCTGAGAGCCAGTCCTCCAAGGAGTAGGACCTAGATGTTTAGCAGGGTATGAAGAAGGTAGTCTTAGTCCATTTTGTTGTTTGATATTCTGTTATTCTAACTATCACACCCCATCCCACCTATGATGGTTTTAAGATATTATCCATAAATCCTTTTGATTATTATCCATAAATCCTTTTGATTATTATCCATAAATCCTTTTGATTTATGGATAATATCTTAAAACCATCACAGGTGGGATGGGGTGTGATAGTTAAAGAGCATTTTAATTTTCTGTTATTCTGTAACAGAATATCAGAGACTGGGTAATTTATAATGAACAGAAATTTATTAGCTCACATTTCTTGACACTGGGAAGCTTAAGATCAAGGGTCCAGCATCTGGCAAGGGCCTGCTTGCTTTATCTTATGGCAGAAGGCAGAAGGGAAAGAGAGATCAAGAGGAGTCAAATTAGCCCTTTATAATGGCACCAATCCTGCCCATGAGGGTGGAGCCCTCATGGTCTAATCACCTCTTAAATATCCCACCTGTTAATACTACTACAATGGCAATTAAATTTCAACATGGGTCTGGAGGGGACAAACATTCAAACCACGGCAAAGGTAAAGGAAAAGATGGGGGGACAATTTTACCCTTTGAAAAATTTCTCAGGCCTGATCTTGCTGCTGCTGTTGCTGCTGCTAATGGTGATGGTGATGATAACACTTTTTTTTTTTGGTCTCACTTTGGGGGATCCTTTAGGTTTAGATAAATTGCATAGGAATAAGATAAACACCAGCTATGCAGTGGGAGACTTATATCAAATAAGGGAAATTTCCACTGCAGGGAAGCTGTACTGGGGCAATTCATTAGGACTGAAAAGAAGTTAAACTTAGCACAGCACAAAAGCACATTGAAAAGTTCTCTCTAAAAGAGAAGGGGGAATGTTCAGGGTGCATTTAAGTCATGGGATATGGCAAGGAGCCTTCTGTTGATGGTGGGGATTAGGTCTCTTGAAGGAATGAATAAATTAAAAAACATGAAATAATAACTAGCAATTTGTAGTTGTATAAGCATGCCTATATTACAGTGGGGGATATAAGGACCTTATTTTGTTCCCTTCTATATTCCCAGAAGTTAGAACAGTGTCTGATACATAGTGGGTGTTCCACAAATATTTGTGGAAGAAAATAAACAAATGAATACACATAAAATAATGTCAAGTGATGACAAATGCTATGAAGAACATAAAGCAGGGTATGGGGATAGAGTGTGACAGGAATGCAATTTTAGTTAGGGTGACCAAGAATGGCTTTTCTCTGCAGGTGACATTTGAGCAGAGACCAGAATGCAGTGAGGGTGGGAGTCATGCAAATAACTAGAGGACCAGCCTTGCGGGCAAAGGGAACAGCAAGTGCAAATGTCCTGAGTTTAGACCATGATGGGATCTGAAATTTTGCATTTCTAACAAGTTGTCTGATGATGTCAGTGCAGCTGGTCCATGGACCACATTTTGAGTAGTAAGGGTATAGACTAGAGTTTGACCCAGGAGTCAGTACTAGTCAAGTTCAGTACTAGTCAAGTCAGTACTAGTCAAGGAACTGAGTAGTTCTGTCTGAGAACTGAGTAGTACTGACTAGTCAAGTCAGGACTAGTCAAGGAACTGAGAGGTGAGGTCATTGCATGAGAAAAGAGGAATGCAAAACTGTATATGAAATATATTCTTATCTATACAAAATGTATGCAAAGAGGGACATGAACAATATCAACAGTGTTTTCCTCAGTGGGGTTGCACTTCAGATTATTTAAATTCTCTTCTTTTTAGATTATTCCAAAGCTTCTGCCATGTGTATTTATCACTTTTATATTCAGAAAAAAACATTTTTGGAAAGTTCAAAACAGAAAATATGTGTTTAGTTAAGACACAAAGTTCAAAATGTATTAAAATATTTCTAAATTTTAAAAAAATGTTATGGACACATGGGAATTGGTTGGGGTTTCTGATGAAAGGCTTCATAAAGGAGATGACTTTGAATCAAATCTTGACATCTAAGTAGGCAAAACTAAGTTAGAGTTCTTAGCAGCTTCTCTTCTCTCTTCCTGTTCTTGGGTGGAAGTTGGGGTGGGGAAGATATAGGGTATGGATGGTATATTAGTAATCTATTGCTGTGTGACAAATTATCCCAAAGCTCAGCTACTTAAAACAATAGTTTTTGTGGTTCAGAAATTTGGGAGCAGCTTTTTGGCTCAGGGTCTCTCATGAGGTTTCCATGAAGATATTAGCTAGGGCTTCCATTATCTGAAGGCTTGACTGGGGCTGGAGGATCCACTTCCAAGATAGCTCACTCACATGGCTGTTGGCAGGAGAAGGCCTTGCTTTCTTGCCATGTGGATCTCTCTACAGGACACCTTGGGTCTCCTCATGATACTACAGCTGGCTTCACTCAGAGCGAATGACCAGAGTGAGAGAGAGGGAGAGCAAGAGAGAGTGAGAGAGAGCTAGAGAGAGCACGAGAGAGAGAAGATCCAACACCTTTGATGACCTAATCCTGGAGCACACACACTGATGCTTCTGCTTTATTCTGTTCATTAGAAGCAAGTTGCCAAGTCTAGTCCATACTAGGGGGAGGTGTATTCAAGTTTACCTTTTGAAAGGGGGGAGTATCAAAAGGATTTATGGATAATATCTTAAAACCATCACAGGTGGGATGGGGTGTGATAGTTAAGGCCATTTTAATTTTCACTTAAAAGGGACTGTATAAAATTCTAGATACTATGGATTACTGTAGGAAACTGTCAGTCATTTAGCATGCCTGGTGTTTAGCAGGATGGAGGGTAGAAAGGTATGATGAGGAAAACATCTAGAACATAATGCAAGCCACATATGTAATTTAAAATTTTCTAGTAGCCACACTAAAAGATGTTAAAAAGAAAATACATAATTTTAATAATATGCTTTTAGCTCTATATATGCAAATATTTTCATTTCAATGCATAACCAATATAAAAATTATTAACGAGATATTTTAGACTCTTTTTTCTTTTTACTATCTCTTTGAAATCTGGTGTGTGTTTCATACTTATAGCATCCTTTGGTTTGGACTAGCACAATTTCAAGTGCTCAGGAGCCACATGTGGACAGTGCAGGTCTAGAGAACTAGGCCAGAAGCTAAGAATAGGTCACCAAGAACCATAATCTGTATCCATTGTCCAAACAGAGGGCCCAGTAAAGGGTTTAAGCTGAAGGGCACCATGATCAGACTCCTGGTTTAGAAGTCACTCTCACTGTTCTATGTGTAGAACGTGGAGGGTTGGAGCAGGCAAGCCCAGACATAAGCACATAATCAGGAGACTTTCAGAACATCCCATGTGAGAGCTTGAATGAGGTTAGTTACACTAAAGATGGAGAGGAGCCGATGTATGAAAGATAGAAAGGAGGTGGTTTGTAGTAGGTCCCATGACCATTTGGATGTGAGAAAGTAGATGTAATAAGATAGAGACACTTAGAATGATTCCAAGGCTTCTGGCTTGGGTCATTGTGAGGAAAATTGTAAGAAAAGGAAATACAGGAGTTAAAACATGGTTCACTTTGCGGGGATAACAAGGTAAGATTACAGCTATATATTTGGAAAAGTTTTGGTTGAGATAGTATCGGAGATGGAGGAGAAGAAATCTAGTGGACAGTGGATGGATAAATCTGGAGCTTAGGGGAGACCTAAGCTCCTGGTGGAACCACCACAAGGCTTCGTAATTTTATGATATTGCTATGAAAATGCCAGGCACTGTGGAAAGTTCCAGTTTTCTCTTGTTGTAGAGGCAGAATCAGCTGAGGAAGAAAGACCGGAGCCACCTCAGGAAGAGGCCTCTGAGCTGTGGGCACCAGCCAGGGAGGTCTGCTTCCCTGGCCCAGAATGACCGGCTATTTAGCAGCGAGGGAGGGGCCATGAGAGCCACACTGCGGAGTTATCTTAGCGGTAGGAGCTCCCTGGGCAGGCTGTGAAGGCCAGAGCTCACTGAGGGGAGTAGGAAGGGGAAGGAGTGTCTGGATAAAGCATCGGACGTTAAAAACGCCTAGATTCTGAGGAGTCTGTTGATGGCATGGACTTTGGTCTTTTTGTTGAAAACCTCTTTTGTAATATGTTCAATAAGTGGAATTCTTTGCTGCCAAAAAATGGGGAGGAGGAAGAGGAAAAGGAGAAGGAAGGAAGGAAGAGAAAGAAAGAAGAAAAGAATTCCTGCCTTGGGATTTGACTATTTCACATGTTGTCTCCATCTCAGAAAATACGTATCCTTGTCAGTGAAGAAAAAAATGTTTTTTGTATTTTTTTTTTTTTGGTAGAGATCGAGTTTCACCATATTGACCAGGCTGCTCTCGAACTGAATGACTTATATGAGTACACATGTCATGTTTAATTGTGTTTTTCTACTTACATTTCCTATTGTAACCTTCAGTGCTCATCTGGGTTGTTTTCTGTTTGTTTGTTTGCTTGCTTGTTTTTATTCTCTAAGAAACAGTATAATGGCTAAGACCCTATTTGTTGACTAATCCTATTTCTGGAAGGTTAGCAGACCTATGTGAGATATTGAGACCCTTCCCTCTTTTACGCACCTAAAGTGAAGTGTGTCTGCCCACTGCCTCTTCCTTAATAGGGTGATGCCTTAATGCAAGGGTTGCAAACTAAAGTGCCTGCCACAGCCAGGTAGATAATACACTGGAGTGATGTGAGTGTACACAGCAAATGAGCTTGGCCAAAGGGAGCAGCTGTTGTGAAGCTCCAGCAGATTCTTGTGAAGTGGCAACATGGGCGTACTTGCCAGATATTCTTACTTTTGTGTGTGAAATTTTTTGGTGAAGTTTCCCCACTTTTAACTTCACAAAATATCAATTTTATTTAAACACTGCAGATTAAACAAAATATGTTGGTGGGTTCTTATCAACCCACAGTCCACCAGTCTTTGATATCAATCTAAATCTTTATATATGTATGCATGTCATGTTTCATTGTGTTTTTCTATTACATTTCCTACTGTAACCGTCAATGCTCTTCTGGGTTGTGTTTTGTTTTCTTACTTGTTTGTTTTTATTCTCTAAGAAAAAATACAATGGCTAAGGCCCTATTTGTTGGCTAATCCCACTTCTGGAAGGTGAGCAGACCTATGTGAGGTATTGAGACCCTTCCCCCTTTTAGGCACCTAAAACAGCAGACCATATGGAAAATGGCATATTCCCCTGGCAGATTCAGGGCCACAGTGTTTGAGAGACTATCGGAGATGGAGGAGAAGAGTGGAGTGACCCTGGTGCAACTGGCCACATTTTGGTGGTGACTCCTCTAATAAGTGCCAGGTTACTTAAAGTAGATCTCATATTTAATAATAAATGAAATATCAAAATCATTCATGAGGGTACTAGATAGCATGCGGAAAAAACAGTCATTATTTCCAGTGCTCAAAGTTAAACATTAAAAAAAAAATCAAATGCAAGAAGGAAGTAGGTGAGGGAGAAAATAGGAGGAAAATGTATGGAATTCAATGGGTTTCATGTGCATTTCCCTTGGATGTTATTGAGCTCTAGGTCAGGTTTGTAGAAGAGAAGCGATGCTTCCCCATCATGCTCCCCAGTCCTCCACCCTCCACCCTATCCTGTGGGGCAGAGTTGCTATAGATTGATGACACTCTAGGACACTGGACCATGTTTGCCAGTAGAATGGTTGCTGCCCACTAAAAGGTCATGCATAATGTCCACACAAAGACCTGTACATGAGGTTTATAACAGCTTTATTCATAACAGTCAGACTAGAAATAACCTGAATATTCATCAATGGGTAAATGTATAAACAAACAGTAGTAATCTTTACAATGGGATACTACTCAGCAATAAAAAGAACAAGCTACTGACATACACCACAACATGGGTGACTCACAAAACACTCTGCTGAATGAGGGAAGTCAAAACCCAAAGCATTTATGCTATATGAATTTATATGAAACTTGAGAAAAGGCAAATTTAATCTATAATGACAAAATAGATCTATGGTTTTTTGAGGCTTGGGATGGAGGGTATGTAACACAAAAGGGCATGAAGGAATTCAGGCAAAAGATGATGGAAATGATCTATATGTTGATTGTGGTGGTGTTTCCATGTCTGGTTATAGTTTTGAAACTCATCAAACTTAGGCTTAAAATGGGTGCATATTCTTTCATGTAAATTATACCTCAGTAGAGTTGATATAAACAAAAAGGTCACGTACAAAGATGTATTATCTCCTGTCCCTCTTTCATGTGTGCTATAGAAGCAGTCTAAAGACCTAACTCTCTTTTCTTCTCCTTTCTTCCTCCATGTGGCCTGAATGGGGAGAAAGCCAGGGCTCTCTTGCTTAGGATGTGCCCAGCCAAAATTTTGCTCTTATCTTGTCTGATCAAGCATTTTCATCTATTTGGATTTCTGTCTTCATTTATGGCAGATGAGGTGTGGTGAAATGTTGAAGTTGAGTTTGGGCTTATGGGGAGAAAAGGTGTTCCATCTCTGATCCTCCAGGCTTGCTCAGGTGTCCCAGCCCAGCTTACAAGGGCTGTGCACTGTGGGTAGGGGACTGACTTCAGCTGAGAATAGGACACTTGCTTTTCTTTTCTTGACCAATTTTCTGTAGTATACAGCTCCCTCAGGGACATATTGGAGAGGGAGGGCTGAGGTTTACAAAATGATTTGGATATTCCTAAGACCCTTGATTAATTCTGTCTAAACACTGTAATTATTTCTAAGTCTTCCATAGACATACTTTTACCAAAGGCCTCATCACCTTTACGGAAACGTCATCCTCTAGTCTCAGTACCACTCTGGCTGGTCGGATACTTACTTTTCAAAATACAGCTTGAGTCATTGTCCTGAATCCTTCCTACCCTCCAGTCTCAAAGCACATGTATCTCTTGTTCCATGATCCAAAAGAAGGAGAAGGGGCTTAAGTGTGATGCAAGTCTGGGTTCACATCTTGACCTGCTGCTTACTGAGTGGGTGACTTAGAGCAAGTCACTTATCCTCTCTGAGCCCCAGAATATATATTTTTATATATATGGTATAGTATAGTACAGTATATATAGTCACCAAGGCTCAGAAATTGATATATATATATTTAGTATTTTTTAATTTCTAAAATAGTGATGATAATTCCTACTTTTCAGGATTGTTGTATATATTATATAATATAGTTAGTGTATACAATTTGCACAACAAAGATGCATAATATATTTTAGCTATTATTATTATTAGCTGTAGTGGCAGAGACAGCCCCTGCCTCTCCTTGCATGTAGGTGTGTACATATAACATGGAGACAGTGGAATGTAAGAGCTGTGTGTCACTCCTGGGGTAAAGATTTTAGAAAAGGACAGGACTTCCCTACTGTCTCTTTCCATTTCTGTTGGCTGGAAGCAGAAAACAAAGAGCCCCTAGGAAATGGTGAAGCCACAAGATCTATGGAGCCTGGAGTCCTTAAATTACTACCTGGGAGACAGCTACCTGTCACCCAGGAACACCTGCAATGGGCTGTTTTATAAGGAAGAAACAAACTTATTTTGGGTTAGGTCCCTAAAATTCTGGGTTTTGTTTATTATAGCTGTTAGTGTTAATTGTCCTGGTAAATTTAGAAATTGGCACTTTGAAGTGGAGGTTAATGTAAGAAAAACCTAAGATATGTTGCATCGACTCAGCAGTTGGATGGTGGGTGGCACAGACACTGATATCAAAGGCTGGGAAGATGGAGACCTGTGGAAGAGATGGCAGAGCATTTGGTAAATCTGTTGCTGGTGATTATTTAAAAGGCATGCCCAGTGCCTGACAAGTCTTTATCTCCAGGGGAGAGGCTGGCTATTACTTATTGTATTCAGCAAGGTATAACCAGACAGATGTGCTCTGCTAAGAACTCGTTTGCATGAGTGCAGAAATTAAACAGTCTAGACAGAGTCCAGAAATCTGATGTTTCACAGGATTGGAAAAGCATTATTGTTCTCAACCCATAGAAGGTATCACTGAAAAAGGCTTTGAGCAACATAGGTCCATTTAAAAAATCTCAATTTAATAGATACCATGCTAGCATCTACAGACTAGGAAATAAGTAGGGACTGTTCTCTGCCTTCAAGGAGTTTATAACTTAGTAGAAAAGAGAAAAATGTGTACAAATAACTGCAGTGGAAGACAGTTAATGATTGAAACATACATTGCTATAAATAATGCAAGAATCACAGCATTCTAGGGTAGCCCAGAATAGGGGCTCTCAAAAGGACTGGGGAGCTTGGACCTTGGTTTCTCATCAAACCCTGAAACCCATGAATGAATGAATAAACCTCAATTGTTTCCCAAACTCATTTTCATCTTCCTGAAACACTAGAGTTCAAATTTGGTCTCTGGGGTAGTAGCTGATCCTCTGGGCATTGAGGAGCTCCCTCAGGCCAGCCCATGACTTTCCTATCAGTGTTCTTCTCTGCCTTTACAAGTAGTTCAGACTGAGACTTGTATGGGTTCCCTACTGAGGGCCTCATTTCTGTAACAGAAGAGGGCTCTGACATCCTTATTTTTCTTCAACTGCCCTGAGATGATGAGATGCCCCAGACCTGAAAGCACCGTTGTGTTTGCTGAGACTGCTTGTTTTTATTGTCTCTTGTGTTTTAAATAGTCATTCTTTGGGCAAAGAATGAGAACTTGCAGCTCCTTATTGTTTCCTGGCATGAACCTAGTACCTTTTTAACTTGCTTTTATTGCCTCTTTGGCTGTGTGGAGCATTTATCTAAATATAGACTGGTACAACACTATGAACAGGACTGGAATAAGATAAAATTTTCTTTCCGATCAATTCTGTTACATCTTCTTGTGAACACTAGGTACTGTTCTTTTCTCAGAGTGGCAAGAGTAGGCAGCAAAAAGAGATGATATTGAGTTGCAAAGCTTTTCTAAGTGGAAGTCAATCACTGCCAGGCCTTTTAAAGTCACGAGGCCCAGGTACTGAGTGCTCTGGACACTGGATCTGCCTATGGCCTTAGGCAAACCACATAATCATGGTCAGCAACATACACTGCCCCTTGGAGGCAGGGTGGTGGAGTGGAAGGGGCACAGGCTTTGACAGAACCCAATTGGATCTAATGCCCTGCCACTTATTTTGGGGTGACCTTGGGTAAGTTCCTTATTCTCATTTCTAAAAGGGGGCAATACTAATAAAATCTATCTCTTAGGGCTCTTGTGAGGATTAAATGTGATGAATATATGTAACTTACTCAGCACATTTTCAAGAAATAGCAGCTATTATTTTTTTGTAGGTAGGTACTTTGTGGCATTAATATATCAAATGCAACCATATCTTTAATTTTATTTCCAGGAGGAATAATCCATATATATTTATTAAAGATATTAACAAAAAGCAGCTCTCACCTTCTTGTGAATCAGATCCAAATCCCTTAACGTCTTCATTGATTCAGGTGAGAGGATTTCATTACTGCAGGAGTGCACTATAGTAATTAGAGCAGAGTCTCTGGTCTCAGGGTTCAAAACTTGGTATGTGATATTGAGCCAATTGCTTAAGTTCACTGGGCCACAATCCTTGATCTGCGACTTCAAATTGAAACTATTTATAGGCTTTACTTGCTTAATATAAATCTTTCTATTTTGGGTGCAGAAATATTGGGTTTGATTCTAAGGGACCACCCCAGACCTTGGTGGGTGTTCTGTAATATCTGTCATATGCACCCTGTTGCCTTTATTAATTCTGCATTCTGAGTTGCAAAACTCATCTGGTTTCCAGAGATTTGGGGATCTATGATATACCCTCATAGGGTCGCTGAGCTATAGTCACTTCATGCCCCCCCTCCGAATCTTATTAGCTATTATTATCATCTTGGAATGGTTTTTTGATGTGGCGGTTATTCTCCCATTTTACATATGAGGAAAATAAGACCCAGAAAAGTTAAATCACCACATAGCTCATATGTGATATGGTCAGAATACAAGCAAGGCATTTCTGACATCAGATCCCATGCATTCTGTTGAATTCATTCTGTTGAATTCCCAGGACCCTGTACATGCCCTGGCAGGGCCAGCCTCAATTAAGATTCCACCTGGAGAGATTAGAGTCTACAGTTAAGAAAACACAATCAACTGGGACTGTCCTCTTCAGGCATCTCACAAGCAGACCAGTTCTGGTGTGGGCTCCTCACCCTCCTTTAGCGGCTGTGCAGAGGATGGAAGGGTGGGTCCCGGAAGGCTCCCACAGGGTCTGCCAACCACATGGCTTGAGAAGGGAGCTGGCCTGCACACCGTCCTTTGCTGATTTCTCCTAAGGGATGTGAGCAGAGCATTGACAGGGTCTGTGATACACCCTTTAGCATAATTCTGTGCCATAGCAGGAACAGTCTATTTTGTGAAAAGCTCAGGATGAAGGCTGTCTCTCTCACTACTGTTTTGATGTTCACTGACAAACCCACCTACCATCAAATGATTCCCACCACACTGCCTGCCATGGTGCCTGAAATTTGTGCTATAAGCCATCAGTCTCCAGAGACTACCAATAAAATGTCTGGACAGTAGGGTAGGGGATGAGGGAAGGATAAGAGGTGGGTCACCATCACTGAAGAGTCTGGGTGAACTGGGGTACTAGCTCCCAGGCTGGAGGTGGCCTCTGACAGACATGGCCTCTGAGGAGTGTAGCACCAAACACGGACCCAAAAGCACCCCTCAGAAAAGGAAAGGGATGAAGGGGTCATTTGCCTGTTTTACACATTTATCCAGATCAGGACCTGGAAGGGAAGACCTCCTTCACTGTTGCTGAGACTGCGAGCTCTTGGAAGACGGTGACTGTCTTTTTGTCTCTCTCTCTCCCCAGAACTCAGCAGAGTAACCCATGACTTGTTTGACTGAACAGAGTGCCCATGGGTTCAGTGCTCTGCTCTAGTCTCCACCTGCCAGTTTCCTTCTGACACTGCTATGAGCAACCCCCATATTTATGCAGATGAGTGCTCCATAACTCCACTTCTCTTCAATAAGAAGAAAGAGCAACACCGCTAACAACTTATTGTTGGTGGTGAGACTTTGGGCAAATTAATGAGCTCTCTGTTTATTCATTGATAAAATGTAGAGAATGCCCCTGGCTTCCCACACTTGTGGTGAGGACTCAGTAAGGTTCTTGTGGACTGATTGTGTCCCTCTCTAAATTCCCCAATTCACACACTGAAGCTCTAATCTCCAGTGTGATTGTTTTTGGAGTTAGGCCCTATATGGAGGTAATCAAATTAACAGAGGTCATGAGAGTGGGGCCTTAATCCAACAGGACTAATATTCTTATAAAATGGGGAAGAAACAGGATACCAGAGATCTCTATCTCTCTCCCCCTTCTCTCTCTCTCTCTCTCTCTCTCTCTCTCTCTCTCTGTGTCTCTCTCTCTTTCCCAGTTGTACACAGAAGAAAGCCCATATGAGGACACAGCAAGAAGGTGGCTGTCTTCAAGCCAAGAAGAGAGGCCTCATCAGAGATGGAATGTTCCTGCACTTCGGTCTGGATTTCTAGTGTCCAGAACTGTGAGAAAATAAATTTCTGTTGTTTAAGCCACCTGGTCTGTGGTATTTTGTTATGACAGGCCTAGCAAACTAACGTAAAATGCTTTGGTACAGCAGCAGGCACAAGGTAGAGATTCATTAATTGTAATAATACCATATAAATAATTATTGATAATGGCACTATCAATAATTGCCATTGTTATTGCTTCTAATAAAACACCCACCCTTCTGGGGGAGAGAGGAAGAATTTTGGAAACTCCAGTAACAAACAGTCTGCAAATCCACTTTGAGCTTCTGATGAGAAATTGAGGGCACTCGAAAGAAATAAATCACATTCACTGAAATTTTCTGATCCTATTTCTGTACATATGTCATGATAATTTGTGTCAAGTAATATGACAGCATCTTTCCTCTGAGGGACTTAATGTGCTTATGCCAACTACTTATCCATCAGGCAAATGTTTACATTCTGAGGATGAACTAAGGGAATGTCTTAGATAGCTGGGAGCCTGAGGCTAGGACTGTGCACTGAGGGGCACTAATAAAATCAGATAATCAAATTTCTTCCACCTTCTCTGTGGTTTAGGCTGTGCAGTCTGGAAGCAGGCCAGGTGGTTGGTTTTAGGAATCACAGGGTTGAGCTTACAGTACAAGACAGATTTTACTTCAAGTCTAAGTTAGCCTTGACTAATGATTGTTCCATCACTTTTAGATGTCCAGCTAACTCACTTACAGGCACATCAGGAAGAGGGACCTCTCAAGACTGTTTTCTCACCAAAACTCTGAGGTTCTGGTTTCATAACTGTATTAGTCCATTTTCACGCTGCTGATAAAGACATAGCCAAGACTGGACAATTTACAAAAGAAAGAGGTTTAATTGGACTTACCGTTCCACATGGCTGGGGAAGCCTCACAATCATGGTGGAAGGCAAGGAGGAGCAAGTCACATCTTATATGGATGGCAGCAGGCAAAAAGTGAGAGAGTTTGTGCAGGAAAACTCCCCCTTATAATAACCATCAGCTCTCGTGAGACTATCATGATAACAGCACGAGAAAGACCTGCCCCCATGATTCAGTTACCTCCCACTAGGTCCCTCCCACAACACGTGGGAATTCAAGATGAGATTTGGGTGGGGACACAGCCAAACCATATTAATAACATTCACATTCTTTCTGGACACCCAATCAAGCCCTCCACATGGACCTGTGGGCTGCAGACTCTTGCAGACAGATCAGGGAGGAGGGCAGAAAAGGCCTCTCAGCAACTGCAGTTCTTTGTGCCTGCATTTCCAATTCAGATGAATGCATTAGAAATGGTCCTAAAATGTATTTGAAAAAAACAGAACCATCTAAGATCATTGGTCAGAGCTCCAAATGGTTTATAAAGAGGGGGAACAATATGCTGACTTCTGAAAAATGGGAAGGGGGTTACATTGGCTTGATTGAAACCAGTTGAAGGAGGTTTTTTGTGTTTTTCCCCCAAGTTTTTCTTGACTAATGATTGTTCAGGTCTTTAAATCAGTGTTGTCCAACTGTCCCCAAAGACTACATAAGGCACAGTTGAAATCTGTATTGTCCCTTGCTGTTACTGCCTCTCCGCTGCCCTTAACTCACAGGATGAGGTATTATAGGTTATAGAATCCCTTGCTTTTTATTCCTTTATCACAGATGGATGAAGTGCTCAAATCTGAATCATTAAACCGACTTCTTTTGTACCTCTCAGACTGTTCACTGATTTAACGTTGTTTTAATGTATTCATTAGATTCAAACATTTACTGAACACTCACCATGTGCCAGGCCCTCTTAAAGGCACGGGAGATGCTAAGGCAAATGAGACACAGATCCTGCCTCCAAGGGCTCCAGTGTAGTGGAAGGGCAGAGAAATAGTTACTAACATATGGCAATGGAGGAGGGCAAGGAATGGAGAAAGGCTTTAAAGGGTGCACCAGGGACCTGGAGGTGACCTTCCAGGAGGGAAGAAAAAGACAGGAGCATTAGGAGGGAGAAAATTTAATTGGGAAAAAGAAGCAGCCAGCAGGTTGTTTTGAGAGAATCAATCTTTTGCTGTATGGCTGAAGGCAGCTGGTGATGTTGGTATTGATGAATTGCATGACATAATTATTTGGCACAGAAAGAAAAAAAGAAGGGAAGAAAGGAAAGAAAGAAGGGGAGGGAGGGAGGAAGTCACCTTCTATACTTGAGAAAATATCATCAATGAATCCATCTGCTTCTGTTCCATAATTCCAACCCCTTCTCTCAGGAGGAGCTGAGAGATTGGTCTATTAGAGGTTCTCTTTGGCTTCCATAAAATCTAACAAAAATACCCCACCAAGTTTATTGCTCTCCTTGTTTCTCGGAAGACTGGAGAATGGACTTGCCTTGGACCAAACCCTCGAGTGCACTGACTTAGGAAAGGCAATGGAAATAGATGTCTTTTGTTACAAGGGTGATATTAAGATTGATAAAATTAAATATATATTATTATCTGGTTTGAACATATAGTTAATTAGCATGTAGCTTTGAATTTGTTATGTTGGTGGCCAAACCTGTTAGAAACAGGTTGGAATGCTATTCTAATTGCCTGATTCTAAAAGTAGGTTTCCAGAGATGGGTCCTAGCATATAGCTACACAAATGTAGTACTGCCCACAAGGAAAATGGAGGTGAGGGGCAGGAGAAAGATGTAGTAGCTACTGAATTAAAGCTCAGTTTAAGGACTACTTTTCAAATGAATTGGGGGCCAGTAGTAAAGTGCGTATGGTGGCCAACTGAACCAGAGGAAGGGGAACGGGGGGCAAGAATTCTTCCTGAGAGCACCTGTGCCCTTCCAGAGCTGTGTTCTTCTGAATTTTCTCCTCTCCTTTCAGTAATTAATTGGGCTTAATTAATAGGATTTGGTTGATTTTATCTGCAAATCTCTTTTGTACATATCTGAAGACCTAAACAGTGGTGGTAAAAAAATTGACTCAAACTTTTTCAGTCCAGAGACCAGATGACTGAAATCATGTCTTACTCATCTTTGCAACCTGAGCACCCAGAGTAGATACTCCATATGTTCATTATGTAAATTAATAAGCTTCTTCACTGTACCTCATTTTACCCTAGAAAACCTATTTCTTCAACAAATGTTTACTAATTATCTACTTTTGCCGGGTGCTGAGTCAGGCACTAGGGATATGAGTGGGCAAGAGAGAAAAGACCCTTCCTCCTGGAGTTTGCTGCCCATAAGGAAAGACAATAATTAAATTAAGCATTACAAGAAATTATGATATCATCACAATATGGCAAGTGAATGCTAATAGAGCCAATACCAAGGGGCCACATTTGTTGGAGAGGTGGCTCAAGGGACACCTCCTTGTGCAAGTGACTCAAATTAAGTTAGCACTCTCAGCTCTAGTGGTGCTGATAATCTATCTGGAGAAAAAAAGAATATCATGCATGCAAAAGTAAGAAAGAGTACAGTGTAGGACACTCTAGGTTCAGTGTTAGATTATGGATTATAGAGGGTAGAAAGGGGTGATATCAAAAAGGGTTTATGTAGGCTCAGAAGTTTGCAGGAGGAAGGAGCACTTGGACTGTCCTTGGAAGATGGGTAGAAGAGTGGAATAGAACAAGGGAGGAAAGACAGAAATAAGAATCCCACACAACGGGGGAAGTGAAGCCTCAATGGGTAGTGGCAGGAGACAGGCTGAAATCATGCAAGACCTGGTAAGTCAGTGGAAATGAAAGTGTAAGTGCAGTTCTATTATCATTATTATTCTTAATAATGTGATAAAAGCTACTGTACACCAAGTCCTAGTCTGGGTTAGGTGCTGGGTAGAAAATGTTAAACAAAAGGTCTACAATTCATTCTTTTTTGCTACCAAAGGGAAGTCCATGGGAAAGAAGGAAGGAAGGTAACTTAATCAAATCTTCACATGAACATACTAATGACAGGCCTCCAGATAAACACATTAATGATATTTGCTAGTGCAGGGTCCTTATCTATAGAATTCTTTTTAAAGGAGGTACCTGATCTGCCTGGGTTGCTCATTTGTAACAAATCTGAATCTATGCCTGTATTGGGTATGGGTTCTGAGAAAAGGTCAGGTCAATTATATAACTATCTAAGTATAATATGAAGATATTTATTGATGGTTCTTTTCTGTGTAGGTGATGTGCCACATACATGGCTTGAAGATCTTCTGTGTTAATCTGGGGAAGAATATCTTGATGTGGCATGGAAGGACTCAGGACACTGCATGGGTCCTAAGCCACTCCCTGCTTCATTTGTAATTGCTTGTTTTATTGAAATTATTAGCAAAGTGTGATACTGGGTAAGATCTCTATTATGTGAATCCACTTTGATAATCTGATCTTTTTGTGTTATGTTAGGTACTTTACTTAATATATTGTCTCACATCAACCCTACAAGGTAAGTGCCCAGAGAAATGAGTTAATGTGTCTAATATCACAGTGAGGAAGCAGCAGACTCCTAATTTAAACCCAGGTCAAACTCTGTGCTCTTCCCGCTACTCCATATCACCCACTGATATGGTTTGCCTCTGTGTCCCCACCCAAATCTCATTTTGAGTTGTAATTCCCAGTGTTGGAGGAGTGAACTGATGGGAGGTGATTGGATCATGGGGGCAGATTTCCCCCTTGCTGTTCTCATGACAGTGAGTGAGTTCCCACAAGATCTGATGGGGTTTAAAAGTGTGTGTGTGGCACTTCCCCCTTTGCTGTCTCTCTCTCTCTCCTTCTCCTCCATGTTAAGATCTGCTTGCTTCCTCTTAGCCTTCTGCCATGATTGTAAGTTTCCTGAGGCCTCCCAGTCATGCTTCCTGTTAAAACTGCAGAACTGAGTCTGTTAAACCTCTTTTCTTCATAAATTACCCAGTTTCAGGTAGTTCTAGAGCAGTGTGAGAATGAGCTAATACACCCACTTTAAAAAACATGTATAAAACAGAATAGAGCCTTGGGCCCCAGGAAGGCCCTAAGGACCATCAAGACCCACACAAGCCCTTTGAGGACCACTTACCGAAAGAACAGCTTTAATGAGAAAAGGCTTTCTGGTATAAAACTTGGCCGGGTGTGGTGGCTTATGCCTGTAATCCCAGCACTGTGGGAGGCCGAGATGGGCAGATCACCTGAGGTCAGGATTTCGAGAACACCCTGGACAACACGGTGAAACCAAGTCTCCACAAAAAATTACAAAAATTAGCTGGGTGTGGTGGTGCGTGCCTGTAGTTCTAGCTACTTGGGAGACTGAGGCAGGAGAATCACTTGAACCCTGGAGGCAGAGGTTGCAGTGAGTAGAGATCACACCACTGCACTCCAGCCTGGGTGACAGAGCGAGACACTGTCTCAAAAACAAAATCAAAAACTTGATTTATGTGAGACCCAAAAGGTAGTTCTTTTGTCACATTTTCCATGGAAATTCATTTTCACCAGAGGCAAATGCTTATATCTCCACTGGGAGTCTGCAACTCATAGAGTTTGTGTACTATCAGGGGAATAATAATACATTCTTTGAATGCAGAGAGAATAGCCAAAAGACTGCACTTGATCAGAATCAGATGATATGAATTGAAGTTTCTAATTCTATTTTTAGCCCTAAAGCAAGCTGAGCCTTGTGGGAAGGTTTACCAATCCCTGATGGGTGGGATCAGCCATATTTCACAGGGGCTTCCATTTTATAAGGATATTTGTATGCATTCATTCATGGCTCTGAGTTTTTTTACATGGTCCTTTGCAAAGCATTAAGATCAGCTTCTTGTCAGGGAACTTGAGGATCCATGAAAAAAGTAAATAAATAAAAAACAAAAACTAGTATGTGAGCATGAGGAAGGAGGTAGGTCATGCTAAGGAATACATCTCTTCTTTTCTGCAAATATAAGTGGTTTAATTCTAGTTGCCTTGGGTTAAGGAGTCCCATTCCTCGGGGACAGCTGCCTAGCACAGTGCCTTAGTTCCTGTTTAAAGTGCCACAGGACATGTATAGCTGAGATGTGACAGATTGCCCCTGCCTGGACCTCTCTCTCAGGGCTGCCAGCATCTTTAATGGACAGATGGAGCTGTCTTCCCTTTCTTGGCTGTGGCTGTCTGATCAACTTTGGAGATAGCAGTCAAACTTCTAGTTAATAAAAGTGCTTAATAAGTATTCAAATTGTAATATCCCCAGAAAGATGGTTACCTTGGTAGAAAAACCTTCTGATAAAAGAGTACCAGAATCTCTATTTCAAGAATCAAAGTGGCTGGGCATGGTGGCTCACGCCTGTAATCCTAGGATTTTGGGAGGCTGAGGCGGGTGGACCACATGGTCAAGAGATCGAGACCATTCTGGCTAACATGGTGAAACCCCATCTCTACTAAAAATACAAAAATTAGCTGTGAGTGGTAGCACACACCTGTAGTCCCAGCTACTCGGGAGGCTGAGGCAGGAGAATCACTCAAACTCAGGAGGCAGAGGTTGCAGTGAGCTGAGATCGCGCCACTGCACTCCAGCCTGGCTATAGAGCAAGACTCCATTTCAAACAAACAAACATAAAAAGAAAGCAGACACACATAGACTTGATATCTATCCCTACCAATAGCTTGAGGGACACTTTAACTTGTGTCTTTACAAGAAAAGTAAAAAGCTTAGCTGTGGATTACGAAACCTATAGAGCTGAGTTGAGAAAAACAAGGTTCTGGTGTAGACCTTGGGTTTCTCTTTGGACCGCCTGATCCTTTTCTTAGCCTATGCTGTTGGTATCCTTCTCCAGTCTCCACCGGATAGTGCTTGCTTGCTTCTGGGCCCTTATCATCTTCAGAGTCCTCCATCTTTGTTTATACTCTTACCCAATATTCCCTTTATATACAACCTCTCTCCATTACAAAGGAGAATCTGATTCTCTCCAATACATGGCAAAATACTGGCTATTTACTTCATTACTATCAGCTTATTTCCTGATGATCCTGTGTCTTCTCAAACCCAGTGCTAGATGTTCTTTTTTGGTTTTGCACCCTGCTCTTTGTATTCTTTCTTTTGCCTATCATACAGTGAAGAAAAAGGGAAGTAAACACCTTTGTCTTTTGGAGGCAAGAATAAACTCCAGCTGAATATAGACTCCTGGCAATGCATCACAAAGCTATTTCTGTACTACCATAGTCTGTCTACTGTAATGATCTTGGCTACAAGTAAACACAATACCCAACTAAAAGTGGCTGAAACAATGAGGGGTCTATTTTCTGAGGGTGGTTAATACAGCACAAAAGTTGCTACAATTCTTGATGAATTGATCTGTTCTCCTTTAGTTTCTCACCGTGGGTGAAGATGGCCGCCTAAGCCATCTTTGGCCGAACATTATGTCTTCACACAACTACATCCAAAGGAAGACAGGGAAAGAGTCCATCCCATTAGAGTGCTCTTTCTCTTTTTTAAAAAATAGGGAGGAAAAGTTTTCTAAGAATATACCCCCTAGCAGATTTTTTCTTAGGTACCACGGGCCAGGAGAGGGCCCTGTGCCTGTGCTCTACCTTCAGTGAAGCTGGGAAAAGTGATGAAGTTGGGAAAAGTGAGTGATTGGCTTCTATGGTGGAAGTGGACTTTATGTGTAAAGAAGGAAGAGGAGAAAAGCTGTGGGGTAGTCAACCACAGCCATTGAATACCTTCCTGAAGTGCAGCAGTCCAGGAATAGATTATATTTAATCATTTCACATTGCCATCACATGGACCACACCTACAGTTAATATGGAGTCGTAGAAGAAAAAGAGACCTCAAGAGTTCACCTCTACTCCTCTGTGGATAGATGGTTGGCTACCACAAGCTTTCTTTTTTAATTGTAAAATATACATAACAAAATGTAAAATTTTATCCATTTTTATGTGTACAGTTCAGTGGCATTGCATACATTTATATTGTTGTGAAACCATCACCTTCATTCATCTTCAGAACTAGTTTCTCTTCCCAAAATTAAACTCTGTATCCATTAAAGAATGGATACAGATCCCACTGTCCTCTCCTCCCAGCCCCTGGCAACCACCAGGGCTACTTTCAGTCTCTGTGAATTTGACTGCTCTAGATATCTCATATAAGTACAATCATATACTATCTGTTCATCTAGCTTAATTTAAAGATATTTGGTCACCCCTCTTAAAGTGCCCTTCATCTTCCTCCACCTTCTCTTCCTCCTCTCCTCTTCTCAAAATCCTTTCCATCCTTCAATGCTCAACACCAAGATTTTCAGTTCCTCCAGCCCATGAGGCTCTCTCCCTATTCTGGACTCAGAGTGTTCTGTGTACTTGACTTTCCCACTTTCTTGACCTTATGTACACTGTCTTATGCCGTATCTTGAGTTATTATCTTTTACTTTTAACTTTTATTTTAGGTTCAGAGGTACATGTGAAGGTTTATTACATAGGTAAACTCATGGCATGGGGGTTTGTTGTATAGATTATTTCATCACCCAGGTATTAAGCCCAGTACCAAATAGTTATCTTTTCTGCTCCACTCCCTCCTCCCCCTCTCCACCTTCAAGTAGACCCCAGTGTCTGTTGTTTCCTTATTTGTGTTCATAACTTCTCATCATTTAGCTTCCACTTGTAAGTGAGAACATGTGGTATTGGTGACTTTCTAGTCCTGCATTAGTTTGCTAAGGATAATAGCCTCCGGTTCTATCCATGTTCCCGCAAAAGACATGATCTCATTATTTTTTTTATGGCTGCATAGTATTCCATGGTGTATATGTTCCACATTTTCATTATACAGTCTGTCATTGAAGGGCATTTAGGTGGATTCCATTTAGATCTTTGCTATCGTGAATAATGCTGCAATGAACATTCGCGTGCATATGTCTTTATGGTAGAATGATTTATATTCCTCTGGGTATATACCCAGTAATGGGATTGCTAGAAAATGGTAGTTCTGCTTTTAGCTCTTTGAGGAATCACCATACTGCCTTCTACAATGGTTGAACTGATTTACACTTCCACCAACAGTGTATAAGTGTTCCATTTTCTCCGCAATCTTGCCTGCATCTGTTATTTGTTGACTTTTTAGTAATAACCATTCTGACTGGTGTAAGATAGTATCTCATTGTGTTTTTGATTTGCATTTCTTTAATGATCAGTGATATTGAGCTTTTTTCATATGCTTGTTGGTTGCATGTATGTCTTATTTTGAAAAGTGTCTGTTCATGTTCTTTGCCCACTTTTTAATGGGGTTGTTTGTTTTTCTCTTGTAAATTTAAGTTATAGATGCTGGATGTTAGACCTTTATCAGATGCATAGTTTGCAAATATTTTCTCTCATTCTGTAGGTTGTGTGTTTACTCTGTTGATAGTTTCTTTTGGTGTGCCGAAGCTCTTAAGTTTAATTAGATCCCACTTGTCAATTTTTGCTTTTGTTGTGATTGCTTTCTGTGTCTTTGTCATAAAATGTTTGCCCAATCCTGTGTTCAAGATGGTATTGCCTAGGTTGTATTCCAGTGTTTTTATAGTTTTGGGTTTTACATTTAAATATTTATTTCATCTTGAGTTAATTTTTGTATATGATGTAAGGAAGAGGTCCAGCTTCAGTCTTGTGCGTATGGCTAGCTAGTTATCCCAGCACCACTTACTGAATAGGGAGTCTTTTCTCCATTGCTTGCTCTTGTCAGCTTTGTTGAAGATCAGATGGTCATAGGTGTGCAGCCTTTTTTCTGCCCTCACTATTCTATTCCATTAGTCTATGCTCCTGTTTTTGTATGAGTACCATGCTGTTTTGGTTACTGCAGTCCTATAGCAATAGTTTGAAGTCAGGTAATGTGATGCCTCCAGCTTTGTTCTTTTTGTTTAGGATTGCCTTGGGTATTAGGGCTCTTTTTTGGTTCCATATGAATTTTAAAATAGTTTTTTCTAGTTCTGTGAAGAATGTCATTGGCAGATTGATAGAAATAGTATTGAATCTGTACATTGCTTCGGGCAGTATGGCCATTTTAATGATATTGATTCTTCCCATCCATGAGCATGGGATATTATTCCATTTGTTTGTGTCTTCTCTGATTTCTTGGAACAATGTTTTATAATTCTCATTGTAGAGATCTTTTACCTTCCTGGTTAGCTGTATTTCTAGGTATTTTATTCTTTTTGTGGCAATTGTGAATGGGATTGCCTTTCTGATTTGGCTCTTGTCTTGGCTATTGTTGGTGTATAGAAATGCCAGTGATTTTTGTACACTGACTTTGTATCCTGAAACTTTACTGAAGTTGTTTGTCAGCTGAAGGAGATTTTAGGCTGAGACTGTGGGGTTTCTAGATACAGAATCATGTCATCTGCAGAGATAGTTTGGCTTCCTCTCCTCTTATTTAGATACCCTTTATTTCTTTCTCCTTCCTGATTGCTCTGGCCAGAACTTCTAATACCATGTTAAATGGGAGCAGTGAGAGATGGCATCCTTTTCTTGTGCTAGTTTTTAAGGGTGAATGCTTCCAGCTTTTGCCTATTGAGTATAATATTGATTGTGGGTTTGTCATAGATGGCTCTTATTATTTTGAGGCATGTTTCTTCAATACCTAGCTTATAGAGAGTTTTTAACACGAGAGGGTGTTGAATTTTATCAAAAACCTTTTCGGCATCTGTTGAGATAATCATGTGGTTTTGTCTTTAGTTCTACTGTTTATGTGATGAATCACACTTATTGATTTGTGTATGTCGAACCAACTTCACATCCCTGGGATGAAGCCAACTTGATTAGCTTTTTTTTGATGGGCTGCTGGATTGGACCAAATGGATCTTATAGACCTCTACAGAACTCTCCACCCCAAAACAACAGAATATATACATTCTTATAATCACCAAATAGCACATACTCCAAAATTGACCACATAATTGGACATAAAAAATCCTCAGCATATGCAAAAAAGAAAAAACTGAAACCATACCAAAAGCACTCTTAGACCACAGTGCAATAAAAATAGAAGTCAAGATGAAGGAAATCGCTCAAATATGTGCAATGACATGGAAATTAAGCAACATGCTCCTGAATGACTTTTGGATAAATAATGAAACTAAGGCAGAAGTCAAGTTCTTTGAAATTAATGAGAACAAAGATATAACATACCGGTATCTCCAGGACACACCTAAAGCAGTGTTAAGAGGGAAATTCATAGCAATAAATGCCACATCAAAAGATTAGAAATATCTCAAATTAGCAACCTAATAATCACAACTGAAAGAACTAGAGAAGCAAGAACAAATCAATCCCAGAGCTAGCAGAAGACAAGAAATCACCAAAATCGGAGCTGAACTGAAGGAAATTGAGACACCAAAAGCCATTTAAAAGATCAATGAATCCATGAGTTGTTTTTTGGAAAAAACATTAATAGTATAAATAGGCCACTAGCTAGACTAATTAAGAAGAAAAAGGAGAAGATCCAAATAAACACAATTAAAGGTGACAAAGGCAATGTTACCGCTGACCCCGCAGAAGTAAAAATGACCATCAGAAACTACTACAAACACCTCTGTGCACATAAACTAGAAAAGCTAGAAGAGGTAAATAAATTCCTGGACACATACACCCTCCCAAGATTAAACCAAGAAGAAATTGATTGTCTGAACAGACCAATAATGAGCTCTGAAATTGAATCAGTAATAAATAACCTACCAACAACAACAAAAGCCCAGGACCTGATGATTTCACAGCCAAATTCTACCAGATGTACAAAGAAGAGCTGGTACCATTCTTACAGAAATTATTCCAAAAAATTGAGGAGCAGGGACTCCTTCCTAACTCATTCTGAGGCCAGCATCATCCGGATACCAAAACTTGGCAGAGATACAACAAAAAAGAAACCTTCAGGCCGATATCCTTGATGAACATTGATGCAAAAATCCTCAACAAAATTCTTACAAACCAAATCCAACAGCACATCAAAGGAGTTATTGTATTACCTATCCTTTGTGAGTACGTCTTATCTTTCCAACTAGATTGGGACCTCTTGGAGAGCATAGACTATATGCATCTTACTTTTCTTTCTGTCCTCCAAAACCCAAGCCTTCTACACAACGGTCACTCAGTAAATAGGTGTCAGGTTCCATTCTTTCTTTAGGAAATCTGCATAAATTACCTTTATAACGAAGATGTTTTGTCTTAAGTATGATCATGCTCTTTGGGGTCAAAACTTAAGTCATTTTGTTTCTTCTTTGATCTTCCCTAAGATGGAGAACAAATGTTCAGTGTCCTCCTTAAACCTGTAAATATACTAGAGGTAGGTTAATGTGTCACTTTAGCTTTCAGTTTTCTGGATTAAGCCAAGATAATGGGGCAGAACCATTATACTTACACAACACCTTTTCCTGAGAAATTCTTAATACTTCCTTTACATTAAGATCAGGTTTTTCCATGGTCACAAGTCAGCATAAGTTTGAGAATCCAGGGAAGATTATCTCTTCTGTAGAAAAAGTCTTGAGCCTCTGGCAAGCTTTTATTTTTTACAAAGACTCACTTGGAGGCTGCTTAATATCTACTGAAACCCTGATGACTGACATACACACATACCCAATGCACACTCTATCCAAGGATTGTAATTTTGTATATTTAAAATTTTAAATTTAACAAGGGGTAGATGTGGCTTAGTCTTTCAGTATTGCTGATTAAGTGACTAAAGATTTTAGCAACTAGGAATTTGTAATGATGAAATATTGTTCTGTTAATACTAGCAAATTTAACTAAAGCAATTCTAAGGAATGGTGATTATGGATATATTCTAACCCACTTTACCCTTTTCAAAATGTAGTGAAAGGCATGAAACTCAAACTGCTAGGGAGGGCACGAAGAAGTTGGGGCTGCAGGCTGTATGCTTTTGTAAACACGTCCAGCTCCCTGCTCTGATGATGTGTCTGCAGGGTCATTTGGAGGAGTTGATATGAGGGAGCAGATGAATCTTCTCACTTAAAATATCCTGTAACGTCAAGAAAATCTATTTGAACCCCAGAAAGTTTATAAGCTAGTTGGATGTGTTAATTAATATTGGCTTGTTGAACTGGCTTGTTGAGGGGTGTCAGGAACCCTTCTTTCCTTATGAAGAACCATAGAAACAACACAATGGGGCCAGGCATGGTGGCTCACATCTGTAATCCCAGCACTTTGGGAGGCCGAGGCGGGTGGATCACCTTTGGTCAGGAGTTCGAGACCAGTCTGGCCAACATGGTGAAAACCCATCTCTACTAAAAATACAAAAAAATTAGCTAGGCGTGGTGGTGAGTGCCTGTAATCCCAGCTACTTGGGAGACTGAGGCAGGAGAATCACTCGAACCCCGGGAGGTGGAGGTTGCAGTGAGCCGAGATCGCGCCATTGCACTCCAGCCTGGGCAACAAAAGAGAAACTCCATCTCAAAAAAAAAAAAAAAAAAAAAAAGAAAGGAAAAAAGAAATAACACATTGGTTGGGTGAATGGAGGATTACACCCAAGGCACCTGGGAGGGAAACTCTGTTTATTTCTTGAGATTTCCCTTTGGTTTGATTGTGTTTTTAAAGGATTGGGAAAAATTAAGAAATATTAAACCTGCTTCAGATTGGTTTATCAAACACTCACATAGTAATATAATAATTGTAAGGACAATAATTTCTAGTTTGTATAAAATAGTTTTTATTGGATTCCTAATGTCCAAGTTCGGAGGGGCTGGTAAGCATTCTGGTAGGAAAGAGTCATTTCATCAATTAGAAGAAAGAGCGTCTTGGGACATATGGCATTTGGAAGTGAAGTATTTGATCCTAGAGTTTTGGCTGGCCATAAAGGAAAGCTTGTATAAGCAAAAAAGAAAATATGTTTTCTTGGTGAGAAAACAGAGTAGAAGGGACATTTGCAGTAGGAAATAAGGATGGTAAGAAGAGGCCAGGCGCAGTGGCTCACGCCTATAATCCCAGCACTTTGGGAGGCCGAGGCTGGCAGATCACCTGAGGTCGGGAGTTTGAGACCAGCCTGACCAACATGGAGAAACTCCATCTGTACTAAAAATACAAAATTAGCCGGATGTGGTGGCGCATGCCTGTAATCTCAGCTACTCGGGAGGCTCAGGCAGGAGAAGCACTTGAACCCGGGAGGCGGAGATTGCAGTGAGCTGAGATCGTGCCATTGCACTCCAGCCTGGGCAACAAAAGCAAAACTCCGTCTCAAAAAAAAAAAAAAAGGTAAGAAGAAAAATAACATTTTATCTTTGATAAGAGCAAGTAGAGCGTTATGGTGTTTTTATTCTATTTTGAAGTTCTAGAACCAATGCAGCCTCCCGAGGGAACTGCAAATGGGCCAGGCACTTTCATAATATTTACACTCATTTGTTCATCCATTTGCTGTCCATTTATCATTCATCCAAAATCATTTATTAGGGACCTCTTCTATTTCATGCACTGGGGCTATGATGATAAATGAATTCTTCACTTGGAGGAACTACACTCTACTGGAGGGAGGCCTACATAAATGGGGTTTAGGGTAAACCTGACAGGTGTTCTACTAGATCTAATAACAGATTTCTGTGGACATACAGAGAAAAGGTCGCCCCTCTGGGTTGCTGGAAAAGATTCACAGAAAGTGATATTTGAAGTGAGTTTTGAAGGATAAGTGCATTCATCAGGTTAAGCCGTTGAGAAAGGAAAGCCCACTAGGGGACAGGCCTGTGCAAAAGCACTGAAGTGTGACTGGGTATGCAGAGAACAGGGAAGGTGGTGAGGTGGTGGGTGGAGGACCGGGTACAGAACCGTGGGAGAGGTGATGGGGAAGAGTGAAACTGAAACTGTAGGGCACCAGGCCATCGCCCTCCATGCATCCAAACTCAAGTGCCAGAAGGCACAACCTCAACCCATGGGTGGCAGCCCTACTGCCAACACAGATACACACACACACACACACACAGACACCACACACCCCACCACACACACATACCATGCACCCCCCCATTCCACCCCACAACCCACCACACACAGAGATACACACACCCCATTTCACACCCCACCACTTACACATCCCGCCACCAAACACATACCCTCCACCACATACACACATCTCACGCACCCTACTCCATACCCCACCCCCGACACAACCCCACACACCAGCACACCCCTTCACACCACCACACTCCCCACACCACTGCACACACACACCCTACCACATACACCACATACCCCCCACACACCTCCCACATATACCTCACCACATATATTCTACATCTACCTCACACACACTCTCTCCCCACCACACATACCCCACCCCCCACACACCCCACACATACCACCACATACCCCTCCACACATCCCACCACACACCCCTCAAATCCTGCCATACACACACACCCCGTCACACACCCCACCACATACACACACACAGAGACACACCCTACCACCACACCCCGAACAATCCACCACGTACCCCACACCTCACACCTGACCACACACAATCTCCCCTCACACACACCTCACCTCATCACACACACACACACCCCCCATACACCCCCCACCCCACATACAGAAACAGTTGTTTTGGCTGACCCCCTCCTGAGAAAGCAGAGTTGACTCTGGGCTGCATCCCACAGAGCACAGCCCAGGGTCCTGGGAACACTGTAAGGGACGTTGGTAAGGGGGATCCAGTACTGGTTTTTAAACATGGGAGTGCTACACACATCGTCTGTGGACTGTGAGTACATTGTGTCAGGACTAGGTCTAACTCATACTCTGTTCCTTCCTCTGTGCCTAGCACCATGCTGGCATATAGAAGGTCCTCCTTAAATACTTGCTGCATGAATAAATGAACTAAACAAATAAGGCAATGTGGAGAATGGACTAGCGTGGAAGGAAACTACTGTCAGTTCAGAGGCTCTCACAAGAATCTAGGTGAGCGATCACGGTGGGATTGGAGAGGAAGAACCAGAATGTAGACCAGCACTCTCCAACAGAACTTTCCACATGATGGAAATGTTCTATTCTGCACTGTCCGTTATGCAAACCACTAGCCACACATGGCTCTTGAGCACTTGAAATGTAGCTGGTAAGGCTGAGGGACTGAACTTTTAATTACTTTAAATTTTTTTTCTTTTTTTTTTTTTTTTTTTTTTTTTTTGAGACGGAGTCTCGCTCTGTCGCCCAGGCTGGAGTGCAGTGGCGCGATCTCGGCTCACTGCAAGCTCCGCCTCCCGGGTTCACGCCATTCTCCTGCCTCAGCCTCCCGAGTAGCCGGGACTACAGGCGCCCGCCACTGCGCCCGGCTAATTTTTTGTATTTTTAGTAGAGACGGGGTTTCACCGTGTTGGCCAGGACCTCGTGATTCACCTGCCTTGGCCTCCCAAAGTGCTGGGATTATAAGCGTGAGCCACAGTGCCCGGCCTAATTACTTTAAATTTAAATAGCCACATGTGACTATTGGCTACCACATTGAACAGCACAGTTCTAGAGATTTTTGTGGCAGAATCAAACAAACTTGTAACAAACTGGATTTATTCATTAATTTAATCAATAAATATTTATTGATTGTTTACTTTGTTCTGCAGTGAAAACGTGTGTGGCAATAGGGTGTGACACGCCAGGGTGTTTAGACTTTGTGAGGTGCTTGGTAAAGGAGACCCAACACCAGTGTTTAAGCATGAGCAGAGCAGGTGATGTAATTTCCCTCTAGAGCTGACATTCTTCTGGGGGAAGGAGGGAAGGAAGGAAGGAAGGAAGGAAGGAAGGAAGGAAGGAAGGAGGGGAGGGGAGGGGAGGGAGGGAGGGAGGGAGGAAAGGAAGGAAGGGAAGAAAGGGAGGGAAGGGAAGAAAGGGAAGGAAGGGAAGGAAGGAAGAAAGAAAGAGAGAAAAGAAAGTTCTATGAAGAGAATGAAAACAAGTGATATAATGAGTGGAGGAGAGTGGACAAGCTATTTTAGCAGGATTGGTCAAGGAAATCCTCTCTGAAAGGTGACAAGTTGAGAGTTGAATAATGCAGAAGTTATGTGGATTAAGAAAAACAAAAACAAACAAAACCTCAAAACAAGAACTAAAATAATCATTGATGAGTAAAAGCAATAAAATTCATCCTGAAGACACCTGGTGCAAGAAGGGACCTATTCCATCTGCAAGTGAAACTCACTCACTTCCTTTCTCCAGAAAGAAAACTGAAGCCTGGAGAGGTAAAGAGACTTACCTAAGGCCAGTTGGCAAAAGACTCTTAACCTCCTGACCTCCAACTCCACTCCCTACTGGGTAAGTGTCTCTTAGCATCTTGAATTTCATTTTTCTTATTAGTAAAATGAGTTATTGATAGAAATGAAAAATGTAACATAGATAAGGTGCTAAAAATAGTAGCTATTTTCATTTTTGGATTTTTTCTAATCGTTGTATAGTGTGCCTCTCAAATAATTAACTATGTTATTATTTTAATAATATAGAAGTATTAATATAATATATAATTATGTATAATTAATATAATAGAGAAATTTAGTAATTGGATAATACAGAAAGCCTAAGAGAGGCAATGAGCTTCAAGTCCTGACTTTTTCTTAGTCTTCATTGTCTGGGGTAAATCTTAGCATTGGGCCTATGCAATCAACCTCCAGTACCACCTGCCATTCACCTGGAGGCAGCTGCTGGAGCTCTTCGAATGCTGTCAGAGAAGGAATAACCATCCCCCACACTGCTGGCCTGACAACCCCCACCTTATTAAGTGGTGGTATGTATCACAGTCCTAGGATACTTCTGAGGAGAGGAATATGAGGCTGTGGTTTTCTCAACAGACACAGCTGTCATCAAGCTCTTTATGGAAAGCTGCTGTAGACAGGGGCTGAAAAGAAGATGAAGGCTTTAACAGGTTGTGAAATTGCAGTGATAAAAAGAGAGCACTAAAAGCATATGGCACTGGAAAGGGTTTTCTGCATCCAAATTGAGAATCAGACCTTCATTTGTTTACTCTTCATTTTACTCCCACCACACCTCTGCTGTTTGAGCTGGTATTTTTGTAAATATTCAGATAGGACAAACAAGGTGATAAACGAGGTCATGGCTTTGCCAGAGGGAGAGACAGTGCTGGAATATAAATGTTGGGTCTCCTTGACTTCTCAATGTCATTTGCCTTTTCTAGCCACACCCTTGGGTCTCAACCCAGGGTCTTGGACTATGAGCCCATGCTCTAGCCATTCTGCCGTGTTGCATCTGAGTTTGGTGTCTTTGGAGCCACTGGTTCAATAATCCTTAGCTGATAGTTTGATCTGACTATTGTATGATCACCAGAGTAACACTGAAAATGAGGCATTGAACACCTATGGGTTGCATGTGAGTGACCTGAGAGCCATGTCTGAGGCTTACTGCCCACAGCTCATGACCTCACTGTTGCAACCTGACCTGGTCAGGGCCAGGACCCTCTCCCCAGGCTGGAGCATCATCTCCTCCCATCATTCCTGAATATCACAAAGACCCATTAGGATAATGCCTCTGTGCCTTTCAGCCCTCCCATGCTCAGCAATGCACCTTCCAGTGAACATAGTGGCATACAAATAACTGCAGAGATAGAAGGATCCAAGTCCTTGGCCCAAATCTAGCAGGTCTAGATACCAGACCTTGCTCTACCACTTAGTTCACTGTATGAGCTTGGGCGAATTACTTTATTTATCTAGACCCCTATTTCTTCAAATGTGAATGTGGAATATTATCTACCTCATAGAGGTCCAAGAATCAAAAAAATTTATTGTATATGAAAATGCTTTGAAAAATAGAAAGCACCAATCAAGTAAGTACAGGTATTATTCAGTAGTCTACATACACTACAAGGATTTTTTTGTAGAAAAAAATAAAACTTAATAAATATTAAATTATATTAATATCACTTTCATCCATCTATCCATTCATCCATCCATCCATCCATTCATTCAGTAAAGTTGTATTAGACAACCAGTCTGGGGCAGGCACTGTATTGGTGCTAGGTAGATACATGATTGTGAACAGCAAATATATTATTCCTTGGGTTAATTAGGGTTCTCCAGAAAAAAAAACTAAAGGGAAATATATATCTCAAAAAGAGATTTATTACAAGTAATTAGCTCATGTGATTATGAAGGTGGGAAAATCCTGAGATATGTGGGATGAGTCAACAAGTTGGAGACCCAGGAGAACTGATGGTTTAGTTCTAGTCTGAGCTTGGTGATCTAAAAACCAGGATTGATGGTGTAGCTGAAGGCCAGCAAGCTCAAGATCCAGGAAGTGCCAATGTTTCAGTTTGAGTCTGAAGGCAAGAATAAAAGCCAGTGACCCAGTTCAAAGGCAGTCAGGCAGGAAGAATTCTCTCTTACCTGGGGGAGTCAGCCTTTTGTTCTATGCAGGCCTGCACTTGGTTAGATGAGGACTGTCACATTAGGGAGTGCACTCTACTTTACTCAGTCTGCCAATCTGAATGTTAATCTCATCTAAAACACCCTCACAGAAACACCCAGAGTAAGTTTCACCAAATATTTGGGCACCACTTGGCCCAATCAAGTTGGCAGATAAAAGTAATCATCACCTTCCTAACAGAGCTTACTGTCTATTTGGGAGAGAAGGACATAGTAAAGCAATAATCATGCAAACAAATTTATAATGAGAAAGTGTGCTGAGTGCTATGAAGAAAAAAGTACAGGCTCCCAGGAGTGATGATAACACTGGAGGCATATAAACATGAAACTTTAGTTGACTTGACTGATGTGGGACAAGGGGAGTGCATAGGGGAATTCCTTCAGATAGGACAGCACTCAGCAAATGAAATATCCAAAAGGTCAGTGTGGCTGGAACACAGGAAAGAAGAGGGATTATGTTGCCAATATGAGCAGACAGAGGGAAGGTCACAGACAACTCTTAGGGTTGTCTATGAGAAGGCTGAAAAGTTTGAGGCTGGTGAAGGAAGTATGAAATAGAAGTTGCCAGACTGAGAGAATGACCTTATTCATTGACAATGTAATGGAATAATATGGTTGTGTGGTCTGTTTAAGTTGAGCTAGAATAAATTCATAAACATTGTAATCTCTCAGGTTGCATGATTTTTTTTTTTTCTGAGACGGAGTCTCGCTCTGTCACCCAGGCTGGAGTGCAGTGGTGTGATCTCAGATCACTGCAAGCTCTGCCTCCCGGGTTCATGTCATTCTCCTGCCTCAGCCTCCTGAGTAGCTGGGACTACAGGCACCCGCCATCATGCCCGGCTTATTTTTGTATTTTTAGTAGAGACGGGGTTTCACCATGTTAGCCAGGATGGTCTCGATCTCCTGACCTCGTGATCCGCCTGCCTCAGCCTCCCAAAGTGCTGGGATTACAGGCGTGAGCCACCACGCTTGGCCAGGTTGCATGATTTTTATAGCCTTTTGTTTGACAATTTGATGCAGACATATAAATTAATTTTAACATTGATTGTTGTGACTTTCCACTTTATACTATTTTGCATGAATATTTCCACATGTTTGTTTTTCATAATTTTGTTATTTTTAATAGCTGTGTAGTATTCCATCATGGTTTCCATCATGTTATTTCTGGCCCTTCTACACACTCCTGTGGTTTTTAGCTCTGTACACTGTTTTTCTGAAAAATAGTTCTGCTGAGAATATCTTTTGGAACAGTGTTGTTTCTTATGAGCTATTTTTTTAGGTTGCATCCCCTCATGGGTTGCTTCTCTGCATGTCACAGCTTCTCTGTAGCACACAGCGTCTGTGGTGTGGTGCTTTGTTTGTCTTGTCTGGATGTGAGAAATTCCCATGGCACCAGCTGCTGCTGCGGAGTTGGCTGGGGAGGAGTAGTGACAGGCAGGAAGAGGATGACCCTCATTAGGAGTTCAGAGAATGCAGGTTATTGTGTTACTGCACTGTATCCTCCAGGATGTGGCCTCTGTGAGTGGTTTGTTCTGCACTGAGAACCTCCATGGCCCTTAACCTAACAGGGAGCTCTCTGCCTTTGCCACCTTCCCCAAGGGCCTATTAAGTTCCTGGTAAGTGTTGTTCTATGTAGAACAAAGAATATGTAAGGTAGTGGCAATAATGTAAATTATTGTTCATAAGCCTCTGGACTGTAATTAAATTAAAGTTATGATTATATCATCTAAGGCAAATGGTTCCCTAGGTGCCATCATTTTTGTTTATTCCTTTATGTAGTATATTCATTCTTAATTTCTACATATTATTGAGAAATTAGTAGGGGACCAGCTCATCAAGCCAAGCAGGTATCAGGGAAACTCATATAACATCCCTTCTTTGCCTAATCATAGTGCACCCACTCATTTGACCCAGTGTATCTCTTAAGCATTTAGCATGTTTAACACTGGTCAAAAAGTTAATGGAACAAAACAGAGTAACTGAACTCATTTGAGTTGGGACAAGGATAAAGTTTAAATTCGGTTTTCTGGGGGAAAAAATTCTATTACTTTTGTCAAACATAATATCATACAGTAGTAATTTAGTTTAATGTTCTTGGCAATTGGAAAATAAGTTCCAAAGGATTCCTCTATTTTATCAAAGCAAAGAAAGACAAGTACGGAACATAATAACCATTTTGTCCTCTTACCCACAAAGGGTATGTAGGAGAGGAGGCAGGCTCCTGCTAGAATCTTAGTCATTTTGGTCAGAAACATCATCACTGATGGCAGTGATATCTGTAGTTAATAACAGCAATGATAGTAACACATAAAAACCATGGAGTGTTAACTGTATGCTAGGCACAGTGCTTTATATTGCATCATTACCTCCCTCCCATGAAATGGGTTTTCTCAAAATCACAAAGCTGGTGAGTGATGGACTCAAGATTCAAACAGTAGACCCAAAGCCGGTGCTCCTAATCTCTCTCTACCCTGGTAATACAGTGGTTGGAAGCAGTGGGGTGGCAGGAAAAACCCACACCAAGGGATCTCAGCATTGCATTGCGAAGCACATGCCATGTTAGCTTTGAATCTGTTATGTAAATTGAATTAAGTCACATTATGATTATTATTATTTTGAGACAGGGTCTTGCTCTGTCGCCCAGCTGGAGTACAGTGACGCAATCTCAGCTCACTGCAACCTCCATCTCCTGAATTCAAGGAATTCTCCTGCCTCAGCCTCCTGAGTAGCTGGGATTACAGGCATGCACAACCGCACCCGGCTAATTTTTGTATTTTTAGTAGAGACGGGGTTTCACCATGTTGGCCAGGCTGGTCTTGAACTCCTGACCTCAGGTGATCCACCTGCCTCAGCATCCCCAAGTGCTGGGATTACAGGCGTGAGCCACTGCGCCCAGCCCACATAAACTTCCTGATGTTCCATTTTCTATAAAACAGAAGAGACGCTTGTATTTTTTAACTCCCAATGTGGGTAATGCTAGATAAGTGTGGAAGTTCTTTGACAACCAGCCAGAAAGTCCTATAGATATCTAAGGATTCATTACTTTGTATTGTGGTTGCTATGATGATGATGTGGCAGGATTCTTGTACTTAAAATATGAGACATGCAACAGCTGCTCTGGGGTGAGGCTACTCCAATGGGCTAAATTCAAATGTCTCATGCAGTGGAGTTGCGTTTCAATGAGTCATCTGATATGCTGATGTGCCAGGGAATCAGATACTTCACAGTCAGAAGGCAGCAGGAATCATGTGTGTTGTGGATGTGATGTGACTGACGTGGTGACAGATACATTCAAAGCATCAGCAGGCTCTCTAAACAAAGCTCCTTCTAGGAAAACTGATCACTGTGGCAGGCTCCCTCCAATGACTGCAGGCTGGGAATTGACCATAACAGATCATGATGTAGGTTCTAGAACAAGACTGAGGGGTGGAACAGGAGTCAGGTGGTCTTCAGAGTGATTTTATTGACATTAGCCCAACCAAGGCTCCACCATGCTTTGGGCAATCAGCACATCTCAGGGCTTGGGGTTCTGGATGTTGGAATACATTGCATAACTGGTGCAGTAGCAGGACATGAAGGCCAAGGCAGAAATTTCATCCGTACTTTATGTAAACCCAGTAGACTGGTGGTCTCAAACTCCAGAGAAACTAAAATCCAACTGTTGGGTACTACGCTCACTATCTGGGTGATGGGATTATTCATATCCCAAACCTCAGCATCATGCAGTATACTCATGTAATAAACCTACACGTGTACCCCTGAATCTAAGTAAAAGTTGAAATTATTTAAAAAACAATTGTTCAAATTCAGATTTCTGGTCTTCATTCCCAGAGTTCACTATTCCACTGGTTTGGGGTGGGGGCCAATAATCTACATTCAACAAGCCCTTTAAGTGATTTTGATGCGGATAATGTACAATTTCCATTTTCAGGAAATAAAATGTAGTAGATACAGGAAGGACTCTGGATGAGAGTGACCATAATAAAAACCAAAAAGTTAACATGTATTGAGTATTTACTATGAACTGGGCACTCTTCAAAGTGCTGTACAGAAATTAACTAATTATCATGCCATCCCATGAGCTAACCACTAATATTTCCTCCATTTTACAAATAGAAGACACTCGTGTCCTGGTTTCCTGGTAAAATGTGAAAGTTTGAATGTGTCAGAAGAATTTTGTAAGGAAGGGATAGATTGCTCAAATTCCACCTAGAGGAACAGCATATACTGCCATCACTCTAGTGTTTTAATATAGCCTGATTCTAATATGAAAAATTCACAGCAGCCTGGTAGCTTAGGGTAGGGATGGAGCTTAGGAGAAATTGCCCACTGTAGCATCTATCTCACAGGGTACCAACATTGAGACTGGAAGACATTAACTCCAATTATTCCTTGCCCTCTGAATGCTGAAATTGCCCTTACCTCAACCTTGTTTTTGGCTGGGACCTGTTGAAATGCTGCAAGCCTCCAGCTTGCTAATCAGGTTTACAGAAAAAAAGAGATTTTAAGCCTCTACTAATTAAAGATATAATGCTAACCATCTATGACCAGTTAACCATCTATGACCAGTTAGCTCATTTAATTAGAGCCCATTGAGAATAAGAGTGAACTAATCGAACCTAACATTTACTTTCTATTACAGAAGAATTTATTTGAATCTCTCTTTTCCTTGGCTAAGAAGAATGAAGAGGCAGGAGACTTGGGGGACCCCTTAACTGGGGATAATTACTGGGACAAATCAGCCAGCACAAAGAGGAGGTAATATTTGGATGGTTAGTTAGAAATATTCTTTGCTGATTTATTATTCATGTACTATGATTTAAAGAACCTTGAAGTTGTCTGAACATTGTTTAAAATTTTGGAGGTCTAGAATTCCAGATTTATGTTTCTAAGTGCCTACCTGCTAAGATGTTCCATTGGGTTGTTCAGCTAGTATCCCTTCCCCAAAACATATCCCAAATCAATCCCATCATACTCCCCACCAAGTCTCTCTTCTCTGGATGACACTACTTCTGTTCCTGATCACACTGTTCTCCCAGTTCTGGTTCAGAAACACAGCCATCTTTGAATCCACCCTCCCTAGAGAGTTGGTTGTAAGATAAATTCACATGTTTTCTCAGGTTAGCTTTTGCTCTTCCAGCAAGAAGAGCATCACTATCACCCATAGTTCAATCCTTTTCATCTCATGGGGTCTGAACCACATTCTGGAGCTTTCCTGACCAGCATCTTCTCCGTTTGTCCTGCAGCTTCTTCTTCCTACAATGGCTCTGCCATATTGAAATATAATTCTTTAGCTTAAACTCTCTGTGATTTTTATTGCCTCCTAAATAAAGTTGAAATTTACTAAACTCAAAATCTGGTGTACAAGTCCTTCTATAATCTTTTCCCATACTATTTGTCTAGCCTTGTTTTCTATTAAGTCTTTAAAAACAATTTTACTACTCACAGGGCTGATTTACCTATTAGATACAGGAAGTACAGCACCTAGGTCCCACAATGCTTTTAGAGGTCCAGGATCTTTTAATTTCTTTTTCAATCAAAAGAAAAAAGAACACAATCCAAATTGTATTGTATGCATAATTATATTAACACAGTTGTAAAACATAATTTTAATATTTTTTGGACAAAGATACCTATGAAAGCAAAAGTGTCAAGTCCCATGAAAGTCATGTGACTTTCCCCGAAATAGAAAATATAGATTTAATAAATGAACTTTGGTGAAAGATTTAAAGACAAGTAATAAGGTATGCACTCATTAAATGTAAAATAAATAAATAAAATCATCAACCCTGTCTCAAAAAATGTTTAACTTTCATTTGTTCGTTAATAACTCAATTACTCACTCATTCAATCAACAAATATTAATTGCACTCTTACTATTTTTCAGGCACTAAACAATCAGTCCTGGTCTCTGTTATCAGAGACTTTTGATGCTACCATTGGAGTCAGACAAGCAGACAAACATCAACAAAATGATTATAAACTATGACACACTATGATGGGAAAGAAGGAGGCTGACAGAGAGGACATTGGCAGGAAGGAGCCCTACTGTAGATGTGGTGGTCAGAGAAGGGCCTTTGTGAGAAGCTGACACATAATCTCACAGTTGAAGTTGTGAGAAGGAGCTGGTCCTCCAGAGAGAAGTAGGAAGAGCGCTCCAGCAGAATCTCTGGGTGAGACTTGGACATCTGTGTTGTTGCTCTACTTTCTGGGTACATCTGATGAAGGAGGAGCCCCTGCTGTTGGTCTCATCCACAAATACAGTTTAAGCTCTTCATTTCCGTGGTTTTGTTCATGCTGCTCCCTTGCCCTAGAATTCCTTCTCTTCTGCCTCCCTTTCTCTATCTTTCAAGCCATACTCATCTTCTAAGACCCAGTTCAAATGCCACCACCAAGCCACTGTCTCTATGCCAACTCCTCTGGCCAGATGCCTGCTCTCCTTTAAAGCCCCCACTCTAATGCTTAGCAGTTGTCATCCCCTACCCTCTTCTTCCATATGTTTTATCTCCACTACTTGGTGGCAATTTCTTAAAGGTAAAGACTGTGTTTTATGTCTTAGCATTGCTTGAACAACCTCCACAGTGACCTTCACACATTAGAAATTTAGTAAAAATTTTCTGGATACATGAAAAATGAATGAGTCATGATTCCAAGGTAGACTATGTATTCACATCATATTCTTGCAATCTTTCCCTTATTTCCTTTGCAGACAAGTGCAGCTACGACTGCTGCTGGGACCGCGATACTGTGATGAGACTTTGCATATTTAAAAGGATGTCGAGAGAGGAGGAGGAATGATAAATGAACTCAGGAAGATGTGATGTCTTCTGTGATGACACTAATAGATGGAATGCAGAATTCAGCTCCAATACTTAGGGTTGGAAACCAAACATAAACAAGCAAGCAAGGAAAATGAAAAGGAATGTGTGTGTGTGTGTGTGTGTGTGTGTGTGTGTGTGTGTGTAGGTGTGAGAGTATATGAAATACATGAAAAGATAAAAAGTTAGATGCTGCTAAAGGGACAGACATGTAGGAATTTTACATTAGGGTTGTTCTGATTTTCATTTTCTTGCCTTTTAAAATTTAATGATAAACAAGTCTCCAGAGATTTTTACAGCCTGGGAGACCACTGGTAAGACAACAATATAGGTGGTCCTCCAGCAGGATCTAAATCAGAGCCTTCATAGTGGACTGTCGGGCCAGGTGCAGCTGTAGACAATGCATCTTCAGGAGTGGGGTGAAGAAATTTAATGGACTAGTAATGCAACAGGAGGTAGAAGAAAAGTGTTCTCTCACTAAAGCATGGTGGGTGTTTTCAAAATGTTTAAAAAACATTTTTAGGCCGGGCACAGTGGCTCACACCTGTAATCTCAGAGCTTGGGGTGGCTGAGGACCCAAAAGGAGGATCCCTTGATGCCAGGAGTTGTAGACCAGCCTGGTCTAACATAGCAATACCCTGTCTCTAAAAAAAAAAAAAAAAAAAAAAATTAATTAGCCAGGCAGGTGACAAGTGCCTGTAGTCCCAGTTACTCAGGAGGATAAGGCAGGAGGATCGCTTGAACCCAAGAATTTGAGGTTGTGGTAAGCTGTGATCGTGCCATTGCACTCCAGCCTGGGTGACAGAGTAAGACCTCAATTCTTTTTTTTTTTTTTTTTTTTTTTTTGAGGCAGAGCCTTGCTCTGTTGCCCAGGCTGGAGTGCAGTGGCGCGATCTCGGTTCACTGCAAGCTCCGCCTCCCGGGTTCACGCCATTCTCCTGCCTCAGCCTCCTGAGTAGCTGGGACTACAGGCACCCACCACCACGCCCAGCTAATTTTTGGTGTTTCTAGTAGAGATGGGGTTTCACCATGTTAGCCAGGATGGTCTCGATCTCCTGACCTCGTGATGCACCTGCCTCGGCCTCCCAAAATGCTGGGATTACAGGCGTGAGCCACCGCGCCTGGCCAGACCTCAATTCTTTAAAAACCAATTGTGTTATGCTTTTGGTTGCTGGGTTCTTAGAAGGAGGTTCTCAAGGTGGCAAGTCAGAGACATTCTGTTCTGTCTGTCAGAAATGCAAAATAATGGAGCAAAATTCCAAAGATAAAGTGAAAAATATGGCAATCAGGATAGCAAGAGCTGAGTGAATGGTGTGAGTTTGAGGAGGTGTTTTCGATTAACTTGTTTTAACATTGAGCTGTAAAAAGAAGTTAAGATAGGGAAGGATGGGGTGAAATATTGCCTGGTCTCCAACTGAAACACATGGGCCTGAGATATGGTGAAGTTTTACTAATGGGATGAAAAAGTGGAGTAGGCCTGGTGTGGAGGAGCACAGCATCCTGAGCCTCGGAAGTGATTCAGGTTAAAGGGCCTCTAAGGCTACACTCTCAGAGCCTTGGAAGAGCTACCTGGCTTGAGCTCTACTCATAGCTACTTTTCTATCCCCTGGTTGTCAGCTCTTCAGCCCTTTATTCATTCAAAAAATATTTATTGATGGCCTACTAAATGACAGGCCCTGGGTGAACAGCTGTGAAAAAAAAATGGGCAAATGTCTCTGCCCTCCTGGGATTCATATACTAAAGGGTCAAGAATATAAGAATTTATTAAAAGAACAGTCCATGGAGGAAAAAATGAAGCACAAGTATAATGGATCTATTGACCTGTGTAATGACCCCAGATCAAGACCCTGATCACCCCATTTATTTGGTGCCTGTTATTGTAATGTCTTCCGCCATCTGTTATTACTACTTACCACCTCTCCTCTGAGACGTATGGTCCAAGCCACATACCCTCAAAAAAAAATCTGTATTGAAGTATAATTTATGTACCATAAGGTTCACCTATTTTGAGTGTATAATTCAATGATTTTTAATAAATGTATAGAGTTGTATGGTCTTATCATTACAATCCAGACTTAGAACATTTCTGTCAGCCTGAAATGTTTCTTTGTGCCCATTTGCAATCAATTCTGCTTCTACTTTCAACCCCAGGCAACCACTGATCTGTTTTCCATATCTATAGATTGGCCTTTTCTGGACATTTTATATCAATGGAATCAAACAGCATAAGTTGCGCATTCCTAACCCCCAAATCCAAAATGGTCAAATTTGAAAATTTTCAAGCATGACATGACACCACAAATGAGGAAAGAAAAGATGCCTGACCTCCTTACATATGCACACCACAAGTGGAAAATTTCACACATAACCTCATTCACATGATGAGTTGCAGTCAGTCAAAATGCAGGCATGCAACACACAGTTTATTCAGCCTTCTCAAGACAAATAGACCCACCCAGCCCCCATCAGCTGCAATACATCTTTTCTACCCAATGCCCAGATTCCCCCATGCAAGCACACTCACAAAGGGTAATAAAAATGACACACGTGCAGGCCGGATGTGCCAATAGCAGGTTCCCCATGATGCCCCATGGGGAGCCAAGATGGCATGTATTACTCATTGTGTTTTTTTGCTTATTCTCTGCTCTGTGGTATAAAGATATTGTTGAAAATGTCAAAAAGGTCTGCATATGGGTAATAGTAATAAGAAAAAGAGAACACATTTATGTTTGTCTGTAGAACAGATACTGAACAGCAGTCTAAGTGTGAAATGTCTTATGGAAGAGTATGGTGTTGGAATGATCACCATGTATGAAAATAAGGATAAACTGTGGAATTTTTATGCTTAAAGTGATGAGCAGAATTTGATTAAAAATAGGAAAACACTGCATAAAGCTTAAAATGAAGATCTCGATTGTGTATTGAAGGAGTGGATCCATCAGCGTTGCAGTGAACACATGCCACTTAATAGTATGCTGATGGTGAAGCAAGCAAAGATCTATCAGAGTGAACTGAAAATGGAATGGAACTGTGAATATTCAACAAGCTGGTTGCAGAAGTTTAAGAAAAGACATGGCACTAAATTTTTAAAGATTTGTGGTGATGAAGTGTCTGCTGATCGTGAAGCAATGGAAAAATTTATTGACAAATTTGCCAAAGTCATCACTGATTAAAATCTGACACCATAACAAGTCTATAATGCTGATGAAACATTACTCTTTTGGTGTTATTGCCCCAGAAAGACACTGACTATGACTTATGAGATGACCCCTACAAGAATAATTGAGGATGCCAAGAACAGAATAGCTACTGGGATGTGCTAATGCAGCAGGCACATATTGGTATATACTTGCTGTGATAGTCAAAAGCTTACATCCTTGCTGTTTTCAAGAAGTGAGTTTCTTACCAGTCCATTATTATGCTAACAAAGAGGCATGTATCACCAGGAATATCTTTTCTGATTGGTTTCAAAATATTTTGTACCAGTAGCTTTTGCTCACTCTAGGGAAGTTGGACTGGATGATAACTAGAAGCTTTTGTTATTCCTTGACAACTGTTCTGCTCATCCTCCAGCTGCAATTCTATCAAAATAGTGTTTATGCCATGGACTTTCCCCCAAATGTGACATAATTCATTGATCATGTATCCTTAAATCAATGAAAAGTAAATATACAAAACTTTTTTTTGGAACAGCATGCTGGCAGCAGTGAACAGAGGTGTAAGTATGGAAGCTTTCCAAAAGAAGTTCAGGATGAACGATGCTGTGTGTGCTGTTGCCAATGCTTGGAATCCAGTGACTAAATACACAGTTGTATATTTCTGGCACAACCTCTGGCCTGCAATGATGTTCAGTAATGATGATGAACCAGGTGGTGACTTTGAAGGATTCCACCTGTCAATTGAGAAAAAAAAGATATTTGACCTCCTTACATACGCAAAAAATATATCTTCAGAGGCTGTCAGTAAGTTGGAAGAAGTAGATATTGAAGATGTTTTAACATTGATAATAAGCCTCTGGTTGTTCATTCACTGATTGATGGTGAAATAGCTGAAATGGTTCTGAATTGAGGTGATGGCGATAATAACGACAATGATGACATTGTTAACACTGCACAAAAAGTATCTGTAGAGGACATGGTGAAAATGTGTGATGGGTTTATTGAAGGACTAGGGCAGTGTGGATTTGCGATGGAACAAGAAATCATGTAGTATATAAAAAGAGAGATTGTTAAGACAAAAAGCAACACTGTTGATGAGGCAGATGACTTGAGGAAACATTTTAAAAATCTATCCAGCAGAACGCCTCCTCATTGCTAGGGGACCCATTTTCTGGTCCTTCAACTGCTTCTGATGTTTTTTCTCACCTTAAAAAAAAAAAAAAACCATACAGAGTACAGTAACCTTTTAGTCAGAACACAGCACTGCAGGTGGAGACTGAAAGCCTGTTGTTCGTTGCTGCTGTTGTCTGACAGCTGATACAGGGATTCTGGTGATGCTACTGTGCTGCTTAATTACCCTGAACACATGTTTTTTTAAGGTATTAAAGATAAATAATATTTTTTACTGTTAAGTACTTATGTGTGAATAAGTATAGGAACATGATTGCTTATTGGTAGCATTTACATTTAGAGTCAGGAAATGTGGTGATGCCAAACAACCACAGATTGTCCATATGGGTGGGTGGCTGAGATAGTGACACTTGTGCTTTCTGATGATTCAATGTACCTTTAAGCTATGTGTATAAAGTGTATATGAAACATAAATGAATTTCATGTTTAAACTTGGGTCCCACCCCCAAGATATCTCATTTTGTATATGCACATGTTCCAAAATCTGAAAAAAAATCTGAAATCTGAAACACTTCTGGTTGCAGGCATTTTGGTTTAAGGATACTCAACCTGTATGTATGTTTTTGTAGGTGGCTTCTTTCACCTAGAATAATGTTTTGTTTTGTTTTGTTTTGACAGGGAGTCTCGCTCTGTCGCCCAGATTGGAATGCAGTGGTGCAATCTCGGCTCACTGCAACCTCCGCCTCCTGGGTTCAAGCGATTTTCCTGCCTCAGCCTGCTGAGTAGCTGGGATTACAGGTGCATGCCACGATGCCGGGTTTAATTTTTTGTATTTTTAGTAGAGACGGTGTTTCATAATGTTAGCCAGGATGGTCTTGATCTCCTGACCTTGTGATCTACCAGCCTCAGCCTCCCAAAGTGCTGGAATTACAGGCGTGAACCACTGCGCCTGGCCTAGAATAATGTTTTTAAGGTCAATCTATGTTGTAGCATATATCAATAGTTTGCTACGTTTCATTGTTTCAATAGTATTCAGTTGCATGGATATAGTATATTTTATTTATTCTTTCATTAGTTGATGGACACCTGGATTGTTTTCAGTTTGGGGATATTATGACCATTAATACATAAGTCTTTGTATGGAAAGAAGTTTGTATTTCTCTTGTGTAAATATCTACATGTGGAATTGCTGGGTTGTATAGTAAATAAGTGTTTAACTTTATGAGAAGCTGCCACACTATTTTCCAAAGTGGCTCTACCATTTTCCATTCCCACACGTATGAGAGTTCTAATTTCTCCACATCTTCACCAATACTGATTATCGTCTGTCTTTTAATTATTGCCACTCTAGTAAGAGTGTAGTAGTATCTTAGTTTGATTTTGAATTTTATTTCCGTAATGACTAGTGATGTGAGCATTTTTTCATGTGTTTATTAGTTATTTCTGTATTTCATTTGGAGAAATGTCTTTTCAACTTTTTTGGCCATTCTTTTGTTTTTGTTGTTGTTTTTTGTTTGTTTATTTTTGTTTGTTTGTTTTTTGAGACAGGGTCACTCTGTTGCCCAGGCTGGAGTGCAGTGTTGCGATCATAGCTCACTGAACCTTGAACTCCTGGGCTCAAACAATCTCTCGCCTCAATCTCCTGAGTCACTAGGACTACAGGTGCCTGCCACCATGCCCGGTAATTAAAAAAGATTTTTTTTTGAGATAGGGTCTTGTTATGTTGTCTAGGCTGGTCTCAAACTTCAGGACTCAAGTGATCCTCCCACCTTAGCCTCCCAAAGCACTGGCATTACAGGCATGAGCCACCATGAGCATGAGCCACCAACCTTTTGGCCATTTTCAAATTAGGCTGCTTGTCTTCTTGTTATTGAGTTATATTAGTTATTTATGTATTCCGGATACAAATTCCTTTATCAGATGTATGATTCATAAACTTTTCTCCCAGTTTTTGCCTTGCCCTTTCATTGTCTAATGATTTTTTAGAAGAGCAAAAACGTTAATTTTGTTTAAGTTTTTTCTTTTGTGGATTATGCTTTTGTTGTCATATCTAAGAATTCTTTGCCTAATCAATGTCACTATTTTTCCCCTGTTTTCTTCTAAAAGTTTTATAATTTTACTTAGACATTAAGTCAATGATCCATTTTGAGTTAATTTTTGTGTATACTATGAGGTGTCTATGTTCTTTTTTCTTTATGTTTTGTACATGTATATCCAACTGTCTCACAAACATTAGTTGAAAACACTGTCCTTTCCCGAATTGAATTGCCTTACACTTGTCAAAAATCAACTGACCATAAATGGAAGAATTTATTTCTGGACTCTCAATTCTATTCTATTGATCTATGTACCTATCCTGTGCCAATACTATATTGTCTCGATTATTGTACCTTTATTATAACTTCGAAATTGGGGAGTGTAAGTTCTCCAGCTTTGTTCTTTTTTCAAGATTATTACAGCTATTCTAGGTTCTTTGCATTTTCATACGCATTTTAGAATGAGCTTATCAATGTCTACCAAAGAAATTGCTCTGCTAGAAATTTTATAGGGATTGTGTTGAATCTATACTTCATTCTGGGGAGAATTGCTATCTTAAAAAGATTGAATCTCCAATTTATGAACATGAAATATAACTCCATGTATTTAGCAATGTTTTATAGTTTTCATTGTATAAATCTTGTCCTTGCATTTCTTTTGTTAAATTGATTTCTAAGTATTTTATTCTTTTGATGCTATGAAATATTCTTAATTTCCTTTTTTGGTTGTTTCTTTGCTAAAACGATTGACCCTTGAACAACACAAGGGATTAGGGGTGCCAACTCCTGTAAATTCAAAAATTGGCACATAACTTTTGACTCCCTTAAAACATAACTACTAACAGCTCACTGTTGACTAGAGCCTTACTGACATAAACAGTTGATTAACACATATTTTATGTTATATGTGTTAGATACTGTATTCTTGAAAGTAAGCTAGGGAAAATAAAATGTTACTAAGAAAATAAAAAGGAAGAGAAAAATGTATTTACTATTCATTAAGCAAGTGAATCATCTTAAAAGTCTTTATCCTTGTCATTTTCATGAGTATGCTGAGGAGGAATAGGAAGAGGAGGAGTTGGTCTCACTGTCTCAGGGGTGGCAGAGACAGAAGAAAACCCACGTCTAAGTGGACCCTCATAGAAATCTGTGTTATTCAAGGATCAACAGTACATGAAATACAACTGACTTTTGTAGATTGGTCCTGTATCCTGCAGACTTGCTAAATTTATTAGTGCTAATAGATTTTTTAAATGTGTGGATTTATTAGGATTTCTTTTTTACATACAAGATTATGTTGTCTGTGAATAAAGGCAGTTTTACTTCTTCCATCCAATTAGAATAACTTAAATTTTTTTTCTTGCCTTATTAAACTGGCTGAAACTTTGGTAAAATGTTTAGTAAAAGGAACAAGAGTAGAGAACATTGCCTAATTCCCAATTTTAGCAAAGAAAACACTGAATCTTTTATTATTAAGTATGGTATTTGCTATAGTTTGTTTATAGATTCCCTTTACCAAGTTAAAGAAGTTCCCTTGTATTCCTATTTTGTTGATAGTTTTTATTACTGATGGGTGCTGGATTTTTAAAATGCTTTTTCTACATCTATTGAGATGATTACATGGGTTTTCTTAATTCCATCAATATGGTATATTACACTATTGATTTTTGAATACTAAACAACTTGAATTCTTTGCATAAATTCCACTTAGTGATGGCATAGAATTCTCTTTATATCTTTCTAGATCCAGCTTCTTAAAATTTTAAGGATTTTTGCATTTATGTTCACAATGGATATCAGTTTGTGGTTTTCTTTTCTTGAGATGTCTTTGTTTGACTTTTGTATCAGGGTAATACTGGGTTCATATAATGTATTTGGAAGTGTTTCCCTTTACTCTTTTCTAAAAGTGTGAAGTATTAGAATTATTTATTTTTTAAATATATGTTAGAATTCACCATTGAAGTCATTTGGAGTATTTCTTTGTGGAAAGATTTTAAATTACCAGTTCAATGTCTTTGCTTGCTATAGATCTATTGATATTTTCCAACTTCTCTTGAGTCAGTTTAGGTAATTTGTGTCTTTCTATAAATGTGTTCGTTTCACGTAAACTGTCCAATTTGTTGGTACAAAGTTGTTCATAATATTCACCTATAATCCTTTAATTTTAAGGTTGGTAGTGATTGCCCCACTTTTTTTCCTGATATTGGTAATTTGTGTCTTCTTTTGTTTTTTGATCAGTCTAGCTAAAGATTTGTCAATTTTGTTATTTTTTTCAAGGAATCACCTTTTCGTTTCATAGATTTTTCTCTATTATTTTTCTTTTTTCTATGTCATTGTTTTCTTTTTTAAAAAATTTTATTATTATTATACTTTAAGTTTTAGGGTACATGTGCACAATGTGCAGGTTTGTTACATATGTATACATGTGCCATGTTGGTGTGCTGCACCCATTAACTCGTCATTTAGCATTAGGTATATCTCCTAATGCTATCCCTCCCCCCTCCTCCCACCCCACAACTGTCCCCGGAGTGTGATGTTCCCCTTCCTGTGTCCATGTGTTCTCATTGTTCAATTCCCACCTATGAATGAGAACATGCAGTGTTTGGTTTTTTGTCCTTGCGATAGTTTGCTGAGAATGATGATTTCCAGTTTCATCCATGTCCCTACAAAGGACATGAACTCATCATTTTTTATGGCTGCATAGTATTCCATGGTGTATATGTGCCACATTTTCTTAATCCAGTCTATCGTTGTTGGACATTTGGGTTGGTTCCAAGTCTTTGCTATTGTGAATAGTGCCGCAATAAACTTACGTGTGCATGTGTCTTTATAGCAGCATGATTTATAATCCTTTGGGTATATACCCAGTAATGGGATTGCTGGGTCAAATGGTATTTCTAGTTCTAGTTCCCTTAGGATTCGCCACACTGACTTCCACAATGGTTGAACTAGTTTACAGTCCCACCAACAGTGTAAAAGTGTTCCTGTTTCTCCACATCCTCTCCAGCACCTGTTGTTTCCTGACTTTTTAATGATTGCCATTCTAACTGGTGTGAGATGGTATCTCACTGTGGTTTTGATTTGCATTTCTCTGATGGCCAGTGATGATGAGCATTTTTTCATGTGTTTTTTGGCTGCATAAATGTCTTCTTTTGAGAAGTGTCTGTTCATATCCTTCGCCCACTTGTTGATGGGGTTATTTGATTTTTTCTTGTAAATTTGTTTGCGTTCATTGTAGATTCTGGATATTAACCCTTTGTCAGATGAGTAGGTTGCGAAAATTTTCTCCCATTTTGTAGATTGCCTGTTCACTCTGATGGTAGTTTCTTTTGCTGTGCAGAAGCTCTTTAGTTTAATTAGATCCCATTTGTCAGTTTTGGCTTTTGTTGCCATTGCTTTTGGTGTTTTAGACATGAAGTCCTTGCCCATGCCTATGCCCTGAATGGTATTGCCTAGGTTTTCTTCTAGGGTTTTTATGGTTTTAGGTCTAACATTTAAGTCTTTAATCCATCTTGAATTAATTTTTGTATAAGGTGTAAGGAAGGGATCCAGTTTCAGCTTTCTACATATGGCTAGCCAGTTTTCCCAGCACCATTTATTAAATAGGGAATCCTTACCCCATTGCTTGTTTTTGTCAGGTTTGTCAAAGATCATATGGTTGTAGATATGCAGCATTATTTCTGAGGGCTCTGTTCTGTTCCATTGATCTATATCTCTGTTTTGGTACCAGTACCATGCTGTTTTGGTTACTGTAGCCTTGTAGTATAGTTTGAAGTCAGGTAGCGTGATGCCTCTGGCTTTGTTCTTTTGGCTTAGGATTAACTTGGTGATGCGGGCTCTTTTTTGGTTCCATATGAACTTTAAAGTAGTTTTTTCCAATTCTGTGAAGAAAGTCATTGGTAGCTTGATGGGGATGGCATTGAATCTATAAATTACCTTGGGCAGTATGGCCATTTTCACGACATTGATTCTTCCTACACACGAGCATGGAATGTTCTTCCATTTGTTTGTATCCTCTTTTATTTCATTGAGCAGTGGTTTGTAGTTCTCCTTGAAGATGTCCTTCATGTCCCTTGTAAGTTGGATTCCTAGGTATTTTATTCTCTTTGAAGCAATTGTGAATGGGAGTTCACTCATGATTTGGCTCTCTGTCTGTTATTGGTGTATAAGAATGCTTGTGATTTTTGTACATTGATTTTGTATCCTGAGACTTTGCTGAAGTTGCTTATCAGCTTAAGGAGATTTTGGGCTGAGACGATGGGGTTTTCTAGATATACAATCATATCATCTGCAAACAGGGACAATTTGACTTCCTCTTTTCCTAATTGAATACCCTTTATTTCCTTCTCCTTCCTAATTGCCCTGGCCAGAACTTCCAACACTATGTTGAATAGGAGTGGTGAGAGAGGGCATCCCTGTCTTGTGCCAGTTTTCAAAGGGAATGCTTCCAGTTTTTGCCCATTCAGTATGATATTGGCTGTGGGTTTGTCATAGATAGCTCTTATTATTTTGAGATACGTCCCATCAATACCTAATTTACTGAGAGTTTTTAGCATGAAGGGTTGTTGAATTTTGTCAAAGGCCTTTTCTGCATCTATTGAGATAATCATGTGGTTTCTGTCTTTGGTTCTGTTTATATGCTAGATTACATTTATTGATTTGCATATGTTGAACCAGCCTTGCATCCCAGGGATGAAGCCCACTTGATCATGGTGGATAAGCTTTTTGATGTGCTGCTGGATTCGGTTTGCCAGTATTTTATTGAGGATTTTTGCATTAATGTTCATCAAGGATATTGGTCTAAAATTCTCTTTTTTTGTTGTGTCTCTGCCAGGCTTTGGTATCAGGATGATGCTGGCCTCATAAAATGAGTTAGGGAGGATTCCCTCTTTTTCTATTGATTGGAATAGTTTCAGAAGGAATGGTACCAGCTCCTCCTTGTAGCTCTCGTACAATTCGGCTGTGAATCCATCTGGTCCTGGACTTTTTTTGGTTGGTAAGCTATTGATTATTGCCTCAATTTCAGAGCCCGTTATTGGTCTATTCAGAGACTCAACTTCTTCCTGGTTTAGTCTTAGGAGGGTGTAGGTGTCGAGGAATTTATCCATTTCTTCTAGATTTTCTAGTTTATTTGCGTAGAGGTGTTTGTAGTTTTCTCTGATGGTAGTTTGTATTTCTGTGGGATCAGTGGTGGTATCCTCTTTATCATTTTTTATTGCATCTATTTGATTCTTCTCTCTTTTCTTCTTTATTAGTCTTGCTAGCGGTCTATCAATTTTGTTGATCTTTTCAAAAAACCAGCTCCTGGATTCATTAATTTTTTGAAGTGTTTTTTGTGTCTCGATTTCCTTCAGTTCTGCTCTGATTTTAGTTATTTCTTGCCTTCTGCTAGCTTTTGAATGTGTTTGCTCTTGCTTTTCTAGTTCTTTTAATTGTGATGTTAGGGTGTCAATTTTGGATCTTTCCTGCTTTCTCTTGTGGGCATTTAGTGCTATAAATTTCCCTGTACACACTGCTTTGAATGTGTCCCAGAGATTCTGGTATGTTTTGTCTTTGTTCTCATTGGTTTCAAAGAACATCTTTATTTCTGCCTTCATTTCGTTATGTACCCAGTAGTCATTCAGGAGCAGGTTGTTCAGTTTCCATGTAGTTGAGCGGTTTTGAGTGAGTTTCTTATTCCTGAGTTCTAGTTTGATTGCACTGTGGTCTGAGAGACAGTTTGTTATAATTTCTGTTCTTTTACATTTGCTGAGGAGTGCTTTACTTCCAACTATGTGGTCAATTTTGGAATAGGTGTGGTGTGGTGCTGAAAAAAATGTATATTCTGTTGATATGGGGTGGAGAGTTCTGTAGATGTCTATTAGGTCCACTTGGTGCAGAGCTGAGTTCAATTCCTGGGTATCCTTGTTAACTTTCTGTCTCGTTGATCTGTCTAATGTTGACAGTGGGGTGTTAAAGTCTCCCATTATTATTGTGTGGGAGTCTAAGTCTCTTTGTAGGTCACTGAGGACTTGCTTTATGAATCTGGGTGCTCCTGTATTGGGTGCTGATATATTTAGGATAGTTACCTCTTCTTGTTGAATTGATCCCTTTACCATTAGGTAATGGCCTTCTTTTTCGCTTTTGATCTTTGTTGGTTTAAAGTCTGTTTTATCAGGGACTAGCATTGCAACCCCTGCCTTTTTTTGTTTTCCATTTGCTTGGTAGATCTTCCTCCATCCCTTTATTTTGAGCCTATGTGTGTCTCTGCATGTGAGATGGGTTTCCTGAATACAGCACACTGATGGGTCTTGACTCTTTATCCAATTTGCCAGTCTGTGTCTTTTAATTGGAGCATTTAGCCCATTTACATTTAAAATTAATATTGTTATGTGTGAATTTGGTCCTGTCATTATGATGTTAGCTGGTTATTTTGCTCGTTAGTTGATGCAGTTTCTTCTTAGCCTTGATGGTCTTTACATTTTGGCATGTTTTTGCAGTGGTTGGTACCGGTTGTTCCTTTCCATGTTTAGTTCTTCCTTCAGGAGCTCTTTTAGGGCAGGCCTGGTGGTGACAAAAATCTCTCAGCATTTGCTTGTCTGTAAAGTATTTTATTTCTCCTTCACTTATGAAGCTTAGTTTGGCTGGATATGAAGTTCTGGGTTGAAAATTCTTTTCTTTAAGAATGTTGAATATTGGCCCCCACTCTCTTCTGGCTTGTGGAGTTTCTTCTGAGAGATCCGCTGTTAGTCTGATGGGCTTCCCTTTGTGGGTAACCCGACCTTTCTCTCTCGCTGCCCTTAACATTTTTTCCTTCAACTTTGGTGAATCTGACAATTATGTGTCTTGGAGTTGCTCTTCTCAAGGAGTATCTTTGTAGCATTCTCTGTATTTCCTGAATTTGAATGTTGACCTGCCTTGCTAGATTGGGGAAGTTCTCCTGGATAATATCCTGCAGAGTGTTTTCCAACTTGGTTCCATTCTCCCCGTCACTTTCAGGTACACCAATCAGATGTAGATTTGGTCTTTTCATATAGTCCCATATTTCTTGGAGGCTTTGTTCGTTTCTTTTTATTCTTTTTTCTCTAAACTTCCCTTCTCGCTTCATTTCATTCATTTCATCTTCCATCACTGATACCCTTTCTTTCAGTTGATCACATCAGCTCCTGAGGCTTCTGCATTCTTCACATAGTTCTCGAGCCTTGGCTTTCAGCTCCATCAGCTCCTTTAAGGACCTCTCTGCATTGGTTATTCTAGGTATCCATTCATCTAATTTTTTTGCAAGGTTTTTAACTTCTTTGCCATTGGTTTGAATTTCCTCCTGTAGCTCAGAGTAGTTTGATCGTCTGAAGCCTTCTTCTCTCAACTCATCAAAGTCATTCTCCGTCCAGCTTTGTTCCGTTGCTGGTCAGGAGCTGTGTTCCTTTGGAGGAGGAGAGGCGCTCTGGTTTTTAGAGTTTCCTGTTTTTCTTTTCTGTTTTTTCCCCATCTTTGTGGTTTTATCTACTTTTGGTCTTTGATGATGGCGACGTACAGATGGGTTTTTGGTGTGGATGTCCTTTCTGTTTGTTAGTTTTCCTTCTAATAGACAGGACCCTCAGCTGCAGGTCTGTTGGAGTTTGCTAGAGGTCCACTCCAGACGCTGTTTGCCTGGGTATCAGCAGCAGTGGCTGCAGAACAGCGGTGGCTCTAGAACGGCGGTGGGTGTAGAACAGTGAATATTGGTGATCCGCAAATGCTGCTGCCTGATTGTTCCTCTGGAAGTTTTGTCTCAGAGGAGTACCTGGCCGTGTGAGGTGTCAGTCTGCCCCTACTGGGTGGTGCCTCCCAGTTAGGCTGCTCATGGGTCAGGGACCCACTTGAGGAGGCAGTCTGTCTGTTATCAGATCTCCAGCTGCGTGCTGGGAGAACCACTACTCTCTTCAAAGCTGTCAGACAGGGACATTTAAGTCTGCAGAGGTTACTGCTGTCTTTTTGTTTGTCTGTGCCCTGCCCCCAGAGGTGGAGCCTACAGAGGCAGGCAGGCCTCCTTGAGCTGTGGTGGGCTCCACCCAGTTGGAGCTTCCAGGCTGCTTTGTTTACCTAATCAAGCCTGGGCAATGGGCAATGGCAGGCGCCCCTCCCCTAGCCTCACTGCTGCCTTGCAGTTTGATTTCAGACTGCTGTGCTAGCAATCAGCGAGACTCCCTGGGCATAGGACCTTCCGAGCCAGGTGCAGGATATAATCTCCTGGTGTGCCTTTTTTTAAGTCCGTTGGAAAAATGCAGTATTAGGGTGGGAGTGACCTGATTTTCCAGGTGCCGTCTGTCACCCCTTTCTTTGACTAGGAAAGGGAACTCCCTGTCCCCTTGCACTTCCCGAGTGAGGCAATGCCTCCCCCTGCTTCGGCTCACACCCGGTGTGCTGCACCCACTGTCCTGCACCCACTATCTGGCACTCCCTAGTGAGATGAACCCGGCACCTCGGGTGGAAATGCAGAAATCACCTGTCTTCTGTGTCTCTCAAGCTGGGAGCTGTAGACCAGAGCTGTTCCTATTCGGCCATCTTGGCTCCACCTCTATCTCATTGTTTTCTAGTTTTGTCTTTATTACTTCCTTTCTTCTGCTTGCTTTGGGTTTAGTTAGCTTCTCTATTTCTAGTTTCCTATAGTGGGTGTTTAGGTTATTGATTTAATATCTCTCTTCTGTCCTAATGTAGGCATGTATAACTCTATATTTCCTGAACTTTAATCACTGCTGTAGCTGTATCCTACAATTTTTCATATGTTGAGTGTTTTTGTTTAGCTCAAAAATTTAAAAATTTTCCTACCGTTTTATTTGACAAACAGTTTAGATAGAAGTGTTTTAATTTTTAAGTATTTTGTGATTCCTTAAACTTCCTTCTGTTTTTGTCTAATTTAATTGCATTGTTTTTGAAGAACATACTTTTGATTATTTCAAACCTTCAAAATTTACTGAAACTTGTTTTTATGGCCTAGCATATGGTCTATTCTGGAGAATGTTCTATGTATGCTTGAAAGAATGTCTATTCTGGTGTCCTTGAGTGGAATGTTTCATAAATATCAGTGAGGTCAAGTGGTAAGTTTAAGTCTTCTATATCCTTGCTGCTTTTCTGTCTAGTTGTTCTATCAATTATTGAGAGTGGAGTATAAAAATCTCCATCCACCATTTTTGAGCACTGTCATTTCTTGCTCGGGTTATTGAAATAGCTTGGCACTCCTTATCCACCATGCCTACTTTACTTTTTCCCATAGGATTTATCTTCACCTGACTTAGTATATATTTTATTTATATTCTAGAATATAAAGGTCCCATGCTGTCAGGCAGTTTTTATCACTGATGTATGCCTGGCACCAAGAACAGTACCTGACACATACTTGTCACTCAAAAATATAATATTTTTTTAATGTATGCATTCATCACCAAACAAATGGCACCTTCTAGTTTCTCGGGTGAGTGTGAGACTCCTCATCCCACTATCTGGAATAATCTGAAGTGGGTCAATACCAGTGGAATCCTGAGAAATTCAGGGCAAAGGGTGGGAGATATAAGGGGGTAACTACTGCTACTGCTTTTGGCCACAGGGAGAAACTTTCCCTTTCTCCTTGTGTTTTTTGTTTGAATTTATCTCTCCTTGAATTTTTATTTTATTTTATTTTATTTTTGTCTCAACCTCATGGGCTCAAGCTATCCTCCCATCTCAGCCTCTTGAGTAGCTGAGGCTACAGGCATGCACCACCTTGCCCAGCTAACCTTTTTCTTTTCCTTTTTTTTTCTTTTTTTAAATTTTTTTTTCTTTTTTTCCTTTTTCTTATTTTTTTTTTAAGAGATGGGGTCTAACTCTGTTGCCCAGTCTGGTCTTGAGCTCCTGGACCCAAGTGATCCTCCCACCTCAGCCTCCCAAAGTGCTGGGATTAGAGGCATGTGCCACCACACCTGGCCTCCTTGCTCTTTGCATTTTCTAGTTATCAAAGTGGTAGGCACTTCAAGACCAGAACTGGATATAGGTATCAAGGAAATATGCCACTGTGCTTGATTTTGATCCAGACTATTTGGCTGCCTTCTCCAGGCAAAGGCATCAGGTGACCCTGTACATCTTAGTAGGTATTAAATCACAAGTGGGGAAGGAAAAGATGGGTTAAAACTTCAGAACAATACACAAAAATGTTTTCCCCTGCATCTGTACTTTTTCCTCCTGAATCTGAGACAAGTTTCCATAGGTGACTGGTTCAGGATTAGGTGCTCAGGACCCCGGCCAAGTATTGTTCCATTTTAGCATGATTGACACTATCTGCTTAGATACATGTCTTGGTGTAGCTTTGAAATTTAATGCATATCCTGCTTTGGAGGGCTGTAATATACAACAACTTCAGAAAAAACCAGCATGCACTATTTATTATTGAGTGCTTGGCATATGATAGCAAGATACTTTTCATGTATCTGGCATATCAGTTACTTTACATAATCTATATGCTTAATCAATTAAAAATGAAAGAAAAGATTAACTGATATTTTTCTTTTACTTATGAAAATTAGGCCTAAGTTTTACAAACTTTTCTCATATGGTCTGTATAACCAACTGGAACTCAGGGAAGAGGTCTGGGCTGGAGAAAACAGTTTGGGCACCATGAATAAATCTATGGTCATTAAAGCTGGGAGATGGGTCACGCCTTCTACAGAATGAGAAGGGGAAAGCATCTGGATAAAACTTTGAGGAACAGTGATGTTTAATGAGTAGAAGATGATGAGCCTGAAAAGGCAGAGAAGGAGCACACAGAAAGGTAGGAGGAAAATGAGGAGAATATTGTATCCAGGAAGGTATGCATCATCTTTCTGAAAACTTGCAATTGTCCTTGCTTTGGGGGAGTCTCGCTACTGGTAAAGCACTTATCATTTAATAATAAATTCTCATTACGTGAATGATCCTGCAATTGTTCTTGACTCAAATAGTTCTCATGCAGAGATACTTATAACACTTGGTAACATGAAGACTTTTGTGTTAATAAGACTCTGTGCTGGGTGCAGTGGCTCACACCTGTAATTCCAGCACTTTGGGAGGCTGAGGTGGGGGAACACCTTAAGGCCAGAAGTTCAAGACCAGCATGGGCAACACAGCTAGACCCTGTCTCTATAAAATTAGCCAGGCATGGTGGTGTCTGCTTGTAGTCCCAGCTACCTGGGAGGCTGAGATGGGAGGATCGTTTGAGCACAGGAGTTTGAAGCTGCAGTGAGCTATGATCACACCACTGCACTACAGCCTAGGTGACGGAGCAAGACACTGTCTAAGAGAAAGAAAGAAAGAAAAGAAAAGAAAGAAAGAAAGAAAGAAAGAAAGAGAGAGAAAGGAAGGAAGGAAGGAAAAGAAAGATGCTGTATTTTCATCAAAATAATTTCACTCCAGAGCTGGGCATGGTGGCTCGCACCTATAATCCCAGCTACTCAGGAGGCTGAGGTAAGAGGATTGCTTGAGGCCAGGAGTTCAAGACCAGCCTGGGAAACATAGGACGACCTCATCTCTAAAAAAGTTTTTTAAAAATTAGCCAGACATGATGGTGTCTACCTGTAGTCCCAGCTACTCAGGAGGCTGAGGCAAGAGGATGGCTTGAGTCCAGGAGTTCAAGACTACAGTGAGCTATGATCATGCCACTGCCCTCCAGCCTGGGTGGCAGACTCAATCTCTTTAAAAAATTACTTTACCTCAATCCTTGTGCACCCTGCAAGTATGATATACTCTCTCAATGACTCCAGAATCCATCCGTGACCTTTTGGCATTCTAGCGGTAATTTGAATAACGTCAGTGAAACATGGCAATAGCACTGTACAAATAAATTGAATTTATTATTACGGCTCTCCCATGATGAAATTATTTATTTTTGTGTTTAATTTTTTCATTTTAAGAAAGAAAAGTCTTTCTGTTACCCAGGCTGGAGTGTAGTGGAATAATCATAGCTCACTGAAGCCCTCAACTCCTGGGCTCAAGTGATCCTCCCACCTCAACCTACTGAGTAGCTGCGACTACAGGTGCACGCTACCATGCCTGGCTCATTTAAACAATGTTTCTGTAGAGATGAGGTCTCACTTCGCCGCCCAGGCTGCGAACTCCTGGCCTCAAGCCATCCTCTAGCACTGGCTTCCCAAAGTGCTGGGATTACAAGCATGAGCCACCATGCCCAGCCAGTCTTCAATATTTGTGGCAGTAAATAACCAATGAATTTTTATTTTAATGCTTTAGTCTCAATAACAAATTTATTTGTAAGAGTGCTATTTTATATGATTTATACATTCACTCATTCATCCATCAAACATATATTAAGTACCTACTGTATGCCAGACATATAATGTTAAGATGCATGAGGCATGGTTCTCAAGTTTAGGTGTGCACTGAAATCATATGGCAAACTTGCTAAAAATACTTATGACCCCATCCCACTTTTTGTATTCAGTAGATCCAGGGTGGGTTTCAGAAATCTATTTATAGCAAGCTTTCCATGTGATTCTGATGCACAACAAGATCTTGGAACTATTGCTCTACATAAAAACATTTAGTGAAAAAATAAAATGTAATAAAGTATAAGAGGTGTCAGAAGTATACACAGGGTAGAGTATATATTACATTTTATAACATTTGTCTCTTACTATAGTAGTAGACTATGCACTCAACAATATTATTGCAATTTTTGACTGTAATAGAATATTTTATTAGGGTTTTGAAGCCCTAGCAGTATAATTTACTTTCATTATACTGCAGACATTTTTAATGTCCTTAAAAATGATCATAAAGGTAAGAGGATGCTATAAAAATTCAAATGTTATTATATCTATGCTTATAACTTACTTTAGTAAGACTGAGAAAAGCATCTGGTGGTTCCTACTTAAAACTCTGGAAAGCTTTACTGTGTCATTATAGGAGTAGTTGTCTTATAAATGAAAGTGTTCTTTTCTCTCTTTTTTCTTTGTCTGCAAGGCTCTTTTGCAGCCTGTTGATACAAAGCTTCAAACAGCATTCGAGGAATATTCATAGCAGTTTCCTACTAAGACTTCAGCAATGATGCAAAATGCAAAACTCTTGAGTCTTGCATTGTGGGAAACAAGCTTTCTTTTAAAAAATTATTGCTTTCTTCTTAAAAGGAGATACTCGTTCACCATGGCATTGACAAGGAAACTTAGGCTGTAAGAAACAGATCAACCAAAGTCCCATTGTAGGGAAGCTATGATATGCTTTGATTATAAGACTTTACAAGAAGAGATGTCTATAGATAGAAGCAACTATTTAGCAAGTCCAACTCAAAGACCGAGTGAAAACAGCAACGGAAATGTGAAAAAAGTTCTGGAATTTCTTCAAAATGTCTTTTCAAAATGTCACTTGCTTTCGAATTAACACTTCAGGAAGTGTATCGAAGAGTACTAGCTTATCCAAATTGCTGTTTCTCCTCTCCTTCTTGGGCACATACAGAAAGGAAACTTCCCAGCCTCCTTTGTGTCACTTGTGGTCATGTGACTAAGTGCTAGCCAATGGAATATGAGTAGAAGCGATGTCTGCCACTTCTAGATTTGACCTAAAAAATCTTCCCGCTGTGGTTCTCAATGTGCCTTCTCCATTTGCTACTGCATGATGACTCCCAGGCAACCTGGAAGCCACAGGTTGAAATGGCAGGGCCTCTGTCAGCCTGGGTCTTTGAATAACTGTATAGAGCAGAGACACCGCACCCCGTCTCCTCCCCATCCCAGTGCCAATAGACTTTGCTTGAGAGAGAAATAAACTTTTACTCTGTTGAGCGTCTGAAATGCTGGGGTGTTTTTTTTTGTAAAGCAGTTAGCTAACTTTAATACAAGATGTAAGAATCTAGGCAAATCTATACCATGAGACCATGCACTGACCTGTCATTTATGAAGCCAGAGCCCTGAACATAGTTCTGTAATTCTCCTGCAGAGGTTGCCTATACCACAATCCCCTACTGAAAAGCTGTCTAGAAAGGATTCCTCTGACTCCAGGAGCAGGACTCAGGCTGTCAAGAGTATTCTAGTTCTCCACGAATGGTTTAAAAGCCAAAGTTTGGCCGGGCATGGTGACTCACGCCTGCAATCCCAGCACTTTGGGAGGCTAAGGTGGGCAGATAACTTGAGGCCAGGAGTTTGAGACTAGCCTGACCAACATGTCGAAATCCCGTCTCTACTGAAAATACAAAAATTAGCTGGGTGTGGCGGCACATACCTGTAGCCCCAGCTACTCGGGAGGCTGAGGCACGAGAATCACTTGAACCCAGGAGGTGGAGGTTGCAGTGAGCCGAGATTGCACTACTGCACTCCAGTCTGGGGAACAAAGTGAGACTCTGTCTCAAAATAAATAAATAAATAAATAAAATAAAATAAAAGCCAACATTTCTCTTAGCCTTTAGGGCATGGTCCTAGCACTGTACAAAGCATAAAATAAACACTCAGAAATTCTAACTCAAGAATCTGGAGAGAACAAAATTGGATAGAAGGAAGCCAGAGGCATAGCTGCAAAGGAGCATGACATGTAACACGGACAGAGTCACAGCATAAGGCCACCTTCTAGGCCCTGCACTGTGTACTTGCCACAGACTGGCAGACTGTCATTAAGGTTTAAGAGAGAATTCTCTAGGTCTTTAAGATGTTTATCCAAATTATTCCTCTCAGCCTTAAAATCCTTCAGTCATTTTGGATACCTCTCTCTCTCCTTTCTTTGGATACCTCTCTCTCTCCTTTCTAGTCCATTAAGTAAAATAGCTCCTACCCATGCAATAGTTATTCTGATCAGGCACTGTGCATGGCTTTACATATGTTGTGTTATATAATCTTCACATTAAGTACATAATATTATTATCCCTATTCTGCAGATGAAAAAACTGAGGCACCAAAAAGTTAAGTAGCTTGACCAAGCTCATACAGCTAGTGAGGGGAAAACCCAGAGCTGAAATCTAAGCACTTGGACTCCCTGCCAAATCATCTGCCCTTAACCATTGTACTATACTGTTTCCAGCAGTAAAATTCAGCAGATTTTTGCTCATGTAAGAGACCTCTCAGGAGAGGGTTGATCCTTCAAAAGGGCCAATAGATAGAATCCAGTTCATTGGCCCTTCATATTTGCATCCTTTTTGTTTTTTATTTTGTCCCTCGTGGGATTTGGGAAGCTCTCAGCATGATGCTGGTGTTCACCCTTGGAGGTACCTCCCTTCTCTAAATCTTAGCAGTTCCCTAGCATGGTGAGATCCTGGGGCTGCTGCCACAATCCTCTGGAAAAGAAAAGCTTGAAGAGAAGCTTCTTGGCTCCAGTAGATTCTTAATGCTGAGGAGAAGAGCTGTTCTGTGGGGCCAATCTGTCACTGCATCTATATTTAGCGCCATCTGCCAGGAATATTTCAAACTGCCTATTTTAGCACATGCTGTTTCGTGCAAATGCGACTGCTCCACCACTAGTTCGTGGGAAACCAAGGGCACTAAGTGGATTTTCTGTTTTTTTATGTTAAGTGTTGCAAGTTGGCCCTTCAGTCAACCTTCAAATGAGATATGGGAGAGAAGGGAGGTGGAGTTTTCCCAGGGTGTTAGTCCCAGGAGCCCACACATTCAGCTGCTCAAAAGTAACCCAAGGATGGCAGCTGTAGAGGAGGCGGAGGTGGCTCTGGGGGTTCAGGGGGAAGGGCAAGGGAATATAAAAGCCCAGGACTCCTATCCAGCAGCCCCAAGGCAAAGTGATGGCCTTATCCACTTCAGTGTTCTCCACTCCAACTCCGAGATCATTGTCCAGACTCTTGCAGCCTTAACATACCCCCAGGAGAGCCTTCTTGACCCATCTCAGTGAAAAACAAGGGCTCCCATTTACTGAGGACTTTCCTTGTGCCAATTTTCAGTGCTTGCTTTGATATGCATATTTGTTTCTGGCATACAACCTCTTTATGGGGGAGGCTCTATTACTAGTTCTACTCACAGATAAGGCAATTGAGTCTTAGTGAGGGTCAGGAACTTGCCCAAGGGCACATTGCTTGTAAGTGGTGGAGTCAGAATTCAAACCCAGCCCCAGCTAAGACCAGGTCTTATGATCTTAAACACTGTGTACTGACCAATTCTATACATCCTCCCATCCAGTATCCCTGTTTTCTTCCCCCAGGTATAGGCACACACTATATTTTTTGCATATATTTCAATTTCCAACTTATTCTCCAGACTTGATGGTTAACTGCATTTGAAGAGCTCTGACCATAGGTTTGCTATCCAGCCCCCAGTCAGCAATGATGCTAACTCCCTAAGAAGCCCTCCTAGATTGGCCCCAGCAATAGCCCAGTGAGGGAGAGTGGCTTCTAGGTTTGCCCCAACTCTTGAGGAAGAACTGGTGGGTAGGAACAACCAAGCAGCCTTATGACAGGTTGTTATAGCTGCAGAGGTGAGTTTGACTGGAAAGGTACAGATTCTGGCTTTATAGATGGTAAGGACTGCCTGGAAAAGGAATTGCCACCAGGGACTGGCATGGGGCTGGGCTGAGAAGACTGACAGTGGAGTGGGGCTCAATAACACAGCTGTCCTGTATGACTTATTAATCTTAAGAGCGACTGACTCTAGGCAAATTCTAAATTGTGATCATAGGAAAATCTCAAAATATATACATATTTTTTATAGACACAATTCCCAAGGATAACCAATTTTCATTAAATCACCCTGGGATAAAGGCTAGAAGAGATGGCTCCATGTTTGCTATGGTTTGGGAAATTTGGAACTGAGTCCTTGGGCTGTCCAGGGACTGAAGAATATGAGTGGCATAGAATAGAGGCTAGATGTTAGATCTTTTAATAGCCAACTTCATATCCCATCTGTTTCAGTTATTTATTCCTGCATAACAAGCCACACTTAAACTTAGTGGTTTAAAACAAAAGCAATCACTGTATTATCATCTCTGGGGTTGAGGGGTTGACTGGCCTCAGCTAGGTGGTTCTCACTGGGGTTTCTCCTGAATTACAGTCAGATAATGCATGGGCTTGAAGCCATCTCAAAGACCTCCTCACATACATTAAAATAGGTGCTGGCTGTCAGCTGGGACCTCAGCTTGGCTGTCTGTCAGGACACCTACATACGGTCTCTCCATATGGCCTGGACTTCCCTGCAGCATGGGAGCTGCATTCCCAGAGGGAGAGACCTGAGAAAATGCGGCAAATGCTATATAGCCTTTTGTGATCTACCCTTAGAAGTTACATAGTGTCACAGCACAGTCACACCGTCACAGGTCAGCACCCACGCAAGAGGGCACACCGATATTCTTCTTAAGTGGAAAGGCATTAACATTAATTTGTAAGAAGGTCATGTGGTATGGGATATAAGATTGTGGTGATCATCTTTGAAAAATGCAATCTGCCATACCAATTACATAGGGCCAGGGGAAGAACCTGGATTTGGTGAACAAATTGGGGTGGCAAAGTAGCTGGCATTTGAATACAAGAGGGGTGGCCAGGCAGCAGAGGACCAAGACTCCACGCACATCCTTCATAGTTTCAACTAATGCTTACTGGGTACTTAACATTTGCCAGAAATTGGGGCTGTAATAGCAGTGAGCAAGAGACAAGGTGCCTGCCTTCATGCACGTTACAGTCTGGTGGGGAGACAGCAAACAATGGCTCAAATAAACACAGAAGCTCCATAAAGAAATATAACAGTTGGGTAAGGGGAGTGACACTATTAGGGAGAGGGGTTTCTATTTTAGATAAAGTGCTTAGGGAAGACCTTGCTGAAATGGGAACATTTAAGCAGAGACCTGAATGAGGTGAGGGAGCGAAACAAGCAAACCTCTGGAAGAAGGGCATTCCAGGCTGAGGGAAGAGCAGGAACAGTCTCAGGGATAAGCTTGGCATGTTCAAAAAATAACAAGAAGCCCAGTGTGGCAAGTGAGGAAGGACTGAGTGGAAGAAGGATAGGAAATGACGACGAGAAGTTACCAAGAGTAGTTAATGCTTAACTGGGGGCAAAATCCATTTCAAAACATTGCTTCTGTTGATATTTGTTTTCCTGGTCTTAGGATGGAAGAACAACTCCTCCTCTTCCAAATGTAAATGACTATGTTTCCATTTGGGGCAGAGCTGACTGAATACAGATTTCAGAAGGCATCTCTGACACGCATGTAGAGGCATCTGGCCACCTTGGGGTACCTTCCCACCATGTACCACAGTCAATCTGGTCTTTGTCAGGGCATCTTTCTCTTCAGAAAGTAACTATGACAACGGAGTTGGATGCTGCGAGTCTGCGGCAGCCCTCTATTTGCACACAACATGTGATGCTATCAGAACACAGAATTATGAATCAGTGCAGTGTCAGCTTTTCTCTTTGTAGTGAACAAGTTATCTGCTCTTTGATTCAATTAATGTTTTATTATTGGTTTTGTTTTTATTATGACTGTTCCATAACAAGATGATCAATATGTTCTATAGCGTCGTTTCCCAGACACATCTGAGCAGAGCCCCGTATCAGTTTTCTATTGCTGCTGCAACAAATTACTGCAAACATAACAGCTAAATTACACAAATTTATCTTACAGTTCTGGAGGTCAGAAGTTTGATACGGGTCTCACTAGGCTAAAATCAAGGTATTCACAGGGCTGTGTTCCTTTCTTGAGGCTCAAAGAGAAGGATCGGCTTCCTTTGTAGTTCAGGTTGTTGGGAGAATTCAGTTCCTTGCCATTACAGGACTGAGGGCTCCATTCCCTGCTGGCTGTCAGCTGAGGGCCCTCTCCAGCTTCTGGAGGCTGCCCACATTCCTTGGCTCACAGCCCCTTCCTCCATCAGCAAAGCTAGCAATAGCGGGTCAAATCCCTCTCATATTTTGAATCTCTCCTCCTTCTGTCTTATCTCCCTCTGACCACAACCAGGAAAGATTTTCAGCTTTTAAGGACTTATGTGTTTAGATTGGGCCCACCTGGATAATCCAGGATACTCTCCCCTTCTCAAAGGTTCCTAACCTGAGTCACCTCGGCAAAGTCGCTTTTACCATGTAAGTGAACATTGTCATGGGTTTCAGAGATTACATGTGGACTTTGGTGGCAGGTGAATTATTCTGTCTACAGCAACCCTTATTTCCTGACTACATTAAACTACAGTTTAATGGAATACAGTTTGGGAAGCACTGCCCGAGAGGTATCAATTCTAGACAGGTAAGAAACTAATTCTTTATGGGTAATGACCCAAGCATGGGTGAGCACAGGGCCAGGTGGAGGATGGATTCCTCCATGTGGTTCGGGAGTGGGGTGCAGGAAATAAGGATAAAGCATAATGGAGTTCAGTGACAGATTTCACCTTCTTGCCAAGCCACAAGTATAAATCAGGTAGATTTCCTAATTGGGCTTGTCTGTCAAGAACTTCTAATTGTAGTGCCTGAAGGGAAAGGGGTGGACAACTATGGCACTAGGTGATTTTCACAGTCATCTCATATAAGGGTCATGCTAACTTGTGAAGGCAAACCCTGCACTTGAACCTCAGTGTGGTGGGTTCATTTGGTGTCCCACTCAGATCCCCTTTATCAGGCTGGTGTGCTCATCCTACAGGGTGGTAAGCTGACAGCTCACAGATTCTCCCTTCTCTGGAAATTATCCTTAAAGCCCTTGGGAGCTGCCTTAGCTAGGAAGTTATCCCCCCAATCACCCCTTACCTCCAACATACACACATACATACATACACACTCCACAGAAAGTCTGTGACATCATTTATGCTCCAAAGTCCTCTGGGGATCACATTTGAGAACACATTCTTGTTTCACTCTTCCCCCTTCAATTTCCTGCTTCCCCTCCTCCATTACAAGTTTTTCTTGACTAAATCAATACATCTCGTGTCCTCAAAACCCTGCCTCAGGTTCTGCTTCCAAAGAACCAACGTAACTTGCCACGGCTCCCTAATTCCAAAGACCTTGCTCTTTGTAGCTACCTAGCCTAGAATCAGACAAGCACTAAGAAAAAGACTGGAGAAAATATCCCTGACACACCTGGGACATGCTGTCTTCTAGATATGTCACTGAATAAATCAAAGGAAGTTTGTTTATTTGCAAAAGTTGGGTGGGAGTTCGGTGTATGATTCTAAAGACTTAGGTTGTGGAAAAGAACAGGAAGTGAGAGTTGAGAGTTAAAGTTGAATACAATGGTCCACTCCACTATAAGCTCCTTGGGGACAGGAGCCATGTCCATGTTGTTCTCTACTGCATCCCTGTGCTTAGCACAACAGCTGGCACGTGGTACCTCTGCAACTTGTGGAATAAGTAGGTGAAAAAAGTAGAGAAAAGCAATAGGGGGTCAGGTTTCTGTGAGTCAGGAGGTTCAACTGGGAGAAAGCTGGGGAAACAGAGTCTGTTCTCGATAGTACAGGCTGCTTTGCACTCTTCCAAGATCTTCTGTGATAGCCTCACTTCTGGAATGTTTCCAGGAATCGGCTCATGTAGGCCCTCCTCTGGAAAATGGCAGCATTTCTAATAAGCCTTTCTCCTTCTACACACGGGAAAGAATCCAGCAGCCTTGTCCTAAACCAAGAACATATCTTGCCTGTTAGAGGTCTAGTGGATCCCTAGATTAGACTTACATTATTTTTATTTATTAACAGGTTATTTAAATTTGTACAGTATAAAACCAGGTATTAGCTCATTTTACTTTAGTGTTTATATACAACTAACATATTTATGTTTTAAATACCAAAAAGTCACAAAACCGGTAAAATTGTAATTAATAACATTCATGAAAGGTGACCTAATATTGTTTTTGTAAAATGAAATCTCTACCACATGTAGTGTGGTACTGACTCTCCAAGCCCATGCGCTTTTGAAATTAGCCCGTTCATATTACCGTGTACCTGATGCAAACATCTTCTCTGATCTCTCAATTTCTCTCTATTCAAACGACTTCTAAACCTTCCTTTGTATAAAATGGACCCTGCTGTGCAAACGCATTTTTGTGTTAAGTCCACCTTTTTCATTCCTCACTAGCTTTGAAAATAAATAGCTTTACTTAGCATTAATTTATTACACATTGTGTTATACATGTAAATACATAGAGGCTTAAATCATGCAGTGCCTGGATTATAAATTGGACATTCAGATAACTTAGAATATGTAAACTTGTAAGTACATATATGTTATATTTATATGTATGGATATACAGTTGACCCTTGAACAACTTGGGTGTTACGGGCACCAACCCACATGCAGTGGAAAATCTGCCTATAACTTTTGATTCCCCCAGATCTTAACGACTAATAGACTACTGTTGACCAAAAGCCTTACTGATAACATAAACAGCCAATAAACACATATTTTGTAAGTTGTATATATTATATACTGTATTCTTACAATAAAGTAAGCTAGAGAAAAGAAGATGTTTATAAGAAAATCATAAAGAAGAGAAAATATATTTACTATTCATTGAGTAGAAGTGGATCATCATAAAGGTCTTCATCCTTGTCATCTTCTAACTGAGTAGGCTGAGGAAGAGAAGGAAAGGAGGGGTTGGTCTTGCTGTCTGAGGGGTGGTCGAGGCAGAAGAAAATATATATATAAATAAATCTGCACAGTTCAAATCCATGTGGTTCAAGGGTCAACTGTGTATGCATCTATGTAGATGAGATAATCATCAAAGTCTAGTTTTAAAATGAAAAATTACATCATTCTTTTAGAAAACTCCTGGAACCTTGAGGAACACTGCTTTAGGCATACCCTGGTCTAGAATGCCACCTGTCTATACAGTTCTCCCTCAGTATCTGAAGTGGATCAGCTCCAGGACCCCCACAGATGCCAAATTCCACAGATGCTCAAGTCCCTTACATAAAATGGCATAGTATTTGCATATAACCTACACATATCTTCTTGTATACTTCAAATAATCTCTAGATTACTTATAATCCCTAATAGAATGTAAATGCTATGCAAATAGTTGTTATACTGCATTATTTTTAGTTGTACCTTTTTCTATTGTTGTATTGCTATTTAAATGTTTTCAAATATTTTCCAATTTTCCAAGATTGGCTGAATCTGCACATGTGGAAACAGCACAGGCAAAGGCTGACAGTATGCAGCTTTATTTCTCTTTCTGTCATGCCCATGCATTCAGTCAAAAATTAAAATTATTTCTCTTTACCTCTCCACTTGCATATTCAACCATTATACATAGTTGTTCATCTATTTTAGAACAACCAGCCACATTTATTGCATGCCTATCATACCTACATCTTGATTTCACAAGAACACTGCAAAATAGTATTATTAATATTAATATGTTATGGTTTACATTTTAAAAATGAGAAATCTGGAGATCAGCGTGTTCAGGGGACTTGCCCAAGAACACGCTCATGTCAAAGGCTGGGCTTTGACTCAATTCTGTCTGATCTTAGATCCCATAATTGTGCCCTTTGCTATAGCCCCAAGGTACTGAAAGGTGCATCGCACATAGTGGGTGCTCAATAAACATTTTTTGAATGAATATGAGAACAATGAACTGTTTCCATTCCATCAGTCTGCCTGTACTCCCAGCCTGTTGGCACTGTTTCCTCTCTAGGCATGCAAAGCCTAGGGGAGTACAAACTAAGGTTTGACTCACCCTGGTATCCCACAGCATGCCTGGCCACATAGTAGGTTCTCAAATACTCATTAATTTGAATTGACTTGAACTCCTCCCAAGACCCCGCTTGGAAACTTTTTTGAAGGTTAATTTAGAATGAGAAAAGAGAACTTGAGGAAGAGAGTGTGCTAGTGATGATACAAGCCCCCAGCTAGCCTTGGTAACTGGAATGGGAAGCATTGGCCACCTCCTCCTGAGACTGGGCTCCAAGCCCTGCTTGGTAATGCAGGCAAAAGCATGTGATTCAGACAGCAGCAAAGCCACAGAACGGCACGCCAAGTTCAAAGTCATTGAAGCAAGTAGTGTAAGTGACAAAATTTAAAAGACAGAGACCTCTGTAGAAGAAGCCAGGGTACCCAGAATTGACAGCATTGAAAGCTGGGCTTAGGTGGAAATGACAAGAATCTCTGCCCTACCCCTAGCAGGAGGTCCTCGGTGAGTAGCTTATAAAATGCCCTTCTAAGTCCCTAAAGGAGCCCACTGCTGGATCAGCCAAGGCTGGGAAGGTCCTCGTGATCATGATTGAGGTTCTCACAGTCTTCCTGCCAAGGCTGCTCTTCGGGGCAGACAAAATGTACCGGGAGCTCCGCGGGTCATTTGTGTTTACATTTTTTCCCTCTTTACTGCTCTTGATGTTCACTCTTCCAAAATTATCAAGCTCTCACTCTAGCCTAGTTCAACAGAAACATTTCTCTACTTCCAGACTGTTTAGAGCTTCCTCTCCAGCCAGCAAAAGGCCCAGCCCATTACTGGTGCACAGGGGCACTGACCAGCAGCAGCTTGGCTTGTCCTGTTTGACGGGGCTTGGCCTCATTGCCCTTCTGAAGGAGGCCCAAATGCCCATGTCTATTCCATCCCCAGATGCCAGCGAAATTGCAAGGTGTTTTCAGTGACAGGGCACCTTGCAAAAGTGGGAGCATCTTTGCATACATCACCTGAAATGGGGTCAAGGAAGAAAAGATTCATGCAAGACCCATCAGGGACAGACACTGGTACCCAGTGGATATCAGCTCATAGCAATTCTGTGTGCACTTTGCAGATCAGGAAACTGAGGTTCTCCTGAGACACAGAGTTGAAAATCAGGGGGTCAGTTCCCCAAGGTCCCAGCTTCCTCATCCTTTACACTCAAATACATTGCAAGGGCATCTCTCTCACTGACCCCACCTCTCAGAAGGGAATTTGTTCTCTCCTTTTTCCTCCTCCCTCAACCACTGATTCAGGAAGAAACTAATAAACTCATGATTTGTAAAGTTTTGTTCCTCAGCTCTTCTCAGATACGCTTCAGTTGAAAACACAGTGTTCATTCATTCCAGATTTCCCAAGACACTTCCAATTTCATGCAATGTTATAATTGTAATAAATTCATTTACTTCAATTTGTGACGAAGTATAATTTCATTTCATATCATTTTAAGGTATTGCATGTACACAAATTCAGAAACTGGAAAGAATATGTTTTGTTAAATGCCATGCCCTGATTTTTGAATTGGAAAATATAAAATGTGTTCCATCTCTGCTGTGCATGCACATAGCATAACATGATCACAGGAAATTCTTCACCTTAGTTCTTCTTTGGTCTGGCTTTTTTTTTTTTTTTTTTTTGAGAGGAGGTTCTCTGTTCCAGGCATAGGGAGAACTGTTGTATATCCCTCATTGCAGGCACAGCCCCGGAATCTTCCAGCCCTTTCGCCAAACAGATTCTTCACCATGTGGTCTCAGTTTCCCTGCCCGAAAAAGTCAAGATATGTTTCTCAATCTTGTAGCAACAGCTGCTCCCACCCCAAGGATTCCCCTACTCAAACCCGAGTGAAGAATGAAGCTGGTTTCTGTTTTAGGAACCAAACAAAGTCCTGCCCCTCCTCAGGGGCCCCCCTTTGGACTGGCTCCCTTCCCTCTGTTTGGATAGCCCACTCTTTCCAAACCACTGAGTCATTTCCTCTCCGGGACTTTCTCATTAAAATCTTCCTGTTTGCTATAGTTCTGGAGCCCCTCTCTGAGTTACCGTTTCCTTCCTCATCCCCACTGAGCTGATTAATTAATAGCCCAGCACCGCCCTGCAATCTCTCCCACTGCGGCGTTCCTTCCCACTCTCATGTCGGCTGGAATCTCTACACTTCGTACACATTTGTACAAAGCCTCGGAGTTCCTAAAGCTGTGAGGGGAATGGAGGATACCACTCCTCTCCGGCAAGGTATTGCTTGAAAGATAAATTGGGAAGATGAGTGCCTAGAAACGGGCAGCAGAGAAAAAAAACCTACCAACAGCTTGTCCCAGAGCCGCCAGGCACAGCAAGTGCAGCAGTTGGGATACAGGCTCTAATTAATGCGCTAGGAGCTGCTCGACCCTGAGCAGCCCCTTCCTCTCCCAGAAGACAGCTGCGGTCTCCTCGAAGCCCCGGTTTGGAGGGTTGTGTGCACATCTGAGACCTGCTGACCCTGACAACAGGCAACAGATTGCAGCACCAAGGCAGAACTCCATGGGACAGAAAGACAGAAGACACCGGGGCTCTTTCGTTCAGTGACGGCGTGAAGAGGACTGTCACAGTCAACATGGCACCTTCATTCTTCTATTGGGCTTTTTTTTTTTTTTGGCGGGGTCGGGGAGGCAGTTCTCTGTTCCCGGCACACAGAGAACTGTTGTATCTTTCTCATTGCAGGCACAGCTCCAGAATATTCCAGCCCCTTCTCTAAATAGATTCTTGATCAAATGAAACATCCTGGGCTGAACTGAGGGCAGTGCCATTTTTGCCCAGTGGGTATTTGGTAAATGTTCATGGAAGCAAGTCAAACTGAAGTTCAAAAAGTACATGATTTGCATTCGTTGAAGTACAAAAAAAGGTACATAACAATAGAGATGGACTGCAAACTCATCCACTGACTCAACACCTTCCATTATCTATTCATGTTATCCCATTGCTTCTCATTGTGAAAAGCCCCCGGGAGATAGTTTGGGGGTGACGGGTCATTGGCTGTCCCTTAAATCCCATCATGTTGGCAATCCCCTTCCCCAGTAACGTATGAGGTTCACATGATCTCAGAGCTGCACGTATGGCTCTACAGTAATCCCCATAGCAGCACATTCCACTTGGAAAAGTTGCTTTCAAAGTGTACTTATAATTGCTAATCATCACTGTAGTCTGGCAGCTTCCATGGAAGCGTGACTGGCATGTTCTGGGGCTGGCCCCTTGCCCTCTGATTCACAGGACACCTGTCTCAGTCCTCCCCAAACCCCATCCTGCTTCCTCTGCTCTCCACCTCATTCCCACCTCTGCACAAGCCTGGATCCTGTGGCACAAGTGATCCTTCCTTCTCCTCCTAGATTTCCAAATCTCTCCATTCCCTGGGACTTACTGCAAATTGCTAAACTCTTCTCCATTTCCAAATAACTTGTTCCTCCTCGTGCTTCCCAGGGTCCTCCTTTTCATTTCCTCCCAGGGGGTACCACTCATAGCATATCCTGGTAGTGATCCAGGGGTTTTCATTCACAAAGAATACAACCTGAATGGCGACGGCTCTCCTTGTGAAAAGATGGGCACACCTGCCCCCTCCACAACAACCTGTGTCTCTCCTTCCCTCCATTACCAACTTCTTACAAGAGCAGCCTGTAGTTCCTCACCCCTCCCTGGGTAAAAGTCTTCATGCATTTCCCACTGTGAGGTCAGAGGCCTAGTGTTAATTAACCCTCATCCTGCCTACCTGTCTGCAGCGTTTGGGACCTGATCATTCCTGTTTCTGGGAACACTCTCCTCCTCTGGCTTTCCTGCTTCTTCTGTTCCCTCATGGCTCCTCCTCAGTCTCTGACCAGCTCTCCTTCCAGTCTTCTCTCTGAAATCTTGATGTTGCTAAAAGCTGTTTCCTCAGCCACCTTCTTGTTTTTCACATGCTCTTCCCTGGGCAACGTCATTTACTCCCTTGGCTTTGATTAAACTTACACACTTAAACTGATAACCTTTCTGCTTACTAAATTAAAAACCTCTTATAATTACAAAGCAGCCCATGTATAGATAAACAAAAATAAGAAAATAAAAATACACTATTCCCACCATCCAGAGCATACCACTGTTAATATCCTATTGTACATCCTTCCAAAATTTTTAGGCATGCATATATATGCAGACATATCTTTTTTTTACAAACTGAGAAAAATACCGTTTTATGAATTGTTACATACTGTTTTTATAAAACTTTCCATGTCAATATATGTCACTATATTTTACCTAATATCCAGTCTATATCTGATGATCTAAATCATTCCCGAAACGTCTTTTGTAGTTCGTTTGTCCAATCAGGAACCAATTCAGGCCTACACATTGCATGGATATTTCTTAAGCCCTTTTCCAAGCATAAACATGACATTAGGCTTGTTAAATGAATTTGGCCATTTAGCCTAAGGAACAACCCATTTTCTGGATTTGACAAGCTGCTTTCTTGTGGGTTCATTTAGCTTGTTTCTCTGACCTTCTTATTTCTTATAAACTGAAAGTCAAATGTGGCCAGGCGTGGTGGCTCTTGCCTGTAATCCCAGCACTTTAGGGAGCTGAGGCAGGAGGATCACTTGAGCCCAGGAGATCGAGACCAGCCTGGTCAATATAGTGAGACCTCATCTCTTAAACAACAAAACAAAAGAGAAAGTAAAAGGCAAAAGCATGGTGGATTCAATTTAAACCTTGTTAGCTAGATTATATCATAGGAGATATGTACTTCTTATTGTATTTTGTCATGATATATATATTTTCTGGTTCGCCCACTGTTAGAGATTCTAGTAGTGACCAGTGAATTAAGGCAAACAACAATTTTCTTCTTCCAAGAAACATTATGTTTTCCCTCCTGTGACTACAAGGTAATCTGTGTGGTGTTATCTGGGCAATGCACAAATGTTCAGTTCCCCCTCAACAATGTGCTAATGCTTTAATACCAGTTTATACTTGTTGCTGAAGTCAATACTTTTAATAAGGCATTTGTAACCACCCACTGGGTTCATTTTTCATGGTGCCCAGATAGAGCCAATTTATCAAGATAGGGGAATTGCAATAGAAAAAGAGTTAAATACACTTCAAGCTTGCTAAATGGAAGACTGCAGTTTTATTATTACTCAAATCAGCCAGCCCAAAAATTCAGAGGCTAGAGGTTTTTAAAGATATTTTGGTGAACAAGGGGCTAGGGAATGGGGAATGCTGGTTGGTTGGGTTGAGGATGAAATTATAGGGAGTTGAAGCTGTCTTCTTGCACTGAGTCAATTCCTGGGTAGAGGCCACAGGACCAGATCTGCCAGTTTACCAGTCTGGGTGGTGCCAGCTTATCCATCAGAATTCAGGGTCTGAAAAATATCTCAAGCACCAATCTTAGGTTCTACAATATTATCTATAGGATACAACATTATCTATAGGAGAGCAACTGGGGAGGTTAGGAATCTTGTGGCCTCTGGCTGCATGGCTTCTAAACCATAATTTCTAATCTTGTGATTAATTTGTTAGTCCCACAAAGGCTGTCTTGTCCCCAGGCAAGAAGGAGGTTTGTTTTGGGAAAGGGCTGTTGTCATCTTTTTAGTTTTAATAGTTCTAAACTATAAACTAAATGCCTCCCAAAGTTAGTTTTGCCTATGCCCAGGAATGAACAAGGGCAGCTTGAAGGTTAAAGGCAAGATGGAGTTGGTTAGGTCCCTTTCAATGTCATCAATTTCTCACTGTTAGAATTTTTCCAAAGGTGGTTTCAGTTTAGAGCAATTTTCAGCCAGAGTTTCTGGTTTAAGAATATTTTTATAAAAGAGCTATTTACTCAGGTATGGGCAGGGCTAAGGCAACCATCTAGGGATCATGAAGTTCCCAGGGGCTAGTGTCAGTGGGCGGCTATCGCCAGCCCTCATCTGAGGGGGCAGGAGAAAGGAATGTTCCTCCTGGTGCCTGGGGCTAGCTACAACCCTGGGACAGGAGCTGCCCAACAGAAGCTGTGGCTGTTAACAGAGGAATTCAGTTATAACCCAAATCATGACCAGGCAGGGCACTTTAATGAAGTAAAACTTTTCTGATGACTGTTTTCTGTTTCTTGCGTGAAAGACAATTGCAGGACAGGGGAGATTATACATCAGGTATTGGAGACAACTACAATATGCCCTTTTAATGTCTGTCTGTGGACCAAGTTTACTGTTTGCATTTGTAGCCATGGGAAAGAACAGGGGAAACAAGGTGGACACAACTCTCAGGGGAAAATTGGCCCCTGGTTGCCAAAGCACAGGTGGGGGTAGTGTGATGTGATGACGTTTGCAATGGATAATTTGTATTAGTTAACAGCTCTGGGTCAAAGCTGTTTTGTCTCCATGCAAGAAGTAATGAAAAAAAAAACAATGTTAGTTCCAAGGAAACATATCCTCATCCGTGAATAATTATTTGCTTTGACTCCAGGACACCTTTCATTTAAAGGTGTAAAGGCACAGAGAGGGGGAAGTGAATAATCACTAACTAACCTTTTATCACCATAGGAGAGGACATGCTCCTGGTGCTAACTATTATGAAACTTCAAAGGGAGTGATTGTCAGGTGCCCATAGTTCAGATTATTTTCCTCAGCATGGGAATAAAACACTGCTGCTTCTCACTCACTACAGGTAAAATAAATAGAACTGATAATGTGTATTATATAATTCTACCAAGCCTTGGAGCCAGAAAACACATTGGTTTCCTCTGTCTCTGGGGAAGGGTTTCTTATTACATTTTCTTCTAGTTGACAAGCAATTTGGGAGTATCCCTCAATTACATGGGATGCCCCAGTGTGGGACTGAGAAGAAGATTAGATTGTAGGCTGCTCTATTACTTACTAACTGGGTGGTCTTGAGTATGTTATTTAATCTTCCCAAACCACTGTTTACATCCATAAAACAGTGATAATCTTCATTCCCCTGGCTACAGGAGAACGAGCTTTGATGAGGCAAAGTGGATAAGAATGGGTTCTGGAGTCAGAAAGAGTTCAAAATCTAGGTTATGCTTCTTACCGATTGAGTGAAATGGGGCAAAGTCACCTAACCTCTAAGCCTTAGTTTCTCCATCTGTAAAATAAAGTAATAGAAATAGAAACAAAACAGAAACACAAGATAGAAACAATGTTGTATTATTTTAAAGATTAAATGCTAAAAAACACTTAACACAGTGCTGGCAATAAATAAGCACTCAATAGTTTGCTATTATTATCAGCTGCCCTGTGGTAGACAGAATTCTAAAACAGCCCCTATATTCCTACTCGTGATGCACATGCCCTGTATAGTTCTATTCAGTGTGAATGGAACCTGTGAATATAATGACATATTACTCTTGTGAGGAAAATTATCTTGGGTTGACTTGACCTTTCAGGTGAGTCTTTCTTCTTCTTCTTTTTTTTTTTTTTTTTTTGAGACGGAATCTCACTCTGTTTCCCAGGCTGGAGTACAGTGGTCTGCAACCTCTGCCTCTCGGGTTCAAGTGATTCTCCTGCCTCAGCCTCCTGAGTAGCTGGGATTACAGGCACCTGCCACCATGCCCGGCTAATTTTTGTATTCTTTGTAGAGATGAGGTTTCACCATGTTGGTCAGGCTGGTCTGGAACTCCTGACCTCAGATGATCCACCTGCCTCAGCCTCCCAAAGTGCTGGGATTACGGCGTAAGCCACTGCGTCCAGCCTCAGGTGAGTCTTTTAAAAGCAGAGAGCTTTCTTCACTTGGTGCTGGGAAGAAGTCAGAGAGGTGCACTCTCACTAGCCTGGAGAAAATCAAACATCCCTGCCATGGCAGCCTATGGGGACTACGTGGCATGGAATGTCAGTGGTCTCTGTGAGCCGAGCATAGTCCCCAGCAGGCAGCTAGCAGGCAAAGGGGAACTCATTCCTACAACCCCAAATAATTGAATTTTGCCAATAACCTGAATGAGCTTGGTAGAGGACCTCCAGTCTCAGATAAGAACTACAGCATAGCTGATATCTTGATTGCAGCCTTGTGAGACCCTGAGCGGAGGAGTCAGCTAACCTGTGCTCAGACTCCTGATCCACGGAACTGGAAGGTAATAAATGTCTTGTTTTAATTCACTGTAGGTGGTAATTTGTTTGAAGCAATAGAAGACTAATACACTATTCAGAGTTAATCAACATTGTTTCTGTGGCTCTTGCTGGGTCCATTTCTGTTCCTAATTGCTGTTGTCTAATGCAATACTTGGTTGCATAAATCATGACAGTGCAAGAATGACAAGAGGTGCTGTTCTCCAACACAACCCCTTTAGATTGTCAATACTCTGTCCGACTGTCTTCTCCTGCTAATGGGCTGGTGATGATCATGGGGGAGGAGAGGTTTATAGACCTTTGTGGCTTCAGAAAGGAATAAAAATATCGTCGGGGCTGAGTCTTTCCTGGAAGATGCAACTCGTTATGCAAAAGCCCTTTCTTCATAGTTGTTTCCTGTTTGACACTACAAATCTCTCAATTTCAAAGGGCTTATATGAACTTCAGGCCAAACTTAGCCAGATGATCTGTTGAATAGCTTTAGGTCTTCACTGAGCTTGCAGTATATTGGAAAAAGGAGACATCAAACAAGTAATTGCACAAACCCAGAATTATCAACTGCATTGTGTGCCTTAAACAGAAAGCACAGACTCTCAGAGAAACTTGAGCCTGTGGATTCAGGGGAAACTTTTCTGCATAAGAATGGAAGGATGAGTAGGAGTTGACTAGGCCGAGGGATGATTAAGAGTACATCTCCCAGGAAGAGGGGATGGCTTGTGAAAAGGCCCTGAGGCAGGAAGAGGCATGACTATTTCAGGAAACCTGAAGACTGGAGAACGAGCAAAGAGAGTGAGGAGAAGAGACTGTGGGGCCATGCTAAGGATTTTGGTCTCTCCGGTTTGCCCTTTCAGAAAATCATCCAGGTTGCAATGGAGAAAAAGAAATTGTAGGGAGCAAGGACTGATGGCAGGAATACTAGTTAGGAGGTAATTGCAACCATGCAGACAGGAGCTCATGGCAGCTATGACTAGGATCATGGTGGTGGAGACGGAGAGAAGTTATATAGATCAAGCAGATATAATGTTTTATTTTTGCTTTTACCAATTTTTTTAAAATTGAGGAAAACATTTTCTCATCACTTCTACTATTCTGTGGAGAATTCACATTCATTCACATATTTATTCAACAAATACGTACTGTGTGTCTTTTATGTGCCAGATACCATTTTGGGCATAGGAATATAATCTTGAATAAAATAGTCAAAAAATCTCTGCTCCCAAGGAGTTTACAAGGGAGTTAGACAACAAACAAGGAAAAAAATATATATATATGTGACAGCAATAAATGCTGAAAAGAAAGTTGAAAGTTGACAAGGGGGAATATTAAGTGTTCAAAGAAGGTTGCATTATATGTTATGTCCTGACAAGATCTCACTAAGATGATGACATTTGAGAAAAGATTTGAAGTTGGTTAGGGATCAAGGCATGCAGCTATTGGAGGTAGGAAGACTGAGAGGAAGTATTCTAGTCAGAGGGAACAGCCAGTGCAAAGACTCTGAGGTAGAGAGGTGACTGGCATTTTCCAGAAGGCTGGAGAATAATGGGCAAAGTAACGCATCAGTCATCAATTTCGCAATAATGCTGAGTAACAAGCAAACTCAAAATTTCAGTGGTATACAGTAATAAGCATTTAGGTTTTCCCCTCAGTCTCAAGATCAGCTAGATGGTTTTGCTGATCTGAGCTGATCTTGGTGGGGCTTACTCATGCTTTCACAGTCAGCTGCAAGCCAGCACAGCTTTGCTGATCTTATCTGAGCTCTCTTACATATCTGAGAGTTTTGACAAGATGACTGGGTTGATTTAGGTCTGCTTCCATATCTCTGTTTCTCATATCCTCCAGTAGCAAAAGAGAGTCAGAGAGAGAAAGGGAGGGAGAGAGGCTAGAGAGAGAGAGAGAGAGAGAGAGAGAACACACATAAGCCCTCTTAAGGCCTAAGTTCAGAATGGAGACTGTCACTTCTGCCACATTCTATTGGCCAAAGCAATTGATAAGACAAGTTTAGTTTCAAGGGATGGAGAAATAAACTCCACTTCATAGGAAGAGCTTCAGAGTCACATTGCAAAAGGTGTGAATATAGTGAAGGGTGGAGAATTAGGACCAGATTTGCCATCAGTCTGCCACATTGAGTTAGTAGGAGATACAGTCAGAGAGATAATGGGGATCTAGAAAATGTGGGGCCTTGTAGGCCAGGGTAAGACCTTTGGCTTTTACTCTAAGATGAGAAGCCATTGGAGAGTTTCCAGGAGAGGAGCAACACAATCCTACTCTATTTTAATGAAATCACCCTGGCTGTCAGATTACGAATAGACTGAAGTGGGGCAGGAGACCAGTGAAAAAGACATTCCAGTGATCCAGGCAAGAAATGAGGGTGGCTGGGCCAGGAAACATAGTTAATAGAAGTGCTGAAAACTAGTCAGATTCTAGACATATTTTGAAGGTGGAGTTGTCAGGATTTGCTTACAATGCAAATGTAGGATGTTAGAGTAAAAGAGGAGAAATTTTGGAAAGAGCAACTAGAAAAGCTGTGTTGCAATGTACTGAGATGATTAAAGCTATGGGAGGAGGAGGCTGCAGGGGGAAATATTCTTGAAAAATCCCCAACTACTTGCCAGTTTTTTACTATCTTTGAATGCCATCAACTTGACAGGAAGATTTGACTGAAGTCAGCCAGGGACTCTCCCACAGTCCTTTCTACCAGCTTAGACTTGGGTTCTCACAGATCCAGAGATAACCTCCACTGTAACATACTGCGCAGCCTGCTTCATGTGTACAGCCAGCATCCTTGTCATTAGCTGTGACATCAGCTCCGACTGGTTGCAGCACCCACTCTTGTTTCATCATCCATTCTGATTGGTCAGAACCTTATTTAATTATTGTTCTCCATAGCAGAGCCAAAAGAAACACAATGTGAATGGAAGTGCCCCTCTTTCTAAAAGGCAAAGACCACGTCTTATCCAACTTTGCACTTCTAGATAAAAGAAAGTGAATAAGTCTACTTAGATTCTCTCCATTCATAGCAAAAGCATCTCAAGTTGCATACTCTACTAAGGACTGATGTAACATTTTTTTACTCTGAAGAAAAGGTGCATTGAAAGATAAAAATGATTCCAGGCATGATTATTATAATTCACCAAATATTCTGTGCAGAATTTTTAAAAAATCCCTGTATTTGAATAGGTAAGGTAAAAGTTAACTATTGAAAAGGAGGAATATTTGTGTTCCTTTTGACTCCTTAAATTCTCATCTTGGCTCATGGAGGAGGGGATTGACACCAAAATTTCAGTCCTATCTTAACATGAGAGGAAGTGCAGGGAGGGAGGCTCTGTTACAGTAGGTAGCTAGTCAGACATAAGCATGGCAGGAAAGGACTCCCCTTGCCCCACCAGGAAAGTCAGGCGACCATCAGGTGATGGTTAGGTGGTTGTTACAATATTTCTCTAAACATAACATTAATAATTGGTTGTAGCCAGCCCAGGGAAAGGCAGTCTCCCAATAGATAGAAAACACCTGAAACCGGTGATCAGCAGCTTCCTGATAAGATATCAGGAGTTGGGCGGGTAGGCTCTAGCATGTGCACTAAGGCAAAATGGCGCAACTTAACTGGTATATGACCTTCTAAGGACATGCAACTGGTAAGGGAAGAACGCCTCAAGTGAGCATGTGTACAACTCCAGTACAAACACTGCGCATGCTCCCCTCCCAGATGCTAGCAGGCTGTTGCACATACGGACAGCCCCTCCCAAGGGAAGAATCCGGGAGAAGGAATGCAAGACCCTGGGAGCATGCCAACATATAAAACCCTAAGTCAAAAGGTCCAACTGTGCACTTGATCTCTCAGTTCGCCCCCTTGGGCCTCTTCCAAGTGTACTTTACTTCCTTTCGTTCATGCTCTAAAGCTTCTTCTTTTTTTTTTTTTTTTTTTGAGACGGAATCTCACTCTGTTGCCCAGGCTGGAGTGCAGTGGCGTGATCTCGGCTCACTGCAAGCTCCGCCTCCGGGTTCACGCCATTCTCCTGCCTCAGCCTCCCGAGTAACTGGGACTACAGGCGCCCGCCATCATGCCCGGTTAATTTTTTGTATTTTTAGTAGAGACAGGGTTTCACAGTGTTAGCTAGGATGGTCTCCATCTCCTGACCTCATGATCCGCCCACCTCGGCCTTCCAAAGTGCTGGGATTACAGGCGTGAGCCACCGTGCCCGGCCTAAAGCTTTTTAATAAACCTTCACTCCTGCTCTAAAACTTGCTTCAGTGTTTCCCTCTGCCTTATACCCCTCTGTGGAGTTCTTTCTTCTGGGGAGTCAAGAAGTGAGGCTGCTACAGACCCATATGGATTTGTCTGCCTCCCTCAGACAAAAATGGCAACTCTGGGCTGGGCATGGTGGCTCATGCCTATAATCCTAGCACTTTGGGAGGCCGAGGCGAGTGGATCACTTGAGCTCAGGAGTTTGAGACCAGCCTGGGCAACATAGTGAAAACCTTATCTCTACCAAAAAATACAAAAATTACTTGGGCATGGTGGCATGTGCCTGGAGTCCCAGCTACTAGCTGAGAGGTGAGAGAATTGCTTGAGACCAGGAGGGCAAGGCTGCAGTGAGCTGAGATCTCACCACTGCACTCTAGCCTGGGGGACAGAGTGAGACCTTGCCTCAAAAAACAAGCAAACAAGCAAACAAATGGCAAGTCTGATTGGCAAATGTGTAATATTTACTAGGACATGCTTTATTAATGGGTAGGAATTGACTCTGCAGAGTGAAACCAGCCCAACGCATTCCCTTCACTGGGAGCATGCTGCCAAGGTGTGGGCCTTCACTCTGTCCCATTGCGGTTCATTTATGAAGCAGCCTTAGTCCTTGCAACTGGCTATAGCTGGTGAATTTGGGTGGGCTCTGCGTACCTAACTCTTCTCTCAGATACATGAGGTGAGCAGTTCCCAAAGTCTAGTTTGGGTGAAGAGTAGGAGGCCTCATTTGACCTCAGCCATGCTCTCTTGCATGCAGAATCACTTGGCCAGTGCCCCATCTAGCTCCCTTGTGTGAGCTCCCCATCAGTCAGAGATGACAGGGATGAGTCATCTCTGAAGAACTTGAAGCCCTAACATCAGCATCAAGCCCAACTGAGATATTTAAAGAACTAGGATTTTCTCTCATGTTAATCCTCAGCATAATCTCCCTTCTCCTTTTTTTTTTCTGCTTCTAGAATAGTCCTTCTTTATCCCTTTATTTCCTTTTCTGAGGCATATTTAATAGAATGTGAAATTGCATATTTATTAATGATGGCTTTTTTGGTTTCAAGTAACAGAAACACACTTGAGCTCTCCAAAAGCAAAGAGATATAATTTAGTTTAAGAAATAGGCCTGTCTCAAAACTCAAGGGCAAATAAATAGCTGAACTTCAGAAATAAATCAGAGCCTCCAGCGTAGTCAGGACCCACCCTCCCATCTCTAGGGTAGGTGACCACACATGCCAGTATGTGCCGGCCTATCCTTGTTGACATCTGTCACCCTGCCCCTTTCACTTTTGTGTCAGTCTTTGTCCATGAGGGGGCAGAAACCACAGTGACTTAAACAGAGAAAGTTTAATATAAATTTTTTAAAATTATGTTAAAAGAGCAATTATAATATATAAGATAACTCTATGTGGTACCCTAAGGCTGAGTACCCAAGAGAGTACCCAAGGAGGGATGAACATAAAACATAAAACAGGATGAACATAAAACAGGATGAGCCCTTCCCCAAGGCTCAGATTGCAACCACTGGATGGCAGAGAAGTTTGCTGATTTGCCCAGGCCAGAGCTGGTCTGCAGCCACTGGGCAAGCAGGAAGCAACCCTCTGGGGCACAGGTGGCACATTACAAAAACTGCAGCCAATGGCTTGGCACGTGAGCATGCAGAGGGAGTAGGGACACCATTGCAGACAAGGAGGTCTGGAGCCTGCAGTGTCTGTGGTAAGAAGGCCATGGGAAAGTGGGCATTAGGCCAGGACAGAGCTGCAAGGACATCAAGGAATCATGAGTTCTGGGCCTGTGGCTGGAATTAGAACACCACTGATGTTCCCACACCCACACTGCTGCCTGATGGTGCAGCCACCACTAACACCAGGAAGGCTCCTTTCTCCTGTAATGTCCCATCAGGGCCCTCTACTGAGAAAGCTTCACATGGTGAATGATCAAATCATTTTTTCTCTGTAAAGAAGAAATGCCCAATGGAATTCCGTCCATTATTGCAGAGCAGGTATTGAAGGGTGAATTTGAATCTGAAAGTCAGTAAATTATTAGCACAACTCTCAACAGTACCCTGGTAAGAATGATTAATTCCCAGAAGAGTGAAATCCATAGGGAAAGGAAATAGAATAATAGTTGCCAGGAGCTGTGGGGCTGTGGGAATGGAGTTACCCGTTAATGCTTATAGAGTTTCAGTTTGGGAAAAGGAAGACATTTTGGAGATAGACTGTAGTGATGGTTGCACAAAAACGTGAACATAATGCCACTGAATTGCATGCTCAAAAAGGGTTAAATTGTAAATTTTATATTTGGTGTATTTTACCACAATTTTAAAAATGATGAATTCCTGGTCACTCTATTCATCTCTCATCTCTGCTCTTCTCTGAACATCTACTTCCTTTTTCATTTCCGTTTCTTAGACCACACACTAAAAAATACAGCCACCAACAGCTCCTGGAGTTACCTCTCCTTTGCTTAAGAAACCAGACGGATGGCCGGGGGCAGTGGCTCATGCCTGTAATCCCAGCACTTTGGGATGCCGAGGTGGGCAGATCATGAGGTCAGGAGATCGAGACCATCCTGGCTAACATGGTGAAACCCCATCTGTACTGGAAATACAAAAAATTAGCCGGGCATGGTGGCGGGTGCCTGTAGTCCCAGCTACTTAGGAGGCTGAGGCAGGAGAATGGCATGAACCCGGGAGGCGGAGCTTGCAGTGAGCTGAGATCATGCCACTGCACTCCAGCCTGGGCAACAGAGAAAGACTCCGTCTCAAAAAAAAAAAAAAAAAGAAAGAAAGAAACCAGCCAGACTAAGTGCTGCACTCCCATCATTCTCTCTTTCAAATTGTCCTGGAAGATCTGCAGCAGCTTTGGTCCAATGCTCACTTTGGCCATTTGGGCCAGTGTCATGGTCATATGGTATAGACCTGTTTTCAGAGGAGTTTGTTTGTGGAGGGGGAAGGGAACCACACTGACAAAACCAGAGGAATCTACTATAATCATTTAATGACTCCTCTCCCCTCCAGTCTTCCAACTAAATAAAGAAGCCAGGAAAAAGTGAATATTAAAAAATTCACATTAAGAGTGAAACCAATAGTAAAAATCATGTCAGATCAGTCCATTTTTTTTCTTCTCTCCACCTATGTTAGTAGTATGAATCAGTAAGAGAGGCATATGGCAGAATAATCAGAATTATTTATCAAGCTAATTAACCATAGATTGTTTCCTAAGTAGTCACAAAATGGCAGAAATCTTTATATATATAGGGAGACATAGTACTTGTATTAAGATAATTAAAAATTATTTGTGATTGTTACTGTGATTATCATTTTTTTATCTTTGCTAGCACAACTCCTCAAACTGATATATATTCCCATCAGGTGCTTTAGAGAAGCACTGGCCTTTCTCTTGACAGGCAGTGTGCATTTTGGCAACAGATTTTGAATGGAAAAAATACAAGCTTTTCCCAAGCCCTAAACACAGAATATGCCATCTATTAGTTTGGATTTCTTCCTTAACGATCACTGTACCAATATGTGGTGGTTTTTCTAAGGAGAAATCGATCCAAATCTTTCTTTGGACTCAGAATCCAAGAAGCCTGAGTTTTATCCCTGGCTTGGTCACAGATGCACTGAAAATGGGCAAGTTACTTCCGTCTTTGTCTGAATTTCTCCATCTGGCAAATGTAGATTCTGACACTCACCATCAGATAATGTTTGCAAAATGTTTGATGGTCCTTGCTGGTAGGCAGTATGTAATTGCAAACTGTTGGTTCATTTTTTTTCTGTCCTAAAAATTCTTCTCTTTCTTGAGAAACTATTTTTAAATTAAAAATATCACTTTTAAAGTATGAGCACACAGTAATAAAAATTCAGTTGGTACTGGAGAGTAATTTTTAAAAAAGTAAAGGTTTTACTCTTTGGCATTCCCCAGAGGTAATAGCTTAAAATTTTTCTATTTTGAATCTTTCTAAGGCCAACCTCTACAATAATAACATTATTCCTTTACTTTTTATATATCAACTTCAAAGTATGTCTGATTGCTGGACCCCCTTGTGAAAGATGAAGCTCTTGGCTCATTTATACTTCCCCTTCAACAGCAACTTCCAGATATATTTTGTTTTTGTTATTCTTTTAGACACTTCTATAGCTTTATACAATATGTTCATCTTTCAATTTCTTTTAAAAGACTTATTTTTAATTATGGGTACATAATAGTTGTATATATTTGTGCATGTGATATTTTGATACAAGTATCCAATCTGTCATGATCAAATCATGGTAATTGAAGTATTCATCACCTCAAGCCTTTATCATTTCTTTGTGTAAGGAACATTCCAATTCTACTCTTTTAGTTATTTAAAAATATGCAGTAAGTTATTGTTGACTGTAGTCACCTTATTTTGCTACCAAATACTAGATCTTATTCATTCTAACTATATTATTGTACTTGTTAACCATCCTTTCTTTACCTCCCCCTCCTCCACACTACCCTTCCCAGCCTCTGGCAACCATCATTCCACTCTCTATTTCTGTGAGTTTATTTATTTATTTATAGCTCCCACATGTGAGTGAGAACATGCAATATTTGTCTTTCTGTGTCTGGCTTATTTCACTTAACACAACATCCTCCAGTTCCATTCATGTTGTTGCAAATGACAGGATTTCATTCGTTTTATTGCTGAATAATATTCTAATGTATATATTCCCCACCTTTTCTTTTTCCATTTATCCATTGATGAACACAGTTTGCCTCCAAATCTTGGCAATTGTAAACAGTGCTGCAATAAACATGGAAGTGCAGCTATCTCTTCAATATACTAATTCCCTTTCTTTTGGCTATACACCCAGCAGTGGGATTGCTGGATTCTATGGTATCTCTATTTTTTTTTTTTTTTTTTTTTGAGATGGAGTCTCGCTCTCTTGCCCAGGCTGGAGTGCAGTGGCACGATCTCGGCTCACTGCAAACTCTGCCTCGCGGGTTCACACCATTCTCCTGCCTCAGCCTCCCAAGTAGTTGGGAGTACAGGCACCCACCACTGTGCCCGGCTAATTTTTTGTATTTTTAGTAAAGACGGGGTTTCACCGTGTTAGCCAGGATGGTCTCGATCTCCTGACCTCATGATCCACACGCCTTGGCCTCCCAAGGTGCTGGGATTACAGGCATGAGCCACCGCACCTGGCCTATGGTAGCTGTATTTTTAGTTCTTTTTGAGAAACCTCCATACTGTTCTCCATGGCTATACTAATTTACATTCCCACAATAGTGTTCCAGGGTTCTCCTTTCTCAGTATCCTCACCAGCATTTGTTATTGCCTGTCTTTTGGATAAAAGCCATCTTAACTGGAGTGAAATGATATCTCATTGTAGTTTTACTTTGCATTTCTCTGATGATTAATGATGTTGAGCATTTTTCATATTCCTATCAGCCATTTTTATGTATTTTTTAAAGAAATGTGTATTTAGATAGTTTGCCCATTTTAAAATCAGATTATGTTTTTTTTTTTCCTATTGTTGTTTGGGCTTCTTATATATTCTGGTTATCAATCCCTTATCAGATGGGTAGGTTGCAAATATTTTCTCCCATTTTGTGGGTTGTCTCCTACCTGTGTTGATTGTTTCCTTCGCAGTGCAGAAGTTTTTTAACTTGATATGATCCCATTTGTCCATTTCTGCTTTTATCACCTGTGCTTCTGAGGTCTCACTCAAGAAATCTTTGTCCAGACCAATGTCCTGGAGTGCTTCCCTAATGTTTCCCTCTATTAGTTGTATAGTTTTAGTCTTAGAATTAATTATATAGTCCATTTTGATTTCTATTTTTGTATATGGCAAGAGATAGGAGTCTAGTATGGTGAGAGATAGGAGTCTAGTTTCATTCTTCTGCATATGGATCTCCAGTTTCCCCAGCACCATTTATTGAAGAGACTGTCTTTTCTCCAATGTACATTCTTGGCACCTTTGTAAAATATGAATTGACTGTAAATGTGTGGACTTATTTCTGGTTCTCTATTCTTTTCCATTGCCCTATATGTCTGTTTTTAAGTCAGCACCATGCTATTTAGGTTACTATAGCTCTGTAGTATAATTTGAAGTCAGGTAATGTGATTCCTCCAGTTTTGTTCTCTTTGCTCAGGATGGCTTTGGCTATTCTGGGTCTTTTTTGGTTCCATATAAATTTTAGATGTTTTTTCTATTTCTATGAAGAATGTCATTGGTATTTTGGTAGGGATTGCATTGAATCTGTAGATTGTTTAGGGTACTAGAGACATTTTAACTAAATTGAGTCTTCCAATCCATGAATGTAGAATATCTTCATTTTGGGTTGTCTTTTTCAATTTCTTTCATCAATGTTTCATAGTTTTCATTGTAGAGATTACTTCTTTGGTTGACTTTATTCTTGGTATTTTATTTTATTCGTAGCTATTGTAAATGAGATTACTTTCCTGGTTTCTTTTTCAGATTCTTTTCTGTGGGCATATAGAAATGCTACTGATTTTTGCATGTTGATTTTTTTATCCTGCAACTTTACTGAATTTGTTTATAGGTTCTAACTGTTTTCTGGCAGAGTCTTTAGGTTTTTCTAAATATGATTTTATATCGTCTGCAAAGAAGGATAATTTGACTTCTTCCTTTCCAATTTGGAGGCCGTTTATTTCTTTCTTTTGTCTAATTGCTTTGGCTAGGACTTCCAGTACTATGTTAAATAGGAATGGAGAAAGTGGGCATTCTCATCTTGTTACAGATCTTAGATGAAAGGCTTTCATTTTTTCCCCATTAAATATAATACTAGCTATGGGTTTGTCATATACGGCTTTTATCATGTTGAGGTATGTTCCTTCTATACTCAGTTTTTTAAGAGTTTTTGTCATAAAGGATGTTGATGTTGAATCTTATCAAATGCTTTTTTGGAATCAATTGAAATGATCCTATGGTTTTTGTCCTTCATTTTGTTGATATTATTTATCACATTTATTGATTTGCATATGTTGAACCATCCTTGCATCCCTGGGATGAATCCCACTTGATCATGATGGATGATATGTATATATTTTTTTCAAGATGGAGTCTTGCTCTGTCACCCAGGCTGGAGTACAGTGGCGCAATCTCAGCTCACTGCAACCTCCGCCTCCCAGGTTCTAGCAATTCTCCTGCCTCAGCCTCCCAAGCAGCTGGGATTACAGGCACCTGCCACCACACCTAGCTAATTTTTGTATTTTTAGCAGAGATGGGGTTTCACCATGTTGGCCATGCTGCTCTTGAACTCTTGACCTCATGATCTGCCCACCTTGGCCTTTCAAAGTGCTAAGATTACAGGCATGAGCCACCACGCATGACTGTGATGAATGGTATTTTTAATGTATTACTGAATTTGGTTTGGTAGCATTTTGTTGAAGATTTTTGTATCTGTGTTCATCAGAGATACTGGCCTGCAGTTCTCATTTTCAACTTTCCATTTCTTGATTCATTGATTTTAGCCAGTACCTCTTGACTTGCCTCTAAGACAATGAAGGATTTAACAGCCCTACCTTCCTGTCTCTGTCTCCTCCCCTAATGGCTATTCCCAATGTCACAGCTTCAGTTCATCACATAGTTAATTTTACATTGCCAAAATTTATAGAAGTTATACTTTCCTATATAATTATACTTTCTTTTTCTGTGTTTTGGCTGTTTGTTAAGTCTAAAAGTAGTCAGAATTTATATTTTATTTAAAAGAATATTACTATACACTGTATAATCAATTCCATTCAATTCCAATAAAAATATTTGTTTATTACATACTTTGGGCCAGACACTCTTCTAAGTGCTAAGGATACATCACTGAGTACAACAGGTGAACATCCTGCCTTTAAAGAGTTTACATTTTAATGTATGGTTAGACTCATAGAAAACATGATGCAACTCTATGTCATTTAACCAGTGCCAATAGAAAAATAAATGAACATACTTAAATTGGGAGAAGGAGAGAGGAAGTAGAGAAAACAGGGTGCTGAATTTTTATAATATATTATTAGATATGCCTTTACTTTCTGTCTATGATAACCCAGAATCCTCAGCATTTTAGAAGAAATGTATTTCTTTTTCTTAAAGATATTCTTTCCAAGGCCTCCTGACTTGCCGATCTAATTTGCTGTTTTCAATTTCATCCTGCTGAAGGATTCTTTGTTTAGTTTATTGTAGGGGTTTTCTTGCTTTTGCTTTTCCCGGTTTTATTTTGTATTGAATGGCTAGGTTGGTTGCTTTTATAATTCCAGGTCTTTCTCTTTTATTTATACTGCTGGAATAAATTCTCAAACAATTATTTCAAGAAGTATCATATATTCAGATAAGGACTTTATTTTCACCATTTCATTATCCCATTTGGTCGATAGTTTTTGCTGGGAATAGAATTATTTATTAAAAATCCATTTCTATCAGAACTCTGAAGGTATTCTCTCACACCCTGAAGAAAAGATCAGATGCCAACCTGAGTTTTGCTCCCCTGAGGCTATCCTGCCCTCCTATCAACCCATAAGTATTACATATTCTTTTCTTTAGCCTTGGCAAAAGAAATTTTACAAGGATATATTTAAGTGTGGGTCTTTTTATAAAACTAATTTTGCTGGGTATATTATAGTTGCCCCCTCTCATGAGACTTGCCTGTCTTCAGCTATGGAAAAATCCCCTTTATTCTATTTATTTATTTATCTATTTATTTAACTTTTACTAGTCATGTGCAGTAGTGAGAAGCAGGCAAAGAGTAGAACAAGGAGTTTGATCTGTAACTGACTGAACAATCAATTGAAATAACTCATTACCCTCAGACCAGCCTTTCTTTGTTCTTTGTTTCTTGGACAAATTCCTAGCCTTTTGGAAATCATACTGGGTAGATGTGGGCCTTCTTATATTGCTTCTCCATATTTATTCACTCTTCTCATAATTCATGTCTTAGCTTTCTCTCTCTCTCTCTCTCTCTCTCTCTCTCTCTGTTCTGGGAAATTTATTTAACTCTTTGGTCCAGTCTTTCCATTGAATTTTTTATTTTAACAATGACATTTTTAATTTCCATTAATTCTTTCTTATTCTCAGATAGCAGCCCTTTTTAATTTAATGGATGCAGTATCTTATTCGTTTAAGGTTATCTTCTCTTCTTTGAACCATCTGTTTCCTTTGCGTCCTTTGCTCTGCTATCCATAGGGGTCTTTGCCTTTTGTGCTGATCACTTTCTCTCCCTGTGTATGAAGGATTGGACTGATTGCCTCAGATAGCTGATATGGGTTGCCTCTGCCTTTTAGGGCCTACTCATCAATAAGAAGGCTGGCCTCATGACCTGGGTATGATTTCAGGGTCCTGGTTCCCCGGCTTCACTTTAGGGCATGTGGGCAGAGGGCTAGGCCCCACTGCCTCCCTATTTTACACTGCCAGAAGAGGCTCTGCTGTGAGGAGCCAGTCCCCACTCTGCAAGCCTTGTACCCTCTAGAGTGTAGTTCTTGGTTTTAGCATGAGGGCAGTGCCCCCACTATAGTCTGGGAGCTGGTTGTGAAAGAAGGTGAGGCCAATCTGGACAACCATCCTGTAAACAAGTCTCCAACCAAGCCCCCAATTTTGTCTCATATCCATGGATTCCAGTGTCACAGTCTTGTGAAATATTCTGAACTTTTACAATCTTCTTCTACGCGTCTTCTAAGCTGTGTCTCCCTTTCTCTTATTTTTCTACCAATAAAACTCTTCTGTCTTCCATTCCAGATGTCAGTAAAAATCTTCCTCCCCCTCATGCACCCACCTCTTATTTTCAATGTCTTTCTGAACATATTCCTATTTATCTCTTTTCTAACATTTCAAAAGATTTTAAGAGCAAAAAGGAAGATAGAGATGTATGCCCTACCCAGCATCTTGTATCAGAATCTCCTTTCTTTTTCCCTTATAAGATACTGAAAATATCACCTTAAATTGTGTTTCATTACTGTTGTTTTCAAGTATTGAAAAGAGACTTTTTGTCTTGAATAAGTTGGTGGCTATTTTTGTCTTTATTTCTGTCATAGCAGGTGCCAGTCCAATTGTGAATTTAAATATATTATCTCAGTAACTGGGTTCAAATTATGGGATGTGTCCAGCGCTGAGAATTGAGGGTTAGGCAAGAACCTCTGTCTTCTGAAAAATAAAATGTTCAACATGTGGGGTATTTGTTTCTGAGACACAAGTCTAAGAGTGCAGAGTTGTGGGGTTTTTCAACTCAAGTGAGTGTCCTTCCTTGGATTTGGTAGTGGTTTCTTAGATATGTCACCAAACACACAACCAACCAAACAAACAAACAAAACCTAGATCTTCATTAAAATGGAAAACTTTTGTGCTTTAAAGGACACTGCTTTATCTGAATATTTGTGTCCCTCCAAAATTCATAGGTTAAAATCTTAATCCCCAAGATAATGGTATTAGGAGATGGGGCCTTTGGAAGGTAATTAGGTCTCAAGGGCAGCATGTCATGAGTGGGATTACTGCCCTTATAAAGAAGGCCTGAGGATTCCCTGCCTCCTCCACCATGCCAGATTACAGTCAAAACAAAACTATCTATGAGGAAGCCTCGCTAGACAATCTGCCGGCACCTTGATCTTGGAGTTCCAATCTCCAGAACTGCTTGTGCGTTACCCAGTTTTATAGTATTTTGTTTTAGCAGCCCAAATAGACTGAGACAGAGACAGTAAGAAAGTGAAAAGACAACCCACAGGACCATGTGCAGTGGCTCACATCTGTAATCCCAGTGCCGAGGTGGCTGGATCACCTGAGGTCTGGCCAGGTGGATTAGCCTGGCCAGCATGGTGAAACCCCATCTCTACTAAACATACGAAAATTAGCCAGGTGTGGTGGCACATGCTTGTCATCCCAGCTACTCAGGAGGCTCAGGCATGAGAATTGTTTGAACCTAGGAGGTGGAGGTTGCAGTGAGCTGAGCTGAGATTGTGCCACTGCATTCCAGCCTCAGCAGCAGAATGAGACTCTGTCAAAAAAAAAAAAAAAAAAAAAAAAAAGACAAACCACCAAGTGAGACAAAATATTTGCCAATAATATATTTAACAAGGCACTTGTATTAATAAAAAGACAATCCAATTTTTTTTTTTTTTTTTGAGACAGAGTCTCGCTCTGTCGCCCAGGCGGGAGTGCAGTGGTGCCATCTCAGCTCACTGCAAGCTCCGCCTCCCAGGTTCACACCATTCTCCTGCCTCAGCCTCCCGAGTAGCTGGGACTACAGGCACCCACCACCATGCCTGACTATTTTTTTGTATTTTTAGTAGAGATGGGGTTTCACCATGTTGGCCAGGATGGTCTCGATCTCCTGACCTCATGATCCACCTGCCTTGGCCTCCCAAAGTGCTGGGATTACAGGCATGAGCCACCACGCCTGGCTGACAATCCAATTTTTAAATGGGCAAAAAGTCTGAATAGACATTTCTCCATGTATCCAAAGATACGCAAACAGCAACAAGCACACAAAAAGATGCTTAATATCATTGGTCAACAGGGAAATGCAAATCAAAGCAACAATGAGATATCACTTCATACCACTGTTATGGCTAGAATAAAAAAGACAGATAATGACAAGAATTGGTAAGGCTGTAGAGAAATTGGAATCCTCATACATTGCTAGTGGGAATAGAAGTGGTACAGCTACTTAAGAAAGTCAAGCAGTTCTTCAAAATGTGAAATAGAGAGTTACCATATGATCCAAAAATTTCACTTCTAGGTATATACCCAAGAGAAATCAAAGCATACATCCACACTGAAACTTGCATACAAATGTTCACAGTAGCATTATTTATAGTAGCCAAAAGCTGGAAACAATGCAAATGTCTATTAATTGATTAATGGATGAATAAAATTTGGCATATCCATTCAATGGAATTTTGATTTATTTATTTATTTATTTTGAGACTGAGTCTCGCTCTGTCACCCAGGCTGGAGTGCAGTGGCACAATCTCGGGTCACTGCAAGCTCCACCTTCCGGGTTCACGCCATTCTCCTGCCTCAGCCTCCCGAGTAGCTAGGACTACAGGTGCCCACCACCACGCCCAGCTAATTTTTTGTATTTTTAGTAGAGACGGGATTTCACCGTGTTAGCCAGGATGGTCTCGATCTCCTGACCTCGTGATCCACCCGCCTCGGCCTTCCAAAGTGCTGGGATTACAGGCATGAGCCACCGTGCCTGGCCTATTCAATGGAATATTAATGGCAATAAAAAAGAATGAAGTACGGACATATTCTACTATTGGGGCGGACCTTGAAAACATGCTAGCTGAAAGAAGCCAGTCACAAAAGACCAATATTGTTTCATTCCATTTATATGAAACGTCCAGAACAAGCAAATCTATAGACAGAAAGTACGTTAGTGGTTGCCTAGGGCTGGGCAGGATGTTAGGTTTAGGGGTGATAGCTAAAGGGTACAGAGTTTCTATTTGGTGATAAAAATGTTCTAAGATTGATTTTGATGATGTTTGCACATCTCTTGAATATACTAAAAATCATCGAACTGCACAATTAAGAAAATAAGATTGAATCAGGAGGCCATTTTGAGTAGGGTTTAAGAATACAGACTTTGGAATCAGGCTGACCTGAGTTCAATTCCTGGCTTTACTACTTACTGGTTGTATGACTTTACTGAGGTACTAATTCTCACTGCTCCTCAATTCCCACATCTGGAAAGCAAAAATAATGATATCAGAATTGGAGTGCACGTGTATGGGCACACACCCCACACACACGCTTCTCAAAATGGCCAGAAAGTGTTTTGTGAAAGCAGAATGGTGGAGGCCAGTCAAGTCTTCCTCACTCCTTCTCTGCAACAACATACCCCTCTCCAACACTCGCCTTGGTGCGGAAGCAGCTATGTCCTGCTTTATCCTGAGGTGCTTGACTCAGGGGAGAGAAGACAGATCTAATTCAGTGAGAAACCAACTAATTGTCACCTTCTCTTGGTCCTTTCTTTTCCTCTGACTTTTATCAATCCCAGTCCCATATGCATAAAGTCCCTTCCTCAAATTTGAAAAATGGATAGGGGTGAAAGACAGCAAAAAATTAACTTTAAAAATATCTCACTATTTTGATGTTATACCCCAGGTCCCAGGGACAGAGTAGACAAGGACTGGACATTTATCAATTACAAACTCCAAGGCTAGGATAAGTTACTTCAATGGTTGTGGAAATTACAAGTGGTACTTAGATGCTAGCTGACTTTGGCAAAGACCAAGCAGATTAATCATTATGGTGTAGTACAAAGTCTAGATGAAACCAAGTCAGCCCAGTAATTCTAGCTGGAGAGGGCATGTAAACACTTCAAAAACAATCAGGCAAAAAAACATAGGCTGTGGGGAATAGCCATTTCCAAAGCCACAGAAAACTTACGGATGAGTTTTCTAAGAGAATGTTTTATCTCAAGCCAAATAGACGTACCATTAAAGCACCAAGCCTATAGCCTGCTGGACTTACCAATCCATACTTCTCAATAAAGGACCACTCACCCAAAAGGAAAAACATTTCCAACTCCTTTCTTTACCTACCTTACTCTGATCTAAAATTGACTCTACTGAGAAGGCAAGGAAGATGTGACTAATAGTTTGGCAGGAAGCAAATCCACCCTACAGTGGCAATCTAGGATTGGTACTAGCCATCAGGATGGTTGGTTCTTAGCAAGATGGTGGTGACATAGAGTTATAAAATTTCTAGGTTAAAGCGAAGATAAGAATAATGAACATAGTGATGATAATACAATAATCATAGCAAACATTTATTAAGAACTTACTATGCCCAGGAAGTATTCTAAATACTTCATGTTTTAACCCATCAAATTCCAACCATAACCCTACAACTAATATTCTCATTATTTAGAAGACAAAACTTAAGATAGAAACCAGCCTCTTATTTGGTAGCACCTAGAATTGAGGCCAAGGGAAGTAAAGAGATCTTGCATATAATTATTGAAGTTTGTTTTATTTGCCTTCAGACTTCCTTCTTCATGAATTCATCTTTTCTCTTTACCGTATTTCAGGTTCTCAATCCTTTTTATTTATTCATTTATTTTAAATAGAGACAGGGTCTCACTATGTTGCCCAGGCTGGTCTCAAAGTCCTGGGCTCAAGCTATTCTCTTGTCTCAGCCTCTCAAAGTGCTGGTATCACAGATGTGAGCCACCGTGCCTGGACAATTCTCTTTATTTATAAAGAAACCTGGCCGGGCACAGTGGCTCACACCTGTGATCCCAGCACTTTGGGAGGCCGAGGTCAGGAGATCGAGACCATCCTGGCTAACACGGTGAAACCCCGTCTCTACTAAAAATACAAAAAATTAGCCAGGCGTGGTGGCGGGCGCCTGTAGTCCCAGCTACTCGGGAGGCTGAGGCAAGAGAATGGCGTGAACCCAGGAGGCAGAGCTTGCAGTGAGCCGAGATCTCGCCACTGCACTCCAGCCTGGGCAACAGAGCGAGACTCTGTCTCAAAAAAAAAAAAAAAGAAACCTGTTTTCATGAAAACATCTTATGTCAGCCATTTATCCTTTACTCATCAAGGTCACTAACATCTAAGTGATATTGGTGCAAAACCCAATGTTTAATGTCTTCCTCTTGCTTGTCCCATAGGCAGTGTTTTTTTCTTTTTGTTTGTTTTTTAGAATTTCAAATTTTATTATAGACTAAAGGGTACACATACAGTTTTGTTACACTGAGTAATGCTGAGGCAACTGGGTAAATTGAGTGATGCTGAGACTTGGGGTCCCACATGGCAAAAGGAATGCACAAGCTCCCTCAGGCCTCTTTTATAAGAGCACTAATCCCAATTCATGAGGTGGCGCTCTCATGACCTAATCACTTCCCAAAGCCTCCATCTCTTAATATCATTGCATTGGAGATGAAGTTTCAACATGTGATTTTTTGTGGGGATACATGAATATTCAGACCACAGCAATGTCTGAGACATCTCAAACTTACTATGACCAAAACCAAAGACGTAATTTCCTTTACCAAACCTGCTTCTCCCACAGCCTTTCCCTGTATCAGTAAATGGCAACTCTGCCATTCCTTTTTTTTTTTTTTTTTTGAGACAGAGTCTCGCTCTGTCACCCAGACTGGAGTGCAGTGGTGCAATCTCGGCTCACTGCAATCTCCGCCTCCTGGGTTCAAGCGATTCTCCTGCCTCAGCCTCCCGAGTAGCTGGGATTACAGGCACCTGCCACGATGCCAGGCTAATTTTTGTATTTTTAATAGAGATGGGGTTTCACCATGTTGGCCAGGCTGGTCTCAAACTCCTGACTTCAGGTGATCCGCCCACCTCGATCTCCCAAAGTGCTGGGATTACAGGTGTGAGCCACCACGCCAGGCCTACCTCTGCCCTTCTAGGTGCTTAGGTGAGGAGTCTTGGAGTCATCCTTGACTCCTCTCTTCATCTCCATATTTACATAAACAAATCCTATGGCTCTACAATCAACACAGATCCACAACTTAATATTTTGCTCACCATCTCACAATTGCTGTGGTCTGGTCCAAGCCTCAACCTTCCTGCCTGGATTGTTGTGACAGCGCTGAAAACAGTTTGTTCTTCCACCTCTGCCCCACTGCAGCATATAGAGTGAAATTTTGAAGCCATGAAGTCAAAATCCTACAATAGCCTCATATGTCACTCAGTCAATAACTGAATTCCCTCAATGGTTCATAGGCTGTACATGCTTCGCAGGTTTCCTAACCTCACCCAACAATCCCTCTGATCTCCTTCTCGTACAGTATCTCTTAATTCACTTGCTCTTGGTCTCCTTGTTGCTTTTGTGTGTATCAGTCATGTCACTACTTTAAGGTCTTTGCACGTGCTATCTCTCAGTCTGGAACACTCTTCCCCAGATAAACGCATGGCTAGCATCTTCTCTTATTTTAGGACTGTGCTCAAAAATCATTAGAGAAGCCACTCAAAATGATTAGAAAAGAAGCCACTGAATATAAATGACAACATATCACTTCTGCATTCCTGATCCCCTTTCTCTTGATTTGTTGTGAGCCGTAGCAATTATAACCACTTGATTATTATATGTTTAATTGTTTATTGTTGGTCTCTCCATATTAACTCTAAACCACATGAAAGCAGAAACTTTGTTTATTTTGTTCACTGTAATATCCCCAGCATCTCAAACAGCACCTGTCACTGTTAAATACGTGAATGGATAAAGTTAAATCAGAGTGTAACCTATCACAGGACTACTTGTTATTAGGATTTACCTTAATAATAAAATAATAAAATCTGCAATTTACTTTATTGCAGAAATAAAGACATTTCTTCTGTCAAAGAACTTCAGGACCTAAATATGGTGAGGGTGAATGTATCTGTGGAATTATTCTTCATGGGGTCCCTAACCCTACCTTCATATTGATTTATCCTGAAAACTGTTTCTTTAAAGATTCACTTATAAATTAAAATCAATGATAGAAGGATGACCATATTTCTTTGGTTTGGTCAGGGCTTTTTCAGGCGTTAAAATGTGTTGATAATTGCGGCTGTGTAACTATCTGTTGACTTGACTAGAGTCCTTGTGACATCTGTATGTTTTGGGAAATCTTTTTTTTTTTTTTTTTCACATCCCTTGAGGAAAAACATGAAGACCTGAGAGTACAGTGGCCACAGCTATTCTCTGGGAACCAACTTAAGGGCTGTCTTCCTTTTAAAAAGCACACCACATATACCCACTCCTATTATGAATATGATAGCCATGAGTGTGACTGCCATGGAGACCCAGCTGCACCACAGACCTCATGTCAGATGAACAGACAGTTAAATGAATGAATTTGCTGAAGAGACTGAATGTTTGGTTTGCTTACAGACTGTTTTTTTAACCTTTGCCCATTCAGCAACTGTTAGTAACTGTTTTGTCTCCTTACCCCACAGTACAGTTGGTCCTCCATATCCATGAGTTCTGCATTGGCAGATTCAACCGTGTATTGAAAATATCTGAAGAAAAAGGATGGTTTCATCTGTACTGAACGTGTATAGACTTTTTATCTTGTCATCATTCCCTAAACAATACAGCATAACGACTATTTACGTAGCATTTACATTGTATTAGGTACTATAAGTAATCTAGAGATGGGCCAGGAACAGTGACTGGCACCTGTAATCCTAGCATTTTGGGAGGCTGAGGTGGGAGGGTTACTTGAGCCTAGGAGTTCAAGACCAGCCTGAGCAACATAGTGAGACCTTGTCTCTATAAATAATTAAAAAATTAGCCGGGTGTGGTGGCGCATGCCTATGGTACCAGCTACTAGAGATACTGAGGTGGGAGGGTCACTTGAGCCCTGGAGACTGGAGCTACAGTGAGCTATGATCATGCGACTACACTGCAGCCTGGGCAACAGAGCAAGACCCTGCCTCGAAAAAAAAAGTAATATAGAGATGATTTAAAGTATATGGGAAGATGTGTACAGGTTATATGCAAATGCTACATCATGTTGTATAAGGGACTTGAGCATCCATGGGTTTTGGTATTTCTGAGGGCGTCCTGGAACCAATCCCCCATGGACACTGAGGGATGACTGACTGAATTGTGTAGGGTCAAGCTTCCACTATTGAGCATCTGACTTGTATTACACTTCTCCTTTTTGATATTCATGTGAGTGGGCTTGATTTGGGTAAAAGGAAAGGCAGATTTCCATGAGTTCCAGTTTCCAAGGAGAAGGGGACTCTGTTGACACTGCACTCTGTGACACATCACCTCCACTACCCCAGAGGTCACCTACCAATGGCTCCCACACACCCTGATTGGCTCCTATGGCTCTGCCTGAGGACACTGTCTGGACATAGGCCTAAATTTGGCCACGCTCCCATATGCTCTTAGGAGTGGGGCAGGCCCAATGCGCCAGCGAGCCCATGCTGCAGGAGGAGCCCTCAACCAACAGAGATGGGAGTTGCTGAACAAGTAACTCAGCTTTTTGTCCTCTCAGGGGGACAGTTCTGGGGTGTTTTTCATCCATTTTCTAAGAATGTACCCAGAAATATTAACCCTGTCACCCATGATGGCAACCTATTCATTAACTCCCAATGTATTGGCTTTACTCTCTTTCATGTCTTATTTTCCCACTCCCTCAATGTCCTTCTTGGACTCGCCTCCCAAAGAAACTACTTGTACTGAAAATCTTTTCTCAGATTTTGATTACAGGGAACCCAAACTGAGGTGGGGCATATGTTCCTACTTGAAGTGGCCTGGTCCTACTCTTGCTCTTGGAGAGGACAAGCACTTAGAGCTACAGAATATCTGAAGTAGCAGCTGTTGCTGCCACTGAGCTGCGTGAAGTGATATGGCAGGGTGGAAACTGACCATGTATTTTATCAGTTGCATATTAAATAAAATTACTTGTTGGTTAATGAGTACCAAAGACATGATACTCATTTCTTCACATACTTTATTGATTTAAATAGATATGTAAGTTATCAATATGAATAACAGAGCAATGCATGTTATCATTGGATGATGATAAGATTTGTTGTCTGTTATACAGCACTTTTAAGAGATAATGGTCATTTGTGAATTTAATTTATGCTCAATATCATTAGCCATCAGGGAAATGCAAATCCAAACTACAATGAGATATCACTTCACATCCACTAGAATGACTGGAATGAAAAGGCGCAGACAATAACAATGTTGGTGATAATGTGGAGAAATTGGAACCTTCATACACCACTGGTGGGAATGTAAAATGGATCAGCCTCTTTGAAAAACAGTTTGGCACTTCCTCAAAATGTTAAACATGGAGTTAGTGTATGACCCGGAAATTCTATTCCTAGGTTGACACCCAAAAGAAATGAGAACATGTGTCCACATAAAAATTTCTACATGAATATTCATAACAACATTATTCATAATGAATGGCTTAAAGTAGAAACAACCCAAATATTTATCAACCAGTGAATGGATAAGTAAAATGGGGCAAATCCATATGATGGAATATTATCTGGCAATGAAAAGAATGAAACACTGATATAGGCAATAACATTGATAAACCTTGAAAAACCCTTGTGCTGAAGTATCCAGACACAAAGGCTATATATTATTCTATATTTATGAAATGTCCAGTATAGAAAAATCCGTAAAGACAGAAAGTAGATTAGTGGCTGCCAGGGCTGTGGGTGGGGAAAATAAGGTGTGAAGCTAAAGGATATGTGGCTTCTTTTTGAGATGAGAAAATGTTTTAAAATTGGTTTTGGTGATGGTTGCACAACTGCGAATATACTAAAAACCATTGAATTTACACTTTAAATGAGTTAGTTGTATAATGTGTGAATTATATATCAATAAGGCTGTTAGTTTTTAAAAAGTAGAATGATAGAAAAAGTTATACCATGCAAAAACTAATAAAAGGAAGCTGAAATAGACTTCAGAACAAAAATATTATCAGGAATAAAGTAGGGTATTTTATAATATTAAAGGCATAATTTCATTATGAAGATATGACAATCCTAAATGTGTATGTACCCAAAGATAGAGCTTTAAAATACACGAAGCAGAAGTTAACAAACTGAAAAAGAAATAGACAAATCCACATAAATGTATGGGGATTTCAACATTTCTCTCTCAGTAATTGAGGGAGTAAGTATATTTAAAAAAAAACCAGGGATATTAAAGTCATAAGCAACTTTGTCAACCAACTTGACCTAATTGGCACTTAGAGATACTCCACCTAACAACCAGAGAATACAAATTCTTTTTCAGTGTACTTGGAACATTCACTAAAATAAAGTATTTGTTGGGCTATAAAACAAATCTCAATCAATTTAAAACATTGTAATCATACAGAGCATTAGACAAAATCAATGAGAACAAAAGCTAGTTCTCTCAAATACTCAATAAAATAAACCTCTAACCAGATGGATAAGGATTGAAAAAGATAAATTACGAGTTATCAACATCAGTAACAAAGAGTAGATATCACTATAGGTCTTTCAGATATTAAAAAAATAAAAAGGAAAAAATTTTTAGAAGGAGGTATGGGGGAAATCTTCATGGCCTTCAGACAGTCAAAGATTTCTTACATAATTTTTAAAAAAGCATAAACTTTAAAATAAAAAAGATAAATTAGGCTCTCTCAAAATTGAAAATTCCTGCTCTTTCAACGATATCATTAAGAAAGCGGAAAAGCAAGCCACAGACAAGAAGAAAATATTTTTTCAATACATGACAAAAGACATATCCAGAATACATTTTTAAATCTCTCAACTCAATCAATAGAGAAAAACAGTATTAAAACAGGGAAATATTTGAACACACATTTCACACACACAGAAATGATATAAGAATGCTCAATAAGCACATGAAAAATGCTTGATCGATAATAACCAGGAGGCCAGGCGTGGTGACTTATGCCTGTAATCCCAGCACTTTGGGAGGCTGAGGCGGGTGGATCACCTGAAGTCAGGAGTTCAAGACCAGCCTGGCTAATATTGTGAAACCCTGTCTCTACTAAAAATACAAAAATTAGCTGGGCATAATGGCAGGTGCCTGTAATCCCAGCTACTCAGGAGGCTGAGGCAGGAGAATCGGTGGAACCTGGGAGGAGAGGTTCCAGTGAGCCAAGATCATGCCACTGCACTCCAGCCTGGGCGACAGAGTGAGACTCCATCTCAAATAATAATAATAATAATAACCAGGGACATTCAAATTAAAACCACAATGTGATGCCACTACAAACTGACTAAAATAGCTTAAAATACTGACAAGTGTTGCAAATGTGGAGCAACTAGAATTCTCATATATTGCGGGCGGGAAAGCAAAATAATACAACCACTTTAGAAAAGAGTTTGGCAGTTCCTTGGAAAGTTATACATACCACACAAACCAAAAATTCTATTTACTTAAGAGAAATGAAAACATATTTTCACACAAAAATTTGTATACAAATTTTCATGGCAACTTTATTCATGATAGCCAAAATCTGGGGGAAAAAATCCAGTTTCCATCAAGAGTTTGTATAAACAAACTGATATATTGATACAATGGAATACTACTCAGTAATAAGCAGAAATGAACTACTGATATATACAGCAGCATAGGTGCATCTCAAAAAACATTATCCTGAGTGAAAGAAGCAAGACACAAAAATGCACATACTGCATATTTCATTTTTTAAACTTGAGATGTGCTTTGAGTCTGAATTTTGCTGATTGCCTATCCGTGTTGCAGTTCAACATGAACATGTATGTCTTGCAAATTGGAAGCTGGATCCAAGAGCTTGATCACACTCAGATTTGATGTCTTTGGACTCAAATGGTGGCATTTTTTTTTTCACCGATGGGCACGTAATGTCTAGTTATTGCTCTTGGATGATGTTAACAAAATGATGATTTTCCAATCTGTCACTATGCTGGTTGGAATAATTTCATAAAGAGATACTCCTTCTCATCTACTATTTGATTTTCCAGTGGTACAGTTCTTTTTTTTATATATATACTTTAAGTTCTAGGGTACACATGCACAACGTGCAGGTTTGTTCCATATGTATACATGCGCCATGTTGGTGTGCTGCACCCATTAACTCATCATTTACATTAGGTGTATCTCCTAATGCTATCCCTCCCCCATCCCCCCACCCCATGACAGGCTCCGGTGTGTGATGTTCCCCTTCCTGTGTCCAAGTGTTCTCATTGTTCAATTCCCACCTATGAGTGAGAACATGCGGTGTTTGGTTTTCTGTCCTTGCGATAGTTTGCTGAGAATGATGGTTTCCAGCTTCATCCATGTCCCTACACAGGACATGAACTCACCCTTTTTTATGGCTGCATAGTATTCCATGGTGTATATGTGCCTCCAGTGGTACAGTTCTTAAAGGAAAGCAAGGATAAGCATTTGATGATTCTTTCTTTTTATTTAATCTGTTTCCATAGTAACGCTTTAGTTGTTTATCATACAATTAGTTGTTGTTGTTGTTGTTGTTTTTTTTTTAGAAACATAAGTTATCTGTTGCCCAGGCTGGAGTGCAGTGGCACAATCATAGCTCACTGCATGTCCAACTCCTAGGCCCAAGGGATCCTCTGGCCTCAGCCTCCCAAGCAGTTGGGACTACATGTTGCACACCACCACACCTGGCTGACTTTTAAAAAAATTTTGTAGAGATGGTTGGGGGTCTCAATTTGCTGCCCAGGCTGGTCTCAAATTCCTGGCTTCAAGTGATCCTCTGGCTTCAACCCCCCAAAGCACTGGGATTACAGGTGTGAGCCATCACACCTGGCCCTAATTAGTTTTTTTAAATGTCTGTAGAAATGCATGGACTCAAAGATATTTAATGGGTTCCAATTTATTGCAATTCTTATCTTTGTTGAAAGTCAAATTGTTCTATCTTCGGCAATAAGAAATGGGAATAGAATAGAGTAGAGTAGAGTGGAATGGGCGGAACGGAACGGAACAGAACAGAACAGAACAGAATAGGTGAACCTCATTGAGTTAGCTTCTGAGCCTTTACACAGGACTCTAGTGGTTTTCTTAATAGTTTCCTTGGTATGTAGTATATCAAGATGTTTCAGATTCATCTTCTTCATTTGCTGCCTCATATCTAGAATCAACATATTCAAGAAATGTTGATTTCTTTGAATATGCAATGGCATTTGAAGACCACAATCTTAGTACAGATATGCTTAGTGCTACTTACAAAAGATATATCCAGAATATATATTTTAAAACTCTCAATTCAGTCAATAGCAAAGAAGAATTAAAAATGGGGTAATATTTGGACAGACATTTTAATGAATAGGTCATGGCTTCTGGCCTTTTCAGTGGACGGATGGATAGATATAGTTGGGTAGAATATGTTGTGAGTATGTGCTATTTATTCTGGTGTTTTCATTAAATTCAGAAATATCGGATTTTTATTTAACCTCTTCTATACTACATCTCCATTTTCTTTCTTTCACACTGACAATCCCAGTTCTGAAGGATACAGGGGAAAATACAGTTAGAATGCTGTATAATTATTCATTTACATTCTCTCATATGATACACATAACAATCAGAGAAAAGCAATATTAATACAACCACCACCAATTATAATGACTAAAAAACAGTTTAAAACATTATTGAATCTGTCATTCCTATTTTTTCTACTTTTTGTGCATACAAATGTAATCTTTTCATATACTCTCAGGGCTTATACCTATCTTGAAGCCAGTATATGGGTCTTAATATAAAAATAACTATTCTTCAATTTAGTTATCTTACAATCTCTCCTCATTGAAACTCAGGTATGGCTAGGATACACTTTCCTAGTGTAGTCACATAAGGAAAAGCCTTTTTCATGCATCACTGGTTAAATAGACCATCTTTGGCCAAGTGTTTGCAGTGCTACCTCTGTCATATATTAACTTTCCATATATGTAAACATCTGTTTCTGAGCTCTATTTGTCTATCTGTGTGCCAACACCACATAGTCTCAATAAGTATTACATCTGGTGGAGCAAGTGTCCCTGCCTGGTAGAAACAAACACAAATTCTTTCTGAAGGGGAAAACTTTACAACCAAGTCTCAGAGAAATACCATAGTTAAAGTTCCATGCCTTACACATGCTTACTGCACACATAGGAAACACACAACCATGAATGAGACTCAGCAAAAATAGAAAACCTCAGAATCAGACGTGCAAAGACTCACATTATTCAAATTATTAGATACCAAATATAGAACATAAAATAAATATGTATAAGTTCATTAAAATACCATGTATTAAATAAATTTGAAAATGAGCTCTGGAAAGAATCTCCAGAAGTGAAAATTATAATTGAAAGCAGAATCTGGATGGATGGATTTAATACTATATTAAACTCAGTTAAAGAAACAATTAGTGAGTTTGAAGACAAAGCTGAAGAACTCACACATAATGTGGACAAAGACAGAGAATAGGGACCTTTGAAAAAAAGATTAAGAAATGTGAAAGACAGAATGAGTAGATCCAACACACATATAATCTTTGTTCCAAGAAGAAATAATAAGGATGAGGGAGATGCAATATTGAAAGACCTAATGACTGAGTGTTTTCCAGAAGGGGTTAAGAACACCAAATCACAAATTAACCCTTACCCATTTGCCCCAAGAATACTTGCTGGCAGCACTTGCAGTTGCAGCGTTTACCCAGAGATAACTTTGCCACAAAATATTTTGTCTTTATTATTATTATTGCATCGCCCTAGTATATCAACTTTGGAAACCAAAGACATCATTCCATTTATAGCATTCTGTTTTTAGTAGTGGTATTTCTGTTACTGTAGATAGCTGGCCAGGCATGAGGGGGCAGGAGAGGGTTCCCCCCACCACACCCACCAGGAATGTCAGGTGACCATCAAGTGATGGTTTGGCAGTTGTCACACTGCCTCTCTAAAAATGATAATTGTCAGCCAGTGCCAGGGAGAGGCAATTTACTGATGGTCCGCAGTTGTCACACTGAAGTGATCACTGATTACAGGCACCAGGGAGAGACAATTTCCCAAACAGAAAAAAACACTTGAAATTGGTAATCAGCTTCTAATAAAATCTCAGAAAACTGGGGAAGTGAGCTCAAGCATGCACATAAGAGATATAATGGAAGGGTATGACCTTCTGGGGCCATTCCACTAGAAAAGAGAAGAAAGCTTCAGGTGGTCATGCATACAACTTCCTAAACACACTGTGCATGCTCACCTCCCAAGCATAAGGAGGGCACTGCATGCAGTCAGCTCACCCTAAGGGAAGAATCATGGGAAAGGTGTGCAAGATACCGGAAATGGGCCAGCATATACAGTCCTAGGATCAAGGTTAAAGGGGGCACTTGACCTTCACAGTGCCCACTTGGGTCTCTTCTAAGTGTACTTTCCTTTCTTTCTTGCTCTAAAGCTTTAAATAAACTTCCACTCCTGCACTGAAACTTGCCTCAGTATCTTTTTCTGCCTTAGGCCCCTTAGTCAAATTCTTTCTTCCAAGGAGACAAGAATTGAGATTGCGGCAGACCAGTATGGATTTGCCACTACTAACATTTCCATTTACAAAATATGGTAATTCTTTATCGCTGAAAATGTCAAATCCTAGAAAATGTAGCATTCCTATGTGTAATGTTAACATTGCTCTCGAACAGTTGTTGACAGAAGATTCATTTGATGAATCTGATTTTTCCAAAATAGACAATTCTGATGATTCAGATGGTTCTGATGATTCAGATGATTCCGATGTTAGTTCTGTTTAGAAATAACTCCAAGACCCATTTTTATATTTTATTTCCACATTGAAAATCAGTCAGATTTTCTTCAGCCTCAAAGAATGTGTTTATGTAAAATTAAATGAGCTCTGGCAGTGAACTGCATTTTTTTTTTTCTAAATGGGAAAAGGTTTAAGGAAGTTTCCCAAAGTGTTTCACCATAGGTGAAAAGAAACACACAACTGAGTGCCAAATTCAGAACAATGAAAACACAGAGAAGAAAATAGAAGCAGCCCAACAGAAACAAAATATAAAAGAACCCAAAAATCATCTGTAATGACTGACAGCTGACTTTTCAGCAGCCAGATTAAAACCAGAAGCTCAGAAAATAAACTTCCAAAGTACTGAAAGTAACTTTCAACCTAGAACCCTATATTCAGCAATATAATCTTTCAAAAACATAGGCAAAATAAAGACATCTTCAGACACAAATCCAAGAGGATTTACTATTAGTTGTACATTCACAAAAGGAACTTCTAATGAGGGTACTTGATGTCAGAAGGAAGGTTTGCAATACATGAAAAGAGAATACATGTGTTGACTGTTTCAATGGTAAAATTAATGCCTAATTTGTGAGGCTAAATATCAAGAAAGGGTAACATATAACTTTGGGTAGGTAGTTATTGGCATTACAGCACTTTAAGATTCTTATATGATTTAGAGGAGAGTAAAGCCGTTAATATTAAAATGCTAATTATGCATGTTAAAATTTCTAGGATAATCACGAAAAGAATAGAAATAGCTATAAATATTAGTTCTTATCATTATTATGATTATTATCATATTCCAGGGATCTTATAGAAAGAAGAACACACACACATACACACACACACAGACACACACACACGCACACACGCACGAAGGATTCTGTATTCAAAACAGTTTGAATTAAACATTTCCTGCTTGATTTCTTTATATTTTTCTCAGCTAATGTGTATTATAAATCCCTAAGTGGAGACTGTAGAGGCTTTGCAGCATTTCCTATGTTTATGTGACATCAAAACCCTTATCTTATGGAATCGGATAAGATATGGAATTACCTATTAACATCTTGAGGTACTTGACAGTTTGGGGAACACCTTTTAAGTTAAATCTGAATTCACGAGAGTTTGTCTGTTTAAGGAAATAATAGAACCATGTGGGCTTGAAGAGAACAATAGAGTCAATGTTAGAAAGACCTCAGGTTTGGGAAAATAAGACATTAAGAAAGAGTTGAAAATACTATTGATCAATGATACCAGAAAGAGTGGGACATATTGCAATCTGTTAAATGGAAAGAAAAAAATAAAATCACCACCTAGCAAATAGATTGGAAAGCTTCTGCTACAAGGCTGTTGGGACATCTGGGAACACTGCCAAACAATTCTGGGGAACAGACTTGGCACTAATTGTGGCCTTGTGTTCTTTATGAAAGAAAAAAGATTATTTTATAAGCCATAACACACTACCTAGATGCCAAATTGCCAGTTAAAATTCTATTTGCAAGCAGGTGTAGGCTTTCAAAAAAGCTTTCACCCAACATCATAGGATGCTGCCTTTTCATAATCAAATATGATGCAAACTATCTTTTCATCTACATGTTCAGTGTTTCAAAATGTTCCCAAAATGGCAGGTTCACTGTGTCTTTAATTATAATGAAATCCTATGCATTTGCTTTAAATGTAGCTGTTTGGTTGAATACAGAGATCATATAAAGGAGTTTTTGCTCTTATCCATCCAATTAATTATTAGATTGGTGCAAAAGTAATTGTGGTTCTTGCAATTACTTTTAATGGCAAAACTGCAATTACTTTTGCACCAACCTAATATTTCCCCTTCAACTTACATTTTAAATGTGTCCAAGCAAAGAGAAGGGTGAATGGTATTTGGTAGTGTTTCTAATTTCACCCTGTTTATAATATAGGATGCTATCTTTTATTTCAGTCCATAATATTTCTATTGCAATTGATGTAATTTAATCACACTGATGCCTTATGCTGTGCATATACCAGGCTTGTTTTCTCCGAAGATTCAAAGAAATCTGCAGACATTAATCACAGTCCTCATGGTGGAAGATGGAAAGGGCAGCCAAATCTAAGCTCTGGCATGAAACGATTTTGATAGGTGGAAAGAAGAGAAGCCTTTCACCCTCTCCAATTCTACTAGAATGCCCTCAGCACAATTTTCTCTTCCTCTCTGATCCTAGTAAGTTCAAAGCCTACCTCTTCCATGAATCTTCCTTGATAACCCTGGTCCACCTTAATCTTTTTCCTTTTTTAAATTCCCACAGCCCATATCTCTAGTTCTCAAGGTAGCACTCAAATCCTACTGCCCGGCATTGCCCCCAATTATTAGCTGGATCTTTTCCTCTAAACAATGAGGTCTTGTATTTCTGATTCCTGCTCAATTCAATGATGGCTTTACAGAGTGCAGTCCATAAATGCTGTTGATAAAGTGATTAGTGCAAGAATCCAAGAATTCGATTGTTTAGGAGCCAATTATGCTGGCAGTAGGGAGGTTTGGGGTTATCGTGGGGATATGTCATCATTCTTGTTATCTATTTTCAAAGACCTTAAGGAAACACACTGAGTACTCCTGAGAGCATCTAATCTCTCAGAATCCTTGTTTATCTGTGCTTATTATTAGATTAGACCAAAGGCAAGATAAGGACCTTTTCCTGGGATCTAAGGCTCTTTATGTGACAAAGAACTGCCCCAAAGGGATGGTGAGGAGAGAAGGCAGGGCATGAAGTGGTGCTGGAGACATATCTATATTTTTCATTTCTCCTGCCCTGCCCCCCTCCCAACCACCACATTGTTGTTTGATTGCTACTTTGTTCTTTGATTTCCCCTTACAGTCCCCTACACTTGTATCTTAAAGGACTGCTTTGAAGATGAGGATTTGGAAACGTGTGTTTAGCAACTTGTAAACGCCTCCTCCAAGGTTTTGCGAAGTCAACAGGAGGCATTTTGATTATAGCTATTTGTTCTCAACACATTGCGAGTTTGCAGATTAGAGATCAGATCCTGCCTCTTCTTGCCAATCAGGATAAACCCGTGCAGCAAGGCTCCCCATGGGGCACCCAATGGAGCTCTCCATGGAACGGGCCTGGCTAGTAAGGCCTGAATCAGGGGAGAGGGTGGGGAACACAGCCCTGAGCTCTGCTGGCTTTGGAGCGAGCTGCCTCCTCTGCAGAGAACTGATGCAGCCTTGGCTGTGCGGAGGAGCCAACATGCGGTCTCCAAGAACGCGATGCTGACTAAAGCACAGGGCTGTTTCAGCGCGAACAGCTGGCTGATTTATTTCAGAGGCACCGTTTCCAGGGGAATGGGAAATTGTTTAGTCTGAGATCCTTGGCTGGTTTCCTTTTACATCATTTCTGTGTCTTTCAATTATTTGCACATTTGGGGAGTTCTAGGGCCGTCCTAGAGCATATAGGTGTGTACTTTTAATAAAATGCAATTTATGAAAGTCCAAGTTTATAAAATTGGTAAGTTATGAGGATGGATTATTTTTACCACAAAAGGATTTTGTGATGAAATTTAGGATCCGTTTTATTAGTCAATAATGTTCCTGGTGTATATAGCATTATATTTATGGATTTCTTTTATCTGACTTCAGAAGTAATCCCTGCTCCTAGCTACGTACACAATGGAGGTTAAAGCCACATGTGTTGACTTCAGACAAAACCTAGGTTTGAGACCAGGTTCTGCCACTTAGTTGTTAATGTGTTTGAATAGTTGCTTACCTTCTCAAAAATACAAGTTAAAATTTTTGCAAGGATTAGATAACATACCTCAGGCACTTAGCATATAGTAAGAGCTCAACACATTAAGAAGAAATTCTTATTTTTCTTATTATTAGAGTATTTATATGTAAAGGTTGGTTTACCCACATTTGATGTCAATGCCGCTTTCCTTGTTTGTTTACATGTGAGATCTACCTTTAATGCTGTGACCCGCCTCCTTCAATCATTCTACCCTTTGCCTCTCCTGCCTAGCAGTTTTGGTTCTAAGGCTCTGGGACTGCCCCAGGGAACAAACCAATGAGTCCTTCCCTGGACCACTCATCACAGAATGGGGTAGAAAAAGGGATGCTCTGCCAGGCATGGTGGCTCACGCCTGTAATCTCAGCACTTTGGGAGGCCAAGGTGGGAGGATTGCTTGAGCCTAGGAGTTTAAGACCAGACTGGGAAACATAGTGAGACCCCATCTCTACAAAAAATAAAAATATTAGCTGGGCATGGTGGCATGCGCCTGTAGTCCCAGCTACTTGGGAGGCTGAGGTGGGAGAATCACTTGAGCCAGGGAGATGGAGGCTGCAGTGAGCTGTGATTGTGCCACTGCACTCTGGCTTGGACAACAGAGCAAGCTCTTGTCTCAGGAAAAAAAAAAAAAAAAGAAATGAAAAGAAAAAGGGCTACTCCCAGATCACACTGGCTCTAGATAGAGATTCTGAAACTAAATGAGGTTTCTCTCTAAAATAATGTTTCTTAAATTGAAGTTCATGGACCACTCTATCACTTTGTTAAAATGCAGATTCCTAAGGTCCTGCCCAGGGCTTTTGAAGCAGAATCTTTCTTTGGTTGGGCCGGGGCAGGGTTGGGGGTGGGAGGGTGGTGGGATAGGAATATACATTGTAATAAGCACCTAGGTTACTCCTTGTGTGTTTGTTTACATGTGAGATCTACCGTTAATGCTTTAATTTCCAGTGTAGTTTCCAAGCTTGCCCAACTATAGAGTGGCATGAAGGGTGCTTAGTAAAGATAGAAGTTCCTGGGCCTATCCCAGAATATCCAGTGGTGGGGCCTGAGGATGTGTACTTTTAAGAAGCACCCTCAGATGCCTCTAAGAAATGAGTCAGGGAAATGCTGCCCTAGAGTGACTGGCCAGTGATGTGCTCAGTGTTGTTGTTGGTCACAGTAATGGGGTAGGGGTAGGGGTTAGGGAGGGGCTTGGAGGTATCATTGATCCAGAGAGTGACCTGGGTTGAGTTGAGCCTCCCTTGTGAGGGCTCACCTTTGGCTTTCTAATGTCTCCTTCAGGTATGATGGTCTGTGTCCCGCCATTCCCACAGTGTTTGAGGTAGGAATGCCAATCTGAAGAGAGGAGGCAAGCCCGAGAGCAAATAGCGAAGCTTGTGGGCAGAGACCAGCAATCCCAGATGAGCTGTCATGGGACCCTGGATAAATGGGAAGAATAACTGCTTATATAACAGCCAGCCCTGGCCCTCTGTCATATCATGGTTGCAATTCCTGCCTATGGTTTTTTCCTAAATTGCCTCCTTTCCTTAAGACAGTCTGGGTAGGTTTGTAACTCAAATGACTTTACCTAAAACTATGTCCTACCACCAGGAGCTGGCCTTTGGTGACCTGTGACTGAACTGCACCTCACATACCCCCCTTCTGTGCCTCTGCAGCTAGATTCATTCTCTCAGAGCTCATGCTGCATCCCAGCTTCCCCTCGGCAGCACCTGCCAGTGATGACAAGCCATCCTGCCTTATGCCCAAGTTTTGATCTGTGGCAAGCAGAACAGTAATGCTTCAACCTCATGTTTCATTGACAGACATGGCTACCAGCTTGACAAACATAATACTTTTAGAGATGCTCTCTTGAGACATTCATCCTTTTCCCATGATGGTCTTCTTCCAGCAAAGCTGGACAATGCTCCTCTTACGCTGCCCACCCAGTGATGAGAAAGCAGCCTACAACCAGACAGCAAAGTGTGTCTCTCTGTCTTTGTGTGGTGCCTGCCTCTGCTGTTTGCCCCCATCTACAATTGCACCTGACCTACCCCTCAAGACAACACTGCTTTTTTTCTTTTCTTTCTTGTAGGCATTAGCTGTCATCCAAAGGGTGCTATAAGAGTGTGTTTTATCACATTTCAGCCAGCAAACATTTGATGATGCCAGCCTCCTCCAGGTGAGATATTGCAGTAGACTCGGGGGCATTCAAAGATAAACAAAGTCCAACAAAGAAAGTAATTCAAATGAAGAATGCTGTGGCATTCCAATGGGTGGCATATCCAAGGACCAGCCGTGTTATAAAAAATACGAGTCAGGATATTAAGTAGAGAAAAAATGTCGGAACTTTTGGTCACAATATATGTGTGTGTTTCTATATTTGTATCTACAGCATACTGAAATCTTATTAGGAAAGTGCATCAGTCATGTGCATTGTATCAAGTACTGTGTTGCCAGCTGACCTAAACCAACTTGATCATTTACAACTGTTGGGTTCTTTTAGTGAATAATGGTGATTTCCAATGACTAAGGGAAGGGGAAGGTTTTAGGTCTCCTTACTGACAAACTCACTACCAGGAAGTAAATTACAAGGAAAGCAAATCTCAGACCAAATCCTGCAACAAACTCACACACAGGCACACATTTATTAGCACATAAACACAAAAAGAGTAATACAATATGCTCTTATTGGCTCCCTCCCTTGGACCCTCTGCCAGATACCTTTCATACCATTTCCCTTTGGCAGATACAGCAGTATTCTCTAGGGAGGATCAGCTAGACATCAAATCAGAATCAGACAATAAATCCTCTGATAAGAGATGGGACACAGGACCAAATGGAACTTCTAGACTAAGTTGAGTCTATCTGGGGAAATTCAAAAAGCTAATATTAACTCATTTCCTGCTTTTTGGATTTTTTATTTAATAGGGCCCTATCCTAGAGGGTAGTGAGTATAGATAGCCCTTTTGCCCTAAATGCAGGGAAGGACAGAGATCTAATATTAGAAAATGCTGGAGAAAGAAGTATAGGTTTTTCTACAGAATGGAAGAAAATTCTTGCAATCTACACATCTGACAAAGGTCTAATATCCAGAATCTACAAGGAACTCACATAAATTTACAAGAAAAAAGAATCCTATCAAAAAGTGGGCAAAAGTTTGAGCAGACACTTCTCAAAATAAGACATTTATGCAGCCAACAAACATACTACAAAAAGCTCAACATCACTGGTCATTAGAGAAAAGCAAATCAATACCACAGTGAGATACCATCTCATGCCAGTCAGAATAGTGATTATTGGCCGGGCGTGGTGGCTCACGCCTGTAATCCCAGCACCTTGGGAGGCCGAGGTGGGTGGATCACGAGGTCAGGAGATCGAGACCATGCTGGCTAACACGGTGAAACCCTGTCTCTACTAAAAAATAATAATAAAAAAAATTAGCCAGGCATGGTGGCAGGTGCCTGTAGTCCCAGCTACTCGGGAGGCTGAGGCAGGAGAATGGCATGAACCCAGGAGGCAGAGCTTGCTGTGAGCCGAGATCACACCATTGCACTCCAGCCTGGGTAGCAGAGTGAGACTCCGTCTCAAAAAGAAAAAAGAAAAAAGAATAGTGATTATTAAAAAGTCAAAAAAAATAGTTGCTGGCAAGGTGTGAAGAAATAGGAACACTTTTACACTATTGGTGGGAATGTAAATTAGTTCAACCATTCTGGAAGACAGTATGGTGATTCCTCAAGAATCTTGAATGAGAAATACCATTTGACCCAGCAATCCCATTACTGGGTATATACCCAAAGGAATATAAATCATTCTGCTGTAAAGACACATGCACACATATGTTTATTGCAACACAATTTACAATGGCAAAGTCATGGAACCAACCCATATGCCCATCAATGATAGACTGGATAAAGAAAATGTGGTACATATACACCATGGAATACTATGCAGCCTGTAAAAAGGAATGAGATAATGTCCTTTGCAGGGATGTGGATGAAGCCGGAAGCCATCATCCTTAGGAAACTAACACAGGAACAGAAAACCAAACACTGCATGTTCTCACTCACAAGTGGGAGGTGAACAAGGAGAACACATGGACACAGGGAGGGGAACATCACACACCAGGGCCTGTTGAGGGATGAAGAACGAAGGGAGGGAACTTAGAAGATGGGTCAATAGGTGCAGCAGACCACCATGGCACACATATACCTATGTAACAAACCTGCACATTCTGCACATGGATCCTGGAACTTAAAGTAAAATTTTTAAAAAAGAAGTATAAGTTTTTTAAAATGCTTGCTCTCTATAAAGGCAATGCTGGTAGAGTATGTGAAGGGCTTTGATAGGGTGGGCCATAGAGTCACAAGAATGCATGAGAGGGGCATTTAGAGCTGACTGGGAAGTTCCAGGAAGGCTTCCTGGAGGAAGGAGTTAGCTAAGTGGATAAGGAGGTTTGGGAGGCAGAGAAAGTAGCACAACAGAGGGCTGCAGGCCTGATGGAGGTTATGTCATATTTCTGCAAGCAATTTGGTATGACTAGAATATAGTCTGTGGTAGGAAGGGAGCTTAGTAAAATGTGAGGTTGAACTGCTAAACTTGGCTCAGCTCATAAATCTTAAAGGTGGTAGAAAGTCACAGGATTTTTGAGTGGGAGAATATGAGTATCAAATATTCACTGTGCAGAGGTCAGTCTGCCATTGTGAGAACTAACTTAAACGCAGTTTTATAGCAGGCAGGGAGGCCAGTTAAAATGAGCTTTCAGGAACCAAGAAAGAGATTATGAGGCTCTGATCTGCTATAATGGCAAGTGAGGGTAAAGAGAAAGGGAAACGTTGCAGACATAATGGGTAGACTCGATTTAGCAACAGATTGAATGTGGCTGTGAGAATGACCCCGTGTTTTTAGTCAATGATGGTGACATTCCTCAAGACAAAGAATATAAGGGGAAAAGCTGATTTCTGGGGTGAGACGGGAGGATGAGGTAAAAATATTAATGTCTGCAAGACATCCAAACATATGAGGGTTGGGATCTCAGGCAACAAACAGAGGCTGGAGATGGGAACTGAGGTTCAGTTCCACAGAGAAGGTGGCTCATATTATGGGAGTGAATGAAGATCATAGAGAAAGTACACAAGGTACACAGAGAAAAGGAATAAGTCTAACTTCTTAAAGATCATTATCATTTAACATTCAGTTCCTTTTGTGTATTATTTTCTGTTTCCCAAGCTGGTTTGCATCAGAATAGTCATTCTCTGTTTCAGGATTTTAATGCCAACTGCAGATAACTCTGTCTTTCTGTTTGTTTACAATTGTTGAAAGCCCTGACTTTGAAAATAGTGTCTTCAACAACTGTGTTCAACCACTTTGGAGATGTGGTTGGAGCATCATGTTTCTCTTGTTAAAGCACTTGTCTGTGCTATGCCTCTTGTTAACTGGCACATGGCATCTCCCTCTCTAGCTTGCCCTGTGGTAGAGGAGGGGGCAGGAATGTTTTATGGCTTCCAAACCTAGAGGAGAGAACAATGTCCAAATTTTGTGCTGCCAGGATCTCCATCTCCTCAGAAGTCCTCAACTCTCCCTTCTTTCTGAATTACTTGGTGAGGCATCTCCTGGGCTGTAAAAAGAATTTCTTAAAGTTTTGATGTCACAAAACATAAACTGATGACATTTTATGCACAGACTTATAAAATATTTCTCTAAAAACTATTTTGTTAGGACAACAAAAACCCCCAAAGTAATATATGATAAAAACAAAGCAAAATCATTTGATCTTGAAAGGTAAGGAAATAAAATTTCTTTAGTATTTTTCATGATTATGATAAAATGATTATTTATTGTAAGACTTGAAAGTAGTTTTCCATGTACTCACAGCACACCTGCAGGTTATTCACAGAACACCGGTATTCTGTGGCACACAATATGAGAAACACTGTCGTGGGGATTTCATTGTGATGGTCCACAGTTCCGTGCTCACCATGTGGGGTGCCATTATCTTTGAATCCGAAAGGCAATTAGAGAAAAGAAGAGGGATAGCCCAGAGAACTGGCTAGTTCTGTCCTTTAGTCTCTACTATTCTTGTTAGTGATGTTGGAGAGAGCAGGGCTCTAGGGGGCCATGGAAAGACCCTGCAGAGTAGAAGGCAATGCTTGCTGATTCTGGGAAGCAGCTGCAGCAGTGAGAGGCATAGGAGCAGTCATTAGACAAAAGGCCGCCCAAAGAGCAGAGCGGCCAAGCCACTGATGGCAATCGGCTTAGTTAGCAACAAGCCAGCCCCACCACATCATAGGAGAGGGCTGGAAAAGGCTGGCGAGGATGCCCTGGCCTTACCTTATTTCCTGCGTTGTGTTTTTTTTTTCTCTCTCTCTCTGAATATGTATGCATAATAGATTGTTAAAGGATTTTTTTTCTAAAAAAAAAAAAGGTAAAATCAGGACTGTCATACAAATAGAAAATGAACGTCTGTCAAATATTGTGTTTCTTTATTTAATAAATTAGGGAACAAGTAAGATGTTACAACCAGTTTAAAGAACCTATTGCCCAGGCTGGGGTGCAGTCGCACAATCACAGATCACTGCAGCCTTGAACTCCTGGGCTCAAGCAATTCTCTTACCTCCCAAGTAGCTAGGACTATGGGTGCATGCCACCACTCTTAGCTAACTTAAAAAAATTTCTTTAGAGACAGGGTCTTGCTATGCTGCCCAGGATGGTCTGGAACTGCTGGCCTCAAGCGATCCTCCTCCTTGGGCCTCCCAAAGCACTGGGATTACAGGCATGAGCCACTGAGCCCAGCCCTAATTTTTTAATCAGTGTGTATTATATCTATTTTGTGAATAATGAAGAATAGAATAATGTTTATAAATACCCAGTATAGTGCTTAGCACAGAGCAAGCATTCAATAGTGATAGTATATTTTTACTATTAAAATTGATCATTTTAATAATGCCGAAACTTCTGTTTATGTAACCAACTGTTGCCATTTTCATTACAAGTATAATCAGCTAAAATTCCTTTTGGAATTTTGGATATAAAGTTTTAAATTATGAATAGATAAATAAATAGATGCCAAATATTGAGTCTGGCAAAATGGTGCTTATTATGTCTGTGCTTGTTCCAAAACTATTGAGTAGGCCTATGTTTTGCTTTGCTTTTTTTCTTTCCTAAATACTAGACATAAGTGCATCCCTGTCCCTAGACATGGAAAAGGGTTGTCAATGCTCCCTAGGAATAAAACACATGGCACAGAAACTTTTATCAATAACTACTTATGAAACAGATGATTCAACATCATGAGTCATTGACTGTCCTTTCTATGAATCCATTGATTCATAGAATGGTAAGATAGGACACTTCAGGAAAACAAATCCATTCATTCCTTTACTTTTGAGATAGGAAACTATTATTCAGAGAAGTTAAGTACATTGTCGAATGCCACATAGCCATCAGCAGAGCTGGAGCCAGAAGCCAAATCTGCTGATTCCTAAGTTAGTTTTCTCTGAATTCCCCTATATTATCTCTTCATCTCTTTGGCCATAGCTAAAAAACAGAAGAGTAGCCTTCCTCTGTATATACTGAGTTGAGAAATCAAGCCCCATAGAAATGGCATGCAAGCTTCCCTGCAGTACTCAGGACAAAATGGACATGCCAGAAAAGGAGGTTCCACTTGAGCAGAGCTGAGCAACCACAGCCCAATGTGGAATGAACGACCTCCTCGTCTGCTGCACCTCATGATTTATTAGCTGCTACTGGTGGCCATGAAATATTCATCCACTCTTTCCTAGAGTTACTGCTTCACTGCATCAACAAACCATTGCTTTCCCATCTGTTTAGGTGTGCAGCTTGGAGAAGAAAAGCTTCACACAAAATGGAAAAGAGGCTTATTTTCATGTTTAGCCCAGAGGCAGAACACCAATTCACATCTTGGTTCATTGTCGTTTTCCCAGAGGCACAGTCAGGGCTGACTCCCTAGGCTCCTGAACACAGAGAAGCCCTGTCACTCATGTAAGCAAAGGTTGAATAGCTAGAAAGAAGAGTGAAAGACTTCATGTGGTTGGCTGGCTGGTTGTAACACTCCCAGCTCTAGCCTCAGCTTATTTTGCTCTGTAAGCAGTAAAGCGGGGCACAAAGAGCCAGGGCTTGCCTGACATGGAGGCTCCTTGTTGCCAAGGCCTAGTGTCAAGCAACGAACCTGAGTTGCTCCATGCAGCCTCTCCTTTGGGATTAGAAGCACTGCTTATAGGAGCAGAAGGAGTTAACTCTGCCCCACTTCCCTACTCCCTCTTCTTTTTAGGCTTCATCATAGACTTTTCTTCTGCATACCCCTTAGCTGTGGTTGCTACCCTTCAGCCCTCTTCTCACTCGCTGCATATATTCCCCATAGATGTTTGTATTCATGATCATGCATTCTCCCTCCACCAATAGTCATTTGTAAATCTCTCTTTCTCCAGCTTCAGATCTATAGGTTCAACTACACCATCTGTCTATACCAGGATAGCCAATTGCCCTTCAACCTCCATAGGTCCCAAACTGAATTTATTATTACTACCCTATGATCCCTTCCCATCCTCCATTCACATCTATAAATCTTTCAGAAAAGATTTTAAAAAGGAAGCTTTCTTATTATAAATTCATATGTTGACATTGCAGCTTTGAAACCAGTTTCTTTTAAAGGTAGTTAATTAGAAACATATATAAATATTTCAGAAAAGAAGCTCCATCATATTATCAAAACTGGTTGGGAGTCATCCTTGATTCTCTCCTCTTTCTATTTATTTTTTTATTTTTATTTATTTATTTTTTTAGAGACAGGGTCTCACTCTGTCACCCAGGCTGGAGTGCAGTGGTGAAATCATAGCTCACTGCAGCTTCGAACTCCTGGGCTCAAGCCAGTCTCCCTCCCCAGCTTCCCAAAATGCTGGGATTCCAGGCATGAGCACTTTTCCTGGCCCCTCTCCTCTTTCTTATCTCCATGTTTCAGTTATCTATTTACTGCTTATTATTGAGGCAAAACTTAGCGACTTAAAAAACAACAACCACCGTTTATTTTGTTCATGAATGTGTCATTTGGACAACCTCATTTTTACTCCACATGATGTCAGTTGGGATATCTTGACCGAGGACCCATTTTCAAGACAGCTCACTCACATAGCTGGCAAGATGGTGCTGGTTGTCAGTGGGGAGTTCACCCAGGGTATTTGGCCAGGGGATCTCAGCTCCTCTTCACTGGGGCCTCTTCATGGGGCTCTTTGGGCTTTCTCACGGCATGGTGGCTGGGTTCCAAGAATAAGTGTTTCAAGAGACAGAAAGTGGAATATATAGGTCTCTTAAGGCCTGGGTCTGAAAACTGGCACAGCATTACTTCTGCTGTATTCTATTGGCCATGTAGTCACAGAGCCCATTCAGACTCAAAGAGGAATAATACAGACCCCAGCTCTTGAGGGGAAGTGTCAAATAATTTAAGGCTATCTTGAATCCACCACATTCTACATCCAATTAAACTCTTGCAATCCTCTCCCTGTATCCACGCCTTTTCACATTCTGTTCCTTTGGTCTTGAATGCCTTTCTCCACCTTGTCCTCTTCTCTGCTCTTTCTCCAAGATTGTGCTCAAGAGTTGACTCCCCAAACCTTTCTCAATCCCTCCTCCAGAAGAACACCCTATGTTAGCATTTATTATTTTGTGTTGCGATTGTTTGTATATCTTTCCTATAAGACTGACTGAATTATTCATGACACAGTCATGAAAGACTATGTCTTATTCATTTTTGTATCCCCAGAACCATGGAGATGGGCAGAGTAAAGGACCTCAGCAAACATTTACTGAATGGATAAATGTTTCCTTGTTTCAATCTCTCAATAGTCCTGTGAGGTGGCAGAAATGGAGTGTTATTCCTATCTTACTGCACTGACCTCCTTATTGTAGATAAAAAGAAACAGACAGAGCAAAAAGTAATTGCATTACCCAAAGTCACTCAGCCAGGAAGATAATTCAGTATAGTCAATAGGAATTCAGTTCCCCAAAGTAAGTTGAACATCATAGATTTAGGCACAAAGTTAGGAAGGCTTAAGAAAAAGCCCAACCATGAATGGACTTAGTTGTTTAGCAGAAAATGCCTTCGAGGTTACCCTACTAGTCTATGTATACTGGTGCCTACTCAGGGGGCGCAATTGATTTTCTGTACACTGCTAGGAAACTAAAAACACCAGAAAAGATAGAAGATGGTCTGATAGAATCTGTTAAAGAAGAGAATGGGCATGGTACAGTGCTTTGTGCAAATAGGAAATGTGGATCTAATGTAGAGTCACAAAATGACAGTGGGAGAGTGTGAGTTCACAGTAATTCTCAAATGACTCTTCAGGGCAGAGAAAGGCAGCTATTCTCAGAATGAGAGGCTGTTTCTAGGGGCCCAAGTGTTTGGGTCAATTGGATAATTCACTGGAGTTAAAACCTTAGCTGCAATAAAACACCCCTCAAGGACAGCTGACATCCTGTGCTCTGATTTCATACTTAACAAGCCCCTTCTGTGCACTAGTTTGGTTTCTTACATATTTTTTATTACAAAAATATTCCCTTGGTAGTGGACATGGGCATTCCAGTCAATAGAAAGAAACTTTCTTATTATAAATTAATAATATGTTGACATGCTTTGAATGTTTCTTTTAAATTTAGTTAATTAGAAAATTAACTAAATTTGAAACCAGTTTCTTTTAAATTTAGTTAATTAGAAAAATTCTCCTGCACACAGATGAATAGATTTTTTATTTGAGTTTTTTGATTACTTTAGTTTTTTAAAAATTACACAAATACTTAATACTGTATTAGTCCATTCTCACATTGCCATAAAGAAATACCTGAGATTGGGTAATTTATAAAGAAAGAAAGTTTGATTGGCTTATGTTTCTGCAGACTGTACAGGAATCACGATTCTGGCATCTGCTCAGCTTCTGGGGAGGCCTCAGGAAACTTACAATCATGGCAAAAGGTGAAGTCAGAGCAGATAATGTCTTACATGGCAGGAGCAGGAGCAAGAGAGAGGGAGGTGCTACAGACTTTTAAACAACCAGATCTCATGAGAACTCACTATTGCAAGAATAGCACCAAGTGGATGATGCCAAATCATTCAAGAAGGTTCCGCCCCCATGATTCAATCCCTCCCACCAGGCCCCACCTCCAACATTGGGGATTACAATTTGACATGAGATTTGGGTGGGGACACAGATCCAAACTATATCACATATATACTTTCTTATTGTAAGAGATCCAAACAATTAAAGTATACTTGAAAAGCCCTTTCAACATCAAGCCCCGTCCTCTCAGCCTCTGAGATAATCAGTTATAAGTTCAATATGCAGCCTTCAGTCCCTTTTCTATACACTTATTTATAGAGATGTGTGTATATTTATAAATGTCCCTTTTAATTTTATACAAAATTGATCGTACTATACATTTTCCTTTTTCATATAATTCCATCCCATGAAGATCCTTCCACATTAATTTTTCTACATTCTACAAGAAACAAGAAAGCTCTGCCTTCTTGTTTCTTATGGCTGCATCTTTTAAAAAAATAGGATGTATTATTCATGATTCTTCAGAGACACAGGAAAGATAGGATATATATATATATAGAGAGAGAGAGAGAGAGAGAGAGAGAGATTTACTATAAGGAAATGACTTAGCAGTTATGGAGACTGGCAAGTCCCAAGAGCCGCAGAGTGAGTTGCAAGCTAGAAACTCAATGGTAGGAGAGCCAGTGGGTGCAGTTCCAGTGTGAAGGACAGCAGACTTGGAACCAGGAAGAGCCAATGTTTCCATTTGAGTTTGAAGGCAGGAAGAGAGCTTATGTCCCAGTTTGAAGGCTATCATGCAGAAAAAAATTCTCTCTTACTCAGGAAAGGGTCAGACGCTTTGCTCTATTCAGACCTTCAACTAATTGAATGAGGCCCACTGACATTATGGAAAACAATTGGTTTTACTCATTCTACCTGTGTAATTTTAATCTCATCAAGTAATAGCCTCACAGAAACACTCAGAATAATATTTGACGAAATATCTGGACACCCTTTGACCTATTCATGTTGATACATAAAATCAACCCTCACACAAGGTTATGTAATTATTCCACTTTTAATGAATAGCTTTTTTATTTCTTTTCTTTTTTCTTTCTTTTTATTTTCTTTTCTATTAGGAACACTACTGCAATAAAAAATATTTGGACACACGTTTTGGGTACGTGTGTCTATTTCTGTAGAATATATTCCTACAGCTGGAATTGCTGGGTGTAATAGGTAGTGTAATGCCCCTCCCCCAAAATGTTTACATCATAATCCCTGGGACCTGTGGGTATGGTAGGTTGCATGGCAAAGGGAAATTAACATTGCAGATGGGATGGAGTCTCCTATTCAGCTGACCTTACAATAGGGAAACTATCCTGAATTATCCAAGTGGGCCCAGTGTAATCATAAACATCCTTAAAGGTAGAAAAGGGAATGAAAAGACAGAACCAGGAAGATGGAAGAGTGCAAAGGAGTAGGCCTGGTGTTGCTGGCTTTGAAGATGGAAGAAGGGGCCATGAGCCAAAAAATGTGTGCAGCCTGTAGATGCTGGAAAGGACAAGGAAACAGGTTCTCCCCTAGAGACTCCAGAAAGGAACATAACCCTGCCAACACCTTGATTTTAGCTCAAGGAGACTCATTTCATTCTTCTGAACTACAGAACTATAAGACAATATACTTGTATTGTTTTAAACCACTAAATTGGTAATCATTTGTTATAGCAGTCACAGAAACTAACATACTGGGAATTGGAGAATGCATATTTTAAAAACATGATGAGTAATGAAAATGGCTATGGCTTTCACACACACATGAGAAGGTTTTTCAGTTTACAGTTCTATCACCAGTGTAAAAAAAAAAAAAAAAAAAAAAGGTCATTTTCCCTTATCTTCACCAGCTCTGGATTTTATCAATCTTTCTTAGTAAATTAATGGGTGAAAAATTATTATTACTTTGTTGCTGAAGTTGGGGATCATTTTAGTGTTTACTTCCCTATTTACAAATTGGATGTTTATCTTTCCTTATTTTTATGCAAGTTTGGTGATCTTTGTTATTGACTTACAGATGCTCTTTAGATAGTATGGCTCTCAGTCCTTTGCCTGATATATATGTTGCAAATATTTTCTTTCAACCAATCACATCTCTATTAACTCCAATTATGGATCTTTTGTTACACAGACAAACTTCATAACTAGAGTTTTGTGTCTTGGTTAGGAAGAGAAAGCTAATGTCTTAACTAGAAATGCTGCAGATGCCAGCCTGAGCTGAGTCATAAATAGCTTGAGTGACCTTGGGTAAGCCCAACACTCCTTTGATCATTAGTTTTCTTATCAAAATGATTAGCTTCCTTATCAAATTTATTCATGCAAAAATTATTTACTTTGAATCCACTTTATGCCATGTCTAGATGTTATAGAGACAAATGAACACAATATTCAAGGAATATACAGTCTAATGGGAGATATGGACAATTAAACAGCCATAACAATAACCATGAGAATGGAATATGCTGTGATGGAGGTTTGCGCAGAATCCCATGAAACCCCATGGAACCCCACATCCAGACCATGAGGTTTTATAGGAGTTGTCCAGGTGAGATAGGGGAATAAGAAGGGCCCATTGGTCAGAGGGAGTTACAGGAACAGAGACTTGGGGGCAAGAGAGAGGAACTACAACAAGTTCATCCAATAGGGGTGATGATGTTGGTGTGTTATGAATCTGGAAAGGTAGGCGGGGACTATTGCAGTGCCTTTCATTCTGTTTGGCCTTTTTCCTGAGGACATTAGGATGCCTTTAAAGTTTGAAGCATGGGAGTGAGATGTGGACTAGCCTTTAGTAAAGATCACTTTGGCATTTCTGTGAAGAGGATAAAAGAGGGCACAGTCAGAGGCAGGGAGGCCAGCAAGGAGGCTGTTGTACTGGCCTGGGAAGGAGATGGCCAACACAAATGAAGCAGTGGGGAGGAGACAGACACGTTGGATAGCTTTGGGAGATTTGTGCCCGTGTTTCCCATCACTCATATTTGTTGTGAATCAAAAACAATATGTAGCATTGTTCCACGTGGAAGTTTTTTGTAAACTAAAAAAATTCCACTTCTTAGTGGAATTGTAAGCACTGTGACAGGTGAGTGGAGATAGTTCTGAATACAGAAGACTTTCCAGGAAGAAGAAATGGTCACTATATTTAAAGTAGAAAATCATTGTGTATTCAAATTGTACTTACTTTGTCTTTCATATTTTGGTTTTCTTTATATGGCTGTGAATGTATAACCTAAGCATCAGCTCATCTGCCCTCCCCTTTCCTCCTCCCAACCTCTTATTCTTTTTGATTACATTCCCATGATATATGTTAGCAAAGACCAGGGCTTATTTTAGTCTTTCCTGAGAGTTCTAACTGCCACTCTGCAATTGGCCACCAGCTATCTCCCAGCCATTCACTACCCTCACTGCACTTGAGGACAAGTGTCTGCTGCCTCAGCCAAGGAGCCAGTGAAGATGTGAATGGGGAGAAAGAAAACTCTCCAATATTTCTCCATCCCTTTATTCTTCATATCAGCACTTATCAAGCTGATATGGGGACTTCATACTTTACTGAAGCACTAAATTAGACAAACGAAATTACAATAAAGAAGAGAAAATTATTCAAACAATAGACTCACTGTAATTTTCACCTTGCTCTAAGGGACAAGTGCTTCTTCCCCCCACTCCACACTCATCCTCAGCTCTGCTTCTATTTTCTGTTCCCAAGTGAGTGGCTGAACAGTACTGGAGAGAAAACATGCCCTTTGTCAGGAGCAAACCTTTTCTCATCACAGTATTGTTTCCTCAGCTCTCTGTTTCACTTAGAAATGGAAAAAATATTGAATGCCATTTCCCAGACCCACTGCTGGCTAATAGCTTCAACTGCTAATGTTTTATGAAATCTGTCCCAGTTGATGTGGTGCATTAAGCAGAACCCACTGCGTTGACTTTGCTCCTCTCCTCCTCTCTCCCGGTTATTTGGCCTGTGCTGATATGTGAAGAAGCTCTGCAGGTCCAAAGCTCTGCCTGTGCACAGCAACGGCAATGGGAAATGACTGCCATCTGCATGCTGCCATTTTCCTTTTGGTGCTGACATGGATTCTTTGGCAGATCTTCCAAAGAAAGCTGAGTGTGTTGACACTGTGAGTTTGGTTATCACCCACTTTCCTAGGACAAAGGCTCAAGGCAACCCCCAGTAACATTTGGTTGATATTAATTTCATCTATTTGTATTCCTCGTGGTTAAAGACAGTAACAGCATTGGTGATGTGGCATCAAGATGCACAGTCCTACGAATGGGGCATCTGGCCTAAAATGGCAACAGGTAATTGGAGAGGACAGAACTGGAAATCAATTCAGAAAGCTTTAATAATAATAATCTTAATACATTTACAGGTGCTCTCTTATTTGATCCTTAAATGAGGTAGGTATTGTTTTTATCCCTGTTTTAAAGATAAGAACACTGAAGTTCAATGACCAGAAACTTGCCCAAGGTCATAAACCTTGGAGGGAGGAGGTATGGATTTAGGTGATTCAAGCCCTAAGAGTTCCAATATCTTATCTGGATCCTGTTGTTAAAGGAAAAAATGTTCGTGACATTTGTTAAGACAGTAAGGCAGATTTTACTCAAGACAAACGTAACAGGTGTAGGGACTACCACAGTGGGGTTTAGCAGTAGGGGAGACAGATTGGGTTCAACTCTGAACATAAGAAAAAGGGGGAATTTAGAGTCAAGGGGGTGGAGGCTGTCAGTAGATGGAGAATAACTAAGAGGGTAGGGTGATACTTTGCTAAACTGTCCTAACAGGATTCTTGTTAGGGGCAGGCAAGCCTTGGTAATCAGATATAACCTGGGGATGATGGGAGTGGTGAAGAATTTGGTCAGATATTGAGGATGATCAGATATTGAGGGTGGGAAATCCTGGCCAAACCAACCTGACAAAATTCTTGCTGAAACTGGATGATGCAAGAAAGGACACAGAAGTCCAAAAGTCAAGGACTACCTTGGAAGAGGATAGTGGTGACAAAGAGTCTCTCCTTGACCAAATTTTAGTCAGGCTCCACCACTGTGACCCTCTGCCCATAGCTGAGGGCTGCAGCATCCGGGAAAGTAAGGTTCAGTGAGTTTTGAGTTTGGTCGTGAAGAAGGACAGAAACAAGATCTGGCAAACAGAAAGAAGTAACATTTGTTTGGAGATGGTGGTGGAATGGGAATGATCCTTTATTAAATCCTGGGCATTAGGTACATCTGATAGGGAGGAACCACTAACACTCAAGATCCTCCTGAGGCAGCAGCTCCCAAGTCCACCATTTTCCTCTGGGAACTTTTGTGTTTAGTCTGTAATCAGCTGAGCATTAAGGGCAGCATCATCCTGGAAAGTAAGTAAATAGGTTCAGGTGAGTTTTGAGTTTGTGAAGGACAGAAACAAGATCTGGCAAACAGAAAGAAGTGACATTTGTTTGGGGATGGTGGTGGAAGGGAACGATCCTTTATTAAATCCTGGGCATTAGGTGCACCTGATAGGGAGGAGGCAGTAACACTCAAGATCCTACCGAGGCAGAAGCTCCTGAGCACCGTTTTCCTCTGGGAACTTTGGTATTTAACCTTTAATCAGCTGAGCATTGTGGATTGCTAGCCTCTACAATCCCTACATGGTTTCCAGTTCTGTTAGGAATTGGGAGCAGAGGAAAGACAGGTCTGAAATGGGCTGGGTAATGGAAACCTGACTCTTTCTCTTAGAGCTCAAAAGAGTAGCCCATGTCACAAACAGGAGCCTCAGCTGGGCACCGTGGGGCTATTTGCAGCCTGACAGCCTCTGCTGAATTATTGATGCCCCTCAGTACCTCGGGACCTCCTCCATGTTAACAAATCACACTGCATATTAAAATTTAAAGAGGCAAATGAGGGCAATCTCTTTCCCTATTATTTCCCTCTTCTTTTGCCATCTGAGCTCTAAGTTTTAAGTCAATCAGCCTGAAAGGCTTCTCTTAGGAGATGGCACAGCTCAGAGAGCCAAGCCTAGGAAAGGAAAACTAGAGGCCATGAGTGGGCCCAGGACTGAGTCCTGAGTCAATTAATGGAGTCTGGGGGCTCTGGGCCAGGTGAGCACTGACTCTCTGAGTCGTGGAAACACCTGAGAAAAAAAATCTGTTCATTCCCTTCTTACGACAGTTATGCCACTGCCCAGTGTGCCATATCTCAAGTGTTTCCCTAAAGCAGAAGATAAAAACTTTTAAGTTGTGGTCCAAATTTGTTGTTGTTGTTTCTTAGTGAAAAGAGTTGCAAAAATTTTAAAATCAGAAGGTTTTACCTAAACCTGTTTTTTTTTATATTTGACGTGCTATTTTGCATGCAAATATAGTAAAAACTGTTTTACTACCTAGATTAATTATTCCTTTTATTAGTATAAATGACCTTTTCTCTTTGTTTTCATGCATTTCTCCTCAAGTTCTACTTTCACTGAATGTAATTTCTTCTTTTTTGTTTATTATTATTATTATTATTTTGAGACAGAGTTTCACTCTGTTGCCCAGGCTGGAGTGCAGTGGTGTGTTCTCAGCTCACTGCAACCTCTGCCTCCCAGGTTCAAGTGATTCTCATGTCTCAGCCTTCTGAGTAGCTGGGATTACAGGCGTGCACCACCAGGCCCGGCTAATTTTTGTATTTTCAGTAGAGATGGTGTTTCACCATGTTGGCCAGGCTGGTCTCGAACTCCTGACCTCAAGCCTCAGCCTCCCAAAGTGCTGGGGTTACAGGGGTGAGCCACTGCGCCCAGCCTTATTTCTTCCTTTAAACATAAGATTTTCTGACTTCTCTTCAGCGATCTGAAGACTTGGGCTTTCATCTGCACATTGTACCCCTTACTGGGGATGACAGTGGCTAGTCCTTCAAATGAAGTATGGCCTCTTAACCATGGTTCTTACCATTTCCCATTAGTGGTTGAATTTGCAACCCCTGATCTCAAGAAAGATGGCAAACAAGTTTTTCTATGTGCCAACTCAGGTCTATTAGCAAGACTGCCTGTAGCACCAAAATGAATCTGAGGTCAGCTGTGGTAGATTGCTGTGTACTTTGCAATTGTGCACCCCCCCTTCCCTCTAAGAGGATTGCATGTCTCTGACCTTTGCCATGTGACCATGTGCAGATCATTCAAGCAGAAGTTTTTAAGAGGCATCATAAGTTGTCGCCACCTCTCTGGCGCTTTCACATTCTGCTGTGGGAATAGCACACCCTATGATCCTTCAGCCTGGATCCCAGAAGGAAAAGGACACATGGAGCTAGTAGCTGATTTACAGCTTGGAGCTGAGCCACAGTCTGGAGCAGTGCTTCAGCCAACCCACAGCTTTCAGTAACATGAGTGAATAGCAAATGTTGCTGTAAGCCACAGAGAATTGGAGGTTATTCATTACCACAGTAAAGCTGACCAATACAGCAAGACTAGTCTTTATAGAAAAGAATACTGAGGTTTTTTTTTTTAAAGCAGCATTTTTCTATTTTCTGAGAAGAAAAAATTAGGTAGCATTAGGAAATTCCTGAATATTAATTTTAATTTCCTTCAATTTAAAAATATAACTTCCAGGATTCTGAAAAAATCATGGCATTGGCAGTAAAATAACTGAGTTGGATTCCTGAATCCACACTTATGACCATGTTATAAAATATTGAATGACGTTCCTTTTATTAAAGATAATTATCTTTTTTTAAAAAAACTTCTTGTGTATATTGAAGTTGTAGTATCTGTCAATTTCATTTCTAACAGTGAGCAGAGAATATAGATATTGTTATACAAAGGGAGTCTGGCATCTGATAGGGTTTTACCCACTACCTTATTGTGAGGATCAAATGACCTTGATTGAAAATGCTCTGTCAGCCTTACGTGATTACTAGTGATTTCTAGTTTTTGCTAGTTTCGTAAAAAACGGCATCTCTTTCTCACTTTCTCCATTAGGAGGCAGGTTAGGCATGACTATCACCATCTGACAGATGCAAAGGCAGATGAGGTGGCAAACGGGTCAGGGCCGGAGGGGATTTGCCAGCTAGTTAAGGGCAGAACTGAGAGGCAGTCAGTTTATCACGGAGTCTCCTGACCACCAGTAATCTGTCCACTGCCTTACTCAAAAGGGGGCCAAACCAGGCCTTATGAGCAATTTTGCTAATACACAGATTTCCAGTCTAATGCTATCAGTTATCATGAGGCATGTGCTGGTTTCTTGGAAGCAGTCAAATCTAATTAACCTCAATATCTACTTTCATGTTTACCTTTTACATCCTTTGGCCTCTGGCATTGCTTTAATTTACATTTTTCAGTTTGTAATGTCAATGTTCATCAGCCCCTTTCAATCCTTGATTAACCATTTTGTGGTAGGCATGCTAGTTATTCTTTTCTTTGTTAGAGACAAGGTCTTGCTCTGTCACCCAGGCTGGAGTGAAGTGGTGCCATTGTAGCTCACTGTAGCCTCGACCTCCTGGGGTCAAGCAATCCTCCCACCTCAGCCTCCTGAATAGCTGGGACTACAGGTGCAAGCCACCATACTCAGCTAATTTTTAAACTTTTTGTGAAGGTGGGGTCTCCCTTTGTTGCCTGGGCTGGTCTTGAACTCCTGGCTTCAAGTGATCCTCCTGCCTCAGCCTCCCAAAGGTAGTTTATTCCTAAGTAAGAAAAAGGTTTAATTTGCACATGGATAATACTAGTATGCATATTAGTATTATCTATATACAAATTATGAACTATGTTCATATTAGAGAACATTTATGGTATACAAAGTTAAACTCCCAGAGTTGGGATTTTTATACTTCGGCATCATTCACTAATTTTGGACTCTCTAGTCTGATACAACTTCAGGTCATCCTTTTGGGCTTCAAAGGAATTTTTATCCATCTAAAAGGCATCTCCACCTCAATGTCCCATAAACAATCAGACAGCTTTGAAGGAGAATTACCTAAACTAAGTGCCTGCTAGCTGATACATCCCCTTTTAGGAGATGTTGATGTGGGGCAAAAGCTGGGTCACTGGTTAGAAATCTGCTGCTGCTGCAAATACACAATGGAATCCTCCAGAATTTGGGGATGCCATGTCAGTTGCTCAGTATCTGAGGGCAGGCAAGCTATGTGGAACGGTCTTTGCTTTGGAACCCCACTATACATTTATCATTTTCATTTCCTGTGTTCTCTGCTGAACTCAAACTCCTTTTTTGAAAGTAGGCTTATGCCAAGAGGTCAAGGCTGCAGTAAGCCATGATGGCACCAGTGCACTCTAGCCTGGGTGATGGAGTGAGACCCTATTAAAAAAAGAAAGAAAGAAAGAAAGAAGAGAAAAAGAGAACGTAGGCTTATGATGGGGCTCCATTGGAGAGTAGACATCTTTTCCATTGACTTAAAACTTTCTGTGTGTGTGTGTGTGTGTGTGTGTTTAAAGAGAGTCTACTGATGCAGAATGAAGAAAGCTAGAGACCACCAGGTCATGGAGAAACTTCCTAGGGGTGGAGAAGAGCTCAGAAGAACCTTTTGGGGTAGAAGCTGTGAGGCCAGATGTTATCCAGTTTGCCAAGAAACCCTCACCTAGAGGCACCAAATTATTGCCCCCAGCTTTGGCTTGTAATTTTTGCAACCTCCCTAATGTTAAGGTTTCAAGACCTGCAGTAAATTTTTCTCAGGGGTGGAACATGACGACAAGGGGTTCCTCAAAGCCCTCCCTGCCACCAAGCAACTATCACCTAGCTCTCCACTTCTCTTCCCCTTCATTGGCATCGCCTATCTCCTACTCACAAGGGAGGGAGCTCCCTGTGGAAGGGGCTCTGACCCCACACACCCTCCTGCCACGGCATTTCTAGTCACCCTATCCCAAGAAGCTTTGCAAACTTAATGCAAGATGGACCAAGGCTGGGCTGCCCTGCATGTCAAGTGTGCTCAGCAAGCATGTCCCACCTCATCCCCTTGCCCCACCCGCATGGCAAAAATAATTAAAACACCGCTTCTACTATTTCCCAGATAACTTGGCATTTGTCAAGGGATTTCATGCACGTGACCTCATTTATTTTTACCTCAGCAGCTTTTGAAGCAGGGACCATGACTGCCATCTTAGGAATGAGGAAGCAAAACCTCCCACAGCTTTCAGGACTTGCCTGAGGCCTCCCTGCTGGGAAAGGGCAGAGCTAGGACTTAAGTCTGGCCTTTCACTTTCAGGCCCATCTTCCCTTCCCTAGTTGGCCTCCTTGGGTCTATGAGGTTGAGTCTCCCCCGTGTTTCCCCCAGTTCTCATTTCCCTCCTCCCAGTTGGCTCCACACCAGCCTCCCACCACAGAGTAGCTTCAGACACACTAGGAGTCCTTCCACAGCCGTATTCCTTTTTCGCCCTAGTCTCCTACAAAGTATATATTTTAAAGCTTCTGTTTATTTGACAGTCTCCCCTGATGGAGGGTAGAGGAGGTGATGGCTTTCTCTCTTCCTCAGTCCCTCAGCAAACATACTATAATTGTGTGACTTCCCTTCCCTAAGATTTTGCAATGACTCCTTACAACCAATCTCATAAAACCAGAGTCATTAATCCATCATGGAAGCAACTCCCTTCTAACTTTTTTCTTTTCTTTTCTTTTCTTTTTTTTTTTTTGAGATGCATTCTCACTCTGTCGCCCAGGCTGGAGTGCAGTGGTGCGATCTCGGCTGCTTGCAACCTCTGCCTCCTTGGTTGAAGTGATTCTCCTGCCTCAGCCTCCCGAGTAGCTGGGATTACAGGCACATGCCACCACGCCCAGCTAATTTTTTGTATTTTTAGTAGAGACAGGGTTTCACCATGTTAGCCAGGATGGTCTCGATCTCCTGACCTCGTGATCCACCTGCTTCGGCCTCCCAAAGTGCTGGGATTACAGGCGTGAGCCACCGTGCCCAGCCCCTTCTAACTTATTTCTATTCTTACCTCTCTTCTTTACGAACTCTGTGTTCTGGTTGTTTCTTTGGTCTGTGTCTCCCACTTTCCGCTCTGAATTCTCATTCTTCGAGGCTTAAAGGCCCTTCCTTCCACAGGTGCTGCCCCTGCCCCCCTCCCCTCCTCAGGCCCAGAGCACTTGGTTTGCGCCGCCTATCAGACATCTCACTCTGGCTTGTATGGTTAGATTTTACGCATGTGTATGTGTGGGTGTGATCCCCACCACTAGTGAGAAAAGTCTTTGAGGGAAAGGATCCCCTCTCGTACGTCCCCTCCTGCTAGAGGAAGGTAAAGGCATAGGGAACCACATGGCTTGGAGAAGGAATGCAGAGAAGCTGAGAATAAGGCACAGGTGCATAAACTTGCACAATAATTACTTCATTAATATCAAAACCAGTGTGAAACATTCTCAGTCCAGAGGGCGGGGCTGGGCCGGGCTCCTTCCTGGAGCCTCTGGCCAGCACTGCAATTCCTCTGAGGCACAGGGCTCTCTTGATATATATATATATATATATATATGTGTGTATATATATATATGTATATATATATGTATATATATGTGTGTATATATATATGTGTGTGTATATATATATATATATATATTTTTTTTTTTTTTTTTTTTTTTGAGACGGAGTCTCACTCTGTTGCCCAGACTGGAGTGCAGTGGTGCGATCTCGGCTCACTGCAAGCTCCTCCTCCCGGGTTCACGCCATTCTCCTGCCTCAGCCTCCCGAGTAGCTGGGACTACAGGTGCCCGCCACCACGCCCGGCTAAGTTTTTGTATTTTTAGTAGAGACGGGGTTTCACCATGTTAGCCAGGATGGTCTCGATCTTCTGACCTCGTGATCCTCCCACCTCGGCCCCCCAAAGTGCTGGGATTACAGGCGTGAGCCACCGCGCCTGGCCTCTCTTGCTATATTTCTCCAGTCCCTGTAGCTGTGCAGGAGGAGCCACGACCACTCGGGAACCCTCGTCTAATCCGACCTCCCATCCTCACTTTCCTCTAATGGCTTTAGGGGTGCTGACATAACAGTACCTCGCATTAGCCTTCATGTCTGTTACCCCATTTTATGCTAGCCATTCCTACCTTAGACATGAAGGACTGACATGGAGAAATTACATGATTTGCCATAGCTGTTTTGCAATACAAGAGAGTAAAGAGAAAAGCAGGAAAATATCAAGCTCTCAGCACATAAGCTGCCCTTGAAGAAGTCCACAGTAAATGTACCTTATTTTGTGACCATTTCCCACTGACCCCCCTCAGTTCCTCACCCCCAGCCTGCAGAAAAATGAGGTTTCCCCCTATCCCTAGCAGGGCAAGAGCCCACTAACAGGCTTGCGCTCTTTCTTCCAGACCAGAGCAATTCCTTTCCCTTAGTGAAGCCCTCTGGGGGCCTTCTATCACAGGTACAAGAACTGAAACATCCAGGCTGTCTGGAATGACTTGCTCAAAGTCACTGAACACATTGGTGGCCCAGTTAAGATTTATACTGAAAGCTGCTAATGACAGTATCTGTCCTCCAACCACCAGTCTGGGCCGATGGGTATCTGTTTATAACATGCTTTTCTCTGGCTCCCTTGACAGCCCCTAACCAATGTTTTCTTATCTAATTACATTCCATGTAATCTGCTCCTGCAGATTTGCCCTCATTGTTGCCAGCATTTACAGCCTTTTCCACACATTTCCTAGAAAATGCTCATGTCCTGACGTTAGGTAAATATTGTCATAGGTAGGAGAGCTCTCTGGTGTGTTGATCTATACTCCCGTACCACTACTAATTCTTCAAAAGGAAGCTTCCCAGAAGCCACAAGCTGAAGAAGCCACTTCATCTTTAGAATTGGTTTTCACTTGCTCAGTGCCATGGAGTGTTCAGTGAGACCAGGATGTCACTGCAGCCTCGTGGTTGTGTATTCCAGGTGCCTGGCCTGGACGGGCATAGGAGCAAGAGCTAGTGGGCAGTTGTCGGGGTGGGAGTGGAAGAAGGAGTTTTCATACAGGGAAGGTCAAGGGACGTAAGTTCTATTCTGCAGTGAACATTGTATAGGGTATTAGACAAAGCGTGTACCTTGTCTGTGTTTTAGTTTCTTCTTTGGTATAATGAAGAGGATAATGACTTTAAATTGCTTGCCTTGTCAGTAAGAACAAAATATATTTTTAAGGTTTTGGATGTCCAGGTAAGTGCTGGCATATGATTAGAATGGATTTAAGCCTTTGCGCTCTGGCTATGCCTCTTAATCCTGAGATCTTGGCCAAATTACCTGAGTCCATCAATCCCCAGTTCCTTCAACCAGAACAAGGGGAATAAAAACTAGTACCTACCTCATAGCATTGTTGTGAGGTTTAAATGAGTCACTGTTTATAAAGCACTTAATGTATGCCTGCATTTCTCTAGTGCCTCAGTACAGTCCTCACAGTCGGAGCAAAGATGACCCAGCTTAAATGTCTAGGGTTTTGAGTCTAGTGTATTGATTTCCTCATGGCATTAGACAAGCTGATCTAAAATTTTATATGGAAGAGCAATGGACAAAGGCAGTGTTGGAAAAGAACAAAGTGGAGACTTACCTCACCAGGCATCAAGACTTTTTATAGTGTTTGTATTAGGGTTCTCCAGAGAAACAGAACCAAGAAGATATATCAAGATATATGGAAAGGGATTTATTATGAGGAATTGGCTTATGGGGTTATGAAGGCTGAGAAGTCCCATAATCTACTGCCCACAAGCTGGGGGCCCAGGAAAGCTGGTGGTGTAGTTCCAGTCCAAATCTGAAGGCCTGAGACCTGGGAGTGCAGATGTCCAAGGGCAGGAGAAGATGGAGGTGCCAGCTCAGCAGAGAAAATTTGTCCTCCTCTGTGTTTTTGGTCTATTCAGACCCTCAACAGATTGGATGAGGCCCCCTGACATTGATGAGGACAATCTTGTTTACTTGGTCTACTGATTTAAATGTTAATCTCTTCAGAAAACCTTCCCAGGCACACTCCGAAATAATGTTTTACCACCTATCTGGCCATCCCTTAGCCCAGTCAAGGTGATTCATAAAGTTAACCATCACAGAGTTTCAGCAATCAAGGCAGATGGTACCAATGTAGGAATAGAAAAATAGACAAATAGACTTGGTTATCCATATGGAGAAGAATTGAAACACATTATACACACACACAAAATCAAATCCAGGTGTATCAAAATTAATACACTATGTGAAAAGCAAAAATATACTTTAGAAAAAAATATAGGAAAGCATCTTGGACTTAAGGGCTAGGAAAAGAGTCCTTAGATAACACACAAAAAACAAAAACCATAAAGGAAAATTGTGACAAATCTGATTGCATGAAAGTTATGTTTAAAATTTCCTTTTAATGAAAGATACCATAAACAAAAATTAAAGGTAAGCCCAAGACCAGGAGAAAGGATAAGAAATACAAATATTTGATAAAGTCCTAGAACCTGGATTTTAAAAAGAGCAACTCAATAATGAAAAAAAAGAAGCTGGCAAAACATAGGTTAATGTTTAATAGTTGTTAATTGTCAATAAATACATGAAAAGATGCTCAAGGTCCCCAGTAACTAATAAACTACAACTACAACCACAATAAGACACCATTGCTCACTCATCAAGTTAACTGAGAATTGAAAAGTATAAGCAAGAGTCTAGATAGGTGAGAATTCTTCCACATTACTTTGAACTTAGTTATAATCACTTTGAGCTAGAGGCTCCACCTCTGGGCATATAATCTCATGAAACTCTGTCACATCTGCAGAGAAGGTGTATAGAAGAATGTTGACTACAGCATTATTAGCAATAGAACAAAATAAGAGGAAACGAACTGACCATCAACAGTAGATAAATAAGCTGTGCTATAGCCATATAAGTATAATGAAATTTTGTGTAAGAACTGAAATGAATGAACTAGGATTACATGTATCATTAACATGGGTAAATCTCAAAAATAATGAATTTTAAAAAACCAAATTACAGAAAAATAGGTACAATAGGACACCTTTTGTATAAAGTTTGAAAGCATATAAAACAGCCTATTTGTTATTTATGGATTCACACATAAGACACATATGTGAAGAGTAGTATAAAGCATGAATAGGAATGGTAAACATGAAATTTAACATGATGGTTACCTGTAGGGTGGCTTAGAGGAGGAGCACGTAGGAGGCTTCAATTACTTTATAGTGTTTTATTATTTTACAAAATCTAAAGCAAATATGTCAAAATGTTAAGATTCAATAAAGTTAGATGGTGGGCAGACAAGTGTTTAATTATGTTATTTTCTCTCACGCTGTACGTATTTACAGAATTTTGTAATCCATTTTAAAAGATTCTAAATTGTCCTTTACTTCCAATACAAAGAAAGATGAAATTATAACTATATGCTGTTAAAGTTTTGATGTATGGCCTGCCACCCTCTTTCAACAGCCCTGGACAACTATTCCTAGTACTTAGCACAGTGCCTGGCCCCAGAAGAGTAGACGGAAAGAATAAAAGAATGAATGGACCTGTCCTTGGAAATAGAGGTGTGGCCACATGTACGCTGTGCCCTTTCTGTCATTAAATCACACTTTCCTTTCCAACCATCTCACTCAGCCTGAGTTGCCATCCAGTGTAATGATTCAGGGTAATTGTGCTTAGGGACGATTGCTAGTGGGATAGCAAGGAGTTGCAATTCAGCCCTGGCTGTGCTCTGAATTCATTAGTGAATTCATTTTCCAGCTTCGTGTCCTGCTCAGAAGAATGATCCTCTCTCCAAGCAGGGCATTGCTGTCTTTCTCATACTTAGCAATAACAACCAAAAACAAACCCAAGGAAATAAAATCACCAGGGAGGCTTTCCTCTTTAATTAAGGAGTTCTAATGAGTCACAGTCTCACCATGCATGGGACTCAATTATCCTTTATAAATAGGGGATTGTGAATGTGGGATGTGTTTTCTTTTGCAGCCCTGCTGCTATTTCTCCTTTGTTTCCTTCTCCTGGTGCTGCTGCTTCTCTCTGTACACGTGTATGCACATATGTGAAATTGATGACATAAAGAAGATCCAAATCTCTTCGCCTAGTCAACTTGAAGTTGTAAGATTCCTTGAGTGTCATTGAGAAATGTAATAGGGAGTGGGTGGCTTGGCTGGTAGCTTAAATGGTGCCAATGATTGTAAAGTCATAGGTACCATCCCCCAAAAGCCAGAATGATTTCCTCTGTTCTGCTGACACAGAGAGCATCACAAATCTTGGCAAATATATCATTGGTTACATGGTTGATCAGACAAGGCAGGGAGGAGTGAATCGTGTCAAATGGACCACCACCACTGAAACTCAAACCTGCCCCCACGCTGGTGATTTTTGTGGATTCCTTTAAGAGGAATGGTGAGTGTCTTCTAAGAGTAAGAAGGGTTAGCAGTGTTCCAGCTTACCTACAAAATGTGAAACTGAGAAAGCCCACTGGGGCGACTTCCATCTTTATTGCTAAAGAGTAAGAAATAGAGACTTGGTCATTCTCACTGTCATTTTTGTGATTTTTCTGAACCTGAAGGTATATAATGAGGAAAAATGAGACAAATTCAAGCAAAGAGAAATTTGGGCAGAATCTCTGGAGGGAAAAATAATCATGGTGAAATCCATTAGACTACGTAATAGTCATCCCCAAGGGGGATGACGTAAGCCTCATAGTTGCAGTCATTTAAATGTAGACTGAACCATGCATTTGTGAGCAGACCCCAGGGAACAATCCTGCATTGCACAGGGGATAGGGAAAGCGATAGGCCAGATGACCTAATAGATCTTCTGTAACTTAATTTCTAGGGTTGTGGGATCCTAATTAAAATGAACTATATTGCCTGTTATGAACCCTCCATGTTAATATTCTGTAAGGTCTCCAGGCAAGTCAAGGGGGTCTTGGCTTTTTCTTATTTCTTTTGAGCCAGAACCCACAGGCTGCCTTAAGCACCTAGCTGCTGTCCATCACTTCTTATAGCTGACAAAGCTTGACTTAAAAAAAAGTTTTTAAAGAAAATTACAGCACATATTATGAACTAACATTTTATACAAATTAATTGAGTGAAATGAGAGAAGTATGCTTCATTCTTTGACCTGTGATAATAAATATTCTTCCGGTCAATAACACGACGGTGAGTCAGCCCTGCGATGGAGGCAGTTGTCGCCATATAACACACAGGACTCCAATCTGCTTCCTCACATCTAGTGCTGACTTTTCCTTTTAGCTTTAATGATGTTTGAAAGGGAATATTGACGCTGGAAAAATCTTAGAGAGGCTCCACCAATCACAGACGAGCGCAATTCTCCACTAATGTGGGCCTCTTTTCCTTGACTTCCTCTAGACATGGAACTCCACTGAGGATTCTCAGGCAGGGCCACTGGCGAGCTGGCCAGAGCTGCTCTGAGAACCACCAGTGAAGGGCAGAGGGCACTTTAGCCCCAAAAGTAGTAGCAGTTTAGGGCAGGTGGAAGAGACGGGTGGTTCAATTGCCCCATGTGGCGTTTCAGGTGGGCCACATGGGTCAATTGAGTCTTATCAACTTGTGTCTTATCTAGCAATTGAATGCCATTGCTAGATAAGAGTGGTGACCTCCAGCTGGTAAGTTATTTTATCAGCCTTGTCCCATCCCAAGGATCCCCAAAAAGGCCACAGAACTCTGCCAGCAGGAAGTAGACACCGGTGTGCATCAGAGAATATCAAACTCTACCTATTTTAAATTTATAAACTGGATTCTAATTAGCCTGCAGGGAGTTTCCATGGAAATTGGAGATATCACTTTGCAACAGTATAAGATCACAGCATCAAGTAGACGGGAAAAGTGGAAAATCTCTATTCTTTTAGGAATCAGCTGGAGTCACCTCGCTATGAAATTGTCCCTGACCCAGGCAGATTCCAGGTGTTCCCACTTCCATTACAGTATTTGTAGTATGTAATTGTCAGTGTACATATCTACATCCCGCAGACGGGGGAGACACTGTCATTGTTTCTGTTTTTCTCCAGAATATGGCTCAGTTCCTGATACAGAAGACACTTAAAAACAACAACAACAACAACAAAACTTGTTCGATTATTACAGTGATGTCTTAGAACATTGGTTTCTTCATCTATAAAATGGCATAATAATACTAATTCAGTTGGCTGTTCTGAGGATTAAATGCCAGAACAAATAAGTACTTACAACAATGCCCAGCTCCTAAATAATGTGTAGTTCCTATCCCCGCTTATCTTGTGTGAGAGGATTATTTTTGGTTTTGATAGGTATCAGGCAAAAAGGGTTTTTTAAAACAGCAAATAAATCAGAATATTCCACACTTGTAGTCTGCATTTTGTGTTGCCATTTGATTGGGTTTCTAGACTAGGCCAGCATTTTATATTCTGTAAGCATGGTAGAGGTTATATTATCTCCAGCCCCAAATCTTGGACATTAAACCTTTTCCTCATTGCTCACTCGGCTAGATATACATTATTAATAAATGAGATTTCTGAGATGTTTAGACTTGATTCTAAACATTCATGAAATAAACTTGGAGAATGAGTAACTATCATCAGTGATGATAAAAATGAGCTTGGGAAGATACCCTGTGTGTTGATTCTGATGAGAATTTTACCTTTATTGGACACCAGAATATTTCCAGGTATTCCCTGAAAACTCCCCTAGAGATGTCTTAACTCTTCTTTGATGGTTAATATTAAGTGTCAACTTGATTGGATTGAAGGATGCAAAGTATTGTTCCTGGGTGTGTCTGTGAGGGTGTTGCCAAAGGAGATTAACGTTTGAGTCGGTGGACTAGGAGAGACAGACCCACCCTCAATGTGGGTGGGCACCATCTAATCAGCTGCCAGCATGGCTAGAATGAAGCAGACTTGCTGAGTTTTCCGCCCATCTTCTTTCTCCCGTGCTGGATGCTTCCTGCTCTCAAACATCAAACTCAAGTTCTTCAGCTTTTGGACTCTTGGACTTACACCAGTGGTTTGCCAGGGACTCTCAGGCCTTCGGCCACAGACTGAAGGCTGCACTGTCAGCTTCCCTACCTTTGAGGTTTTGGGACTCAAATTGGCTTCTTTGCTCCTCAGCTTGCAGATGGCCTATTGTGGGACTTTACCTTGTGATCATGTAAGTCAATTCTCCTTAATAAACTTTCCTTTATATATACATCTATCCTATTAGTTCTGTCCCTCTAGAGAACCCTAATACACTTTATTTTTACAAAACAAGAAGTGCTTATAGAATGACTTTTCAAGGAGGTTTATGCGATCAAAACACACTACAGTGTGATGCTGGGTTTGCAGGGCGACCATGGAACTGTTGGGCAGAAACTCACATATAGAATAGCCTGCTACCAACCAAAGCCAGGTTTCATCTTTCCCACCAGCAGAATCCACCTCTTCCAAATCCACCCACATCATTGCATGGCCTGCAGGTAGGCTTTTCAGCTTCCTCTGATTGTCATACCAGGCACTGGGCCTATAAAAAGCAAAGCGGAGGCTGAGAGGAGGCAGAGGCAAACACTGAAGGTGTTTCAGAGGCCTATTCCCCCTGTGTATGGTGAGCACAGCACCTGGCAATGGATCGGGCTCTCCCACCCAAGCCCCATGCCCACTCTGGCCCCTTACCCCTCAGCCTTGGTGCCCTGGGTTCCCTAGTTCTTCTGTGGCCTCGACTCCCAACTGTGTGAAACCTGCATTGTCTTGGAGTCAGTGAGCTACTGCCTTCTCTATTTCCTGCTTTTAATTCCAGTTGACTCTTGACTTACAATCATGTATTCTTACTGGAATTGCCTCCCTGAAGGGCAGAAATTCCCTTTCTCCTGCTCTTTTGCCCCATCTGCCCTCTGCTGGCCATCGATAGGTACTGCGGTCAACCCTGAAAAGCCGTTTTTCCCAGTAGCATGTACCGAAGCTGTTTGCTCTTTCCTAATTCAGACGCTTTCTTTTTCTTCTTTTTAAAATTTTGGTTGCATTGCCTCAGAGTTTTTCAAAGCAACACGGAAACACCCTTTCTCTTTCCATGTCCCCAGTGACCATGTCATGGATCTGCCGTAAAGCATCTCTTACAGTAGTGGTCTCCAACCTTTTTGGCACCAGGGACCGGTTTCATGGAAGGCAATTTTTCCATGGACCAGCGGGGTGTGGGGATGGTTTCGGGATGATTCAAGCCCATTACATTTATCGTGTGCTTTATTTCTGTTGTTATCACATTGTAATATGTAATGAAATAATTATATAACTCACTGTAATGTAGAATCAGTGGGAGCCCCTGGCTTGTTTTCCTGCAACTAGAAGGTCCCATCTAGGGGTGGTAGGAGACAGTGACAGATTTCCAGGCATTAGATTCTCATAAAGAGCCTGCCATTAATCTACAGCATCAGTGTTACGCTGTAGAATGGTTCAGAATCTTAGCCACCGAGATCCCTCGCATGCGCAGTTCACAGTGTGGTTCATGCTCCTATGAGAGCCTAATGCTGCCGCTGATCTGACAGGAGGCGGAGCTCAGGTGGTGATGCTGGCTGGCCCACACTCACCTCCTGCTGTGCAGCCCGGTTCCTAACAGATACCAGTCCGTGGCCCTGGGGGTTAGGGACCCCCGTCTTACAGCATCCAGCGGGGCCAGGCACTTGGTTAAGTAGATCCTTGATGACTGAAACGTGACAATGCTGAAATGGCTGTGGAGTACTGTTTGGAGTTTGTGGGGGTGGGGTTTGTAAACTGGAGAACTTTATGTTAGAGTTTCTTATTATTGACATTTGAGGCTAAATAATTCTTTGTTGTCTGAGTCTCTCCTCCACGGTGTAGTATGTTTCGCAGCACCTCTGGCCTCTACCCTCCACGTGCCAGTAGCACCTTCCCCAAGTTTGTTGTCCTCACAGACAACCAAAAATGTCTTCTCTACTCACTCCCAAATGTCCTGGGGGGGCAAAATCACTCACTGCGGAGAACCATGGCATTAGGGTGATGGAGTAGAAAGCCTGCTCTACTCAGAAGGACTTCTAAGTGCCAGAAGGTGCAGGTCTGCTCTCTGGGGCCACTCAGTGCTTTGAAGGACACCTGATTTATTTTGGAGATGGACACTTAACTGCTGAATACACTGGCATGGGTGGGTGGTCCCATCGAGAGTTTTTCTCAAAGGTTTTCAATGACTCCTCTTGTGTTCTCTGGCCTATCCTACTCCAGCTCTCAATTCTGCTAGGCTTGAGTTCCAGCGTCAGAGCCTTTCTGAGCCTCTCTTCTCAGTCTTAGCCTCCCCTCCTTCCCTCTCTCTCCACCCACCTTCTGGCCGTCTGGGAAGCTTCAGCTTCATCCTGCTTCCCCAGCACTGCTCCTCCATCCACCTTTTTTTCTTCCATAGATTCGTTAAAAACATCTTGTCTGAAGGCAGTTCTCCCCTTTCTACATCACCATGGGTTTTTTTTGCAGAATTTTCTTCCATTACAATCACTGATTGTAATCAATTCTCTTTCCCCCAGGTCTCTGCCTCCTCTCTGTCAGGAAGGAGAGAGAGAAGTTAACCACACAGAACTGACCACCCTCTTTACCCAGAAGGAGCTGATCAGCCATCTTTAGGCAGAAGGCTTCCTCCAGCTGCACCCAGATTCCCCTTCTGTCTCCCACAGCACCCTGGGCTTACTTCTCCAGATCATGTAACACCCTGTGCTAAGATTGTTTATCTCTTGTCTGACTTCTTGAGTGGATCATAAGCTCTTTGAATGCAGGCATTGTGTCTTCTCACTCGCAACATCTCCAGTGTTGAGGACAGAAGTGCCCACAGTGCATAGGATATACTCAATAAAGGATTATCAAATGTCATGGAAATAAGGCCTTAATTTAAATTCAGTGGGAAGAGATTTTCTTGAACTTTAAGAAGACTTGGGGACAAAATTTGAACTTCTTGTATGTGTTTCTCCTCAAAGAGCATAGCTCTGCCTTAATTCTTCTGAATCTGACATCGAGCCTCTGGAGTTTACTAGACTCTTAGGCTGGGAAGCTCTTGGTCCATTTTTGATCCACTGCATTCTGCAGTGAGATGAAGCCCATTCCTCTGACATCCCACTTGGTGTGCCATGCTGATAAACCCATAACACTGATGCTGTAGATTAATGGCATGCCTTCACTTATGAACACTTTTTCCCCATGGTGACTAATGGCATTTTGATGGTGTCTCCTTAGACAGCTGCCTAAATATAAAGCAGTATGAGCTAAAAGAATAAATTGAAAATGTCAGTCGTTTTGTGTAATCCTTCCATAATATTATCTGGGAGCCCAGCCTAGCTTTATGGAAATCATTCAGTAGAATCAGACAAGATTTTTCCTACAGCACTTTTATGTTTGCAAAACCATCATCATTGTCAGCTTTAATTAATATTTATTTCTGTGTATCACACCTCATGTTAATAACTCTCCTCCAGGACTATTAACAAAATCCAGAACTGTTATTTTTCAATAGAGGAAGCGGAGGTATACACAGAGGTTTGACAGCTTGCTTAAGGCTACAGGATAAACTCAGAGTCAAGCTGAGACCAGGAGGCACAGATCTTCATCTCCCTGAGAAGGGCGGCTGCTCTAGGGTCAGCTTTGGGACATATGCCTCACCTTTGTGTGCCCATCAGACAAAGTGAGCCACCTGGTAGCTATGCCTGGACATGGTAAGAAGCACGCTTTTGAAATGAAGAGGGAGCCATCTCATTTTCCTGGCATATGTCACATCTCTTACTGAAGGGAGAGACCCATAGCTGCCTGTATTGTCCGTTGGGGCATGTCACGGTCTAGAGACATATGAAAGACAAAAAAGCTCACTTGTCATCTGCCTTTCAGTCTAGGAGAGACAGCCCGAGACTGCTGCCGTGGTGGCTGTGAGACGCTGTGTCACATATTAATTAGGAGGAGCATATGTAGCATTTCTAAGCCAGGGGCCATTTGTGGCGGCAGCAGCCACGCAGGAGGCAGGGAGTGCAGCTAGTAGCTAAATGGAGGGTTTAGGATGCAGGTTCTCGGCTCAGACACCGGGAATGAATCCGTTAAGAGAATGTTGCGGCCCTCCAGGCCCCGCTCCTCCTGCCTCGCAGGTGCAGTCACTTGCTGCCCTGGGTTCCCGCGCAACCAGAAGCTTCCTGGGCCCAGCGAAAGTTCTCATCCCCTGCTCTGTAGCCCTTGAGACGCGCGGGAGGGTTGGAAAAGCCGAGCCGATTGTGGGTGGCAGGCCTCCACAGAGATCGATTTGAAGGCAGAAGCTGAACTCATCATACCTCTTTAGAGAAGAAGTAGTAACGTGCCCTTTTCGCTCAACAAAAACCTGGGCAAGGCCAAGGGAAAGGATAGCATGCCCCATGCGGTGAGCAAGGGCGCGTGCGCAGAGTAGCCCGGCCCAACACTCACCTGGAAATGCGGCTGGGCCAGGGTACAAATCACAGTCTCTCTTCCATCCCCGCCCCTGCCACCCACTTCCCTCCTCCGACTTGGCTTTCTGCGAGTGCGCGTGAGGAGAGACTTATCCAAGGTCAGGGACAGAAGTCAGAAGATCCTGATGGTTGCCTGCTCCTTACTAACTGTGTAGCCTTTGGTAAGTTCCTTAATCATTTTGAACCTCTGAGTCCTCGTTAAAATGAGAATGAGAATACACATCTTACCTATGAGGCATGGTCCAGTGAACTATGAGTACTGTAGAGAGAAGCATGCTCCACAAATATGAATGATAATGGTGATTTTCATATTCAACTTTGTCAGGTATACCTTTAAAGTCACACACTGAAGTACTAAGATACAAAACCCTTAGCCAGGCATGGTGGCTCATGCCTGTAATCCCAGCACTTTGGGAGGCCAAGGTAGGAGGATCATTTGAGGCCAGGAGTTCAAGACCAGCCTGGGGAACATTGTGAGACCTTATCTCCACAAAAAAATGCAAACATTAACCAGGCATGGTAGCACACGCCTGTAGTCCCAGCTACTCGGAAGGCTAAGGTAGGAGGATCACTTGAGCCCGGAGGTCAAGAGGCTGCGGTGAGCCATGAGTGCACAACTGCACTCCAGCCTGGGTAACAGAGCAAGACTCTGTCGTAAAAAAAAAAAAAACAAAAACGAAAACAGAACCCATTAGGGACCCAAGGCATAAAGAGAGAGTTATGTGATGATACATAACTCTCATAATTTTGAGGATGTGCTGCCCTTCTTGTGTTACTGTGCCCAGTCAGGTGAAGGGACTGGGATGAGACAGCCCATCACCTCCACAGACCTTTCTTCTTTTTTTTTTGGCAGAGTTTCACTCTATCGCCCAGGCTGGAGTGCAGTGGTGCGATCTCAGCTCACCGCAACCTCTGCCTCCCGAGTTCAAGCGATTCTCCTGCCTCAGCCTCCCGAGTAGCTGGGACTACAGGAATGCGCCACCATGCCTGGCTAATTTTTTTGTATTTTTAGTAGAGATGGGGTTTCACAATGTTGGTCAGGCTGGTCTCGAACTCCTGACCTCAAATGATCTGCCTGCCTAGGCCTCCAAAAGGGCTGGGATTATAGGCATGAGCCACCGCACCTGGCCAGCCCTTTCTTAAGTACTGGTAGTGTTTTTACCACTGGGCTAGACATTGTAGAGGATACAAGAAGAGACTGAATACAATCTCTGCCCCTAGAGAATGAGCCATCTAGAAACAAACAAACAAAAAAAGAAGACAAGGGAAGGAAATAGAGCACTCTCTAGTCCAGTTGTTTTCAACCTTTTGGAAATGCCATGTCCTCTTGGGCAGCTGAAGGTCTAGAAAGTACAGTTTATATTGATCTGCCGTTCTGTTTCTCGAACACCACTCTGTTCTCTTCTCAGTGGAGATGAAGCACAACCACATGCTTCAGATTTCTTTTTAGATCAAGGGATCTCCCACCCTCTTGTTCAAAATTCTCTGTGTGGATGCTGCTTCTTTACATCTTGAAGTTGAATAGAACAAGTCCTTTTTCTTCCTTGGGCCCGTGGTCTGCATGCTGGTGACAGCCCATTGCTCTTGACTCTCCTCACCAGGCCCCTTAAGTCAATGTCCTGCAGCACAGGATGGGTACTTTCTCCGTTCTCCCTCGAAGGTGGCCTGGTAGTTCCCTGTCCGTTAAAAACTTTTGGCCCACAAAAATGCAGAAACCAGTTCAAGATTTACATAACAGTTCATGGCAACAGAATATTGATCACGAGGCAGTACATGATGAGTTGCCAAATGAACTGCATAGCCCTGTTGCTATAGGAGTGGAGCTTCCTCAGGTCCTCTCTGGAAGTAAGCAGATCATGCACTGCGAGCCAGCCGAAATGAACAAGCTGACAGAGGGGAAGGAGATCCAAGCAGACAGAGGGAATAGAGGGAATCTAAGGAATTTGTCTCTGAATGACCAACTGTACTATACAGGAAATATTGGGCCATCAAAGGATGTCATCACTTTAATAAGTCAAACATAGTTAAATATTGATCATTTCAACTTAAACATTTGAGGATTTGGTAAATATTTTTTATATTTACTTGAAAAGTTTATGTGGCTTTTTCTTTGGATTTGAAGATAAATCTAGAGCATAGTTTTGACATCTTATTTGGCCATTAGAACTGATAGCATCTTTCCTATGTACCTTAGACTCTAGAGAAATTGTCACATTTCAAACTCATAAACACTGTGAATTGGGTATTTTTAATTTTTATACAGAAAACAGAGGCTCAAAAAGGTGAATTTGCCCAAAGTTATGCAGCTGGTAACTGCATAACTCAAACCTCAGCAAATAGGTCAAACCTCAGCAAATAGGTCAGATTCCCTGTTTATAGTTGATATTCAAGAAATATTTATTGAATCAACCTAAGTGCACACATTCAAAGGCTCAGTCACTACATTTTCATGCAAAATATGTGTGATTCTCACTTATGTATACATATCACTCATGCATCTCATCCACCACTTTTTCCTTTCGTTTACCCAGTTACTGGATATCTCTGAACCTCGTTTTCTCTTCCATTAAACATATAATTGGTGAGCATGTACTATGGCCCCTTTTGATAGCTGTTTCTGCTTATCATGTCTTTATTCAATTTTTTTTTTATACTTTAAGTTTTAGGGTACATGTGCACAACGTGCAGGTTACATATGTATACATGTGCCATGTTGGTGTGCTGCACCCATTAACTCATCATTTAACATTAGGTATATCTCCTAATGCTATCCCTCCCCCCTCCCCCCACCCCACAACAGGCCCCAGTGTGTGATGTTCCCCTTCCTGTGTCCATGTGTTCTCATTGTTCAATTCCCACCTATGAGTGAGAACATGCGGTGTTTGGTTTTTTGTCCTTGAGATAGTTTGCTGAGAATGATGGTTTCCAGCTTCATCCATGTCCCTACAAGGACATGAACTCATCATTTTTTATGGCTGCATAGTATTCCATGGTGTATATGTGCCACATTTTCTTAATCCAGTCTATCATTGTTGGACATTTGGGTTGGTTGCAAGTCTTTGCTATTGTGAATAGTGCCACAATAAACATATGTGTGCATGTGTCTTTATAGCACCATGATTTATAATCCTTTGGGTATACACCCAGTAATGGGATGTCTGGGTCAAATGGTATTTCTAGTTCTAGATCCCTGAGGAATTGCCATACTGACTTCCACAATTGTTGAACTAGTTTATAGTCCCACCAACAGTGTAAAAGTGTTCCTGTTTCTCCACATCCTCTCCAGCACCTGTTGTTTCCTGACTTTTTAATGATCGTTATTCTAACTGCTGTGAGATGGTAGCTCACTGTGGTTTTGATTTGTATTTCTCTGATGGCCAGTGATGATGAGCATTTTTTCATGTGTCTTTTGGCTGCATAAATGTCTTCTTTAGAGAAGCGTCTGTTCATATCCTTCGCCCACTTGTTGATGGGGTTGTTTGTTTTTTTTCTTGTAAATTTGTTTGAGTTCTTTGTAGATTCTGGATATTAACCCTTTGTCAGATGAGTAGATTGCAAAAATTTTCTCCCATTCTGTACGTTGCCTGTTCACTCTGATGGTAGTTTCTTTTGCTGTACAGAAGCTCTTTAGTTTAATTAGATCCCATTTGTCAATTTTGGCTTTTGTTGCCATTGCTTTTGGTGTTTTAGACAGGAAGTCCTTGCCCATGCCTATGTCCCGAATGGTATTGCCTAGGTTTTCTTCTAGGGTTTTTGTGGTTTTAGGTCTAACATTTAAGTCTTTAATCCATCTTCAATTAATTTTTGTATAAGGTGTAAGGAAGGGATCCAATTTCAGCTTTCTACATATGGCTAGCCAGTTTTCCCAGCACCATTTATTAAATAGGGAATCCTTTCCCCATTTCTTGTTTTTGTCAGGTTTGTCAAAGTTGTAGATATGTGGCATTATTTCTGAGGGCTCTGTTCTGTTCCATTGGTCTATATCTCTGTTTTGGTACCAGTACCATGCTATTTTGGTTACTGTAGCCTTGTAGTATAGTTTGAAGTCAGGTAGCATGATGCCTCCAGCTTTGTTCTTTTGGCTTAGGATTGACTTGGCGATGTGGGCCTTTTTTGGTTCCATATGAATTTTAAAGTAGTTTTTTTCCAATTCTGTGAAGAAAGTCATTGGTAGCTTGATGGGGGTGGCATTGAATCTATAACTTACCTTGGGCAGTATGACCATTTTCACAATATTGATTCTTCCTACCCATGAGCATGGAATGTTCTTCCATTTGTTTGTGTCCTCTTTTATTTCATTGAGCAGTGGTTTGTAGTTCTCCTTGAAGAGGTCCTTCACGTTCCTTTTAAGTTGGATTCCTAGGTATTTTATTCTCTTTGAAACAATTGTGAATGGTAGTTCACTCATGATTTGGCTCTCTGTTTGTCTGTTATTGGTGTATAGGAGTGCTTGTGATTTTTGCACATTGATTTTGTATCCTGAGACTTTGCTGAAGTTGCTTATCAGCTTAAGGAGATTTTGGGCTGAGACCATGGGGTTTTCTAGATATACAATCATGTCATCTGCAAACAGAGACAATTTGACTTCCTCTTTTCCTAATTGAATACCCTGTATTTCCTTCTCCTGCCTGATTGCCCTGACCAGAACTTCCAACGCTATGTTGAATAGGAGTGGTGAGAGAGGGCATCCCTGTCTTGTGCCAGTTTTCGAAGGGAATGCTTCCAGTTTTTGCCCATTCAGTATGATATTGGCTGTGGGTTTGTCATAGATAGCTCTTATTATTTTGAGATATGTCCCATCAATACCTAATTAATTGAGAGTTTTTAGCATGAAGGGTTGTTGAATTTTGTCAAATGCCTTTTCTGCATCTATTGATATAATCATGTGGTTTTTGTCGTTGGTTCTGTTTATATGCTGGATTACATTTATTGATTTGCATATGTTGAACCAGCCTTGCATCCCAGGGATGAAGCCCACTTGATCATGGTGGATAAGCTTTTTGATATGCTGCTGGATTCGGTTTCCAGTATTTTATTGAGGATTTTTGCGTCAATGTTCATCCGGGATATTGGTCTAAAATTCTCTTTTTTTGTTGTGTCTCTGCCAGGCTTTGGTATCAGGATGATGCTGGCCTCATAAAGTGAGTTAGAGAGGATTCCCTCTTTTTTTTTTTTTTTTTTTTTGAGACTGAGTCTCGCTCTGTCACCCAGGCTGGAGTGCAGTGGCACAGTCTTGGCTCACTGCAAGCTCCGCCTCCCGGGTTCATGCCATTCTCCTGCCTCAGCCTCCCGATTAGCTGGGACTACAGGCACCTGCCACCACACCTGCCTAATTTTTTGTATTTTTAGTAGAGATGGGGTTTCACTGTGTTAGCCAGGATGGTGTCTATCTCCTGACCTTGTGATCTGCCCACCTTCGCCTCCCAAAGTGCTGGGATTACAGGCGTGAGCCACCACGCCCAGCAGATTCCCTCTTTTTCTTTTGACTGGAATAATTTCAGAAGGAATGGTACCAGCTCCTCCTTGTACCTCTGGTAGAATTTGGCTGTGAATCCGTCTGGTCCTGGAGTTTTTTTGGTTGGTAAGCTATTAATTATTGCCTCAATTTCAGAGCCTGTTATTGGTCTATTCAGAGATTCAACTTCTTCCTGGTTTAGTCTTGGGAATGTGTATGTGTTGAGGAATTTATCCATTTCTTCTAGATTTTCTAGTTTATTTGCGTAGAGGTGTCTATAGTATTCTCTGATGGTAGTTTGTATTTCTATGGGATCAGTGATGATATCCCCTTTATCATTTTTTATTGTGTCTATTTGATTCTTCTCTCTTTTCTTCTGTATTAGTCTTGCTAGTGGTCTATCAATTTTGTTGATCTTTTCAAAAAATCAGCTCCTGGATTCATGGACTTTTTGAAGGGTTTTTTATGTGTCTATTTCCTTCAGTTCTGCTCTGATCTTAGTTATTTCTTGCCTTCTGCTAGCTTTTGAATGTATTTGCTCTTGCTTCTCTAGTTCTTTTAATTGTGATGTTAGGGTGTCAATTTTAGATCTTTCCTGCTTTCTCTTGTTGGCATTTAGTGCTATAAATTTCCCTCTACACACTGCTTTAAATGTGTCCCAGAGATTCAGGTATGTTGTGTTTTTGTTCTCATTGGTTTCAAAGAACATCTTTATTTCTGCCTTCATTTCGTTATTACCCAGTAGTCATTCAGGAGCAGGTTGTTCAGTTTCCATGTAGTTGAGCGGTTTTAAGTGAGTTTCTTAATCCTGAGTTCTAGTTTGATTGCACTGTGGTCTGAGAGACAGTTTGTTATAATTTCTGTTCTTTTACATTTGCTGAGGAGTGCTTTACTTCCAACTATGTGGTCAGTTTTGGAATAGGTGTGGTGTGGTGCTGAAAAGAATGTATATTCTGTTGATTTGGGGTAGAGAGTTCTGTAGATGTCAATTAGGTCCACTTGGCGCAGAGCTGAGTTCAATTCCTGGGTATCCTTGTTAACTTTCTGTCTCGTTGATCTGTCTAATGTTGACAGTGGGGTGTTAAAGTCTCCCATTATTATTGTGTGGGAGTCTAAGTCTCTTTGTAGGTCTCTAAGGACTTGCTTTATGAATCTGGGTGCTCCTGTATTGGGTGCATATATATTTAGGATAGTTAGCTCTTCTTGTTGCATTGATCCCTTTACCATTATGTAATGGCCTTCTTTGTCTCTTTTGATCTTTGTTGGTTTGAAGTCTGTTTTATGAGAGACTAAGATTGCAACACCTGCCTTTTCTTGTGTTCCATTTGCTTGGTAGATCTTTCTCCATCCCTTTATTTTGAGCATATGTGTGTCTCTGCACATGAGATGGGTTTCCTGAATACAGCACACTGATGAGTCTTGACTCTTTATCCAATTTGCCAGTCTGTGTCTTTTAATTGGAGCATTTAGCCCATTTACATTTAAGGTTAATATTGTTATGTGTGAATTTGATGCTGTCATTATGATGTTAGCTGGTTATTTTGCTCATTAGTTGATGCACTTTCTTCCTAGCCTTGATGGTCTTTACCATTTGGCATATTTTTTGCAGTGGCTGGTACTGGTTGTTCCTTTCCATGTTTAGTGCTTCCTTCAGGAGCTCTTTTAGGGAAGGCCTGGTGGTGACAAAATCTCTCAGCATTTGCTTGTCTGTAAAGTATTTTATTTCTCCTTCACTTACGAAGCTTAGTTTGGCTGGATATGAACTTCTGGGTTGAAAATTCTTGCCTTTAAGAATGTTGAATATTGGCCCCCCACTCTCTTCTGGCTTGTAGAGTTTCTGCCGAGAGATCAGCTGTTAGTCTGATGAGCATCCCTTTTTGGGTAACCCGACCTTTCTCTCTGGCTGCCCTTAACATTTTTTCCTTCATTTCAACTTTGGTGAATCTGACAATTATGTGTCTCGGAGTTGCTCTTCTCGAGGAGTATCTTTGTGGCATTCTCTGTATTTCCTGAATTTGAATGTTGGCCTGCCTTGCTAGATTGGGGAAGTTCTCCTGGATAATATCCTGCAGAGTGTTTTCCAACTTGGTTTCATTCTCCCCCTCACTTTCAGGTACACCAATCAGATGTAGATTTGGTCTTTTCACATAGTCCCATATTTCTCGGAGGCTTCGTTCATTTCTTTTTATTCTTTTTTCTCTAAACTTCTCTTCTCACTTCATTTCATTCATTTGATCTTCCATCACTGATACCCTTTCTTCCAATTGATCGAATCGGCTACTGAGGCTTGTGCATTCGTCACGTAGTTCTCGTGCCTTGGTTTTCAGCTCCATCAGGTCCTTTAAGGACTTCTCTGCACTGGTTATTCTAGTTAGCCATTCATCTAATCTTTTTTCAAGGTTTTTAACTTCTTTGCCATGGGTTTGAACTTCCTCCTTTAGCTCGGAGAAGTTTGATCAACTGAAGCCTTCTTCTCTCAACTCGTCAAAGTCATTCTCTGTCCAGCTTTGTTCAGTTGCTGGTGAGGAGCTGCATTCCTTTGGAGGAGGAGAGGCGCTCTGATTTTTAGAATTTTCAGTTTTTCTCCTCTGTTTTTTCCCCATCTTTGTGGTTTTATCTACCTTTGGTCTTTGGTGATGGTGACGTACAGATGGGGTTTTGGTGTGGATGTCCTTTCTGTTTGTTAGGTTTCCTTCTAACAGTCAGGACCCTCAGCTGCAGGTCCGTTGGAGTTTGCCAGAGGTCCACTCCAGACCCTGTTTGCCTGGGTATCAGCAGCGGAGGCTGCAGAACAGTGAATTTTGGTGAACAGCAAATGGTACTGCCTGATCGTTCCTCTGGAAGTTTTGTCTCAGAGGAGTACCCAGCCGTGTGAGGTGTCAGTCTGCCCCTACTGGTGGGGTGCCTCCCAGTTAGGCTACTCGGGGGTCGGGGACCCACTTGAGGAGGCAGTCTGTCTGTTCTCAGATCTCAAGCTGCGTGGTGGGAGAACCACTACTCTCTTCAAAGCTGTCAGACAGGGACATTTACATCTGCAGAGGTTTCTGCTGCCTTTTGTTTGGCTATGCCCTTCCCCCAGAGGTGGAGTCTACCGAGGCAGGCTGGCCTCCTTGAGCTGCGGTGGGCTCCACCCAGTTAGAGCTTCCTGGCTGCTTTGTTTACCTACTCAAGCCTCAGCAATGGCGGGCACCCCTCCCCCAGCCTTGCTGCCACCTTGCAGTTTGATCCCAGACTGCTGTGCTAGCAATGAGCGAGGCTCCATGGGCGTAATACCCTCTGAGCCATGTGCAGGATATAATCTCCTGGTGTGCCATTTGCTAAGACCGTCGGAAAAGCACAGTATTAGGGTGGGAGTGACCTGATTTTCCAGGTGCTGTCTGTCACCCCTTTCCTTGGCTAGGAAAGGGAATTCCCTAACCCCTTGCACTTCCCGGGTGAGGCAATGCCTCACCCTGCTTCGGCTCATGCTTGATGTGCTGCACCCACTGTCCGACAATCCCCAGTGAGATGAACCCAGTACCTCAGTTGGAAATGCAGAAATCATTCGTCTTCTGCATTGCTCACGCTGGGAGCTGTAGACTTGAGCTGTTCCTATTCGGCTATCTTGGCTAGCTCCCTATTCAATTTTTTTTAAAGTATGTGTATATGTTTATATTACACACACATACTCAACACTTATTGTGTGCCTGCCTCTGCACCCTGAAGCAATGAATGAATGATGTTTTCCGCTTTCTATGAGCTCAGAGCTAAGCAGAGGAAATAAACTGTAAACCTAAGCAAGACCCTGCCCAATGTTATGGACTGAAGCAAAATAATAGAGGAATATATGAGGTATGTAAAGTAAGATATTGGGAGAAAGTATTCAATTAAGAGAAGCTCACAGAGAGCTCACAGATAGCTCACAGTGAGCTAAGCTGGGCAGCCCTATAACCCCAGGATACAATTCCAGGCATGTAGCAGGCATTCAATACCTTTTTTCTAAACAGAATCACATTGATTAAACTGAAAATTTCAGAAGGATAAAGAAGAGTTTTCAAGGTAGGTAAGGATCAGGAAAATCTTCCAAGCCAACAAAATTTAAAAAATCACAGAAGTATGAAACACTATGGTAGGCTGAGGACCTCAGGAAGCTTAGTATGATGATGGCATTAATTTGGAGAGGAACATGACATGAGATGTGGCTGGAGAGTTTATACATCTCAATGGATTTTTTTCTCTGCTGGGCAGTGGGGAGGCCTGAAGGAGCCTAAATAGAAGAGCACAGAATCAGATTTGTAGGATGTGTAGTTGGCAGATAAGACCTAGCAAAAGAGGTGGAAGGAGATGAATGTGCTGAATGAGACCACTCCATGCCAATCCAGGGCAAGGAGCAGGATCAGAGTAGGGTTGCAAGGGGCAGAAATGCAGGCCATGCAGTGGACTAGGAAGGGGAGATGTCCTTCCAGGACCACCAGCCTGACCTGCTGTGTGTGGGGACTGCTCTTTCTTTTTTTTTTTTTTGAGGCAGAGTCTTGCCCTGTTGCCCAGGCTGGAGTGCAGTGGTGCGATCTCGGCTCACTGCAACCTCCACCTCCCAGATTCAAACAATTCTCCTGCCTCAGCCTCCCGACTAGTTGGGATTACAGGCACATGCCACCCATGCCCAGCTAATTTTTTTTTGTATTTTTAGTAGAGATGGGGTTTCACCATGTTGGCCAGGCTGGTCTTGAACTCCTGACCTCGTGATCCACCCACCTCGGCCTCCCAAAGTGCTGTGATTACAGATGTGAGCCACTGCACCCAGCCTGCTCTTTATTTCTTTAGGACTGCTCTTTATTTCTTTTTTCAGTTATTTAAATTTATATCCCACTTTCTAAATTTGAGATGGTTTTTTCTTTTTTTCTTTTTCTTTTTTTTTTTGAGGCAGAGTCTCACTCTGTCACCCAGGCTGGAGTGCAGTGGCATGATCTCGGCTCACTGCAAGCTCCGCCTCCCGGGTTCACGCCATTCTCCTGCCTCAGACTCCGGAGTAGCTGGTACTACAGGCGCCCACAACCACGCCCAGCTAATTTTTTGTATTTTTAGTAGAGATGGGGTTTCATCGTGTTAGCCAGGATGATCCGCCTGCCTCGGCCTCCCAAAGTGCTGAGATTACAGGCGTGAGCCACTGCGCCCAGCGAGATGGTTTTCAATAGAAGAAATATGTATAATGAATTTATTAAAATAGAAATAGATTATTTTAAAAAAATAGAGAAAGAAATCAATAGTTTAAAACCATACACTAAGCCAGTATCACTACTATTAACGAGCATTAAGTTTGGTTTAAGCTTTTAAGCTGCCAAAGAAAAAAACATATAGCACAGAGTTATTTAGTCCTCATTATTTTTTGAGAGAGACAACTTTTTTCCTGGTACTAAATTCTGTAAGGAATTTCCAAAGTTGGGCCCTATTAAAGGTGCTAACATCAACACTCTATCCCCATCGTTTCATTCTGAGCTGTCCTCGAATGTCTCCTCTGAGATTTCTTGCCTGGCTGCCATTTCTACAACAGCACTCATTCTCAAGAGCTCAAGGAAATGTGAGCCCTGATTCCACACTTCCCTGTACCCACTTTCTCTGGATTACCTTTTAAGATGATATGCTCAGTTCTAGTCAGAAACGGGTATAAGCAATAGCACATGGAGAATCTTTCCACATTTTTGGAAAAACTGATGTTGAAGACATTGTCCATTGTTTAGCAAATACTGAAGACCCACACTGAGCAGAATACTGTTTCAAGAAAAGATCATACAGCAGGGATCCCAATAGATAAAGTTCTGGCCCTTGTAATCCTATATTTTTGTGGGAGGACAGGCAATACGTAAATAAATATATGAGGCAGTGTTAGGTGCTGGGAAGAAAAATAAAGCAGGGTAAAGGGTCCTCTTTCAGATGGCGTGCTCAGGACGCCTCCTTTCCATAGCTCAACTTTCATCTCACACCTTTTTATCTGGCTACATCACCTTTTCCTTAGCAACAGAACAGAGAACAAACATTACAGAACCAAATACCTTCACCAAGTTGACCACTAAGGATGGCAGGAAAATGTTCTGCTACTATTTGAGGCCAGAGGCTTATGCCAAATTGTTCATCACAAAAATAAGTCTGCTCAGCCAGGTCATTTCAATGGTAAATCTAATTCGAAATTAAGCTACTGAATCCAAGGTCTTTCTGAATTCCCTTTCAGGGTTCCAGAATAATATATTTGATTGTTTGAGGCAGGGTCTCACTCTGTTGCCCAGGAGTTGAGGGCATGATCTCAGCTCACTGCAACCTCCGCCTCCTAGGTTCAAGCAATTCTTCTGCCTCAGCCTCTGAGTAAGTTCTGCAGTAGCCCAGCTAATTTTTTTTTAATTGTATTTTTAGTAGAGACAGGGTTTCACCATGTTGGCCAGGCTGGTCTCAAACTCCTGACCTCAAGTGATCCACCTGCCTCAGCCTCCCAACGTGCTGGGATTACAGGCATGAGCCACCACGCCTGGCCTTATCCAGCTTTTATACGGGCCATGCCCTCAACATTTATTAGCTCACTGAATGAGATTCCTAGTAGCCACACGCTACAGACTGAATTGTGTCCCTTCCAAATTCGTATGTCGAAGCCCTAACGCCCATTGTGATGGCATTTGGAAATGGGGCCTTTGGGAGTAATTAGGTTTAGATGAAGTCATGATGGGGTTGAGGGGTATTTCTCATGATGAGAATACTGTCCTTATAAAAGGAGATACCAGAGAGCTTGTGCACATGCCCTCTTTGTTTTCACCATGTGAGAATACAGCAAGAAGGCAGCAGTGTGCAAGCCAGCAAGAGAGCCCTCACTAGAACCCAGTGATGCTGGCATCTTGATTTTGGATTTCTAGCCTCCAGAACTGTAAGAAAATAAATTTCTGTTGTTTAAGTCACATAGTCTATGGTATTTTGTTATGGCAGCTCAAGCAGACTTGTTATGGACACCACACAAGAAAAGAGGCAGTAGAGCATATGGTTACAAAGCTGGGCTCTGGAGTCTGACTGCCTGGGTCTATATCCTGACCCCAAGAATTCCTCTCTGGGTGATCTTGGGCAAGTTATTTTACCTCTCTGCGAGTGATCTCCTTGTCTGCAAAGTGAGAATAATAATAGTAAATATCTTGCAATGTTTTGTGAGGATTAAACTACTTAGCACATGTGTGACAATGAGAACATGTCTGACACATAATGCTCAGTAATGTTTATTATTATTATAACTCCAATTTACATATGAGGTTACTGAGGCTTTGAGAGGCTAAGTAAGTTGCCCAAATACATACAGGGAGTGGGTTGCCGATTCAGAATTTGAACCTAGGCTTCTCTGACTCTGTACTCATGCTCCTTCTGTTATGACTGTCTCTGTCACCATGAATACAAATTAAAATGATGTTACCTAGAAGAGATCTAGCTCCAAATAACAACAGAAAAACAGGAGTCCTCACAAAAAACTGGGATCCTCCATTACAGTGGTGTGTTGCTTAATTAGCCATACTGTATTTATCAAATGCTACTGTGTCCAAGGTCTTTCACTGAATAAACAGTGGTAACTCAAAGCAAATAGGATTTCTCTTTGTCTGATTTTTCACTTCACTCCTTCAGTTGTTTATTTGTATAATATTTACTGAACTTTGGGGGATTCACAGAAATAGTGAAAATGATGCTGCTCTCAGTCTCAAGGAGGAAAGGACAGAAAACATACAAAGGGCAAATCTGTAGAGAATATGATCTGATGCTCAGGACAGTGGACCCAGTCACAAAAGAACTGGACTGAGACGTAAGATTTGGTTGATCCAGGGTGGGACTAGTCACACAGAGTTGGCCTAGGCCCTGCAGAAAGTAACTGACATAAATTAGCCAGGGGTTCTCTAAAGCAAAGATTTCAAATTTTAGATCTAGAGGATAAAGTTATCCTGAATAACATTACCTCTCCTAAGACATTACAAATTCAGTGAAATTCAGTGAATATTACAAAAATCAGTAAGTTTTTATGCGATGGCTCTGTGTTTGTTGAATTTTTAAAAATCCATTTGTGTTTTCATAGAAACCTGAATTTTACATCCCCATGCTAAAGAATTTCCCCTTTGGTTCAACAAATGTATCAGTCAGGGTTCAGGCAAAAGATGGAAACCACAAAAATATTATTTTAACAGAGTAAATATAATATAAAGAATAGTTAGCTAGATATAGTTAACTAAGTAACTAAAAATATAATAAGAAAACTCTGCCATTTCATGGAGGTAGCACCAGCAGGAAGCAGCTCTAAGGAGAGGGTGCTGGCCCATGCTGGTGTCTGTCTGGGGGGCACAATGATGCTGGTTCTGCAAGGGCTGGAGACATTGCAGACCTGACTCAGCTGCTGATGCAGGAAGGCAAAGAAGCATTGCTAGAGTGATGCTCACAGGAACGGGAGGTAGACCAGAAGCCAAAAAGAAGCATGTCTCTTCTTTCTCCTCCAGTCTTGCAGCCTCATTCTAGCACTTCCTTTGGCAGAGCCTAACATGGAACCAACTGGCAATACAAATATAAATACAACACAAGAATGAATGTGGCATCTTCTCTCATCTTCAGCATAAAAGGAATGACAGACATGTAAACCAGAAAGCACAATACGTATATATCATACCAGAAGATTGTACAGATGTGAGGGCAGCACTAAATGAGAAATGATTCTTCTGGTTGGGTGCGGTGGCTCATGCCTGTAATCCCAGCACATTGGGAGGCCAAGGTGGGAGAATCACCTGAAACTAGGAGTTTGAGACCAACCTGGGCAACATATTGAGACCCTGTATCTATAAAAATAAATAAATAAATAAAACTAGCCAGGCTTGGTGGCACGTGCCTGTAGCTACTTGGGAGGCTGAGGTGGGAGGATCAGTTGAGCCTAAGAGTTTGAGGCTGCAGTGAACTATGCTCACACCACTGCACTCCAGCTTGGGCAACAAAATTAGATGCCGTCTCTTAAAAAAAATAAAATAAAAGATTCTTCTTACTTACAGTAGCAGCTTGGAAAGACTTCATAGAAAACTCTTGAGCTGAGTCTTCAAAGACAAGCTTTGTTGGTCAGGTAGACACAGTCACCAAGAACATTCCAGACAGAAAGAGCAGCCTGAACAAAGATATGAAGAAGGAAGAAGTGGGATGTGTCCAGAGATCATGAAAATAATTTGGCCCGATTGGACTGTGGGGCATAGAAAATGGATGATGTGGAAAGAGGTAAGGTTCGTGAGGTAGGCTAGGGCCAGATCGTGAATACTCTTCCATGCCAGCTGAATGGTGGGAACCCTATCCTAGAAGCAGTGAAAGATTTGTTAGCGGGGTACCATGAACAGAATTGTGTTTTTGAGGGATAACTCCTGGTTTGTGATGGAGAATCATTGCAGGAGAGCAAGGGAGGCCAGTTGGGAGACTGTTATGCTATTCCAGTTGAGCAATGGTTAGGGTTTGACCAGGGGCAGCAGCAGTGGAGATGGATGGAAGAGGCAGACTGCGGAAATGCTAAGGGAGTAGACATGAGACAAGCAGGGATCAGGGTGGGCAGCAGAGACAGGAGTCTGGGTTTGGGGCTTAGGTCGTGGGATGGATGGTGATGCCATTCTCCAAGAAGGAAGGTTGGCAGAGGCTGGTCTGTAGGTGAAGGAAGAAATAAAAAGGATAAGATCATGACTTAAGCTTTGTACACTGGGCTTGAACTTTCCAAGGGCTGAGAAGATTTTACCTTAAAAGGAGTTGAGTTGATACTGATCTCATCTTTAATAGGACTCGACAGTCCAGATGACATCAACTACTGCCTTCCTAAAAAGGTGTTGCTCATTAAGGAGATAGAAACCATTCAGCAATTCCAGGAAAGATCTCTGCAATCTTTAACACTTCCAGAAAATATAGTCATCATTTCCACATTATCATTCTTTCCCTCTGTCCGCTTGATAATGTTGAGGCCTGTGTTGGCAATAGGACAGATGACAACAAAGATTGACATGTGAATGGCTTTGTCCTGGGGCTTAATGTCTAATTCCTCAACATGATTTCTGATCTAAAATATCCTCCTAAGATGTCCAGAAAATTAAAAAAATATATTTTCTATTGTGCCTGAAGTGAATTCAAATCTCAGATAATGATGTTACTGCTATTCTTAAGTTCTCAGGAATGACTGCTGCCACATTTTAGTCAACTAAGGGCTACTGTCATAGTCAGAGCTACTTTTTCTTTCTTTCCTATCTCTTGCATTGAGGTAGCAAGTATAATTATAGAAGTCATAGAAAGCCAACACAATAGAATTGTTCTTGTTAAGTATTTTTAGAAGGCCTCCTTAACATTTTGTCTTCTTTTTGTTCATTGAACTTATCTTCCCTTACATAAAATATAGTTGTTTAAAAGGAAGAAATGAAGGAACAATTTGTGAATATGCAGGGAGTCCATAGATGTCCCAGAATCCACAGGGCACCATCTCTCCTGTCTTTTCCCTCTATCTCTCTGACTTCCTTTTGCACACATTCTCACCCACCCAACCTTTTAGCACTATCTCTGTAAAGTCTAGCTCAAAACCATAGCCTTTCTCCTTCCCCAGATACCCAAGCCCAGAGCAATCCTCTGAGCTCCTGCAACATCAGGACTATAACTCCATTAGCCTTTAATTGCCAATATTGAGTATGAAATATCATCTTTCTATGTGCATATCTGTCTCCCTAATAGATTATAAGTCTCTGGAGTGCAGAGATCCTCTCATTTGCCTCTTTACACACTTTGTGCATATAGTAACTGGCCTTTGATTAATTACTTCCATGATAAGCTTGACCCTTGTTCTCCCCGGCTAAGCCCTAGAGGTCACCAGATACTTACTTTGTGGCTAATCTCTGGCCTTCCTGCTGTTTACAACCAGGCTTCCTTCTAGCTCTAGAGGATCTTACACAGTACAGAGTCACTGAATAAGCTACTTTCTTTCTTAATCACCTCATTCATTTCATTTATTCTTCCTTGTATTTACTTTGTGGCTAATCTCTGGCCTTCCGGCTGCTTACATCCAGGCCTCCTTCTAGCTCTAGAGGATCTTACCATAGTACAGAGTCACTGAATAAGCTACTTCCTTTCTTAATCACCCTGTTCATCTCATTTATTTCTCCCCACAGATGAGCCACTCTTTCTAATTTGTATCATATTTATTAACTCTCTATCTTCCAGTAACACAACACACACATCTTGAGGCTACACAAAGTCTTGCTAAATGGGATACACTACTACTCTCAGAAGGAAATCAACCACCATAAAAGTTAATGTGCTCACCCCATAAAGAAAAATCTTCCTGACACACAATGGTAGCTTGAAAATTGGTGTATTCATTTTATGACCTCCTTTATTAGCCAGAATGATGCCTTGTTTGATTTCTAAAATTTGTTTAGGATCATTAGCAATGGGCTCCTGGGTGTCACTGACAACTTATACATTAGCCTTGCACACAAGTCCTAGAAATGAGACCAAGGAAACCGCAGTTTTTATTCCTTCTAGGGTATAATTTTTTCTTTCTCCAACCAGTACCTGAATATTTCTCAAATAATTTATATTTTCAGATTTTACAAACATCTCAGCAAGACTATATTAGTTTATTGACCCCATTTTGCAAAAGGGAAGGCAGTTACCAATAGTAGGAGGCTTTTTGGGGCCACGATGGTTTCTTAGATGAGTCAGTATCAGACGTGAGCTCTAATATGACCCTATCTAATTTCTTTTCTCTATTAGGTAGTTTCCTCTGTCCTAAAAAAAAAAAGTAGGAAGAGAAGTATACTAGCTTGCCCCTCTTGTGTGCCTCTGGCTGTCAGAAATAGAATTTGAAAGAGTAGATGAGAAAATGTGAGAAAACCCGTTTACTGATAACTGTTCCTATCTTCTCAGGTTTTTTATCTCTGGCCACAAAGAGTGATTGGGAGAAAACATACTCCAAATAAGTTTTTCTTTCAACTCCTCCTTAACTCTCAAGGCAGTAATTGCCACCCCCTGCCCTCCCTCCCCGGCATCACCACTCTGCTAATACAAACGTGATATTTTACCTTTGCTTCTAGCTTTGGTTCTTTTTAGCAATAATATGTCTTGAGTGGAATGAGATTTTTTCTTCCTTTTTTTTTTTTTTTTGAGACGGAGTCTCACTCTGTCACCCAGGTTGGAGTGCAGTGGCAAGATCTCGGCTCACTGCAAGCTCTGCCTCCCACATTCACGCCATTCTCCTGCCTCAGCCTCCTGAGTAGCTGGGATTACAGGCACCCACCACTATACCTGGCTAATTTTTTGTATTTTTAGTAGAGACGGGGTTTCACCATGTTAGCCAGGATGGTCTTGATCTCCTGACCTCGTGATCCACCCGCCTTGGCCTCCCAAACTGCTGGGATTACAGGCGAGAGCCACTGCACCTGGCCTTTTCCCTCCATTTTTAAACTTTTATTATTATTATTATTTGAGATAGAGTCTTGCTCTGTCACCCAGGCTGGAGTGCAGTGGCGCTGTCTTGGCTCACTGCAACCTCTGCCTCCTGTGTTCAAGCAATTCTCCTGCTTCTGCCTCCAGAGTAGCTGGGATTATAGGCGCATGCCACCAAGCCTGGCTAATTTTTGTATTTTTAGTAGAGACAGGTTTTCCCCATGTTGGCCAGGCTGGTCTTGAACTCCTGACCTTAGGTGATCCATCCACCTCAGCCTCCCAAAGTGCTGGGATTATAGGCATATGATATTTTAATTGAGCATTTCCTATGTGCCAAATAATGTGGTCAGAGCTTATTTTCTAATAAGGGAGTAAAATTTGCATTGTTAACTATGCTAGTAATACCTTCTGGGCTACAACAACATTGTTATCAGTTTCTAGCTACTTAATGATGAGGTCAGATTTGATAAGTTCAGGAGTTGTTTGAACTTCAGAGAAGGTTGATCCAGTGGCTCAATGTTGTCCGCAATGAGCAGATTTTTCTGCCTTTCATCCTAAGGCTGTCATCCCCATCGTGTCAATGTGGCTGAACTGCTTCAAGCTTTACATCCACAAAGCAAACCATCCAGGAGAGATATTTTTCTTGTCAACCATTTCAGAAAAGGCCACATAGCCATCGCTAAATCAATGACCATGGCTAGGCAGTGGGGGGTGTTGATCAGCTGAAGCAAATGAGAGCCCATCTCTAGAACTTTGGGTGAGAAGAGCTTCTTCCCAGATATATAACATAAGGCAGGAGGGAAAGGTGAACACTTGAACAATAATGTAGGATACTACTTGGAAGAGATGGGGAGAGGGGTTAAAAACATCTAGGTAGGCAACCAACAGACCAAACGTCTCCAATACACATCCCTATTTTATCATATCCCAGGCCCCAGGCCAGGCCTTATCACATCATCCTTGGGTTACCTGAGAATTTTCCAGCTGAATTCACAAATGCCTCTTCTCTATTTGGTCTGTATTCATTTACCTAGGAATTTCCACACTTCTCTCTGATAAGTTACCTACTTTTCATCTTTACTTCCTGTATTAGTCTGTTCTCATGCTGTTAAGAAAGACATACACGAGACTGGGTAATTTAGAAAGGAAAGAGGTTTAATGGACTCACAGTTCCACATGACTGGGGAAGCCTCACAATCATGGCAGAAGGCAAAAGAGAAGTGAAGGCATGTCTTAAACTTACATGGCGGCAGGCAAGAGAGCATGTGCAGGGGAACTCCCCTTTATAAAATCATCAGATCTTGTGGCATTTATTCACTATCATGAGACCAGCATGGGAAAGGCCCGCCCCCATGATGCAATTACCTCCCACCAGGTCCCTCCCATGACACGTGGGAATTTTGGGAGCTACAGTTAAAGATGAGATTTGGGTGGGGACACAGCCAAACCATATCACTTTCTTTTCTTTGACATGTCCTGGGATTCTGTTTGCCTTCCAGTCCTCTTTGCAGTAGAGATTAGACCTTCCCTCCCCTACTGGTAGGATTATTCCTCAATCTCCTTTTTCTGCTTTTTATTTTTTTTTTTTTTGCAAGCTTTCCCCAGCCACCTGTTATTTCCACCTTCCCTATGGTACTCCCCAAACACACCCTTCCATTCCTACTCATCCATCAAGAGAAAATGCATGTGATGAAGTCCCATGTTCACATCCCACAACACAGATAGATGGCACCAACAGTAGATGCTCCATATTGTATAGGCGAATGTAAATTGACTTGTGTTTATGCTTCCAAAATGGATATGGTATGTTTCTTTCACTTTATCCCCTTTACACTTACAATTTGACCAGCACTGGCTCAAAACTTTATTTCAACAAGTAAGCAAATCACCAAGAACTCCAGTGCCTAAATCTTGAATTTAGCAGCTCAAACCAGAACCACCAATCTCATAGTAAAACCTAGTCCCATGAGAATCTAATGCAACTTGGGATATGAAAATTATCTTAGTATTCAAATAGCCTCCAGGAGTTGAGATGCTTATCTGATTCTCAAGATTGGAAGTTTCCCCCCTTAGGATCTCAGGATTTGATGATCAGATGTAAAAATCTCTGGTAATTTTGGAACATATTTTGGGCATTTTTTTCAAAACCCGTTATTATTATTATTATCTAGGATATGCTCCATCCAGATACTCCTCTGGTTTTGGGTCACTTCAGCCAGTGAGTTTTTCCTAAGAACTCTTCCCCATCATTCCAAAGCAGCTCTCAGAAAAATCTCTTTTAGAAACGTAGTTAGAAATGATAGGAGCCATCATAAAGAACAGATGGTTACTTTTTGTGAGAAATAAATGCTTTTAAAACTTCTATTCACAGCATTAACTAAGGAAACTTGTCCAGCCCCTAAGAGTTGCTGAGACTCCTTTCAGTTGGTTCTTTGCTAACATTGATATAAGAGATTTGAGTTCATTGTAAAAAAAAGGTCTTTGTAAACCCATTAAAACAATATTGTCAAACAGGGGCTTAGATGCATACATAGCTGGCTAGATGGATGGATGGAAATGCAAAAAAGCAAATAAACTAAAATATGAATGTTAAAATGTAGATGGTATGTTTATGGGTATTCACTGTCTAATTTTTAAATTTTTTCTATGTTTGAAGATTTTCAAAATAAAATGTTGGGGAGCAAAAGAATCTTGAAGAAAAAAGAGATGGACCAGTTGAGGGAGAGGTGGTACACTGACACACCTTTGGAAGAAGCCTACAGACAATAGGGAGAAGTCCATATAAGCATGGCATTACGGGGTGAAGACTGGAAGCTCTAATTGGGCAAAACAAGAGAAGAATAGACATAATAGTTCCTGTGAGAAACTGTCAGAAGTACAGCTAGTGGCATATAAATGCCTTTTATCACTGTTCCTCCCATTACAATCAAAATCCTATTAACAGTCTGTCAGGAGGGAAGAGAAAGTCTGAACCCTGTGCCAAGCACTTTGCCTGGATTATCCCCTTCACTTTTTGCAGGAAGAATGTGTATTTATTTATACTGTGCATTTATTTGCTTGTTGCATTCACAGCATTGCTTACCCCTTTTCCAGCTAGAATCACACTAGTTCTCCTAGGGAGACTCACCCACCATCACTGAATATAGACTTGATGCCCTATCCTACCTGATAAAAGGTGTGGACAAATAACCCGAGTGAACGAGGTCAAGTAGGCACTCTCTCCAGGAAATTCTAATCGTGAACACAGTTGGTAATGAATTGAAAATTGTGGAGTTGACAACATAGAGACCTCAAAGAATGTTTTCATTAGTGCCTGCTATCTGGATCCTTTGGAACTCTCTGAATTCCTGTAATTTTGATTGGGCAGTGTTGCTTCTGTTACTTACAAACAAAACTCTTAACTGAAGGAGGGAATGTAGCTCCCATTTAAGAAATCAAGAAACCCAAGCTCAGAGGAATTAAGTGTCTTGGCTCATGTCAACATCTGATGTTTGTACCTGAGTCCCTCTGGACTACAAAGTCCATCTTTTATACTGACTCTACTATGCTTCCTCTAACTCTATAGACTGGGTTTAATTCCTGCCTCTGGCACTTACTAGCTGGATAAGTTTGGGTAAGCTGTGTGCCAGTTTTAAATTTTAAATTTTTTGATCTGTAAAATGGAGTAAAAATAGTCATGTATCTCACAGAGCTATGGAGAGGATAAAATAAGCTAATTTATGGGTGGTGTTTGGGCATGTGTCTGGCACATAAGTGCTCAATAAATGTCAGCTGTGATGATGATGATATCAGTCAGGGTTCTGGCAAGAAAAAAAGAAGTGTTTGAGGAGAGTTTAATGTAAGGCTAATTAGAAAAGCGAGGAGAGGGTGAAGGAGATGAACAAGGGATGGGTGAAGGACCCCAGGGCTAGAAAGAGCAGCAAGCTGTGGACAAGGGCTGCCCAACAAGGCTGGCATCTCTACTTGTATTTCTAAATTAGTGGCCATGGCAGACACAGCCAACAGTGATTCAGCAAAGTGGGAGCCAGGCAAATAAATACCCTGTTTGTGCCCTCTCAGTTCACCCTCTATTTTCCTGCCAGGGCCTTGAATTGGCCAAACCTAACCATAAGCTAAAGACAAAGAAGTCTGGTTGATGCAGTCCATGCAAGTCAATGTCTAAGGACAAAAGCAGGCTGCAGAAAGGTAGATATTCAACCTGGAGATACTTCACCACAGCATACTCTTAGCTAAGTGAAAAACATGTGTCCCTGACACAGGTCACCTCCATCCCATGCTCTCCCAGCCCCTCTGCAGGATGGGGTTCTTTATTTGCAGGAAAGTTTTGAAACAATTTGAGGGTTCAAAGTTCTTAGTCTTGTCTGTGTTCCCCTAAATGTTCCCATCCTATGTCTCAAATTTTGGCTCTTTTCTCTGCTCCATAACAAAACAGATGTTGATGCAGTTCTCAGATGCTGGGCTGGTCCTCACTCATATCTTTTTCAAGGTGGTTGGTAAGCAGCTCTTTTAAAGCTGCCATTAAAGTTTTCTGATATTATACTTGTGCCCTGAATGGACCTACAAAGCTTTTAATTTTTCCTTTCATCTGTGTACATTATCTAGGACTCACAGAAACACCAGTCACACCACAATCTTGATAATTACCATTGTCACCGTAGCAACTAAGGACCCTAGCTAATTGATCTTTCAACACCTTGCCCTCTACTTGCATTGCATCCCAATCTCTGCTACTAGGAATGATTTGAGTAACATAGCGTGGATTATCCATATCCCATTTTCTTCTGTTAAGAAGCCTCCTTGTTCTCATCAAATATGTTAGCAACTTGTATCAGTTTTCTATTGCTGCTGTAACAAATTACTACAAATTTATTGGATCAAAACAACTCACATTTATTATCCTTCAGCTGTGCAGGTTAAAAGTCTGGATACAGGTCCCACTGGGCTAAAATCAAGGTATCAAAAAGACTGCATTCTTTCTAGAGACCCTAGGGGATAATCCGTTTTGTTGACTTTCCCATCTTTAGAGGCTGCCTGTATTCTGTGGCTCATGGCCTTCCATCTTCAAAGTCAGTAATGGCTGTTCAGTCTTTCCTACATCACGTCACTCTGACACTGACTCTCCTGCCTGCCTCTTCCACTTTTAAGGACCCTTTTGATTGCATTGGGTAATCAAAACCTGGTTAACCAAGATAATCTCTATATTTAGGTCAGCTGATTAGCAACCTTAATGCTATCTGCAAACTTAATTCCCCTTTGTCATGTGACATAATCTATTCACAGGCTCCAGGGATTAGGACACAGGCATCTTTTGAAGGCCATTATTCTGCCTACCACACAATACCATCCCAATACTATTTTAAGAGTCTGTTTCCTGAGGCCATTTCTAAAGGTACTACTCTATTTGTCTGGGTTCTATCAGGAAACAAATGGCATGCTCAAAAGGAATTATTGGAGAACATTTGCTGAAGAGACAATTGCAAAAATGTGGGCAGGGGAAAGGAAATCCATGAGGGATAATGAAGCACCCGAAAGACAATGACAGCAGGAAGGGTCAGGGATTGGGGGAAGCAGTTAGCAGGACCAGGTGATGGCTGTGCCTTAGGTAAAGGATCCCAGCCAGTGCCAAGCCATAGCCCAGCAGGGAAGTGACCAGGGGAACAGATACCTGAATCTCTCCTTCTACCCTTTGATCTCCTTCCAGTGCTGTCGATTGGCCAAACCTGCACAAGGCAGAAGGCAAAGGAGCAGAGTTGATGTAGCCAAAGAAAGTCAGCATCGTAGGGCATGAAGCAGGTGGGGAAGGGTGAATAATAGATCTATGGAGCCGACAGACTATAAACTGCATATTATTTAACTAAATAATTTCTACTAAAAGGTAAATGGGACTACCACCCAGCATGGCATTTGTATTTTAAAATAGCCAAACTCAAATTAATCTATAAATAGAAGTTATGGGGAAGTATTTTTGAGCGGCAAAGCCTAAAGCGAGTCCTATCTATTAATAGTAAGTTCCACTATAGAATGTTTACATCAACAACTAATAAAAATAAAGAGGTAGCACATCTATACAGAAATACGGGATGTCAGTTATTTTATCCTTTTAATGAGGGAAGAATCACATGGATTTATTCCTTCACTACCATGAACTAAAAGGGATTTCATTCCATCACAGTGATGATAGCACCAACTCAAAGGATGTAGCCATGAAGATACCATAATTTTTCCATCATTTGACAAGGACTTTATAAATAAACATAGTGGTGGTCATCACATTCAGGATAAAATGCTGGTCTGGCAGTGCATGTAGGTTACATGAACACTTTTTCATCTCACCAGTAAGGTTACTCAGACACATGACACCATATTTTCCAATAACTACAGTGCACGTATAGGTCCAAAAAGTAGGTCTGAAAGTAAAGGAGCTGATATGCATGTTTCTGTCACTCATGTTCCATGTGCATAAAAAAAATGACAAACCAACCCAACAAAACCCACCAGCTCGGCCAAGTACATGCTCAGGGAAAGGAGTTTCCTTCACAGTGGAGAATTTTCCAGTGAGGGACAGACACAACTGTAGAGGAAAGAGCATTTCAGTAAACAGGAGAGTCTTCCAGAGAAAACTCTGTGCAGAATAAATTCTTTTTCCTTCCTCAAACCACAGAGGCCTATAAATTCCTACCTCCAAAGTGTCTGGAAAGGTAGGATGTTACAGAGAGCAGTTGCTCTCTTAGTCCAAGTGAAGTTCAGGGAAGAATTACCCTTCCCAAGACTTCCACATGGCATATACATTTGGAACAATTTCAATGGTAAAGAAATAGAGTATTTAGACATGTAATGACTGAAGTCTGGATTATGGAGGTCAAACTAAACTCCTGCATTGTACATTTTTTAAAAATGTTAAGAAGAGTACATGCTTATTATTCTAAAACTTCTAAGCAGTACAGAACCATATAAAGTGAAAACCAAAAGTTTTCTCCTTCTCCTCTTTCTCTCCCTCCTTCCTTCTCTTCCTTCCTCTCCCTTCCCTCTCTCTGGCGCTCTCTCTCTCTCTCTCTCATTTTTATTCTCTATATATCTATCTCCAGCTACTTACTCATACAGGAATATGGTTACAGATACTCCTCTAAAACTTTAGAAGATCTGTTTTTAAGGCATGGTCATCAAAGTGGAGGGGAATACCAGATTTACCATGGCATGGAATACCATATGGGAATTTCTATGTATTTTAACTAATCCTATTTTATAGCTACTTGGGAGTATGTTATGTGAGTTAGACAGTACTATACCATATGCATAAAAATTACTTATGTACAAATATTCACATATTGAAGGTGCATGGATGAAACATTTTTCTGACCAAAGTGCCTGATTTAAAAATTTGGAGACCATTGCTGTAAGAAACTGAAATGTAAACATTTAAATAACATTAAGAGTATCCATCAGCTGATGTGTCAGCTAATAAAAGGAATATTTATAAGGTGCTTACAATGTTCCAGCTGTTCTCCTTGCATTATGTCTTATGTACTATGCACAATGGCCCTATCAGGGAGGTACTATTATTTCCCCAACTTCTCAAAGAGAGAAACTGAAGCACAGTTTAGTGGATTGCCCAAAGCTACACAGCTGGAAAATGGTCCTCACAGGAAACAAACCCAGGTCTTTCAATCTAAAGATACAGTGCTCCTCACACTACTCCAGAAGTGACTCTACCATAGACTAAGGCAGAATTAAAAGGCAGCAACAGGAAGAGAGAAGATGGGAAGCCCCTGATTGACAAAAGAAGAAGGACAGAGTCAAGAAAGACATCCTATCCCAGGCACACCTGCCCTACCGATGGGGAGGTAGCAGTTAATACCAGGGTCCATGCTACAATTCTGCTGCGACTTTATAATGTAATTTCAATCTAAATATAATCCCTCTGTGTGGCAGATTATATTTTCCAAAGACATTGGCACAATACATTTCATCCTGCATGCAGTTCCTACAAGGCATTGCTACTTCTTCCATAAAAATGTGTAGTCCATCTTTTTTCCTCCTTATAAAAAACTATGCAGCCATAAAAAAGAATGAGTTCATGTCCTTTGCAGGGACATAGATGAAGCTGGAAACCATTATTCTCAGCAAACTAACACAGGAACAGAAAACCAAACACTGCATGTTCTCACTCATATGTGGGAGTGAGAACATATGGACACACGGAGGGGAACATCACACACCAGGGCCTGTCAGTGGGTGGGGGACAAGGGGAGGGAGAGCATTAGAACAAATACTTAATGCATGCAGGGCTTAAAACCTAGATGACGGGTTGATAGGTGCAGCAAACCAGCATGGCACATGAATACCTATATAAAAAACTTACACATTTTACACATGTATCCCAGAACTTAGTAAAAAAAAAAAACTAAATAAAAAAACTTTTAAAACTAATCAATGAGTCCAGTAAAGTTGCAGGATACAAAATCAACATACAAAAATCAGCTTCATTTCTTTACACTAATAACAACCTATCTGAAAAAGCAATCAAGGAGACAATCTCATAGTAAAATCAAAAAGAATAAAATACTTACGAATAAATTTAATGAAGAAGTGAAAGATCTGCACACTGAAAACTATAAAACATTGATGAAAGAATTGAAGATGCCACAAATAAATGGAAAAATCTATGTTCATGGATTGGAAGAATTAATATTGTTAAAATGTGCATTCTACCCAAAGCAATATACAGATTCAGAGTGACTATGGGAGATGATGGATGTGCTAACTTGCTTGACTGCAGTAATCATTTTGCTATGGATATGTGTATCAAAGCATCATGTTGTATACCTTAGGTGTATATAAGTACACACACACACACACACACACACACTCAAAGGTGTTCATTTTCTCACCCCTCTTGAATCTGGAAGGCCTGTGACTATGGTGGAAGTGATGCTATGTGACTGCCAAATAGTTTATAAAAAGTGATACAGTTTCCACCTGGACCCCATAAAGTTCATTTCTGTTATGCAGGTGCCATGTTGTGAGGAAACCCAGATCACATTAAGAGGCCACGAGTAAGTGTTCCAAACGACAGACCCTGCTAAGGTCTCAGCTGACAGCCAGCATCAACTGCCAGACAAGTGAGTGAAGATAACTCTCACCCCAGCCATCATCTGACTGCAACACATAAGAGATCTTGGGCAAGAGCTGCCTGGCTGAGCACAGTCCATCCCCAAAACATGAGAGATAATAACGGAGTGATTGTTGTTCTGGGCCACTAGGTTTTGGGGTGATTTGTTGCACAGCAATAGATAAGGAGAACACCGTTGTGCCCCCTGTGGTCATGTAAGGACAATAAATCACCAGAAATAAAAAAGCCCTCCTAGTGGGTGGTCCTGAATATAACCACACTTTTCCTTCAGGTTTTCCCTTTTGGGTTGCTCTTTGGTCCTTGTGGATTCAGCTTCTGCTGAAGCCTGGGAGACCCTCTATCCCATAGCTTCCTTCTCCCTTTCTCTTTCTTTTCTATCCTCTGTCCTTCCTACTCAGTGGAACATGTTCCTGGCTCCATCTGGGAAGGTCCCAGTAGATCCACATATGTGGGGGTTCTACCTGGAGTGCATGGTGGAATTAAGCTGAGGCCTTTGGTATTTTTCAAGTAGTCTCTAGAAGACAAATAAACCTCTCTTATTTAACATGGATTGCCTCTCATCCCATAATACAGATCTCCCTTCCTTCCTACCAGACATGAGGAAAAAGCCCTTCCAGTCACAAATAGAGTAACTGTTAGTAAACATATATAACCTGTCTCTTGTTCAGGGTCTATTCTTTTCCCCAGACTAACTCCTCCAGCTAGTCTCTCAGATTGACCTTAGACACTGCCTCCTGAAGGAAAGCTTCCCTGACTCACTCCCCGACCCCTGAGGATGTGGCTGTGGCTGCGGCTGCAGCTGCAGCTGTGGTAGGTTTCCAGCCTAGGTTCCACCAACATCCTAAAAACCCTCCACTTGAATTATATTGCAGTTGCCTGTTGCTGTCTCTTTCCCTCATGACTGTAAGCCCTTTGAGGGCAGGGATGTGTTTCAGTTATTCGTTATTGTATCATCCAGTACCAGGCAGTCCCTGATACTAAGACTTTTCTGATAAAAGAATAAATTTTAGAAATCCCAATGCCATTCCCTCTTCTTCAGATCAAGTGAATATCTACACCATTTTTAATGACCTCTGAAAGGCATCCTAGTAGTTTGCCTGGTATGTACTTCTGATACTCTGATGCATAATTGTAGAATTCAACCAGTCAAAAGTTCACCAAGACAAAAATACCCACTGTAGAGTGATGGACGTCTTATCACTTCTTAAAGCACTGCTTCCCATTTTTTTGAACATCTCAGTTTGCTAGAAAGGCCTTTTACACGTTCAGAATGGGTCTGTCTTCTTGTCATTCACACTGTATTGGCCCCAATTCTGTTGGTCTTTAAAACAACCTAGATTTAATCTTAGTCTTTATATTCTACTCTGTAAAACACTCCCTTCATTAAAACAGAAATTCTCTCACAAAAGGATAATGCATTAAGTTGGTCAATATTTGGCTCAAAATTGCTGATCAAGGCAGGCATGTTTTAAAGAGGAATTAGTGTGCTCTGTGGAAGAAGGATTAATTTGGAGTATAGGGTGGATGGAGAGGGAGCCTCAAAGCTCAGAAAAGCAGGAGCCTATGAGCATCTGGAATTCTCTAATGGGATAAGGAGTCCCAGGAGAGCGATATGGTCAAATACCAAACCCAGGATTTATCTATTTAACCACATCACTAATGGACTGCCCGGGCTGTGGGAGGTTGACCAGCAGGCCCACCTGTTTTGAGAAGCCCACCCCTCAGGCTCTGTGACTGAGCCTGGAGCACACATACAAGGGTCTGTGAAATAAGGCTCCTGACACAGCCAGCCTCCTGGTGTTCTGGGGAATTCCAGCTATTTTGGGGCAGGGGCTGTAGGCATTGTGTTATCTGGAGGTATTTCTGATAAATATCCAAGATTAGTGTCTTTGTTCAGGAGCGGGTAGGAATAGGGAGAAGTCCTAGTTGTCTTGATCACCCTGGAATTACCAACCCCTAGCTCAATGTTTAGAAAGAAACCCAGTTCCTGGCATCCTGAGCATTGAATATGCTCCAGGGAGCCAATCCAATCTCGAGTGCAGGAAAATCTTACCAGGACAATTTCAAAAGCTTATAATTGATATCACTTGGGTGGCTCTGAGAAACAACAGTTTTGTAAGAGATAAAGTCTTTTTTGGAATATATTATTCAAAAACTAAACCCCAGCATTTCTGTGGTTTGTATATTTCATTTTGTGGAGGTATTTCTCCTCTTCCAGGCCATGTGAAGACTTGAAAAGAAGAGAAAATATATAGAATAAGAATCAGTTCTAAACTACTCATTGATTTACTAAGGAGAAATGTGAGTGATTTAAGTCCCTGGGGTTGGAAGGTCTCCTTCTCCTTGTGCTGAGAAAAGCAAGTATCACTTGTTTTCCACCTCCCACCTCCCATTGGTGCTGGTAAATTTCCCAGAGAATGAGGAACAGCTGCTTCCCAAGTCAGGGTCCTTGAAAAGGGCTCAGTCATCAGCTATGGAATCAGCTGTTTGTTTCCTTCCTCCAACTAGGAAGACACTAGAAAACACAGAAATTTAAATATCCTTTGTCTAAGGACAAGAGTGGGAAAATGTGATTCTTCTTGGTTTCTTTTTAAGTCTTTTTCTTTTTTTCTTTTCTTTTTTTTTTGAGATGGAGTTTCGCTCTTGTTGCCCAGGCAGGCACTCCGTGGTAATTTTCTTCTTACCTTGCTGTCTTCCCTTTGGCTTACTCATTTCTCACTGCATGTTTCTTAAAAGTAGTGTTCCCCTGGTATCTAGATTTGACTTTCTTTTCATTGGAAAACCTCACCTCAAGTAGTCTGGTCCATTCCTGTAGCTTCAGTTACCAAATGTATGCCTATGACTCCCAACTCTTTATTCTCTCCCTGATGGTGTCACTCCAGCTCAAGACCTAGAGACCTCCTGGCATTTTCATGTGAATGGTCCAGAGATTCCTCTAATTTATATCTCAGACTGAGCTCTCCACTTTCTCATTCCTTCTCTTAACAAGCTCTATCTCCTACATTCCCACCACCATGCAAGTATTTGCTCAAAACAGAAACATAGACCCCTCCCCCATCATCCATATCAACTTTTAATCAATTTCTGTCAGTTGTTCCTACTTAATCCTCTAGAATTTTTTCACTTTTCCGTATCTGCTCTGTCACTGCCTTAGTTCAAGTCACCGTCATCTTCCATCTCCTAATGGATTGCTCTGCCCTTTGTTTTACCCCTCATCAGTTCATCCATTACCCACACTGCAAGCTACATGGCTTTTCTTTAGATAAAACTTGGCCATGTTACTCCCAAACCTTCAAAGGGCTTTAAGGGTAAAATCCATATACCTTGGAATGGCATGCAAGGCCCTTCAAGATATAAGGGTTCTGCCAGTTTCTCCCGCCCCATCTTTCCCCATTCCTCTGTCATGCAACAATCATGTTGAACTGCCTTCCACAGGGCTGCAACTCTCTCTGGCCTCTGGACCTTTGTAAATGCTCTTTTTAAGATTCAGACTACCTCTCTACACCACAAACTTGCCTATTTCTCAAGGCTTGTAACGGATCACAACTTCTTCGAGTAGATTCTTGCAGGTGTTGAAATCTGGGCTAAGACCTATTGTGTGCTTTACCAAATCTTCCATAACACCTTTTTTTTTCTTTTTTTGAGATGGAGTCTGACTCTGTCACCCAGGCTGGAGTGCAGTGGCATGGTCTTAGCTCAGTGCAACCTCCGCCTTCTGGGTTCAGGTGATTCTCCTGCCTCAGCCTCCCAAGTAGCTGGGATTACAGGCGCCTGCCACCACACCCAGTTAATTTTTGCATTTTTAGTAGAGACGGGGTTTCACCATGTTGGCTAGGCTGGTCATGAACTCCTGGCCTCAGGTGATCCACCTGCCTCGGCCTCCCAAAGTGCTGGGATTACAGGTGTGAGCCACCATGCCCGGCCTGTTTCTTTTTAAGTCTTGCCTTCTCCTCCAATGCTGGACACTGAATAGGCGCTCTGCAAAAACTGGTTTTCATAAAATCTTGATACTAATTTAACAGACTATTGTAATGAAAAAAGGAAAATCTATAGGCTACTCCTGGGCAATACAGATTCTAGTTATCCTTATGTAGTAGAATCAGCCCTAAGCCAGTGTTGACTTGCCTAGAATTTCAGAAGTGGGCTGTCATTCCATGAAGACCACCCATTCAGTCTGGCGTTAAAGCTCTTTAGTGCTGTTGAGAATCAATCCCTGACAGAGAAAGGCCAATTCCCTGAATGAGAAAAGAAAGGGCCATATCAGGCTGAGAGTAGAAAAGAATATCTTCCCATAAGCCCATTCCTAAGGATAGGGTGAGGCTACCCTTAAGGATAGGGTAAGGCTACCCTTTAGTGCTTAATCAAAGAGCAGTGAATGCCAAATAAAGGGAGATTATCTGTTCAAGAAAAGCCACGATGTTGTAGAGCACACAAAATAGTGGCAAATCACTGAATGGTTCACACATGGGTCCATCATTTAGGAATATTAGAGAAATGAAAAGTGGAGTACCTCCACTGGGGTGTGTGTGTGTGTGTGTGTATGTCATGTGTGTGTATGTGTGCACGTGTGTGTATAACTTTCAGGGTGGCATATTTTCTCTTCTCTTTCCTGCTCTTTCTACCTCTTTCTCAGAATTCTTGGGAATATATATAATACAGGAGCAAGCTCTTTAATGCTTTTGCCACAGAGACAATGAATCCTGCCTGACTCCAAAGGAAGGATGGGTGTTGCCTTCTTTCTTTCCTCTCTCTTATCTTTTTCCTTTGCGACCATAGGGTAATTTCTTGTCCGTGCCGAGTTTTATTTTCTCTAGTTAGATTGTTAAAACATTCAGGTTCACGTTCACTCAGTCTTTCAACTCCACCCATTTTTGTTGATGTATCTCTGACCCACACTCCTATTAGAGGAATAAGGCTTGTCATTAATAATTCCTCATCTGCTAATTCTTTAAAGAAACTAGAAAGAGGAGGATGTGTAATTCGTATTTATTTCTGTATTATATGAAAGAATCCTAATTCTGGGTACTTCAGGTATTTAAGTGGTACTTGTTGGCTTATTAACAGGGAATGCTTTGTGTAAAACTGGAACCAAGAGATAAAAACGTGTCATCAGAAACCTCTGTGTCCACTTCTCAATTTCTCTTATATCCACTTTGTTTTATTTTATATGCAGTCTATACTGCATATCAGGGTTTGTGGTTGCAAAAATCAGAAGCTAAATCTGGCTAAGTGAAACAGAAAGGGTTTTGATGAGAAGAATCCTGAGTAGTATACAGAATTGAGGGGAAAGGCAGAGAAGCAGTTTTGGAAAGAAAGCAGCCAGTAAAGGAGGCTGAGAAGCATAGTGCACAGGCAAGAGCAGCTACAGGAAGAGACTCCATCACCATGAGACCATTGACTGCCAGGCATTTGGCACACAGCCGCTGAACTCAACTCTGCTGTTGCCAGAGTACGTGACTTCTCACCATCCCTGAACCTTTGCATCGCTCTCTCCAGATACATGTGATAAAATATATTCTAACTCCACACTCAGGAACTAGGTAAACAGCCATAAAGAATGTCTGCAGTTACTACTGAGATGCATCTGTTTGAGGCTCACTTTTTACTTTACGCCCATGAACCTCACTCTGACCAGTGGATGACAGTGGCATTCTGGGTCCTCGGGAATAAATGTTCACAGCCAGGTTCCAAATATCCCTCCTCCCCAAGAAGTATCATACAGTTGCCCTGGTATACATTCATGAATGCCTTTGGGGACTGCTTGGAGATAGAGTCACAGCGTGCACTTCAGTAAAGATTTCTAGGTTGCCCATCATTCAGAATGCTCTGGGATTTGTGAACTGATTCAGGTCTGGGAAATGGGAGAGTCATCCTTGTTCAAGTAAAGGCTTTTTTTCTATAGAACTGGAAGGTTTTAGTTAAACAAATCAAATTGAGATTTAGTTGCTGTCCATGTATTTCAGTTCAGGGACCCCGTGATCAATTAACCACTATGGTTCAAATCTTCAATTATTCCCACTGGACCTGCTGCCTATTATGGTAGCCACATTCACTTTGTTTCTGCTGGTTAAATGCTATTATTTGACTTTATGACATCCCAGGATCCTGATATTATGGAAGCCAAGACAATTTTGGCATTCCTCACCCCACCACTGGCTATTGCGAGGTTGCAGAGTGCAGCCACTAGAGTGCTGTTCAGAGATGTTGGCAAGAGCAACCCTCACCAATGTATTGGGTGGGCTTGGTGATATCTGGACCCTCTTGGGGAATATAATTCAAGGGTGGGTGTATAGGTTCCCAGTCTAAATCTACTCCAGTATTCCTAATCCCTTAAATCTTTGTTTTTTTGTCCTATACATGATTCAGAGGAAGCTTTGGCATATACATATTGTTTTGTTTATGCTGTCATTTCCTAAAGCATTGACCTTGTCTGTATAGTGGAGGCCATATCAGAGCCATATGGGCATTTCAAACCAGAGTAAAGAGGGAAATGCCAAAATATTTTTTTTTTTTTTTTTTTTTTTGAGACAGGGTCTTGTTCTGTTACCCAGGCTGGAGTACAGTGGTGGGATCATGACTCACTGCAGCCTCAATGTCCTGGGTACAAGCAATCCTCCCACCTCAGCCTCCCACGTAGCTGGGACTATAGGCACACGCCACCATGCCTGGCTAATTTTTGTATTTTTTGTAGAGGCAGAATTTCATCATGTTGCCCAGTCTGTTCTCCAACTCCTAGGCTCAAGCAATCTGCCCACCTAGGCCTCCCAAAGTGTTGGGCTTACAGGTATGAGCCATTGCGCCCAGTCCCACAACTTTTCAAGTTAAAATTAAACAAGTACAAGTAGATGCATGTCTTACTTTTGCTCATATCCTAAACTTTTTCACATAGTTATTCATATATAGCTGCAAAGAGACCAGGAAATGTGGTTTATATCTGTGTGGTCACATATTTGGGAAGAAGGAAAAAAAAGATTTTGAATAACAACTACCAGTCTGCCAAACAAACTTAAGCAAGAAAACATTTATAGAAGGATATCGAGTAGTTTACAGGATTATTAGAATGCTTCAGAGGTAGGAATATAAAACAGGCAATACCCAAGGGTTTCTAGATAGCTGTGAATACAACAAAGTTCATGCCCCAGAAATGGTCTAGTTAAGATGCTACTGCAGATGAATACTTGTTTCAAGTATGTCTGGAAGTGCCATAACTGAACATTTCCTGCTGTCATTGGATTTTTCACTCCAGCATTTTTGTGTAGTTAATCACTATTTTTGCAGTTTTACATCACAACCTTAATATCTGAAATAGTGGGTAGGAGAGTCACATTGACAAGACTCAGTCTGATTGAGTCACAGCTTTCAGGAGTAGGGAGAAAGAATGTTTTATCTTAGCTGGGCACGATGGCTCACACCTGTAATCCCAGCACTTTGGGAGGCTGAGATGGGTGGATCACGAGATCAGGAGTTCAAGACCAGCCTAGCCAAGATGGTGAAATCCTGTCTCTACTAAAAATACAAAAATTAGCCCAGCATGGTGGCAGGTGCCTGTAATCCCAGCTACTCAGGAGGCTGAGGCAGAGAGTTGCTTGAACCTGGGAGGTGGAGGGTGCAGTGAGCCGAGATCACACCACTGCGCTCCAGCTGGTGACAGAGCGAGACTCCGTTTCAAAAAAAAAAAGAAAGAAAGAAAAAAAATGTTTGATCTCTTTTATTATTAGAGTGAGTGTCAGGACCCTGCCTCCTGCTAAAGGCTACAGAGTAGAGATCTCAAATTGGAAGAGGGTTTGGATATTGAGTAGCCCAAGAAAGACAAACCCCTATTTTATAGACTGTGTCTTTTTAGATAGCAAGCTGTCTGTCAAGAGATCCAGCTCATATCTTCCCAGCCAGCGACCTCAACAGAAAGAGAATGTCTCTCTACCATTACCTATGTGTTAAGCTCAGGGAAGATGCTGATGGACATGGTTTGGATGCTCCTTTCTGTACTCATCACTGAGGTCTAAGAGTGGAGTATTTTGATTGACTCCTTCTACGCAAACATGCCCACATTTGTGACTAGGAGTGCTTAGGAAAGCGCCGAAATTGAAAGCTATTCATAATCCGTGAAGTGGGGAGAGGGAGGTTGTCCCAAGGAAGATGCACTGGAAGACAAAACTACAAAGTTCATTTTAGAGTTCTCATAATCATCTGGTTTATCTCTTGACTACCATTTAAAAAAAAGCTTATAATATCTTCCTTTCTCAGTTACCTGAATATCACCATAAACCCTCAGATTTCATTACTAATGAAACTTTGGTTTCATCAGGTAGCTCTTTAAATCTGTGGTAAGGCTTCACCCATGAGGGACTAACTATGGGATTAGCCCTCTGGCCATAAACAACACTAAAACTGCAAAATATATGAGGCAACATTTTTTTAGGCATTTGACCATAGACTGCACAAAACTGCAATAATACTTGAGAGAAGGAAAACTCAAGAGATGAGCCCCACAATCACTGTATTTGTTGGCCTGGGGACAACTTTAGACTTTGGAGATGCTGAACTGATTGGGATCTTTAGAGCAAGGCAGGGCACCAGAGAGGAAAGAGCTAAACAGAAAGGAGACTCAAAAATCTGGGTAGGGGTTCTTCATGAATCCTTGGCTAAGGTCTAGACTGTGCATGTTTAGAATGAGTCCATACTAGGTTTACAGGAGAGTGGCTACCATGGGGATTGAGAGGAGAAAGGGGTATCAGAGATGGAGTAGTGTTGGACGATACTAGAGTGCTGGCTTAACTAGAGTGCAGAGCCCTTGTTAATACCCTGGGTACCCAGATGAGGCACCAAAAAGGACCTGCTTTAGGAGGAAGGACCACTCTAAAGCAAGACCTACAATAGACCCACCCCAACAAACCCTAAAAATGAGACTTAATGAGATCTGTGAGGCTTCAGAGTTTGGAAGCTGACTCAACCCAGGTTAGAGAGTCTAAGAAAACACTTTGCACTTTGCACATGTCTGCCATAACAAACCATAAAACTAATACATAGGTTCAAGGTGCTAAGCCAGTAATTAAACTACCTCCTAGAACAAAAGTCAACACTCTTCAGAGGAAGGTCATAGAATCAAAATAATCTACAATATGTCACCAAAAATGTCCAATATGTTGTAAAAAATTGCCAAAAATAAAAAGAAATACAAAAATGTAAGCCATAATTGAGAAAAAAATGGCCCAAAAGATTTAAAGCAGCAGTTATACATATTTTCAAAGATTTAGAATAAAATATGGTCTTAATGAGAGATCATATAGGGAATCTCAATGGAGATATGAAAACTCTATTGTTTTTTTAAAAAAAGAATGAGATAAAAATTCTGGGACTAAAATATAAAATAACTGAAATGAAAATTCACTGATAAGGATTCATAGCAGAGTAGATTACAGAATAAATTATCAGGGAACTTGAAGACAGATTTAGAGAAATTATAAAATATTAAGAACATGCGTAATTGAAATCCTAAAAAAGAAAGGAAAGTGAGAAAAATGGAGAAAAAAATTCATAAAAACAATGGCCCCAATTTTCTCAGGTTTGATGATTTATATTGACTTACAGGGCTAAAAGCATAATGAATTTCAAGCAGAGTAAACACAAAGAAAATCACAAGTGATGCGCCATACTCAGACTACTTGGTATGGCATGTGAAAAGCCAAAGCTAATTAATAGTGTTAAACAGTCCAGTGCTTCCCTAGGGTGAGAGTGGTGGGAGGAGATTGGAGAAAGGGACAGAAAAGTTTTGGAATGGTAGAAATATTGTATGCATTGATGTGAGGGTGGTTAAATGAGTGTATGCATTTGTCAAAACTCATCACACTTCACTTAAAATTTGTACCTTTTGTTATATGTAAATTATTTCTAAATAATGTTGACTTACAAAACTAGAAGTGATGCTTAGTCAATCTAATACTTCAAACATTCTAACTTAATTATTTTGCCTTATTTTTATGTCTTTACATTTTAGTTCTTTACATTTTAGTTCCTATAAGTCTGGTTTTTATTGCTTTCTGTAAAAGGATGTACTAGACTCCAAATTGAGAGTTGTATTCACACAAATACTGACATATCTTGTTTTGTTGCGCTTTGCAGATATTGCTGTTTTTTTTTTTTTTTTTTTTTTACAAATTAAAAGTTTGTTGCAACCCTGTGTCAAGCAAGTCTGTTGATGCCATTTTTCCAACAGCATGTGTTCATTTTGTGTTTTTGTGTCACATTTTGGTAATTTTGCATAATTAATATTATTACACTTTTAAACTTCTTCATAATTAATATTATTATTTTTATCAGGCAGCCTCCAAACCTGAATAGGTTCAGAGAGATTCCCCATTATTTTTATATCTGTTATGGTGATCTGTGATCAGTGATCTTCGATGTTACTACTGTAGCTGTTTTGGGGTGTCACAAGCTGCACCCCAATAAGATGTCAAACTTAATCAATCAATGTTGTGTGTGTTCTGACTGCTTACACCAATTAGCCATTCCCCCACCTCTCTTCCTCACCTCAGGCCTCCCTATTCCTCAAAACCATATTGAAATTAGGCCAATTAGTAAATCCTACAATGGCCTCTAAGTGTTTAAGTGAAAGGAGGAGTTGCACGTATCTCAATTTAAATCAAAAGCTATAAATGATTAAGCTTAGTGAAGAAGGCATGCCAAAAGCCAAGATAGGCTGAAAGCTAAGCCTCTTGTGCCACACAGTTGGCCAAGTTGTGAATGCAAAGGAAACGGTCTTGAAGGAAATTTAAAGTCTACTCCAGTGAGTACATGAATGATAAGAAAGCAAAACAGCCCTATTGCTGATGTGGTGCAAGTTTGAGTGGTCTGCATAGAAGATCAAACCACCCACAGCATTCTCTTAAGCCAAAGTCCCTAACTGTCTTCAATTCTATAATGGCTGAAAGAGGTGAGAAAGCTACAGAAGAACAATTGGAAGCTAGCAGAGGTTGGTTGATGAGGTTTAAGGAAAGAAGCTGCCTCTATAACATAAAAGTGTAAAATGAAGCAGCAAGTGCTGATGTAGAAGCTACAGCAAGTTATCCAGAAGATATAGCTAAAATAATTGATGAAGGTGGTTACACTAAACAACAGATTTTCAATGTAGACAAAATAACCTTATGTTGGAAGAAAATGACATCTAGGACTTTCATAGCTAGAAAGAAGTCAATGCCTGGCTTCAAATCTTCAAAAGGCAGGCTGACTCTCTTGTTAGGGGCTAATGCCACTAGTAACTTTAAATTTAAGTAAATGCTCATGTATCATTCTGAAAATTCCAGGGCCCTTAAGATTTATGCTAAATATACTCTGCCTGTGCTCTATAAATGGAACAAGAAAGCCTGTATGACAGCACATCTGTTTACAACACGGTTTACTGAATATTTTAAGCTCACTATTGAGTACTGCTCAGAAAAAAAATATTTCTTTCAAACTATGACTGCTCATTGACAATGCACCTGGTTGCCCAAGACCTCTCATGGAGAGAGATATACAAGGAGATTAATGTTACTTTAATTGCTAACACAACTTCCATTCCATAGCCCATAAATCAAGGAGTAAATTTGACTTTCAATTTTTATTATTTAAGAAACAAATTTAATAAGGCTATAGCTGCCATAGATAGTAATTCCTCTGATGGATCTGGGCAAAGTAGATTGAAAATCTTCCGAAAAAAATTTACCGTTCTAGATGCCGTCAAGGGTGTTTGTGATTCATGGGAGGAAGTCAAAATGTCAACATTAACACAAGTTTGGAAGAAGTTGATTCCAACCCTCATGGATGAGTTTAAGAGTTCAAGACTTCAGTGGAGATCACTATAGATGTGGCGGAAAAAGCAAAAGAATGACAATTACAAGTGGAGCCTGAAGATGTGACTTAATTGCTGCAACTTCATGATAAAATTTGAATGCAAGAGGAATTGCTTCTTATGGATGAGCAAAGAGTGGTTTCTTGAGATGGAATCTACTCCTCGTGAAGATGCTGTGAACATTGTTGAAATGACAACAAAGAGTTTAGAGTATTACATACACTTAACTGATAAAGCAATGACAGGGTTTGAGAGGATTGGCTGCAATTTTGGAAGAAGTTCTACCATGGATAAAAAACTATCAAATAACATCAAATGCTACAGTGAAATGTTTCATGAAAGGAAGAGTCAATCGATGCAGCAAACTTCATTGTTGCCTTACTTTAAGACACTCCTCCAGCCTGGACAACATAGTGAAACCTCATCTCTACAAAAAATAAAAAATTGCTCAGGCATGGTGGCACATGCCAAGTAGTCCAGCTGCTTGGAAAACTGAGGCAGGAGGATTGCTTTAGCCCAGGAGTTCGAGGCTGCAGTGAGTTGTGATCATGCCACTGCACACTAGCCTGAGCAGCAGAGTAAGACCCTGTCTCAAAAGAAACAAAGAACAAAAAAAGACATTTCTACAGCCACCCCAACCTTTAGCAACCAGCCACTACCCTGACTAGTCAGCAGCCATCAGTATCAAGGCAAAAACCTTCACCAGCAAAAAAGATTACAACTCCCTGAAGGCTCAGACTACAGTAGAGTATAAACATAGCTTTTTTTTTTGTTTTTTGAGATGGAGTCTCACTCTGTTGCCCAGGCTGGAGTGTAGTGGCACTATCTCGGCTCACTGCAACCTCCCCCTCCCGGGTTCAAGTGATTCTCTTGGCTCAGCCTCCCAAGTAGCTGGGATTACAGGCATGTGCCACCATGCCCAACTAATTTTTGTATTTTTAGTAGAGATGGGGTTTCACCATGTTGGCCAGGCTGGTCTTGAACTCCTGACCTCCTGTGATTTGCCCACCTTGGCCTCCCAAAGGGCTGGGATTACAGTCGTGAGCCACTGCACCTAGCCAAATTTTTATATGCACTGGGAAACCGAAAAAAAAAATGTGTGGCTTGCTTTATTGCAATATTCACTGTATTGTGATGATCTGGAACCAAAACTGCAGTATCTCTGAGATATGCCTATAACATATGTTGTTTGCTATTTTCTCCTTATTAAATAGCAGACTTCAGCCTAGTCAAATTCACTCACATGAAATCCACCCAACTACACATTTTCTGCTGCCACTGAATCTTTAATCCCTTAATAGAATGCCTCAGTTACTGCGTCTATTCATTGGGCATTATATATCACTGTTACTACACTATATGTTGAAATACATATTATTTAAAATTGCAAATAAGATTCTACCCTTAAAATATTCATATAAGTGACTATGAAAGTGCTATAAAAATAACATGTTGTGTTTATAATTTGCCATTTTGTTTCTTGCCTAATTATTTAAAAAATTAAAACTTTGATATTTTGGATGTGATGTAAAATTTCATCTCATTTATAAAAAGTGTGCTGAGAATTTTATCCAATATAGACAAATTTAAGATAATCCATGTGGCATCAAAATAGCTTAAATTACTTAACAGCTATGATTGTTTGGAATTAGTTCTTCCTTTCCCAAGAAATGCTTTCGCTGTGGATGAAAGCAGACTCTGGCTGAGGTTTTGTGATGTTATAATGATAGGAAAATGCTAGAAAAAGACAGAGGAGAAGAATCTCAGTGTATAAACAGTGGAGACGCTAAACCTGTGAGGTTAATTTTAGTCAGTTCTACTAAAAAAAATTTTTTTTAAGTATGAGCCTATAGGGATAAAACAAGATGATATAAGCAGAGCAGAATAGTAGATTTGATAAAGTATCTGCTAAGGTAAAGATATTTTATATTGAGTAATACAGAGCAGAAGAAGAATGGTGATTAAATCCAAACCATAAGACTTAGCAGTAGACTGGAGGGCCTTTCTCAGGGCAGGATTTGTAGCCAGCAGACAGGCTTTAAATCCAAGTTTCATTGCTTACTACCTATATGAATTCTATAAATCTTGGTTTTCATGCTTGAAAAATGGCTATAATAGTCCTTGCCTCCTAGGATTCTTGTAGAAATAAAGTAAGATGCAAATTGCCTAACATGGTACATGGCACATAGACACCCAGTAAACATTTACTGATCCCTCGACATCAGAATAAAAGAAAAGGGTAGTTATTCTAATCTTGGTACAGGGTGTGGCAGAGGATTTTTGCTCTGGCTTCTGGAAACTTGTATAAGTCAAAGCTTACAGAAAGGACGTCTGGCATTGGGCTAGTTATTGCTTCAAGTACACGAATGCCCCCAGAGGGAAGCTTATACTCTAGATTTTCCAGGATACAACCATTTATGCTGTAGGAAGAGGCCAGGAGCAAAGTAAGCTGCTTGTGAATAACAGAAAAACTGTCCTTGTGTACTACGATGATAATGTTAACAAAGGAAGTTATTTCCCTAACCAAATTTATTATTGACCCGAAAGTGAGATAAAAACGATATTTTTTTTTTCCAGAGCCACATAAAGCCTGAAGAGAAGGCTAGGAAAAGCAACGAGCTCGAGAAACTGGGCAATGTTCAGATCAGTAGCTATGGAAAACTCTCCTCATTCTTATGTCACCTCAGATTTAATGCCCACAATGTCCCAGTGTCTGTACATTTTTATTTCGAGCATGAAATAATAATAATGACAGGCAATTTAAAATGATGACCGCTATTTTTGTGTTTCCTTGAGAAATGGACCAATTTTCTCATCTATTCTGGCATATGGCATAGTGTGTGTGTGTGTTTGAGTGAAAGAGGGAGAGACAGAGAGACAGATAGAGAGAAAGAAAGGAGGGGTGCAAGAAGAGAAGAATCACACAGATGATTCACACAACATTCTGCCCTCACTAAAGGAACAGAGAATCTAAAAGTTTAAAGTCAACTCCTCTAGGATATAGTTTAAAATAGTCTGATGTCAAGGGATGGGCAAAAGTTTATTCAGTGTCTACGTGCCATGCACCATCTTAGGCAATTGGCATGGTATAAAATTGCTATGGCAACCACTATTGCCTTAAACAATATAAGATTAAAAGGGTTTCTTTTTTTGTTTTGTTTTGTTTTTTGAGACAGTGTCTTGCTCTGCCGTCCAGGCTGGAGTGCAGTGGCGTGATCTCGGCTCACTGCAACTGCCACTTCCCGGGTTCAAGTGATTCTCCTGCCTCAGCCTCCCAAGTAGCTGGGACTACAGGTGCATGCCACCATACCTGGCTAATTTTCGTACTTTTAATAGAGACGCGGTTTCACCATGTTGGACAGGCTGGTCTTGAACTCTTGACCTCAAATTATCCGCCAGCCTCAGCCTCCCAAAGTGCTGGGATTACAACCGTGAGCCACCGCGCCTGGCCTTCTTTTGTTTTTAATTTTAATTTTTATCAAAACAATACTCATACTTGGTGAAAATAAAATAATGTGGAAGAACTCAGGAAAACTGATATTTTCCCATTCAGTCTGACATATGGTCATTTCTTCTGATTGTTTCCATATTTAATTCTTTGGCTAGTTATTTTCATAAATGTAGTTAATATAATTATAACTCTGTATCCTGATTTTTCATTTATGGTCATTATCAATTAACTCATGAGAAATGAAAATTTATCTCACAGTAATCTCTTCCTTCTCATCCTCTTCCCAGTATTTCATATTATTTTTAACTTTTCCATTAGTTAGTTTCATACTATTAAATAATATGGTTAAAATTATTTGTTTCCATCAACTTTCTCTGCATCTTTCCAAGTTGGAAAGTGTCCTCACTCCTCTACATTCCTCTTCTCCCTCACATTGCATCTTCCGTCAGCTCTATATTATTTCACATTGTCAAATATTTATTAACAATTAGATTATGTCTGAAAATTTCACCAAAATTCTTACTTTATCCATGGATTGACTCTAAATCTGAACATGAATAATCTTTACATTACTATCACGATGTAAATGTAGTTTACTGCTTGGTCGAGTAGTGTATTAGGATTACTTTTGATTTTCTATTGTTTCAACGCCAGGATTCTTGAGTCACATTTTTTTAAAAAAGTATTCCTAGCATTAAAACCAAATATATTTTCCTTTTCCTCACTATTTCATTTGCCTAAATAGGTATGACATTTTCATTTGCTTGTTAATGTACCATACTTTTATAATAGGGTTTTTATTTTTCTGAAGTTCTTTTTGCCCCTCTCTTATTTGAGAGAAGAGGGTCATTTCAGACTTTTTTTTTTTTTTTTTTTTTTTTTGAGATGCAGTCTTGCTGTGTTGCCCAGGCTGGTCTCAAACTCCTGGCCTCAAGCAATCCTTCTGACTCTGCCTCCCAAAGTGCTGGGATTACAGGCCTGAGCCACTGCACCCAGCCCAGGCTTTTATTATCTCCTCAATAATTACCAGTTTTTGATCATACATTTTACTGCATTCAGACTTCCTTCCTGGTCCCTTCTGCTTCTGGCTTTAGTCTGGACTGAAGTTCTCTAAATCTGCTGCAAATGTCATCCTGAAGATTCTCATCATTGTTTTACTGGTTTGAATTCACGGATTCTTGAATTTCAGGTCTTCCTTTTTCTTTTTGCTTTCAATGACACTGGAGTAATGTCCTCTAGTACCTAAGACAAGTTGCTTGCAAATCACATTTTCTGAGTGCTTGCATGCTTTAATCTCTCATTATATTGGCCAGACAGAATTTTCAGTGTGAAAATAATTTTCTTAGGAGTCTTTAAAGCACTCTACTTTTTGTTTTGTTTTGTTTTGTTTTAATAGATGGGGTCTCACTCTGTTGATGAAGCTCTGTGCAGTGGCGTGATCATGGTTCACCACAGCCTCAACCTTTCAGGTTTGAGGGATCCTCCTACCTCAGCCTCCCCAGTAGCTGGGACTATAGGAGCGCACCACCAGGCCCAGCTAATATATTTTTATTTCTGGTAGAGACATATTTTGTTTACTAGCATCCGCTGTTACTCTTCAGAAGTCTGATGACAGTCTGATTCTTATTCATTTGTAAGTGAACTGTCTTGTCTCTTTGAAAGCTTCTTTTTAATGTTTTGTAATTTTATGAGGCTGTATCCAGGTACAGGCCCTCTTTTATTCATTGCACTGAACATTCTACCTGGTTTTCAGTTCTAGAAATTTTTTTTCCTTCTTTTCTTCTGAAATTTTTATTAATAGGATAATGATGTTAATGGATTGCTCTTCTAATGTCTCTTTTTTATTTTGTATATTTCATATTTCTATCTCTTTGACATCATATATTCTGAGAGATTTTTCCACTTTAATTGTCAATCCTTCAATTGAATGTCTAACTTCAGTAATAACCCTTCTGTTCTCTAAGAGCTCTTTCTTCTTCTCTGTCCGATTTTGTAGAACATCTGTGGCAACTATGGAGGTGCACCCTCAGATCTCCCTTCAAGCAGAATCTGCTAGAAATGATTCAGTTAACTGACAGCTTCCAAGTGTGGTATGCTTGGAATCCCTGCTGCGTTAAATCCATGCCCTCGCTCCCTGGGAAGCCCCAGCCAATGAATGAGCATGGTGGAGACTCCAGAGCCTGGTGGTTTCTGTCAATTGGGATACCCCAAAGTGCTGGCTGAGATTTTCTTAGAGCTACACTACACTCTGGAGCTCTTCCTTTCCAGTCCTCTTTCCTTCCCCTCTTCTTTCACAGCCTATTAGACCTGCATCACAGTCTGAAAGTATATTCCTCTGCTCACTCCTGTTCCCTCTCGCCTTTATCTTCCAAAGTCATTGCCCCCAGTACATCTCTTAAACTTATTGTCTTAGCTTTTGCTTCCTAGGGAACTAGAACTGGCAGAGCATCCTATCTTGCTTTACGAACATACTTGCTTCCTACATCTCTCTATTTCACTTATTTTTATAACACCCAATACATCTAACAGGGGACATTTAACCTGGTGTAGTGAACTAGTGGGCTCAAATTGCACTGTACGAAGCCGAAATTAACTAGACAAAAAGATGTCATCTGTACGTCACAAAGGTAAAGGGGGAGACTGGGTGCACTTTTCCCCCAACTTTCCAGAGGCGGCAACATTTTTAATAATTCTAAAAAATGAAAAAATTGGCAATATTAGATGAAAGCATGACTTTCTTCCATCTGCTACTGCATACAATTTTCCGATTTTGTGGCAAGATATGCCACAGCCTCATTCAAATCATTTGCACCAAGAATCATGCAGTGCCTTGCACTTTTAGTTATCCCAGCACTTGCCCAAGTCTTGTTTTGCCACTGGATTTTAGGACTTTTGAGGACAGGGACTGTGTGTTATCTTTAGTGCCTCATAATAATAACAATAATAAGAGCTGAGCCATTGTTTATCATGTGCTAATTATATGCCTAGCCAGGTAAGGTGGTAAACACTTCGTATCTATTGTTTCATGTGAAAACACAAAATCTCCGAGAGGTCATGTAAATGGCCCAAGGTCCCACAGTTAGGATGAGGCACATGTCTGCCTTCCTCCAGAATCTATGCTCTCTATCATATCCAATACTGCCTCCCCCTGTACCTGACACACAGAGGACACTCAATAGCTGTCAATCCATTGGTTGAGTTACAACTGCTATTAACTATAGACAAATAGGTAATAGAAATCTCATTTACTGTCCTATAATATGTGTTCTATAGATTTGTGATGGGGAACGAATGAATATGCAGGGCTGTGGAAGCCTCATACATTCTCAAAAATTATCTTGCTAGGAGAAAGCACATCGTTTACCAATACCAAATCCTTTATTTTACATGAAGTTCCCTGACACTGTGAAGCTCTAGTAGTAAGTGCTTTTTTATCTTTGAAATATAGGGGTGGGGGGAGGGGGGAGGGATAGCATTGGGAGATACACCTAATGCTAGATGATGAGTTAGTGGGTGCAGCGCACCAGCATGGCACATGTATACATATGTAACTAACCTGCACAATGTGCACATGTACCCTAAAACTTAAAGTATAAAAAAAAAATTAAAAAAAAAAAAGAAATATACCTTCTTGTTAAGAGGCAGAACATATGAAGTCTCTTATTTTCCCTCTTACAGCATGTCATTTAGGGACTCTGTGGGAGAGGAGGTAGTGTGTCAATATATGAGTGCTTGCTCTCATAGAGAAAACCAGCTCTATTTATCTAAGCTTCTCCCCATTCCCCTGGAGAAGTAATTAAACCAAATCATTGACCCCTTCTGGAGTAGCCCAGGAGTCGGTTTTATTTATGTGAAAGTAAAGGATCTGGGAAAAAGAAAATGTCATTGGGGCAAAATCAGAATAAATCCGTTTACATGGAAAATATGCACAGGAGATTTGACAGCATATTTTGTGATCTCTTTTTTCCAATGTTCAGAAACATGAACTTTTATAACTACAAAGGTTATCCCTTTTGTCCTTAGAATTCCTTTGTGATTATACATAGCTCACCGGGGGTTGCTTGTCATGAATGGTTACAATTTTTCACTCAGCTGTTGTTTTAACAGAGGCTCAGGGTTTGCTCAGGAGGTGAATATGTGACTCTCCTCCCTCCCCCAACAATAGCATAGTTATTTAAAGGCAAAATTCCCCTGTTTTTCTCCTAATCGTTTCTACCACCATAAAGCCGTAACATGCACATTCACCTCCCTTACTTCTTCTCTTCAGAAGATACTGGGGATTAGCAGTCATAACCCCAGAATATAAAGTGGTGATCCCAGTCTTTAAAATTGGGCTGTGACATGGATAAGAGTCTGGCATGCAAATCATCTTTGGAAACCAAGGCTGACTAGTGCCTAAGCACCATTTCAGTTAGTAGCCCATCTAAGGGACTATGGGAAACATATAAGCTGATACTCTTGATGCCAGATACTAATGTTTAGGTTATCTCTTTGGAAGTGTTATATCACCTAATCCAGAGCCAATCAAAGTGTTTGATTTTTCTCAAACCTGACTTAATACAAGCAAGACTTTAAAAGTTTAAAACATTTTGGCCGGGCGCGGTGGCTCATGCCTGTAATCCCAGCACTTTGGGAGGCCAAGGCGGGCGGATCACGAGGTCAGGAGATCGAGACCATCCTGGCTAACACGGTGAAACCCCGTCTCTACCAAAAATACAAAAAATTAGCCGGGCGTGGTGGCAGGTGCCTGTAGTCCCAGCTACTCAGGAAGCTGAGGCAGGAGAACGCCGTGAACCCGGGAGGCGGAGCTTTCAGTGAGCCGAGACTGTGCCACTGCACTCCAGCCTGGGCGACAGAGCAAGACTCTGTCAAAAAAAAAAAAACAGTTTAAAACATTTTTCTGAAAGGTGGAATTGAATTGATCTGGAGGACAAAGAGACGGTTGCCCAGTGAATCAGAATTTCTACAAATGTTTATCAATTACTTACCACCTGTAAGCCACTGGGTTGGATGCCAGGGATACAGTGGAATAAGTAGAATAAGACAGACATGGCCACTGCCGTCATGGGGCAATGGAAGACAATCACTATATAAGTAAACATGAATTATGATTGATGTAGGTCCTACAAAGGCAAGGTTTGGGAGCTATGAGACTGAGTAACAGAGGGATGCAATGCCACTTGGGTGATATAGGGGAGTCTTTCCTGAGAAGGTGATAACTTAGGCTGAGATAAGCAGGAGTTATCCAGGGGAAGAGTGAGAGGCAAGTAGTACAGCCTGTGGGAAAGCCCAGAAGTGAGAAGGAACCGGGAAGCCAGTGTGTCTTCAGAGCAGAGCCTGAAGTTCTTCACTTGGGATCCCCAGGAAGTCTTTGAAAATCAGATAATTGTCTGACCACAGAGAGTGAAACTTGGTTATACAGCATTTGCAATCCACTTGCTATTAGGCATGCAGTAAATAAGCAGCCATTTCCCAATGTGCCATAGCACAGCATGGTGGTGAAATGTAGTTCTCTCCTCCAGACACACCTGCAGTCATACCAAATGTTGTGTATACATGGTTATTCATTGGAGCATTGACTATTCTAGCAAAAGACTGGAAACAACTCAGTGTCTCTCTGTAAGGAACTGGTTAAATAAATCAAGATATAACCACACAATGGAGTAGTATGCAGCTGAAAAATAATGATAAATTATTTACAGACTTAGATGAAAGGATCTCCAACATATAACATTAAGTGAAAAAATAAGATCCAGAAAAATGTATAACAAGTGCTACCACTTATATAAAAAAAAGTAAAAGTAAAGAATATTCGAGAGCATAAGAAGACAATCCACAGGGTACAATAATATTTGCAAAAGACATATGAGATGAAGGGCTATTATCTAAAAAATACAGAGTGGAAAGATATTCTATGTTCATGGATTGGAAGAATCAATATTATTGAAATGTCCATACTACCTAAAGCAATCTAGAGATTCAATGCAATCCCTATAAAAATACCAATGACATTCTTTACAGATGTAGAAAAAACAATCCTAAAATTTAGATGGAACCATAAAAGACCCAGAATAGCCAAAGCCATCCTAAGCAAAAAAGCAAAACTGGAGGAATCACATCATCTGACTTCAAATTATACTTCAAAACTATAGCAACCAAAACAGCATGGTACTGGTATAAAAACAGACAAATAGACCAATGGAACAGAATAGAGACCCCAGAAACAAATCCACATACCTACGGTAAACTCGTTTTTTACAAAGGTGCCAAGAACATACACTGGGGAAAAGACATTCTCAATAAATGCTGGGAAAACTGGATATACATAAGCAGAAGAATGAAACCAGACCCCATATCTCACCATATATATGAATCAAATCAAAATGGATTAAAGGCTTAAATCTAAGACCTGAAACTATGAAACTACTATAAGAAAACATTGGGGAAAAACTCCAGGACATCGGTCTGGGCAAAAATTTCTTGAGTAATACCCAATAAGCACAGGCAACCCGATCAAAAAAATGGACAAATGGAATCACAAGTTATAAACCTTCTGCACAGCAAAGGAAACAATCAACAAAGTGAAGAGACGACCCACGGAATGGAAGAAAATATTGGCAAACTATCCACCTGACAAGGCATTAATAACCAGAATATATAATGAGCTCAAACAACTCTGTAGGAAAAAATCTAATAACCTGATCTAAAAATGGGCAAAAGATTTGAATAGACATTTCTCAAAAGAAAATACACAAATGACAAACAGGCATATTTAAAGGTGCTCAACATCACTGATTATTACAGAAATGCAAATCAAAACTACAATGAGATATCATTTCACCCTAGTTAAAATGGCTTATATCCAAAAAGAGGCAAAAACAAATGCTGGCAAGAACACAAAGAAAAGGGAACCCTTGTACCCTATTGGTGGGAATGTAAGTTAGTACGACCCCTATGGAGAACACTTCGGAAGTTCCTAAAAAAACTAAAAACAGAGCTATCATATGATCCAGCAATCCCACTGCTGGGTATATATTCAAAAGAAAGGAAATTAGTATATCGAAGAGATATCTACTTTCCCATGTTTATTACAGCACTATTCACAATAGCCAAGATTTGAAAGCAACTAAAGTGTTCATCAACAGACAAATAAATAAAGAAAATGTGGTACATATACACAATGGAGTACTATTCAGTCATAGAAAGAATGAGATACTCTCATTTGCAACAACATGAATAAAACTGGAGGTCAGTGTGTTAAGTGACAGGCACAGCAGACAAACTTCACATGTTCTCACTTATTTGTGGGCACTAAAAATCAAAACAATTGAACTCATGGAGTTAGAACACAATAATGGTTACCAAAGCCTTAGGAGGGTAGTGGGGTGAGGGTGGGGGAAAATGGGGATGGCTAATGAGTACAAAAAGGTAGATAGAATGAATAAGATCTAGTATTTGATAGCACAACAGAGTGACTACACTCAATAATAGTTTATTGTACATTTAAAAATAACTAAAAGAGTATAATTGTATTGTTTGTAACATAAAGAAAAGATAAATGCTTGAAATTATGGATATCCCATTTACCCCAGTTATTACACATCATATGCCTGCATCAAAATATCTCATGTACCCCATAAATATATACACCTACTATGTACCCACAGAAATTAAAAATCAAAATTAAGTATACAAAGAACCCTTGAAACCCAGCAAAAAGAAAATGAACAACCTAATTTTAAAATGGGCAAAAGATCGGAACAGACATTTCACCAAAGAAAATATACAAGTGGCAGATATGCATATGAAAAGATGTTCAATGTCATATGTCATTAGGGAATGCAAATTTAAACAATAATGATATACCACTACACAACTATGAGAATGGCCAAATCCAAAACGCTGATGACACTAAATGCTGACGAGAATGTGGAGCAACAGGAACTCTCATTCATTTCTGATGGGAATGTAAAGTGACACAACAGTTTAGAAGTCAGTCTGGCAGTTTTTTAGAAGACTAAACATGCACTTACCATATGATCCAGCAATTACATTCTTTGGTATTTACTCACGTGAGTTAAAAATTTATGTTCACATAAAACCTGGCACACAGATGTTTACAGCAGCTTTATTAATAATTACCAAAGCTTGGAAGCAACCAAAATGTCCTTTTGTAGATTAATGGATAAATAAACTCTAGTACATTCAGAGAACAGAATATTATTCAGCACTAAAAAGACATGAGCTATCTAGCTATGTGCTATGATTTGGATATTTGCCCCCTGCCCCAATGTCATATTGAAATTTGATCCCCAATGTTGGAGGTGGAGCCTAATAGGAGGAGTTTGTGTCATGAGGCAGATCCCCCATGAATAGATGAATGACCTACCTGGGTGGAGGACAGAGTGAGTGAGTTTTACTCTATTAGTTCCCTTGACAGCTGGTTGTTATAAAGAGCCTGGCGTCTCCTGTTCCCCTCTCTCTCTTGCTTTTTCTCTTGCCACGTGATCTCTGCATGTCTCCTTGCCTTCCTCCATGAGTGGAAGCATTCTAAAGTCCTCACCAGAAGCAGATGCTTGGGCCATCTTTGTATGGCCTGCTGAACCATAAGCCAAATAAATCTCTTTTCTTTATAAATTATGCAGCTTCAGGCATTCATTTATAGCAACATAAATGGACTAAGACACCATGTAAGACATGGAAGAAACTTAAGTTCAAATTACTAAGTGAAAGAAGCCCATCCGAAATGGCTACATGCTGTATAATTACAGCTCTATAATACTCTGGAAAAGGCAAAGCTATAGAGACAGTAACTAAGATCAATGGTTTCCAGGGGTTGGGGGATGGAGGGATGAGTAGACAGAGCACAGAGAAATTTTAGGGCTGTGAAATTGTTCAATATGATACTATAATGATGGATACATGCCATTATACATTTGTCAAAACCCACAGAATATTCAACACTGAGAGTAAACTCTAGTATCACCTATGGACTTTGGGAGATAATGATATGTCAACTGTAACAAATGTATCATTCTGGCAGGGATGTTGATAGCGGGGGAGGCTCTGTGTGTGGAAGGGGACAGGAGATACATAGGAGCCCCTTTTTACTTTCCACTCAATTTTCCTGTGAACCCAAAACTGCTCTAAAAAATAAAGTTGATTGTTTAAAACAAAACAAAGTAGAGAATATATTTGCATTTGGTTGCATTTATATAGGAAACCCTTGAAAGTTACTCAGAAGACTAATAGAAGCAGTTACCTATGATATTGGAGGTATGGGGCAGATGGGGATGGTGGTAGGAGGCTAACCTTTTATTTTATACCTTTTTTTAATAGTCTTTAGGCTTATGAGACATATGAATGTGTCATTTATTCTAAAATTAAATTATATGAAGTGGGCACTAGAGTTAAACACATCATCTTGATTCCTGACTCCGTCATTTATTAGCTGTGTAGCATTGTAACATTACCTAACTCTTCAGTGCCTGACTTTCCTCATGAGCAAAACAGGGCTGATAATAGTTTATACCTCAAAGGAATGTTTTGAGGATTAAATGAGCTAAATACATGTACAGCCACTAAATCAGTGTTCATCATATAATAACTGCTTAATAAATCATGAAGGTAGTCATGATGCTGCTGCTCTCTAAAGGCATGTAATTTTTCCTATGATACCTGTGGTTTTCTCTGATGATTGAAATTCCTGGTGGAATTATGAGTAATTTTTATTTTCTTTGTTATACTTAAAGTATTTTCCAAATATTTATAAAGATCATGCATGTGTGATGAGAAAAATCCATGTTTTTTTCATTGTAGTAAGAACATTTAACACAAAATCTACCCTCTTAACAAAATTTTAAGTTAAAAATACAGTATTGTTAACCAGAGGCACAATGTTGTATAGCTAATCTCTAGAACTTAATCATCTTGCACAACTGAAACTTTATATTTGATAAATATCAATTTCCCTTTTCTATCTACCCCCAGCCCCTGAAAACCACCATTTTACTCTCTGTTTGTATGTACTTGACTATTTTAGATACCTCATACAGGTGGGATCATGCAGTATTTTTCTTTCTATGCCTGCCTTGTTTCACTTAGTATAATGTCCTCCAGGTTCATCCATGTGGTCTTGCATGGCAATATTTCCTCCTTGTGTAAAGCTGAATAATATTCCATTTTGTGTACATATCACATTTTTCTTATCCATTCATTCATTGACCAACATTTAGGTTGCTTCCATATCTTTGCTGTTGTGAATAATGCTGCAATGAACATGGAAGTGCAAATATCTCTTCAAAATCCTGAATTTAATTATTGTAGATGAATACCCAGAAGTGGGATTGCTGGCTCATATGGTGGTTCTATTTTTACTTTTGTGAGGTACTTCCATACTGTTTTTAGTAATGATGTACCAATTTACATTCCCACCAACAGTATACAAGGATTCCAATTCCAATTTCTCCACATCCTTGCCAACACTTACTATCTTTTTTTTTTTTTTCAGTAATAGCCATCCTAATGGGTGTGAGCTGATACAGGATTGTGGTTTTGATTTGCATTTCCCTAATGATCAATGACATTTAGTATCTTTTAATATACATGTTGGCCATTTGTATGTCTTTGGAGAAATGTTTACTCAAGTCCTTTGCCCATTTTTTTGTTTTTGCAATTGAGTTGTGTGAGTTCCTTAGATATTTTGGATATTAACTCTTTATCAGATATATGATTTGCAATTATTTTCTCCCAATCTATAGGCTGCCTTTTCATTTTGTTGATTATTTCCCCTGTCGTACAGAACCTTTTAGTCTGATATAGTCCCACTTATCTATTTTTTATTTTGTTACCTGTGTTTTGGTGCTGCATCCAAGAAATCATTGCTCAGACCAGTGTCATGAATCTTTTCCTCCATGTTTTCTTCTAGGAGTTTGATAGTTTCAGGCCTTAAATTTAAATCTTTAATCCATTTTGAGTTTATTTTTGTGTATGGCATACAATAAGTTTATTTTAAAAAAATAAAATAAAAATTGTCCATCTTTAGTCTTAAACTCTGCCCACTGGGTCTTGCCTTTACCTGTGCCCTGCCTCCTGCCCATTAAAACAGCCCGATGCACTCACCCATGTGCACTCTCCAGCTTTTCCAAAAATTGCCCTTCTGGCCACACCCTTTTTCCTTGGTTCACTGTTGCTCCGCATAAGTCCTATGCCTGGCTTTAGAATTCTAACTTCAACCCTAGCTCTTTGGGACTAATGTTTATATTTGTTTACTTGAACCTTGATTATACTTAAACATAGGTATGAATTCCATCTAGTTTTGTCCCCAGGAAACCACCCCTGATGACAAGCTCTTGGCTGTCACCATGGCTTTGCCAACGCTGGCTGTCCCCTAAGTTTGGGAATGGGTGGTGCATAGGAAGTTAAGATAATTTACATTTTATGCAGAATATATAATTTTTGGCATGATAAAAGAGTTGGCATCTGGGCATGAGTTCCAACCAAAGAAGTATTAAATTTATAAGAGACTCATTTGAATTTCTAATGTGACATGATAAGCATGCCTTCTTGTAAAAACATTTTACAGAAAAATAGAATAGCATGACGGGCTGGCGGTACAGACAATTCTGTCAACAACTGCTGGAGCTGTTCCATGCAGCATTCAAGAATTCCTTGATTTGGAAAAAACAAATAAGAAACAAGCTATACGGAAGTGTAAGGACGACAGAGCCATGTGCTGATTGCTTGGGGTTTTAAGGAAAGGACGGGAGTAGGGTGAACTCCCTACTAGCCTAAGGTGAACATTGGATTCGACAATCAGAGAGAACTCATCTTAATGATTGGTCCTACCCAAGATCTCAACCACATTCTCTGCATTTCCAAGAGGCAAAGAAAATGAGCTGTCACTAATGTGTTTTATGTTAACTATCAATAGGCGGAATTTGTGAACCGTCGCATGCTTAGCATCCAAAATAATTCCCTTTAGGCTGACATAGGAAAGAGAAAAGAAAAGATAAAACAAAAAGTGAACATTTTTGCTGGTTTGAAAACATTTATAGCCTGATTTTCTAGCCACCAGCATAGAAATATTTATTTCTCAGTATCATTTTTATGTTTATAGTACTTTCCAAATTTTCTACAGAAAGCTTAACTTTAAATTGGGAATGGGGCTGAGCACGGTGGCTCACACCTGTAAACCCAGTAATTTGGGAGGCCGAGACGGATGAATTGCTTGAGCCCAGGAGTTGGAGACTAGCCTGGGAAACATGGCGAAACCCTGTCTCTACAAAAAAATACAAAAAATTAGCCAGGAATGGTGGTGCCCGCCTGTAGTCCCAGCTATTCAGGAGGTTGAGGTGGGAGGATCACCTGAGCCCAGGAGATCAAGGCTGCAGTGACCTGTGATTGCACTACTGCATTCCAGTCTGAGCAATGGAGTGAGACCCTGTCCAAAAATACATATATACATACACACATAAATAAATTGGGAATAGGATTTTCTTTTTCTATGTATTTTCCCCTAATATAAATGCAAACCCAAACATTATAAAAGCAAATATGTATGTTTTTATTTGTGTGTTTTCTCTTCCTCCTCTTTCTGCTCCTCCTCCTTATTCTTTTTTTAGTGAGTTGTAGTAAAAGTAGCAGAAAGTGTGCTTAGAGAATCATAATCTGTAGAATTGGAAGTCACAAAAATTCTATGTTGACACTTGGCTAATAATAATAGCAATAATAATCAATCAACAGCTTTAAAGTGCTCTGTCGATGTCCCTACATGACACTTACACGTGGACTGAGCAATTGGTTTTGCTTTATAGCTATGTCCTAAGGGGCCTCCATAAAAAAGAAGCAAAAAGAAAGACACAAAAGAGAAGAAGAAAGGAAATGTCATTTACCATGTATTTAGTGTATACAAACCCTGTGCCAGATATGTTATATACCTGAATTCATCTGTTCTCCTCAAGGCCCTATGAATGGGTGCTAGTGTCCCAGTGATGGTGAGGAAGGAGATGATGGTGGTGCTGGTGGTAATGATTACCAGTTTTGAGGCTGTCTGTAAGCTAGGCACTATACTCTCTTCATTCAACCTGTATTCATTCAACAAATGTTTGTTCAGTGCCCATACTGTGTGCTAGGCCCTATTCTAGGCACTTGAGATATATCAATGTACAAAACACACAAAAATTCTTGCTCCTATGAAGCTACATTTGGGGGTGAAAGGGACACTAGACATTCCCAGATAATACACATATAAGTAGGGAACTGAGAGAATATGTTAGAAAGGGATACGTGCTGTGGAAAAATAATAGATCAGACCACAGCAGGTCAGGATTGTGGCATGGGGTTCAGGATGCAATTTTTAATCAAGTGGTGGTAGTAGCCCTGACTGAGAAGGTGATACCTGAAGCAGCTAAAGAGTTTGGCTGGCCGGCGGGTGGCTCATGCCTGTAATCCCAGCACTTTGGGAGGCCAAGGTGGGCAGATCACAAGGTCAGGAGTTCGAGACAAGCCTGGCCAACATAGTAAAACCCCGTCTCTACTAAAAATACAAAAATTAGCCGAGCATGGTGGTGCACGTCTGTAGTCCCAGGTACTCAGGAGGCTGAGGCAGGAGAATCGTTTGAACCCGGGAGGCGGAGGTTGCGGTGAGCCAAGATCACGCCACTGGGCAACAGAGTGAGACTCCATCTCAAAAAAAAAAAAAAAAAAAAAAAGAGTTTGGCCACATGAGTGTCTTGGAGGAAAGGGCTCCAGGCAATGGGAGCAGCCAGCACAAAGGCCCTGCAACAGGAAGATGGCTGGAGTATTCGCTGAACAGCAAGGAGGCCAGCATGGCTGGACAGGGGAGAGAGGTAACTGGGGCCAGATCCTGCAGGGCCTTTCAGGGCAATGAAAGGAGTCTGTCTTCTATTCTGAGTGAAATGCTAAGTCATTGGAAAGATATGAGCAGGCAAGTGACATGGTCTGATGTACATTTTAAAAACATCACTATATGGTATATATACACCATAGAATACTATGCAGCCATAAAAAGAATGAAATCATGTCCTTTGCAACAACATGAGTGCAGCTGGAGGCCATTAACATAAACGAATTAATGCAGGAACAGAAAACCAAGTACCACATGTTCTCACTTTTAAGTGGGGGCTAAATAAGCATTGCATACACATAGACATAAAGATGGGGCCAATAGACACTGAGGACTACTGGAGGGGGGCGTGGGCTGAAAAACCACCTATTGGGTACTATGCCCACTGCCTGGGTGATGGGATTATTCAGCCCCCAAACCTCAGTATCACACAATATACCCAATGTAACAAACCTGCACATGTACCCCCTGAATCTAAAATGAAAGTTGAAATTATTTTTAAAAAATAAAAATATCACTATGGCTGTTGTATTGAAATAATATTCTCCCTTACATGTATAATTTAGTGTGATCATTTTCTGAAATTCCTATAATTCTCATTTTACAAGCAAGAAGTCGAAGGGTAGAAAAATCAAGTAATCTTTGAGTAAGTGGTAGAGCCAGGAATCAAACCCAAACCAAGAATTGTCTGAATTCTAAGCCTGAACTCATTTTATGACTGCCTTGAAAGAACAACTTCTAGGTTCCCATTAGTTCATGACAACTGAAACATATGTTTCAGACATAGGAAGAAGCAGCATGTTCTATCTGGCTTAATAGATGGAGGGCAACAAAAATAATAAATTAATGGACTAACTTAGCAAATGAGTAATGAGTTCCTCCTATGTTTGTAGACACCGTGTTAAGTATTGGAGGGGCAAACTCACCCCTTAGATAGCTTATAGTTTAAGAAGTGAAAGATAGATATTGACAAATATGTGTGATAAAGTATTATTGAAACAATTTTAAAAGAATCTATAAGCTCCAGTGGGGGCCAAAATCAAAGTGATCAATTCTAAGATGGAGGGGATGGACTGTGGTATGTGACTCTTTGCAGTTGGGAAAACTTTTTCTCTCATCTGATGTCTTGTATTGCCTAGTTTACAGTCTCATAGTTTAGTTCAAGTGGCTTAAGAAGATCTTGTTTTTCTCTTGAGGTGCTTTCCAGGAAAAAAATGTAAGACTTTCTCACTTGAAGCATCCTCTCTGGGTCTTACCACTTTGCCATCTTGCTGCATTGGAGAGTCCTTTGGTGCAGTCCTTCCAAAAGCCCCTGCCAATCATCAGGGAGGGAGCGTTGGGAAATGAAGACATGGTCTGTGGGCACCGAGCCTATCCTGGGTCAGAATTCCTGATTCTACAATTTACTAAACTGTGTAACACTTGGAAATCCTTGTACCCTCCTCATCTGTAACTCAGGCATAAAAATACCACTTCATAGCATTGTGTTAAATAAAACAGCCAAGGCAAGATGAGCCTGATTCATAACAATTGCCTGATGAGTGTGAGCTCTTTGTGGGATTATTTTAGCGACATTATCTTCCCACACCAGAATTTGTGGCAGTGCTGAACTGGTCATTGCTTTGGTCAACATTTATAGCTATCCCTCCCTTGGAGGAGGAACTCCAGAAGGCTGGCTGCTGGCTTTATTTATTATTCCTGCTGGAAGGGAGGAGGACAGAAGGCTGGGGAATCACAAGCCCCTTGCTGGGATTTCACCTCAGCTGGTTCCATCAGTAGCCTCACCCCAGGGATTACATAAATATTTTGTGTTCCCAGAACCTCACTCTGGGCACTGTCCCAAGAGAGCTCAGTGTTTAGAATGCTGTGTCCTCAGCAGTCTGGCTTCAGACTTTATTAGTTAAGAGAAACTGCAGCAGACAGAAGCCCTCTTTTGAGTGTTTCTAGGGAGATAATGAGCCCATCACCATCACAATCATCAATAAGCATTGGCTTAACATGTCCTGTCTCCAGGACAGTTTGCTAGATGCAAAAATGATTCCATCCTTGGGGTCGGCCTAGTGTCACTTACTTCCGCTCCACTCTGGTCACACTACTTAATATTTGATGACCCTTTGACATGAGACAGTGAGGACAGGCATCAGCCCTCAATGTTGGAGATGACTGCTCCCTGATATAGTCAACCACCAAATTCATGGGCTTGAGGATGAGGCAGAACCCAGACTGCTCAGCAGAACTCATAAGCTCCCCTACAAAGAGTGTTTTTGTGATTTCCTGGGACACACCTGGAAAAGCAGAGTCATGGCCCACACAGGTGGGAGGACCTACAGAGGGGGGTCTTCTGTAAACATAAACATACATAGACTATCCCTATGGGGCCTGGAGCTCCTGATCTAAAGCCTGGAATAGGGAAAAGGAGAGCAAGAGAGACAGGTAAGTCAGTAAATACAAGGCAATGGGATATTTGCAGTAACAGAAAATAATGTACAAAACACTCAGAGAGCACAAGTGGCAGTTTATCCTGATCCCAAAGGGGCCTAAAATTCCTATTTATAGGAATGTAGCTTGGTGAGACCTAGAAAATAAGTAGACCCCTGATGCTTTAAAAAAAAAATTGCTGAATTGCAAAACCCTGCAAGGGCAATGATTAAGCCTATTTGACTTGCTTTATATCATAACTATCATGGAGTTGAAAGCATGTGAATATTGAATATGGTGGAACTCCTGCAATAGTAAAGAAAGGGACATTTGCAGGCAGTTTTGGGTGACGACTGGGACAGGGTATGAAGTGTGGACTAATTGGTTGAGTGCTGACTAGGATAAAGTCATCTCTCCATTCTCCAGAATAATCTTCACCCATCTTGATTAGGTGATTTGGGGTAAATCAATTAAATGTTGGGCTTCGGCCTGTCCACAAAGTTGGAATTTGGCAGCCTATCCTCCCTTACAGAAGCATCAAGGAGCTGATAGTCTTAGAAAGGTGCTTTGTGTTTCCAGAAAGAAAGTTGTTTGAACATCTGAGGTCTTATCATTTGCATGGTGTGACTCAATAAAGGCATCATTATACTTGGGGAAGAAAACCAGAGTTGAGACACGTGAGATGGGAGAATGTGTTCAAGCATGTCAGAAATAGACGAGAGGGTCATTGTCAGAAAATAAACCCCTGGAGCAAGCGTGGCATTGGAACGCATACCTAGAATGGAGGAATACTCAGGTAATCTTCTCTTTAGATCCCTCTGGGCTAATTCCAGGAGCTACAACTGAGAAGGGCAGTCAAATTTGGACAGGCTTCAGAGGAAAGTTGTTGAGTTGATTGAAGGGCTGGAAAATCATACCTATGAGAGAAGGTTAAAGGAGATGGGTCTAGCACCAATGAACAGTGTGACTTTAGACAAGTCACTTAGGCTTTGAGGAGCTCTGTTCACTCATCTGTAAAATGAGGACAGTGACCTGGCAAAGCACTCAGGTCCTTCCAGGTCTCACAATATTTTTACAGTCCAGGAGGAGAGGAAGCCAGGCAGTAATTTGTCATTCATTTCAATTATATGCCTGTTACAAATCTCTGTCTTCCTTACAGGAGATATAATAAGAGTAAAAAGGCTGGGACTGTAGGTACAGCTACTTTGCTGAAGACAAAACAATGCCATGGAAGGCTTTCCCCAATTAAACAGAGCAGAATTCGAAAAATAAATGTAGCTAACCTTCAAAGTTTTTGTTAAAATTATATTTTGGTTCTCATGTCTTCAGAAATTAGAGGCCAACCCTCCCACCTGGAGCCCCTTCCCCTTGTCCTATCCATGCTGGCATAAGACCTTCTTGTTTCCTCCTCTTGGGTTGGGTGGGATGGGAATAATTTATCTGCTCTCAAAAGAGATGCCAGTAATTTGTATGTGCATGCATGGATTACAGGTCATCCCAGGACGCTAAATCCATTTAAAAGCAGAAGAGAAACACCTACAAAAAAGTCCCACCCTTTCAATCCTGTTAGGCCATTCAGCAGAGGCTGCCTGCCAGCTGCAGTCGGTTTGTATCCAAGAAGCCCAATAAGGTGATCTGCCTCTCATGGTCCTTGACCTAATCCCTCCATGCTCCACTTCTATTTGGAAGAGCCAAAGATTGGGAGCAAGAATAGACAAAAAGCAGAACAATCTGAGGCAATAGTTGGAAAACAGAACCCTAGGGCCTACGGCTCCCATTCCTCACTGCCAGGTTCAAAGGCACAGGGTCATGTTGCATGGAGTATGAAAGCCTAGGATCATGGCCGTGCTGATTTCACCTGCAGGGCTAACACCCAACATCCAAATGTCCACCTTCTAGTAGTGCTCTTACTCTGAACTGATGTATTCAACCTTGGCTGCACATTGCAATCACCTGAGGAGCATTTTTAAAATGCCAATGCCCCAGCCCCATCTGTGGGGAATTAAATCTCTTGAGCAAGTGGGTTCCAGAAGGAATTGCCTTACATATTGACTGTGCCATGAACCACTATATTCTTCCAGTGGCAAATTAACTTAAAACACACAAAACATCAGGAGAATCACAAAGGAAGAAAAAAACCTAGCTTATAATACCATGTCCCTAACATACAATACACTCCCGTAAGGAAAATGGATGTGCTGCAGTCAAGAATAGGCCAAGGCAGACATCTGGTCCAGCATGACTCAGAAAGTTTGGAGTGCAGGTGCACAACTCCACACGTTATGTAACCACGTCATGTGAGGCTCATTATGTAACCACTCCACTTGAGGCACATTAGGTGATCACCCACGTGAGCTTGAGCTTGGCTCAGAGCCACTATTGACGTAAAAGGTCTAACTACCCTGCTGACATTGTACATACGGCTTGTGTCCACAGCTTGTTTGGGCCCACGGCTCGATCATGCCCAGAGAGAGAGTAAAAACCATGTCAAAACTCTATGATTCCTTGACTGTTTTTCCAGCTACCTGCCACTGGTCCACCCACTCTCCTCAGACCTCAGCTTGGGCTGAAAGCTGACACTTGCCATGACAATCAGTGTCATGAACAGGATCCCAGAGTGAGTGAGCTTTTTGTCCCCGCAGCTTCCACGTCAGCCATGTGGCCACAACATGGGTTGTGGTACACTGTGACAGCTATGATGTGAGGATGGGCTCCAGTGGAGACCTGAGCGGTGGTAGATGGGTACCCCCTGGGCATGGAGAAGGCACTGAAGCAGCTGGAAGCACAGAACACCAAGAAGTAGCGAGCCTTTGCTGGCAGAGTTGGATGGGTGTTTTTGACTATGCTACACAACCAGTACCTGAGGGATGCAGCACAGGTAAGGGCCCTCCAGGCACAGGTGGGGTGCCTGGAGGCCCAACTACACAGCTCAGAAAAAGAATTAGATGCTGCTGTGAATGGGGCAGGCAGGGCGCCTGAAGGCCTGGCTACAGAGCTTGGAAATGGAATTAGAGGCTGCTGTGAATGCAGGACAGGGTCCGTTGTCTCAGCCGGAGACCCCCACTTGGTCTGAGTCTGCACCATAAAGAAGGGGACGCTGCCTCACCCACAGGGGCCCCCCCAACATGGGAGAAAAGGAGGCCCCAGTGAGTGACATGTTCACAGATGTGGAGAGATATTTGATTTTGGCCTGGGTTGACTGAGAGAAAATTGATAAGCAGCCCAATGAAGTACTCTTAACTTTGTGGAGACAGAGCAGCAATTCCAGAAAATGCCCAAGGGGAAGGACATTGCTGTGTGACCCTGTCCCACCCGGGTGCTTCAGCTCAAAGACTACTTGCTGCAGCCAGGTAGAAATGTAGAGCTTTTCCTGTTTGATTAGGGAACTGGCCGAGGTGCCTGGCTTGGGGGGACACTGGAAGACCAGAGGCCACATGTGGAATTACCAATCTACTGGTCCCCTACCAGTGTACAGCAAGTGCTGGGCTGTTAGACACCAGTGCAGATACATTCTGGGGGGATATTTTACATGGCTTGGCAGCTGTGCCATCTATCACCAACCTGATGGACCACTTGACAGAACTGGGACAGTATCACTATGTCGTGGACTTGGCTAATGCATTCTTTTCCAGAAAGCCAGGAAGTTTGCCTTCATGGGAAGGTGACAATGGACTTTCACAGTGTTGCTGCAGGGCTATGTGCATAGCCCTACCGTATGTCATGGTCTTGTTGATGATATTATGCTAACCTCTGATTCTCTTGCAGATTTAGAAGCAGTAATGCTTCCCTTGTCTAAAATTAAGATGATGACACTGAGACAGCCTTTCTAGCAGCTAGGTGGGCTATTCAACAGTCACAAGCCCTATGGGTAATTAACCAGGGGCGCCCATTTAAACTCGATGTGCATGTGACCACAGATAGTTTTGGCTGGGGCCTATAGCAGCACTTGGAGCGCTTGAGAACACCAGTAGGCTTTTGGTCCCAAATAAGGAAAGGAACTGAACTCCAGTATTCATTGATAGAAAAGCAGTTAGTAATTGCATATGTTGCCCTTCAGGCTCACAAGAGCGTGGCAGGACAGACTACAGTCATCAACTTACCTGATAGTGGGACGGATGCATTCATGGATAATAACTCCCTGGACAGGGAAAGCAGTTAGCAACTGTATATGCTGCCCTTCAGTCTCATGAGACTGTGGCAGGACAAGCTATAGTCATCATGCAGATGACCTACCTGATAGTGGATGGGTGCATTCATGGATAACAGTTAATGACCCCCTGGACTGGGATGGCACAGACATCCACTTTAGCAAAGTGGAGTGCCTACTTGGAGCAGCAGAGCACACTGAGTACAAGTCCCCTTGCAGCAGAGTTGCAAGAGGTCTTGGGACCTGTGGTCCTAATGCAAGATAAGGCCACGGGGCCTGAGGCACCCCTAGACCCTGAGCCTTCACCATCTAAGGAAAGGTGTCCCCCCATTCCCAATGGTGCGTGGTACACAGATGGGTCTAGCCGAGGTGCTGCTGCTGCCTGGACCAGACCACTGTTGCAGTCCAACCTAGTACTGCCACCCTATGTTTTGAAACTGGGTGTGGGCAAAGTAGCCAATGGGCTGAACTTAGAGCAATATGAATGAAGATCACCAAGGAAGTGACACCTATGACAATCCACACCGATAGCTGGGCAGTTTATTGAGGCTTAACCTTGTGGTTAACCTTGAGATTAACATTTGAGTTAGTGGGCTGGGGAAGGCAGACCCACCCTTAATCTGGCAGGTACCATCTAATCAGCTGCCAGCGAATGTAAAGTAGGCAGAAAAATGTGAAAAGTCTACACTGGCCTAGCCTTCCAGCCTACCTCTTTCTCCCATGCTGGATGCTTCTTGCTGTTGAACACTGGACTCCAATTTCTTCAGTTTTGAGACTCAGTCTGGCTCTCCTTGATCCTCAAGCTTACAGACAGCCTATTGTGGGATCTTGTGATCATGTAAGTTAATACTTAATAAACTCCCATATATATCCTATTAATTCTGTCCCTCTAGAGAACTCTGACTCATACAGTAGGGAAATAAAAACCTGGCTTAGTGTATAAAGCAACATTGGGGTAACATCACCATGGGGTGGTTGCCTGCTATAACCTGGAGTTGTTGCTCCCTGTATTACTGCTGTGGCCTCTGGTTACACAATTCCACCCTGTGGGTGTGTCTCCCCACTAGAATACTCCCTTAGCCTAGGGGGTGGGATGTAAGGCCTATGTGTTGAACCTGTGTGTCTGGGGCCTGTGTGCCCAGATCCTATGTATAAGGCCTATGTGTCAGACCAGTGTCCAAGGCCTATGTCTCCTTCGGCCTAGGGGATGGAGTGTAAGAAAAATGGATGTGCTGCAGTCAAGAATAGGCCAAGGTAGATATCCAGTACAGCATGACTCAGCAAGTTTGGAGCACAGGCGCACAACTCCACAAGTTATGTAACTATGCCATGTGAGCACATTAGGTGATCACCCACATGAGCTGGTGCTTGGCTCGGAGCCACTATTGTCTCTAAAAGGTATAACTACCCTGATGACGTTGTACATATGGCTTGCACCCATGGCTTGTTTGCACCCACAGCTCGCTTGCACCCAAAGAGAGGAAAAGCCATGTTGAAACTGTCTACAATTCCTTCAGTGTTCTTCCAGCTACCTGCCACTTGTCCACTGACTCCCAATGGACCTCAGTTAGAACCTAAGAACTCCTTAAGAAATTCTCTTCTTGTGGAGATGCTGTTTCTTCACTCCTATGTTAAGCATTCTTTTGTGCAGTATCCATTGATTACCTGATCCATATGAAGAATACCTACCCTCAATGAGTTGTCTGTAAAAAAAAAAATAGTGGCAGATTAATGTTGATATCCACCTATTGTTGCTGTTTCTCCCAACCATTGTGATTCTGTCATAGTGCTTGGCACTTAGTAGAAGCTCAGTATGTTTTTGATAACTGACGGACAATCTTTGACCTTGCCCCTGAAAATTTCAGCCCACCAGAGGCTTAGATGGTATTAAGGAAATTTATTCAGAATTTAGAATGGTGGTAGCAGTAAATCAATGTTTCACATTCATAGGGGCTACTGGCGGTAGAATGGGTTTACAGAATTTCATTTCCATCTACAGTTTTCCTGCCCTATTTCACCTGTCAGACAAAGGGCTCACATTTGTATTCTCTCTGCAGGATGTTTTCACCTTGTCTGCATATGCATCATTAAATAGTTCAAGATCAATTGCAGAGTAGATAAATAGTGAAACAGTGAAAATCTCTTTCAGAGTTTATGGCAAATTTCAGAGCTGGGTTCTTTGATTCCAGTTATACCTGGATTATTGTTGCTGTTTAGCATACCTTTGCAGTTCCCCTGTAGGTGCTGGGTGATGGATGGGGCAGGAACGCAATTTATCAAAGCATTATGCTGGCAAACAGATCGCAAGACACATAATGCCACTCATCAGTACCCACTTACAAACCTGTTTCTCACTCCTATTCATCTTGTTCAAGCTTCTGCCTCTACCTGAAAGGCTTCACTCACAACCACCCTCTTCATTCACTTCTGGCAATTTTAGGTTACCTCCTTCAGAAAGTCTTCCTTGGGACCTCGGAGTCCTGATGGTATCCACTGTTTCTCCCTGTGACCACACCTACCATTGAATTTGAACTTATTGAAGAAGAGAGCCTCACTATAGGGAAACGGAGGAGTGAAAGAAAGACCCAGGGTTCTAGCCTGGTGACTTCTGTAGCAAGGAAGATAGACTTTTCTGTTCACTAGGGGAGAGAGAGAAAACATTTTTTCTCAGAACATGTTTGGATGGTGGCTAGACAATTATATATTGAGTTTATATATTGATCAAAAATGTATTAAGTGTCTATAAACTGTTAAGTGCTGTGAATTCGGAAATGAGTAAGCTTACAGTGACTCCCTCTTCCTTTGGAATGCCTTGTGGTCATCCTCAACTCTCCAGGCCTTCCCTGACATCCTAGGGCTTCACCTCCTCACCTCCCCCTTGCAACACAGTGCTGGCCTCTCACTTCCCTCCCCTGTTTTTAGTCTCTTTTCTCCAACCAATTTTGCAATCAGTGTTCACACTAATCTTCATAAAGGGAAAGGCTTGCTCTCGCCTTGCGCTTGCTCAAGAATCTATAATGGCTCCCTGTTAGTTTTTTTTTTTTTTTCCTTAAAGGCCTTTTTGTTTTGTTTTGTGTTCTGTGTTTGTTTTTCTTAAAATGCCTTTCCTAAAATGCCTCATTGGCTGACTGCATCCAAACTATTTAACTTATATCTACCTACTACTTTCCTTCTCGCCCCATCTACCCAACACAGATTGTTCACTCCAGTTTAGCTGGCTATTTCCCTTCCTGTCCCATTAGCCTGCCCACATCCCTCCCACTTTCCTCATTGCGCATGCCAGCATGTGGCTTTGTACAGCTCCTCACTCAGCAGACAATGCCCTCCTCTCTATGCTATGCCAGACTTTCTGCCTGTCCTCAAGGCATATCCCAACCCCACCTCTTCCAGGACCTCTACCCCACCACTGCAACTCCCACTTGTCTCTTCTTTCCTCGGTTTTCTTCTGCACTATAAGCTGGTACCATGACTCCTTATGGTTCCCTAAAAATTGCATACTCCTGAGACAACATATACTATTTCTTTTGCATTCTTCACTTTGCCTATCACATTGTATCCAGCAAACGTGTTGATGCTCATCATCTGTTAAGAAAGAAAACCACTTTGGGAGGCCGAGGCAGGTGGATCACAAGGTCAGGAGATCGAGACCATCCTGGCTAACATAGCGAAACCCCGTCTCTACTAAAAAATACAAAAAATTAGCCGGGCATGGTGGCGGGTGCCTGTAGTCCCAGCTACTTGGGAGGCTGAGGTGGGAGAATGGCATGAACCTGGGAGGTGGAGCTTGCAGTGAGCAGAGATCGTGCCATTGCACTCCAGCCTGGGTGACAGAGCAAGACTCCGTCTTGAAAAAAAAAAAGAAAGAAAGAAAGAAAGAAAACATACCTTATTCACCTTAATAGATAGGGTTGTTATAAAAGGCCAGTTTGAAAGGGTATAAAACACTGAGAAACAAGCTCTGAATTCATGTAGGGAAAATAAAATTAGGCCATGTAAAGGAAGAATCATGTATATGATAACTTTGATATACTTAAGATCTTAAGATACTTGTTAGAGCAATTATTTTGATAATGCTATAAATAATAAGAACAGTAAACTATAGCCATTATTTCAATATGATTCAACACACTTAAGAGCATTTAATGAGAATGTACCATGTGGCAGCCTTGGGACTTGGTAGAGGACCTCAAAAGGGAATAAACTATAAGCAGAAAATAACTGTATCAGGTAGTTATATTCAGGTAGTTATATATGGGTAATATTATAATAGTGATAGCATTTTTAAAAATTTACTTTGGCTTATAGTATATGGAATGACTCATGAAATCCGGACCTTGATAGAGGATGCAGGATTTTTGAAAGGGAGAGGTAGGACCTTGTAGGGTACTGGGGGGTGAGAGGAAGGATAGAATAGAGTGATAGTGCTCAGTGGAACAAATTGCATAGAATTTGAAAGTATGGATTATTTCAGACAATAGTCAGTTATATGATATTTAGTTGGAACATGAGGTATTGGGAAAAGGGAAAGAGTATCAGAAAATATGGAGGGTTAGAAAGGTTCATTGGTGCCAGATTGTATAGGCCTGAAGGTTTGAACATTTTACATAAGAAAAAAAGAAACTATTGAAAGTTCTTGAGAAAGTCTTGATTGCAAATTCTTCAAAATTTTGCAGGATAATTCTCTTTAGGAAGTCAGTGAAGTAAAAACTTGGCCTAAGGCAATGAATTTCCTTTTTGTTTGAAATGCTAGACTTGAAAGAAATATGTCAAATAAAACTGAATAGTGTTGAACATCTCAGATATCCAGGAGTTTGTTCTCTAATGTGTGGAACTTTGTTGAAATGTATAATATTTGTATGTTCTCACCATTGTCATACAAGCAAATGGCATGCTTTTGAGAATGTAGATCTCCTCAGATGTTTCCTGGCTAGTACAGGATGTACTTTCATTTGGAAGGTTGGCTGTCTGGAGCCCTAACTTGGGTTCACTTGCACCTTGCAGGGTTGAAATGATTTTAGGTGAAAGGTGGCCACCGTCTCTAACAGGAACAGTTCTTTCCACTTTTAGCAAGAGTGCCCACTAATGTAAAAGTAAATCAGGGAGACTAAAATCAAAAGGAATTAATTGTCACCAACAATTCCATTTGCATTTATTTATTCATAATTAGTATTTACTGGAAGTGGCAGCTTATGCTCATTTTCTCTGGATCATTAAAATGTACTCATCTGAGCCATAAACAAAGCCAGCAATGCCCAGGAATCAACTGGAACAATTCAGTTAGTGATAATTGCATCACAGCTCCCCTGTAGCATCTCGCAAAGGTTCATTTGATTACAGTTACTAATGGCAATCCTGGCACATGGAGGGTATTTATTAGACTAGTGGTTCTTGGGTTTCTAGCCTTAGATTTGAGGGGGAAAGGACACTGCTCTGCAACTGCTCTCCCTCAAAAGCATTTCAACACCTTGCCTAAACTGGTGAGAATACAGTAATATAATAGTGGTAAAATGATTAGAAATTGATTTTGCCTTACGGTTCACGGAATTGACTCATGGCATCAGGGCCTTGATAGAAGATGCCGGATTTTGACAAGGAGAGAGAAGACATTGCAGGGTATTGAGGAATGAGGGAAAAGGTAGAGTAATAATGGTAAGAGAAGCAAATTGCCTGGGATTTGAAAGCATGGGATGAAATAAGCAGTTATTTATATGTCTAGAAAATATATTATTACTGTCCAATTTTAAGCACGAATGCTTTAAACTTTAAGGAACTGGTCTTACCTGAGTCCCATAAATTATATTTTGAGAGCCATTTATCAGATAATCGATAAATGAAAACAAAATCAAACAACTCAAATGAGGCAAGAAAGAGAGCTGAAGGAATGGGTAAGACACAGTCAAGAGCATGTTTTGGAGAGTGCCAGCCCCCAAAGGCTGGGCTTGTGGTTCTTCTTAGAGATGAACAATCTTGAATCTTCTATTTCAGATTCTTGGCTGGAAACACCTTATCTTAGAGTCCCTCAGGTTCAGACCTGACCTAAGACACATGTTATTTCTTTACAACCACTGAGTCTGTTAGTGTTGTACACATATTAAATGCTTAATGGTTTGCTGAACAAATCTTCATAGATACTTCAACTCACCTATTTAAATAAAGCTGAACCTGAATGAAGAGATCTCCATGTCTGGATAAGGTCCATGGTTTGTTTCCAAAAGGGGCAAAAGTTGGATGCAGCCAGAGATTCTTTGTTGATTTGTTCATAGTTATCTATTTTTTGAAGGTTGGTTTGTTTGTTGTACTATGTTTTTTATACAGCTGAATTGATTGCAAAGGTAAAATAAGAATTTCCTTTCCCAGGGCTATATTCATTCTTCCCAACTGAGGTGGAAAATTCCAGTATTAGTTTTAGCAGTACTTGAACCATCTTCTCCCTAATATAGTGCTTCTAGGGAACATGGGGAAATTCTTAAGCCTGGGTAGCCAATATGAAAGATCCAGAAAGAATCAAATATAATGAGAATGTCTGAAAGAATTTGTTCTCTCAAGCAAACTGGTCTATCAGAAGGACTAATAGCTTGGGCCTATTTTGCTCACCATTTTAGAGGGGCTACTTAATCTCCTAGTGCCTGAGTTTCCTTGTCTGTAAGATAGGAATAATAGGCCAGGCATGGTGGCTCACGCCTGTAATCCCAGCACTTTGAGAGGCCGAGGGGGTGGATCACTTGAGGCCAGGAATTCCAGACTAGCCTGGCCAACATGGTGAAACCCTGTCTCTACTAAAAATACAATAATTAGGCAGGCAGGGTGGCACATGCCTGTAATCCCAGCTACTCAGGAGGGAGACTGAGGCAGAATAGCTTGAACCTGGGAGGCGGAGGTTGCAGTGAGCTGAGATCACACCACTGCACTCCAGCCTGGGTGACACAGCGAGACAAAAAAAATAAAAAATTAATAATAATAATAATAATAAAGAGTGTTGTGAGGATTCAATGAGTTACACATGTAAATACTTGGAAGCGTGCCTGGAACATAGTAAATTTTTGATTAATGCTAGTTTTCATTATTTTTCTTAATCTAATTTTTTCTGAACTTGTAAAATACATTTACACAATAGCAGTCACCTCTCCTGGGGGATTTAGAAATAGTACCCACTATTTATTGAGCATTTATTATGTTCCAGTCCTCTGGCACATGTCTACTTTGATCCTCACACTAATCCTATGAGAAAGTTATTATCATCAGTTTCGGTAAAGAAACTGAGGATCAGAGAAATAACTTGGCCATACCTAATAAGCAATGGAGCGGGGATTTGAACTCCCACCCTACTGGGCTAGTTCTCTAAGATCCTAAAGAAACTGCTTTGTATCCCAACATGAAACTGAACTCAGTTAAAAATAAGCACACGGGCTAAAGACCTCTTTTCCCTGACTTATCTCTCATAGCATAGATTGCTTGGTGCCTCTCAGAGAATTTCCGTTTAACACCCTGAGATTAGTTGGCCTTGTGGCTCTGATCAGTGGAGGTCTGTTTAACTCAAGTCACATGTGGGTATTTTCACTCCAATCATAACGTCAGTTCTAAATCTGTTGGTATGTCACAAAGGCACAAGTTAAAACCCAGGAAAAAACTTGAGCTGTTACTGTTCCCAAGTAGAAACATCCTTAGCAGCTTATCTGAACAGAAGGCCAATCTAAAACCTTGGAGGTTTGCCCAGCCCCGGTTTCCTGTCTAACTGAAAGCAGAGAGCCCAGACACAGAGCCAAGAAGTTCACGCTTGTGGGATCAGCAACCTAAATTTGAGAATTCGGATCAGTAAGACCAACTGCAGCCTGCAGCTAGAGCGGTGCTGGAGTCATGGGCCCGATGGTCCCAAGGGTGCAAGGAAAAACTTATGAGATGACTAAGGTAATTGTTAGGAATGAAATCAAAATACAACTAGGCAAACCAACTTCCCAACTGGCAGAGGAGAGAGAAATCTCCCTGGGATTATTTTTATAGATTAGTCTGCTATCTTTAGCTTCCAGAAATGATTTTTTGCTGTGTGTGATAATGCTGGTACTGACGTGTACCGAGCACTTACCACATTTGTGATACTGCGCTAAACACTTTACACACTTTACTTCAATCATGAGTGATTACAACTCAGGTATATGGACATGATTGAAAAGACTGGTACACAGCTTCAGAGTTTCCATAGAGGGTGTCGTTTTAGCAGAATCTTTACTAAAATGAGCCACCCCTGTCCTTAAGAGCTGTATCACCTCACCTGGCTACCCTGTTTTCTAGCACAAGGTCACCTTGAGTCAAGATGTTCAGTTTTGTTGTCACTGTGCCATGGCCATGACTGTGGGAATAACCCCATCTGCTTACCTTGGGAGATGGAAACTTTGACGAACTCAAGGTCCTTCCCCAGATACTTCCAGCTACTTCCCAGTGATGCCTCCTGCTCTGGCTACCCTAAACCTACAGTCAAACTATGTCTCTCTGCAGCTGAAAACCCCCCTTAATTGCAGTAAACAGGATAACATCTGTGGGAAGAAAGGCAACTATCTCTTCACATGTTGTTTTCTTAGAGGGGAAGCTTTCCTGGATAACCAAGAGACTTCATGTCTCATTGGCCAGCATTTGATCATGTACCCATTTCTAAATCCATCAATCACAGGAATGTGACTGCCGTGTTTATCTTGGACTAATTGGGATCTGCCCCTCAGCCGGGGATAGGGTCAACTTCCCCTGAATCAAGTGAATAGAGGTAGATCCCCGAATAAATCAGAGTTAAGAAGGAAGGGCTGGTGAGACTAGACACAGTAGAGCAGCCATCAGTGTCCTACGCAGGCCTCCGTATTTCACGGAGGTAGTTTCCCTCCCTCCCACCTCATGCCCCAGATGAAGTCTTATTTTCCCTTAAGTATTGCTACTCTAGGTCTGGGTCTTGCTGTTCCCCCAAAAGAAATATCCCTCTTCATATTCCCAACCACTCTTATATCTACCTTTATTACAACATTTACATATTTTTTCACGCCTATCTTCTTTTACACATATCTCTCCTAGTTAGACTATGAGATCATAGAGACCATGTGTTACTCATTTTTAAAATTTCCAGTACCTAGCATAATTCCTGGGATAAAGTAGGTGCCCAATAAATGTTGGATTGATATGATTTGTGAATTTAGTTTATGAAAGTCTATTTCAGCATTACTTAGAATTGGATAGAACAAGTTTGGTTTTAAAAGTGGGAGAAAAAGGAAGATGATAATATTGTTTCATAATCAATTTTTAACCTGCCTAATTCAAAAAAAAAAAAAAGGATGTAAGGGAGCAGGGGTGCTGTGTGTAATGTGCTGTGCTTAATGTTGCTTTTCTTTTATTTCCCACAGCACACAGGACACGGTGGGGATGCAGCATCTTGGACCTCATCCGCCTGTGCTCTAATTCAAAGACAAATATGTTTCCCAACTTGCCCAAGGCTCTGGCAGGGAAAACTCAGATCCCCAAACTCAGGTCGTTCTAGTGCAGCAATAACCAGCTGGGTTTTCAGCAACTTGGATGGAGCCATCTGTGTTCCCAGCCCACATAAAAATATGCACAAGAAGGGTGCAAATCAGCAAGTCCACAGCTTCCAGAGGCCCCAGCTGGGATGTGCCCTCCCTTTGGGGACTAATGAAAGGTAAATCCAGTGTCAAAAGACAGAGGGCCAGCAGCAAGACTATGGAGCTAAGTGAGTCCAGACTCTGGTCCCTTTTCTGACTTTGCCTGAAATAGAGCCCATCTGGCTCCCTGGCCACTGTGCTTGTGTGAAGGGCACTGCAGTGCATGCTGAATGCCTGGAAAATTACCAGAGGTCTCCTGCCTCTCTCTCTGGGGGCACCAGGAACTGGCCACATAGGAACTCTCTTCTCTGATGCTCTGCATTCCTCTGACTGCCTGGTCAACCCTTAAGCTTTCACATAATGAGCCTGGTGAGCCCAGGTGGTCAGGAATAGAGGGGCTTTTTGTGTCTTGGTCTTAAAGAAGGGAGCCCCTCAGATTTTCCCACATACTCCCCCTTCCTTTCCTACCACTCCACATCACAGAAGGGAATTTAGAGTCGTCTTGGCTCTCCGGCTAAGACAGAGGACAGTAGATTCCACATGAAAAGCCAAATTAAATGGGGGTGCTGTTACTCAGCCACCCAGGTGCAGATGGCTTTTGGCAGCCCAGTACTGGGCGGTGATTGAGAAGAGTCTGTCTCGAAGTCATTACAGTTAATTGTCACAGAGTTACAGACTCATCTGCAGGCAAAGAGCCAGCTCAAAATCCCCAGGGAATTTTCAGATGGATTAATAAACAAAATGGCATATGTGTAAAGCAGCTGATTCTCTACAAAGAAATGATAGTATTATTTCTTTACTCTTCATTCCTGGACCCAGGACTATTTTACAGTCTCTTTCACATCTTGGAAGGCATTTGTCCAACAGGGCTCTGAGTCAGGGGAAAGTATTTTCTTCCTTGTTTTTATCTAGTAGCACAGACACTTTCACTATGGGGTTAGTGCATTTTTCATGGCTCCTGGTTCATCTCAGAAAAATGCACATCAACCCAGCCATCCTGTTGACTAAGTGGCATTCACTAAGCCAATATTCCACATAGAAACACTGATGCGGTCTTAACAATGGTAGAGTAAATGGCATCACCACCTGTCTACATACGTAAAACAGGTGCACAGTTGGGAGCTGGAGCCATAGCCTCATTGATATCATAGACAGAAACAGGATCTGTTCAATAGCACTGGTACTGAGGAGAAAAGCAGCACAGTACTGGATCCTGCACATCACTTCCTTTTCCAGTTTCTTTGATTTTTCTGCTAAAGTTTATATGATTACTCCTGAGAAGCAGGAATTGCCTCAGAAAGTTATCCTGCTCTTTGGCATAACCGCCCTGCTGGCTCACCCTGCCCCACAAACTCTGCCAGCCCAGTGTAGAGGAAGAGAGCTGAGCATCTGCTAAAGTCCCTCCATCACCAGTGATCTGTGCCTGAATTTGTCGTTCCTTGCTGCTTGTAAATTTCATTTCCTCTAAGCCTTCTCTATATTACATAGCCCAGAGAAGTACTGGTTAATGAAAAAATGAAAAGCTTGACTTTACAAATGAAGAGGAAAATGCACTCTTTAAAAAAAAAGTTGCAGCTAAGTGAACTTATATGTGTGCAAGAAAAGAAAATTGTTTCGAGCTGTTTAAGAGTAATAATTACATTACATTACCGTGTTACTGTCTGAAGATATTCATATTTTGCTTTTTTATTTTTTTGGTGGAGTGTTGTTCAGTTGCCCAGGCTGGAGTGCAGTGGCATGATCTTGGCCTCCCGGGTTCAAGCAATTCTCCTGCCTCAGCCTCCCAAGTAGCTGGGTTTACAGGCATGCACCACCATGCCCAGCTGATTTTTGTATTTTTAGTAGAGGGGTTTCACCTTGTTGGCCCAGCTGGTCTTGAACTCCTGACCTCAGGTGATCCACCTGCCTCGGCCTCCCAGAGTTCTGGGATTACAGATGTGAGCCGCTGCACCCGGCCTTATTTTGCTCTTTAGTGCTATTTCCTGTTTAAATTTCTCAGTGTGACTCAAGAGTCTATCATACTGAGTTCATGCTCCCAGTATTTAAAACTGCATGAAAATAATGCAGAAAATAATTTGCTAGCGTTGACTTGCTCCCAGAACTTAAACTGATCAAGCAGGACATCTGAGGAATAATACTTTTTAGCAGGGATTGGCAAACTTTTTCTGTAAAAGGCCAGAGTGTAAATATTGTAGGTTTTGTGAGCCATACAGCCTCTGTTGCTGATATTCAATTCAGTCCTTGTAACACAAAAGCAGTCATAGACAACGCATGAAGAAATGGTGTGTCTGTGTTCCAGCAAAACTGTATTTATAAAAACAAGTTGCAGATTAGATTTGACTCACAATTTGTTGATCTCTGCTTTGTAGTAAAGCCCTGATAAATTTTCTTCTTGGGTTAAGTAGTGAGTGGGAACTTGCCACATCAGAGTCATTTTGGGGAGATGGCACATCCCCACATGAGAGCCAGCATGGAAAAATTTGGTTTATTTCTCCTACTTTTTAACAGTAAGTGACAATTTTGCAGCTATTTTCAGCTTACAAGGAACATATTAACCACTTGAACTTCCAATTCCATGAGATAATGTCAGCATAATGCAGATTATTCCTTATACTAGACTTCCAGTTTCTGGGAATAGCAGGTACATTATCCTACTGAAATGCTGAATATAATACAAAAAGCATCTACCTTAAAGCATCCAGGAGCTAACAAGATAGAAAGGAATTACCTGACCTAAATGGGAGGAAAATATTAAGGAATCACATAAACAACTTTTGCCCTGATATATTTGCTGATCCTGCAAAACTGAACTTCCTTTTGATGTTTTCATGGGATGCTCAGTATTTAAAGCCAAAGGCTACATAAGTCTGAAAGTCTACTAAGAAATTGTCGATACAATAAACTTGAACCTCAAAGGACCAATCCCAGGAGTGAAAAAGAATCAGAAGTGACACAGCCTTCCTGCATATAAGCAGGTGGCTTTCACATTCTCTGGTGGGTCAAGGACTCTCAAGCCTTGAATTTGGCTTAAGTGGTAGTTCCTCCAGATATCTTTCAGAAGCAAATATAAATTCTTTCTGAAGGAAGGCAACTTCAGTTCATCCTGGGCCTTAAGTACCCCTATAAATGATTTTGTAAACACAAGGAACAATAATATATTAATAGATTTTTTTAATAAAAGAGGTACATAAGTAAACAAAACACCATGATGTCACCTAAATTTGAAGATATAATGGCTGCCATTTTTTCAAAACTGATGAAAGATATCAGAGAAGTACTACAAACCCCAAATGGGATAAATACAAAGGAAATCACAATTAGACTCAAACAAATTTCCAAATACTTCAGCTACTACAATTATCATATACAAGTTATAGAGCAAGAATGTTTATGATTCTTAAGGAAAAAAATAAAGATCAGCTTAGTAGCAGAAAACCATAACATAATCACAGGTAGATTTTTCTTTGAAGAACTAATAGAACATCTACAAAGGGAAAATAGAAAAATCAAAAAATTTTAAATTTAATAAATATTTTTAGTAGCAGATTAGACATACCAAAAGAGAGAATTAGATATCAGTAGCCCAATTTTTGGAGAAGAGGTGTTCAATATTTCACAATTAGCAAGTACCTAATAAATGATAAGTTAACTTCCTTGGACCTAAAATTCCACAGACTTCTCAATTCATGGCCAACTTTGTGGTTAATATGTGTTTATATTGCTAAGGATAAGAGGAAAATATATCTTGTTTTTTCTATTTTCAATCCAGTTTTGGTGCTACATTCTGCCTCTTAACTAAAAGCTCTTCAAGTAACCAGGACATTGATACCTTTGTCCTGTTTAGGATTTTGGTCTTATGGTCAAATTCACTTGATCTGCCGTGGCTGAATTCAAGTTTTTACCTTCAGTTTCAGTTTGTTCTAACCTCTTTTTAACTAATTTCACTTTGGCTGAGTTCTGCCCAGATGCCTTCACAAGAACCCCGAGGGTTGGCTTGACAAATTCAATAGGATTTTCGTTGTTTCCTATAATAGACAATATGACACTAATTCCAATTACACTTCCCCTCTTAATTTGGTGTTATGATTTTCATGAATCTAAATTATCTCTATATTTTAAGCCCCATAAGGCAGTAACTATGCATTAGATTTACCATTTGCTTTCTCTATTGCTCTTCATTCCCTCTTGGATTGCTAGGATAACTTTCCTTCTGTCCAAAGAATTCCTTTAAGCATTTACTTTATTGTGGGTCCCCTGGTGATGAATTCTGTTTTGGCTTATCGCTAAAGATACATATTTCATTTTCACATCAGTGATGTTTTCCCTGAATAAACAACTCTAGGTTGGAATTTTTGTTTTTCATGTTTTCTTTTGCCACTTTAAAGATGTCATTGCATTGCCTTCTGGCTTCTATTTCTCTTTGGAAAAAGTAGCTGTCAGTCTTATTGATGTTCCTTTAAGGATAATGTGTCTTTTTCCTTAGATGCTTTTAAGATTATAGTTTGCAGAAATTTTATAATCATGAACCTAATTGTGATTTCCCTTGTATTTGTCGCACTTGGGGTTTGTGGTACTTCTCTGATATCTTCCATCAGTTTTGAAAAAATCGCAGCCATTGTATCTTCAAATATTGCTTCTGCATTATTATCTCTCTCCTTATCTCTGTACCTCCAATTATATGTATGTTAGACTTTTTCTCTGTGTTCTGTATAGCCCTCATGATGCTATTTTTGCATTTTTTGGTCTTTTTGCTCAATGAAGTTCAATTTTAATATTTTAACTGAAGTATTTTCTAGTTCACAAATCCCCTTTTTTGTTATGTCTAATAAGCGGTTTGGTCCTAATTTCAGTTGTCTCATTCTTTGGTTCTAGAAGTTTCATTTGATACTTTTATTTTATTATTATTATTTATTATTTTTGTACCTACATAGTAGGTGTATATATTTACAGGGTACATGAGATGTTTTGAAACAGGCATGCAATGTGAAATAAGCACACCAAAGAGAATGGGGTAGCCATCCCCTTAAGCATTTATCCTTTGATTTACAAAGAATCCAATTACACTCTTTAAGTTATTTTAAATTATACAGTTAGGTTATTATTGACTATAGGCACCCTATCATGCTATCAAATAGTAGGTCTTATTCATTCTTTCTAACTATATTTTTTGTACCCATTAACCATCCACATCTCTTCCCTCCCCTCCCACCATCCTTCCCAGCTTCTAGTAACCATTCTTCTGCTTTCTATGTCCATAACTTCAATTGTTTTCATTTTTAGATCCCACAAATTAGTGAGAACATGTGATGTCTCTCTTTCTGTACCTGGCTTATTTCACTTAACATAATGATCTTAATGATCTTTAGTTCCATCCATGTTGTTGCAAATGACAGGATCTCATTCTTTTTATGGCTGAATGGTACTCCATTGTGTATATGTACCACATTTTCTTTATCCATTGATCTGTTGATGGACACTTAGGTTGCTCCCAAATCTTAGCTATTGTATATAGTGCTGCAACAAACATAGGAGTGTAGACATCTTTTCAATATACTGATTTCCTTTCTTTTGAGTATATACCCAGCAGTGGGATTGCTGGATTCCACTGGTAGCTCAATTTTCAGTTTTTTAAGGAAACTCTAAACTGTTCTCCATGGTTGTTGTACTAATTTACATTTCCACTAACGTGTTTGGGGGTTCTCTTTTCTCCACATCCTCGCCAGCCTTTGTTATTGCCTGTCTTTTGAAATATAAGCCATTTTAACTGGGGTGAGATAAATCTTATTGTAGTTTTTCATTTGCATTTCTCTGATAATCAGTGATGTTGAGCACGTTTTGATATGCCTGTTGTCATTTGTGTGTCTTCTTTTGAGAAATGTCTTTTCAAATCTTTTGCCCATTTTTGATTGGATTATTAGATTTTTTTATAGAGTTGCTTGAGCTCTTTTTATATTCTGGTTATTAATCCCTTGTCAGAGAGTTTGCAAATATTTTCTCCCATTCTGTGCATTGTCTCTTCACTTTGTTGATTACTTGCTTTGCTGTGCAGAAGGTTTTTAACTTGATGTGATCCTATTCATCCATGTTTGCTTTGGTCACCTGTGCCTGTGGGTATTATTTAAGAAAACTTTGCCCAGTCCAACATCCTAGAGAGTTTCCCTCGTGTTTTCTTTTAGTTGTCGCATCATTTTAGGTCTTAGATTTAGGTCTTTAATCCATTTTGGTTTTATTTTTGTGTATGGTTAGAGATAGGGGTCTAGTTTCATTCATTTGTATATGGAGATCCAGTTTTCCCAACACCATTTATTGAAGAGACTGTCTTTTTCCCAGTGTATGTTCTTGACACCTATGTCAAAAATGAGTTTACTGTAGGTATGTGAATTTATTTCTGGGTATTCTATTGTGTTCCATTGGTCTTTGTGACTGTTCTTATGCCAGTACCATGCTGTTGTGGTTACTAAGGCTCTGTGATATGATTCGAAGTTATGTGATTCCTCCAGATTTGTTCTTTTTACTTAGAATAGCTTTGGCTATTCTGGGTCTTTTGTGGTTTCATATAAATATTAGGATATTTTTTTCTATTTTTGTGAAGAATGTCATTGGTATTTTGATAGGAATTTCATTGAATCTGTGGGATTGCTTTGGATGGTATGGACATTTTAACAGTATTGATTCTTCCAGTACATGAACATGGGATCTCTCTCCTTTTTGTGTGTGTCATCTTCAATTTCTTTCATCAATGTTTTAGTTTTTGTTATAGAAATCTTTCACTTTTTTGGTGAATTTAATTTCTAGGATTTAATTTTATTAGCATCTGTTATAAGTGGGATTACTTTCTTGATTTCTTTTCAGAATATGTGCTATATTTTCAGAATATATGCATATTTTCTATATGCTATATCAGTAGCATATAGAAATGCTACTGATCTTTGCGTATTGATTTTGTGCCCTGCAACATTACTGAATTTGTTTATTGGTTCTAATAGGTTTTTTTTTTTTTTTTGGTGGAGTCTTTGGATTTTTCCAGATATAAGATCATATTATTTGCAGACAAGGATAATTTGACTTCTTCCTTTCCAATTCAGATGCCTTTCATTTTTTTCTCTTGTCTGATTGCTTTAAATAGGACTTCCAGTACTATGGTGAATAACAGTGGTGAAAGTGGGCATCCTTGTTGTGTTTCAGATCTTAGAGGAAAGAATTTCGGTTTTCTCCATTCAGTATGATACTAGCTGTGGGTCTGTTTTATATTGCTTTTATTATGTTGAGGTATTTTACCTCAATACCCAGTTTGTTTAGTGTTTTTATCATGAAGGGATGTTGAATTTTATCAAATGTTTTTTCAGCATCAATTGAAATGACCATATGGTTTTTGTCCTTTATTCTGTTGATATGATGTATCACATTGATTGATTTGCATATGTTGAATCATCCTTGCATCCCAAGAATAAATCCCACTCAGTCGTGATGAATGATCTTTTTAATATATTACTGCATTTGATTTGCTAGTATTTTGCTGAGGATTTTTGCATCAATGTTCACCGGGGATATTAGCGTTTAGTTTTCTTCTTTGATGTGTCTTTATCTGCTTTTGGTATCAGGATAATACTGGCATCATAGAATGGTTTGGAAGTATTCCTTCTTCCTTTATTTTTTGAAATAGTTTGAGTAGGATTGGTATTAGTTCTTCTTTAAATGTGTGGTAGAATTCAGCAGTGAAGCCATCAGATCCCATGTTTTTATTTACTGGTAGGCTTTATATTAGAGCTTCTATCTTGTTACTTTTATTGGCCTATTTAGGTTTTGAATTTCTTCCTGGTTCAATCTTGGTAGGTTGCATGTATCTAAGAATTTGTTCATTTCTTTTCAATTTTCCAATTTATTGACATATAGTTGCTCATAGTAGCCACTAATGATCCTTTGAATTTCTGCAGTATCAGTTGTAGTGTCTCTGTTTTCATTTCTGGTTTTATTTATTTGAATTTTCTCTCTTTTTTTCTTAGTTAGTCTGGCTAAAGGTTTGTCAATCTTGTTTAACTTTTCAAAAAAACAACTTTTTGTTTCATTGATCTTTTGTATTTTTTAATTTCAATTTCATTTATTTTTGCTCTGATTTTATTATTTATTTTCTTCTACTAGTTTTCGGTTTGGTTTTCTCTTGCTTTTCTAGTTTTTAAAGATGCATCATTAGATTATTCATTTGAAGTTTTTCCTCTTTTTTGATGTAGGAATTTATAGCTATAAACTTCCATCTTAGTACTGCTTTTGCTGTATCCCATAGGTTTTGGTATATTATGTTTCCATGATTATTTGTTTCAAGAAATTTTTCAATTTCCTTCTTAATTTCTTTATTGACCTACTGGTCATTCAGGAGAATATTTTTTAATTTTTATGTATTTGTGCAGTTTCCAAAATTCCTCTTGTTATTAATTTCTAGTTTCATTCCATTGTGGTCAGAGAAGATGCTTGATATTATTTTGATTTGTTTTAATGTTTTAAGACTTGTTTTGTATTTAATATATGGTCTATCCTTGAGAATGATCCATATGCTGTGGAAACAAATGTGTATTCTGCAGCTCTTAGCTGAAATGTTGTGTAAATATCTATTAGATCCATTTGGTCTATAGTACAGATTAAGCATGATGTTTCTTTGTTAATTTTCTGTCTGGAAGATCTATCCAATGCTGAAAGTGTGGTGCTGACATCTCCAGCTATTATTGTATTGGTGCCTATCTTTCTCATTAGCACTAATAACATTTTCTTTATATATTTGAGTGCTCCAATGCTGGGTGCATATATATTTATAATTGTTATATCATCTTGCTGAAGTGACCCCTTTATCATTATACAGTGACCTTCTTTGTCTCTTCTTACAGGGATTTTGTCTTAAAATCTATTTTATCTGATGTAAGTATAGCAACTCTTGCTCTTTTTTTGTTTTTATTTGCATGGAATGTCTTTTTTCATCCTTTTATTTTCAGTCTATGTGTGTATTTATAGGTGAAGTGTGTTTCTTGTAGGCAACAGCTCAATGGATATTGTTTTTCCATCCATTCAGCCAGTCTCTGTCTTTCGATTGGAGAGTTTAGTCCATTTACATTCAATGTTATTATTGATAATTAAGGATTTACTCCTACTATTTTAGTATTTGTTTTCTGGTGGTTTTATGGTCTTCTCTTTCATCTTTCCTTCCTGTCTTCCTCTAGTGAAGGTAATTTTCTCTGGGGATATGATTTAATTGCTTACTTTTTATTTTTTGTGTATCCATTGTATGTTTTTTGGTTTGAGATAATCATGAGATTTGCAAATACTATCTTATAAGCCATTATTTTAACCTGATAACAACTGGACACTATTTGCATAAACAAACAAACAAGCAAAAAGAAAACTAATAAAAACTGTATGCCTTAATTTCATCCAACTGCTTTTAACTTTTTGTTGTTTCTATTTATATCTTTTTGTACGGAGTATGTCTTGAAAAGTTGTTGTAGTTATCATATTTGATTAGTTCATTGTTTAGTCTTTCTACTTAGGATAAGAGTAGTTTACACACCACAGTTAAAGTGTTACAATATTCTGTGTTTTTCTGTGTACTTACTATTACCAGTGAGTTTTGTTTCTTCTGGTGATTATTGCTTCTTAATGTCCTTTCTTTTCTGATTGAAGTACTCTCATTAATATTTCTTGTAGAACAGGTCTAGTATTGATAAAATCATCTCTCAACTTTTTTTGTCCAAGAAAGCCTTTATTTCTCCTTCACATTGGAAGGATATTTTCATCAGATATACTATTCTAGGGTAGAAGTTTTTTTTTCTTCAGCACTTTAAAAATGTCATGCCACTCGTTCATGGACTGTAAGGTTTCCACTGAAAAGTCTGCTGCCAGACATATTGGAGCTCCATTGTATGTTGTTTGTTTTTTCTTGCTGATTTTAGGATCCTTTTTTATCTTTGACTTTTGGGAGTTTGAATATTAAATGCCTTCAGGAAGTCTTCTTTGGGTTAATTCTGCTTGGTGTTCTATAACCTTCTTGTACTTGGATATTGATATCTTACTCTAGGTCTGGGACATTCTCTGTTATCATCTCCTTGAATAAACCTTTTACCCTTATCTCTTTCTCTGCCTCCTCTTTAAGGCCAATAATTCTTAGGTTTGCCCTTTTGAGGCTATTTTCTAGATCCTATAGGCATGTTTTCATTGTTTTTTATTCTTTTTTCTTTTCTTTTTTTTCTTTTTTTTTTTATTGAGACAGAGTCTTGCTCTGTTGCCCAGGCTGGAGTGCGGTGACATGTTCTCAGTTCACTGCAACCTGCGCCTCCCGGGTTCAAGTGATTCTCCTGCCTTAGCCTCCCTCCTGAGTAGCTGGGATTACAGACACTTGCCACCATGTCCAGATAACTTTTTTTTATTTTTAGTAGAGATGGGGTTTCATCATGTTGGTCAGGCTGGTCTCAAACTCTTGAGCTCAGGTGATCCACCTGCCTCCGCCTCCCAAAGTGCTGGGATTATAGGCATGAGCCAACACACCCAGCATTTTATTATTTTTTCTTTTGTCTCCTCTGACTGTGTATTTTCCAATAGCTTGTCTCCAAGCTCACTAAATCTTTTTCTTTTTTTCTTTCCTTTTTGTTTTTTGAGATGGAACTTCACCCTCTTTGCCCAGGCTGGAGTGCAATGGTGCGATCTCAGCTAACTGCAATCTCTGCCTCCTGGGTTCAAGTGATACTCCTGTCTCAGCCTCTTGAGTAGCTGGGATTACAGGCACCCACCACCATGCCCGGCTAACTTTTGTATTTTTAGTAGAGACAGGGTTTCACCATGTTGGTCAGGCTGGTCTCAAACTCCTGACCTCGGGTGATCCACCCGCCTCAGCCTCCCAAAGTGCTGAGATTACAGGTGTGAGCCACCACACCTGGCCCAAGCTCACTAAATCTTTCTTCGGCTTGATCAATTCTGCTATTAAGAAACTCTGATGGCCGGGCGCGGTGGCTCACGCCTGTAATCCCAGCACTTTGGGAGGCCGAGGCGGGCGGATCACGAGGTCAGGAGATCGAGACCATCCCAGCTAAAACGGTGAAACCCCGTCTCTACTAAAAATACAAAAAATTAGCCGGGCGTAGTGGCGGGCACCTGTAGTCCCAGCTACTTGGGAGGCTGAGGCAGGAGAATGGCGTGAACCCGGGAGGCGGAGCTTGCAGTGAGCCGAGATCCCGCCACTGCACTCCAGCCTGGGCGACAGAGCGAGACTCCGTCTCAAAAAAAAAAAAAAAAAAAAAAAAGAAACTCTGATGCATTCTTCAGTATGCTAATTACATTTTTTAGCTCCAATTATATTTTTCTGCTTGGTTCTTTTTATATCAATCTCTTTGTTAAATTTATCTGATAGAATTCTAAATTCCTTCTCTGTGTTATCTTGAATTTCTTTGAGTTTCCTCAACACAGCTATTTCGAATTCTGTGTCTGAAAGGTCACATATCTCTGTTTCTCCAGGATTGGTCCTTGGTGCTTTATTTACTTCATTTGGTGGGGTCATGTTTTCCTGGATGGTGTTGATGCTAATAGATGTTCTTCAGTGTCTGGGTATTGAAGAGTTAATTATTTATTGTAGTCTCCACTGTCTGGGCTTATTTGTGGCTATCCTTCTTGGGAAGGCTTTCTAGATATTTGAAAGAACTTGCATGTTGTTAACTAAGCTGTATCTACTTTAGGGGGCACCCCAAGCCCAGTAACGCTATGGTTCTTGCAGACTCACAGAGGTACACCTTGATGGCCTTGGACAAGATCTGGGAGAATTCTCTGGATTCCCAGGCAGAGACTCTTGTTCTCTTCCCTTACTTTCTCCAAAACAAACAGAGTCTCTGTCTCTCTGCTCTGAGCCACCTAAAGCTGGGAGTGGAGTGACACAAGCACCCCTGTGGCCACCACCACTATGACTGCACTAGGTCTGACCTGAAGACAGTACAGCACTAAGTTTTGCCCAAACACTGTTGTAATCACTCCCTGGTTACTGCTAATGTTTGCTTAAGGCTCTGGGACTCTAATCAGCAGATGGCAAAGCCAGCTAGGCCTGTGTTTTTCCTTTCAGGATGGTGAGGTCCCCCAGGCCCTGGATGGGTTCAGAAGTACTGTCTAGGAATCAGGGATAAGAGTCAAAAGCCTTAGAAGTCTTCCTTTGTGTTCTATTGCATTGTGGCTGAGCTGGCATTCAAACCACCAGATGCAGTCCTTTCCACTCTTCCCTCCCCTTACCAAAAGCAGAGGAGCCTCACCCCATATCTACCCACCCTAGACCACCAGGAGTGTTGCCAGACTACCAGATAGTGTTCCTTTAAGGCCCAAGGGCTCTTAAGTCAGCTTGTGGTGAATGCTGCCTGGCCTGGGACTCACCAATCAGGGCAGAGGCCTACCCTCTGGCCCATGGCAGGTCCAGAAATCCTATCTGAGAGTTAAGTCCTAGAATTGGGGACCCCAAGAGCACGCCTGATGCTCTGCTTTGCTGTGGCCATGCTGGTAGATGAAGCCAGAAAGTCTCAGAGGCTCACCAAGTCCCTCAGTGTAGTACCTGGGTATCGCTGCTGGTTTTTCAGGGCCCAAGGGCTCTTCAGTTAGCAGGTGATGAATGCTTCTAGGACTGGATCCTTCTCTTCAAGGCAGCAGGTTCCCTTCTGACCCAGGGTGTGTCTAGAAATGTCATCTGGGATCTGGGGCCTGGAACGAGGAGGAGAGTCATGACTCTGTCCAATGCCCTATTTGGCCAGCTATGGCTGAGCGAGTATCCAAGATGGAAGACAAAATCCTCCCCACTCTTTCCTCTCCTCTCCTCTCCTCAAGTGGAAGGAAGGGGTCTCTTTTGGAGCCACGAGTTGTGCAGCCTGGGGTTAGGGGAGGGATGATGCCAGCACTCCCTTGGCTGTCCCAGCTTTTGTCTCAGTATGTTGCATGCCCCCACAGTCCACTGTCTCTGGGCCTAGTTCAGCACTAGGACTCACCTAAGAGTTGCAGTCCTTATTGCCTAGACTGCCTTTCAAGTTTACTGAAGACACAGAGCACTGTAGCCCTCCATGGTGAGGTTTGCAGGCACTCAAGTTCTGACAGCTGGGACTGATTCCCCTCTGCCTAGGGCTGGTTTAAATGTGCCCTCTGTGGATGGGTGTCAGCTGAGTTTGGTCTGGTTTTCCTTTCTGCTGTAACAAGACAGCACTGAGTTCAATGTCTCACAGCTGCTGTGTTCTCTCTCCCCCAGTGCTCTCTGCACCACTCTGTTGCTGCTGCGGGTTGGGGAGGACTGGTGTAAGCGATTCAGGACTGTTTTTCTCTGTCTCTTCAGTGCCTCTTTCAGCAATATGAAGTTAAAACCAGGTACTTTGAGTGCTCACCTGATTTTTTGGTTCTTATGAAGGTGTTTTTTCTGTGTACATAGTTTTTAACTTGGCATCCTTGTAGGGGTGGGAAGAAGATCTGTGGAGCCTTCCATTCCACCCTCTTGCTCCATCTCTCATTTGATGCTGTTATAGACTTTAGTTCTCTGGTGAAATTTTCCCTCTTGATGTCTGTTTTTCTTTCTTAAAAAAAATTTGACACGTGATTGTACGTATTTATGAGGTACAGTTTGATGGTTTGAGACATGTATGTTGTATAATGATCAAATCAGGGTATTTAGTGTATCCTTCACCTCATGCATTTATCATTTCTTTGTGATAAGAACATGCAAAAGGCTCTCTTCTAGCTATTTTGTAATATACAATGCCTTGCTGTTAACCATTGTCATCCTGCTATGCAATAGAACACCAGAACTTATTTCTTCTATCTAATTGTAACTTTGTACCCCTTGACCAACCTCTCCCCATTGTCTGCTCCCCTGTTTCCTCCCTAGTCTTTGGTAACTACTGTTCTACTCTCTGCAACTATGAAATCAATTCTTTTCTTTTCTTTAAGATTCTACACATGAGTGAAATCATACAGTATTTGTCTTTCTGTACCTGGCTTATTTCACTTAACATGAGGTCCTTCACTACCATCAATATAGTCACAAGTGACAAAATTTTATTTTATTTTTTTATAGCTGAACAGTGTCCCATTGTGTATGTATACTACATTTACTACATTTTCTTTATCCATTTATCGGTTATTGAACACTTGGGTTGATTCCGTGTCTTAGTGATTGTAAAATGTGCTGCAATAAACAGGTAACACAGATATCTCTTTGTCATACAAATTTGATTCCCTTCGAATATACACTCAGTAATGGGATTGCTAGATTACGTGGAAGTTCTATTTTTAACTTTTAAAGGAATCTTGATACCATGTCCCTAGTGGCTGTACTAATTTACAATCCCACTAATAGTGTGTAAGTGTCCCCTTTTCTTCACACCCTTGCCGACACTTGTTTTCTTATGTCTTTTTAATAAAATCCGTTCTAACTGGAGTGAAATGGTATCTCACTGTGGTTTTGATTTGTGTTTTCCTGATGATTAGTGTTGTTGAGCATTTTTTCATGTACATGTTGGCCAACTGTCTGTCTTCTTTTGAGAAATGTCCATTGAGGTCTTTTGTTCATTTTTAAGTTGGGTTTTTTTGTTTTGTTGTTGTTGTTGTTGCCGTTCTTCATATATTCTGGATATAACCCCCTGTCAAATGTGTGGTTTGCAAGTATTTTCTTCTATTCTGTAGGTTCTCTCTTCACTCTGTTTCCTCTGCTGTGCAAAAGCTTTTCAGTTTGATATAGTTCTATTTGCCTATTTTTATTTTTGTTGTGACATCTATCTTTCTTGAGCATATTAATCGGTTTTCTAAAAGTCCATATCTCATAATTCTAATATCTGAGTTAACTATGAATATGTTTCTCTTGTCTTGTTTTTAAATTCTGTTTCTTGATATGTATAGTAATAGTTTATTGAATGTACAGAATTTTTAATGAGAAACTGTAGACAATTAGAATTATGTTGTCTTTACCCAGAGAAATTTATCCTATCCTTTACAGACAGCTATAGGAAAGGAGATCACATTGATAAAAGCAAGGAGTGAGCTGACACAAGTCTGTTGTAACCTTTGTAAGGCTTTGTATATCTCTGGCACACCAACTGAGAGCCTAGGGCTCTGACTAAAGCTCTTCCTCCTTGGCAGATCCTGCAGAGCTCCATGTTCTATCTCCTAAGGAGATATCCCCATGAGACTGCCCCAAATTCTTTTTTGTTTTTCACCTGCTTTCTGCTTTACCTTTTAACCGCTTATCTATGCATCTTACAAATTTAACAACCTAGGTGAAAGCGAATTTAACACTTCTAGGTGAAACAACAGATTTAGCACCTCTAGGTGAGAGCCAGAGTATCCTCATGCTCTCTTCTCTCAGAGATCTTGGGTCCTCAGGTCCTGTCTCCCTTGGCAGTCCTAAACTCTAATTTTTTTTCTCTCTATGAGACTGCTGAAAGCTTCACTGGCTCTGCCTCTTAACATCCACCTTCTGCTCAATTCTCAACCTTTTTTCTTGCCCAAAATTAGTAAAATCCCTGAATGTGACACAGAGGATATCAGGGTCCTCTCAATTAGTTTCTCTCTTCTCTGGGATATTGGCTACTCACATCCTGGATGTCCTGGCTGCTCTTTGATGCCATGTAAGACATATGTATTTTGTATTTTATATGGATTTTCCAGGTGTTTTCAGTAACAGACTTGTTCTGCTACAAGATACTCTATCATGACCAAATTAGAATGTTTCCTATAATAGAAATATATAATTTATCTCTTTCTGCTTCCATCTTTCCAAAATTGGCTTTTGGTTCTTTCTCAGATACATGAGAATTATCTTCCAATACTACTTAAATGTTTAATGACTTTGACACGTTAAGGCTGAGCCTCCCTAGTTCATACTTCTGATTATATCCAGAGTTTCAAATAAGAGAATGTGGCTGTCACATATTTCCTGAGTTATGAACTTCTGATCTAATGTCTGGGAAGACATATTTCCTTAATCTGAGTTTTCAAGCTTCAGGTTAACCTCTGCTAACTTCCAAGTTTTGCAGATGTAGTGAAGTTCTTCCTGTTGCTCAGAAGTAGAGTTTCCTTATTTATTCTGCAAACATTTATTTGACCCCAACAATTTCTTGGTTATTTCCTTTTTGAGCCTACATGTTTGCTATAAAATTCCTCAAAATGAGGAAAATATGAGACAATTCTATATAAATCTGTTCATATACCATTACTATTTTCCCTGTCTTTTGTGATTCCTTTAAAAAGTATCTTTTAACTATATTTGGAATTCATCCAATGATGCCCATTTATTACAACTGCATTAGGCATTATTAAGTCAATTAAAATATATAATTCAGTAGGCAGTGCATTGAGCCTAATTTAAAAGGCATATATTGGAGCCATAATGGATTGCTGTGTTGTCAGATATGGCAGTTCTTCAACTGTTGCTGATAAAGATGAAACTCTTTTTTGAAAAGTAAAAGACATCTGCAGCTGCTTTGAAAGTCAACTGACATTTTGTTAATTAGCATTTATTTACAATAGTTGAATAACAATATCAAACTACAGTAAGGAATGAGCAGTTAACATTTAAAAAAATGCTGGTGACATTAAGTTTCATCATTTGGCATCTAGTTAAAAACACAGATTCTTTCAGGGGTATAGAAGAGAAATCACTGATGTCTGTTTAAATGTAAAATAAACTGGCAAAGGAAGCTAGAGCTGCCAGAGAGGGCTTAAGATGTGGCCCTGGGTCTTAGAATGGAATAGACGTGCAAACCATTAGTTGAGTGTCCAGTTAGGCAAGAGGGGAGGATAAGAAGAAATAGAAGAAATTTTTTCCTTATTATTGGCTTTTTAAACACATACCAAATTATCACTGGAATTTTGTCAGTCAGCAGATTCCAGATGACTAAGATGATCAAATTAAGATGTCACGTTCAACTCATGTCCTGCAGTGTTTCACCATCAACCTCTGGGTTTGAAACAAGCAGGGAGTAAGAGGAAAGAGAAGAGCCTAATTTTATCAGGAACATGTTGGTCTATAAAAATTAATATCAGGCTGATCCAAGGGTAGTGAGTTATCTCAGTTGATTGTTCACGGTCACAGATCGAAGTCCTTGTTCTACGCTTTCTCCCTTCCCACTACTGTACTTGACTAGTCTTTAAGAGAAAGAAAGAGAGAGAGAGAGAGAGAGAGAGAGAGGAAAATGCCCACAGTATTAATTTTTTGTTTTTTTCCCCTCCCTAAGACTCCTAGAAAATTTAAATGTCAAAACTAAAAGTAAGATACTGTTATTAAAAATAACCAGTGGTATGTTACCAAATTTCCAGTTGATCTTAAATGCTGTTATTAATAAGTAAGTACATAATTTTACCATAATTCATAGAGAACTTCATTTGCCACATCAGTCTTCATCCCCTGTAATTGGTACTAATGCTAAACATTTGTTAACGAAAGAGAAAAAATAAATTCTTCCACTAGTTTGCCTTTTTCCTTTCCAAGACTGAAAAATATTCCATTACATGTATAAAGCCCGTTTTGTTTATCCATTTATCTGGACAGACCATTTTGATTTTATGAGTGTTTGGGCAAAAATGTGACCAGGATCATCTTCCTTCAGAAAGGACTTTGGTAGCTCATGTTAGGAGCTAGGGAGGTGGGGGAGCAGAAGAGCACCCCAGGAAAACTTAGCACTGGGTGGACAAAGCCTTCTCAGCCATTTCGCCTCCTTGTACCTCTTGGTGATCCAGCACTTTTTGCGTATTGCTCTTTCTTCTTCTGTATCAAGCATATCATTTTGATAGCAATGCCCTAACCCCCACCCCAACCCTAAGCTCTCATTCTGACATCTCAGTGTGATGGGAAGGTAAATAATATCTACTGTACCCTAAGCAAAGCTTAGATTTTGATGGTTCAGGATTTTTGCACCCTTGAGATCAGAAAATAATCCATTTTTATTCATCTATTTCCTCTTTCTCTCTTTTCTGCTCCTTCTCTCCCTCTTTCTTCCCCTCTTTTATTTCCCATACTCATGATACTTATTTTGCTGTGATATATGTGAGTCTATATTCTTTCCATGAAATCAGTGGCTAATGCAAAGAAACATACCATTTACCTAAATAATTTTTCTACTGTAAAAATGTTTCTGAGAAATTCTGCTTTTTTTTTTTCTTCATTTGGCTTTGTATCTTCAGGGCTCCAAATCCTAGGGGAAAAAATAATAGTGAGACACCAAATACCACAGCACAATATTGTATAGTTCAATAGGAATTTGAAATAATAAAAAATCTGGAGACAGATACAACCACTTACATCAAACTTCTCGGTAGGTTCTCAAGACATGTATCTTTCTGAAGAATCATTTCAACTCAAAATTTGCTGTAGGTAAAAAGAGCACATGACATGTCCATCCTTCTCTTTAGAAAATGAAGAAACATAAATCAACTTGAGTTTCTTGCCTCCAGAACAGTGTGAAAGATTACATTGGAAATGTATGTTCTCCCCAACCTAGGCAGCTTTCTAATTCTCTCTTAAGAAAAGGAAATTAGTGATTTTGATCAGAAACAGTCTCAAGCCCACATCCCAAAGCAAAATTTTTTATAACCAAACTGTCCCTAGAAATACATCTACCATGAACTAGATAGTCTGGTTCCATAACAAAGAATTGTAAAATTTTAGAGATGGAAGTATCTTGGTCCAAACCTCTAACTGGATGTTTCTCCTCTAGTTAACAAAACAGAAGTTATATCACAAAAAGAGTAGGGACTGTGTCTTACGTGACACATGATCATTGTAGAATACTGGTAGTAGTATCGCCGTGTTTCAGTGGTTTGGAAGTGAGAGGAAAGACAGAGAGAAAGGGAGAAAGGAGAGGGGAGGGAAGTAGGGAAGAAAAAACAAGAAGGTGAGTATTGGTATTGTTTAATATATATATTTTTGCCAATAGCCTTCACTATTTAGAGTAGCTAATTAAGTTATCTCAGCCAACCACTTATAAAGATACTAATATTCCATACTTAGGGTTGAGGAAATTGAAGTTCAAAGAATATAAGCTCATATATTTTTAGCACACTGGAGGAAAGAGGCATTGATAGGAGAGATAGAATTTGTTTTTAACAGGACATGGGACAAGAGAAAGCCTGTGAGTGACAGATGCACACTTAGTAAATGCTTCCTACCTTTGACTACAGGACTGTAATGAAGAGATCATAGTTAGGCCAGTGAGTTACATAGACCCTGTTCATGGCTCTGGATTAGTGTTGACTGAAGTTAATTTCTTTCCTATCTGTCAGAAGTGGCAAAGGAAAAAGTGATAGCAGGAAATAGAGTGTTTTCCCTCTGTAAGTTCTAATTATTACACTAATGTCTCCTTGAACCTTCTCACCAATTGTGGGATGTAACAGATTATAGAATTATAATAGAAAATGGCCTAATATTGTTGATGCTAAAAAGCAGGAAAACATCACCTTGATTGGGGCAGTGTCATACACCAAGATGTAAGTTTTTATTGTTCTGATTTTAGCTTCTAGAACAATCAGTGCTATGACTGATTGGGCTAATAACTGATTTTAGGAAAAGACAAAATCTCCTAAGTGCATTTTGTCTGCAGTTTGTAAGCAGGACTTTGCTGACACATCCTTTAAATAATTTAGAAAAAGTGAAAGGCTCTCAAATTCACCAGCATCTCTTGCCTCAAGACACACAATTCTCTTCTCAGGGTCTCTAAGACAATGTTCTGAGGCTTCATGAAGACTTTTCTGAAGAATGTTAGACAAATCATTTAACTTCTTTTTGCCTCAGTTATTTTCCATTATAAAATGAGAAAGATGGACTGGTCTCCAAGGCACATGCCAGCTCCAGCCCTTTGTGGTTCACTGAAAGGTCAGTGTATGGAGTGCTGGATTTGTTCTTGATTCTTCTGCACCAGTGCAAAGAATTATACATAAATTTTCATCATCATGATCATCATCATGATCATCATCATCCCAACAACCACATCTGTTATATGGTAATAACTGTGTGTGTAGTATTTCTAATTCTCGCTATAATCCTTGAAGTAAGCATTATTTTCTCCAATCGACTGATGAAGAAATTGCACTAGTTTAAGAGTCATTTAATATTGAAGATCAATTTGAATATGAGGCCTATATGACATTTTCAAAGCTGATTCACCAAAAAAGTTTTTAATACATATATATTTTTTGCTTAATTCTTTTCTTTATTGAGGGATATTTCCTGAGGCTAAATTCACTAGAGAATAATTGTATTTTCAAAGATAGGAGGATGAATTCTTTTCCAAGGCAGCACAATTCTCACTCCATCTATCATGCAGTTCCTGAATGTATCTTCCCACGAACAGAATGAGCCACTCCTTTCTAATATCTTTTTTGGACCCTGCCTGAATTTCTGGCACAGCACCTGTTACACTTTATGGAATGTAATCATTATCTGCCTATCCCCCTCTTATTGGATTCTACCTGTGAATCCTTAAGAAGATTACTGTTTTCTATACTGGGGGAGATTTTTAAAAATATTTATAGTTCCATTAGTTCAATACTACTTGATATATAGTAGGTATTTAAAAAAAACAACCTTAAATGAATGAATGAAATGTTGATAAATTTACTTTCACAGTATTGTATAAATTTAAACTACAAGCAAAAATAATGAGTGTGTTTTATGTTTTCTACATTCCCATCAGCATGGTAGGCTGGCAGGGAAAATGCCCTTAAGACTTCATTCCTTTCCTAGTCCCACACTCTATGAGATATTTGCAAGCACTGTCCCTTTTAGTTTGGGAAATCCTCTCAGTTCTATTTAACTTCAAACCAGCAACCATGATATGATTTCTAGCATTTCTGCTTCATCTCTATTCTATGTTCTCCTTCTTCCCTTATTCCTTCACTATTGACAGCCAGTTGGATGGTGAAACATTGCTCTACAGTTTCTACTGACAAGATCATAAACATTGGAGATGGAAATGGTCACCATCGTCTCTCAGGTTATACCATTATTTCTTGATTGATCTGCATTAGACATTAGTTATTGGATCTCTGCTGAAGTTGGGCTGTGATTCATCTCTTGGCCCTCCTCCTCCCTGTACACTTATTATTTATATTTTCTCTGTTGGATCCACCTAACTTATTTTCCCATCAGTATGCTTTCTTAATTTATACCCTCAATTTGTTGAGGAGCACATACTCAAGTAACTTCCTACGAAGGGTGCATGAAAGATAGGTTTTTAACATACTGGTATATCTGAATATATTTTATTATTGGGTTAATCACTTGGCAGAGCATTATATTTTAGATTGAAGGCATTTTCAACCTCATGATTTAAAGACGTTGATCAATTTTCTTTTAGCATTCACAGTTACTGTTGAAAAATTTGCTGCTAAGCTGGATCTCATCCATTTGTATGTGACCTTTCCCCCACCCCTCCAGTCCTGCTCCCACTGCTGCAAACTATGATCTCACACCCTATACTTCACTGAGATATGCTTAGATGTGTATAACTCTTCACTAACCCTTCCTGGTGCCCGGTAGTTTCCTTTAGTAGGAATGTTGTGACTGTCTAGTGTCTTTGCGCAGGTGTCACCATCTGAGTAAGGCCTTTCCTGACCACCCTATTAAATTTGCACACCTGCCCCAGCATTCAGTGTCTCTTCCTTTCCTGCCTAATATTTGCCCATAGCACATATCAATCTCTTAATTTCTGAATAACTTACTTATGTTTTTTTCCCTCTTCCTTCACTTCAGCAGGAATTTTGGTCTATTTTGTTCACTGTTGAATGCCAAGAACTCTGTTCAGCACCTCGTAGGTATTTAATAAATATTTGTTTAAAAATGTTTCTGCGGGGAGGGAACTTAGAGGACGGGTCAATAGGTGCAGCAAGCCACCATGGCACATGTATACCTATGTGACAAACCTGTACATTCTACACATGTATCCTGGTTTTCCTTTTTTTTAGAAGAAGAAATTTTAAAAAGGAACACTAGGAGAAACACTGAGATAATACTCTAATTTTTGAAATAAAATCAAATTATGTAGTACAAAAAGTGTTTTTGCTTCTTATTTAAGAAAGAGGCAATAAAAGCTTCATCTGCATGTGTAAGGCTCATTAGCTCTCAGGTTGAGTGTACAGGCAGCTGTCCATGAGGAGAGCTGGCTATCACCCTGTGGGACCCCCAAATGAGAGATTGGAGAATTATTTACACTAGGGTGCAGACATCCAAGTTTCTGCATGCTCAGAGATAGTTCATTGTGAAAAACAATTAAGATACAAAATTTTATTTAGGGTTATGAGTAAATATCTTTAAAAATAATATATGTCTGTCATCCCAGCACTTTGGGAGGCTGAGGCGGGCAGATCACGAGGTCGGGAGATCGAGACCATCCTGGCTAACACGGTGAAACCCTGTCTCTACTAAAAATACAAAAAATTAGCCGGGCATCGTGGCACATGCCTATAGTCCCAGCTACTCGGGAGGCTGAGGCAGGAGAATGGGGTGAACCCAGGAGGAGGAGCTTGCAGTGAGTCGAGATCTCGCCACTGCACTCCAGCCTGGGCGACAGAGCGAGACTCCATCTCAAAATAAATAAATAAATAAATAAATAAATAACTAAATAAAATAAAAATAATATATGTGTATAGTAGGGGGGTGTGTGGAGAGAGAGAGAGAGATGGGGGATGAAGGGTAGAGAATGAGAGAAAGAATAGAAATCGGAAGTGACTCCACTGAAATAGACAGTAGTATTATTGGTGGTTATTTTTAATCCCCATATTTTCCTGTATATTTCAAATTTTTATATTATTGTAAAAATTTACAATAATATAAAAATTAACAAAATATGTTTTCAAGATGCTGCAGTGAGGATTATGTATGTGTGCTGGGTAATGTGAACTGCTCATGTGAATATCTATTCAGCACTTCCTCTTCATTCCAAGTTTCTGATTCTCCTCGTCAGCTTTCTACTTTTTTTTTTCACTTTTTAACCATTTGGAAATACCACTTTAATGTAGATCTGGGTTTATTTAGAAATCTTATATTTGATAGAGGTGTTAGCATTTCTGCTACCTAGGCAACAAAATATGGTTCTGCTGCTAACATCTTTTCATTTTTAGCAAAATGAAATCTTAAAAATCTTTTAATAAACTTGTAAAAATAAAAGCCAGACTTAAATATACTCCTTGCCTTAAAGAAAAGAAACATGGGGGTAATAAGTACAATGGGCAGCATATAGGACCATGTTTCTTGGAGAATGTAGAACAAGTTTGGAGAGAGAAAGAGGGGCGCACATTTCAAAATAAAACCAAAACAATTCAGAAATACCAATTAAATCCACTACTAATTTTCAAAGTTTGACTAATTGCTTGAAGAGCACACTGATCAACTACAAATGTTGCATCTTAAATATATTTAGACTCACATATACTATTTTTTAGATTATGGAAATATTGCACCTTATTATAGAAAACATGAAAGTATTGAAAATGCATATAAAGACTCCAGCTAAAATACTCTATCCTAAATATCAGAGATAATCTCTCTAGGATGCAGTTTTGAATTCTACACTTTTACTTAAAAATTATATTGTAAACATTTATCATACAATTATTAATTTCGTCAAAATCAGAATTCTTCAGAACCATCAACATACTATGGTCTAACTGCTCCAATACAATTTCTCATTTCATTTCTTTCCAGTTTTTGATATAATAAAATGTAAAGAACATTCTGGTGCAAAAAGGGTTGTCTGCATCTCTTTGTCATTCCTAATGACAGAATTCTAGAAGAGGCTCCTGAAGCCTGATGCAAAACACTCTCCAGCAAGACAGCAGCACTGCATGCCCCCGCCGCCACCTCCCCCCATCCCCAGGTTACATGACAGCGTCCCCCTGACCCTCTCTAGCCCTGAGTTGACAATTCAATAGGTCAAATGTGATGTTTAGACTTGTGAGATTTGGGAGGAAATTGCACTTTTCCCCATCTTTGTTGACCATCTGTAATTCCGCTATAAATCGCCCGTGCCCTTTAACCCATTTTTTTCTATGGAAGTGTTAGTATTTTTCTTACAGGTTTGTTTAAAAAAAAAAACCAAAAAAAAAAAAACTCTGAAAACAAATGATATTAACTCCTTGACTATAATCAGTGGGAAACAGTTTTTCAAACTTGTCATTTTTATATGTCAGTGATACTTTCTTTTTAGTTTAAAAAAGGATAGTATTGATATACACACTTTGAAACTTCCTGTCATCGTATCTATTGATCTTTTCCTTGCCCAAAGGATCCTTCTCCTAAGAGTCATCCTTATTTTCTCTGTATATTTGTGTTGTTTCATTTTCTACATATGTTGTATTATTTAGACATCGCTGGAATTGATGATTGTGTGTGACCTATGGGATAAGGTAAGAATCCAGCTTGATATTTTCCATATTCCATTTACTGAGTAATCTGTCCCTTCCTTTGTTTTGTGATGTTGCCTTTTTAGCATTCAAGCCATTATATATAATAGAGCATTTCCTTATTCAGGGCTATTCTCTTTTACCCATCCATACTGTGGCAATGCTACCCTTTACTGTAGCTTTGCAATATATCTTCCGTATGGTGAAACAAGTTCACCCCCTCTTATTAGCTTGCATTTCCAAATTTTCTTTTGCTGTTCTAATGTATTCATTCTTCCAGCAAAACTCCCAAGAAAAAAAATCTCATTGAGATTTACCAGATTGCATTAAACCTAAAAATTAATGTGAGTAAAATTGAAATCTTTATAATAGTCTGCACAGACACATTGTATGTCTTTTTTAAGCCTTATTTTATGTTTCTTGATATAGCCTTGTAGTATTTTTCACAAGGTCTGACACATTTCTTACTGAGCTTGTATTTCTAGGTGTTTTATATTTCTATTTGTATTGTGAAAGAGATTTTTCCTCATCAGATTTTCCAATCATTGCTAGTATGTTTGAGGCCCATTTGTACTTAGATTCCTTCATCTTGCTGAATTCTATTTTAATGATCTTCTAGCTGATTGTCTAGAGTTTTTCTAGGTATATATATTATCATGTTGTCTGCAAATAATAACTTTGTTCCTTCTTTTCCAGTGGTCACACATTCTATTTCTATTTTTTTCTGTGATCAAAACTTGTAAAAATAATATTAAACAATAGAAAGGATAACAGAAATCCTGTTTTGTTCTTAATATTAATAGAAATGTCTCTAGTGGCATTTTCCCAATAAATAATAGTATGTGCTATCAGTGTAAAATATTCTTTAATGTGTTAAGGAATTATTCTTCTATTCATGGCTAGTAAAAAGACTTTTCCCTTTAGGAATGATTGTAATATTTTTATCAATGCCTTTCAAAATTTAATGATCATATGGTTTTTCTTATTTGATCTATTGATACAACCAAAGTGATATTTTCTACTTGGTTGTGGTAGATTATTCTTTTCAAATATTTTTAATTCAATTGACTGATAAATTATTTAGAGTGTTTAAATATATTCATTTTTTCTTTTATTCTATCTTTATTAAGTTTTATTATTATTAATAATAATAATGGCAGTTGGGATAATTTCACAATCTCATACCATGTTCTGCTGCACTTAAATTCTTACACAAATTTTCTCATGTAATTCTTATAATAACTTTACAATTAGATGTACCATTATCTACATTTTGCACATAAGGAACCAAGCTCCAGAGGGGATCTTAACTCCATTAAGATCATATAGCTTGTGAGGGGGGGGGCCTGTCTGTACAGCCTTTGCTACATAGTATTGGGGAATTAAAAATGAGTTGGGTAGCTTTCCTGCTGTGCAATGGAATAGTACATAGAATAGGAAAAATCTGCTTCTTGAAGGTATGAAAGGACAGATTTCTACATGCACAGGAGGCAAAATGATGCTGTGAAAGAACATTGGCTTTGAAACCAGACAAATGCTGGTTCAAAATCTAGCTCTGTCTGTTACTTCGTAGCACTCAATAGAAACTAATCATTATAAAAACATCTTATCCAAGCGCCATCTTTGACAACATTTTCCATCTGTGCCTGGATCATTTTCTAATTTTTTTTCCCATAACATCCTGTTGCCCCAGGAAGTAATATATTTCATCTAGATAATGAAAAGTATTATTTCATATTCATGTGTATTATTCTCTGATAGTCTTAAAATCTCTGTGGCTGCTGTCCTGTCCCCTTGGTCTTTGGTATTTAATTGTGTGTTCTCTTTTTATCCTAACTAGATTTTCCAAAGATTTTTCTATTTTTTCTTAAACCATTTTTTTTAAATTTTAGAATAATGTAGTTGGCTGAATATTGGCTCTCCAAAAATGTTCATGTCTTAATTTTCAGAACCTGTGAATGTTGTCTTATAAGGCAAAGATACTTTGCAGATGTGATTAGATTAAGAATCATGTGATGGGGAGATTATCCAGATTTTCCAAGTGGGCCCCGTGTGATCACAGGATCCTTATACGATGAACACAGGAAGTTCAGACAGAGGAGAAAGCAATATGACAATAGACACAAAAATTGGAGTGATGTAGCTACAAGTCAGGAAATGCTGTCACCCTCTAGAAGCTGGAAAGGACAAGGAATGGAATCTTCCTGGAGCCTCCCAAAGAAACCAGCCCTGCCATCACTTTCATTTTAGTCCCCGAGACTCATTTTGGACTTCTGACCTGTAGAACTGTAGGAAAATAAATTTGTATTTTAAACCACTAAATGTGTGCTAACTTGTTACTGCCACACTAGGAAACTAAAACCAATAGTTTTAGATTAACAGAAAAATTACAAAGATGGTACAGAGTTTCCATATCCCCCATACCCAGTTTCCCCTATTGTCAACATGGTGCATTTGTCCCAAGGCATGAAACAATATTGATCCAATATCACTAACTAAAGTCCGTATTTTATTTAGATTTCTTTCGTTTTTACCTGATGTCCTTTTTCTGTTCCAGGAGTGCATCTAGGAAACTATCTGTGTTTAGTTGTCATGTGTCCTTGGGTTCTTTTTAGCTGTAACACTTTCTCAGACTTTCGTCGTTTTTGATGAGCTTGATAGTTTGAGGAATGCTGGTCAGGCATTATTTAAAATGTCCCTCAACTGGGATTTGTCTGATGTTTTTCTCATGATTAGGCTGAAGTATGGATTTGGGGGAATGATGATCACAGAGACAAAGTGTGTTGTCCTCACATTATAGCAAGGGTACATACTGTCAACGTGGCTTATTGTTGACGTTGACCTTGATCACCTGACTCAAGTAGTGTTTGTCAGCTTCTCCACTGTAAAGTTACTCTTTCCCTTCCTTTGTCTATTGTTTTACAGCAAAAAAGGCGCTTTTTAAAACTTGTCAGTTCCACTCTTTTTCTGCTATATGATTAATTAATTTCTTACTTTATGTTGATTAATTCTTTCTGTCATCGTTGTGGTTCCTTTTTTGTTCTTTTTCCAACTTCCTGAGTTAAATCCTAGGTTTACTTATTGTTATTTTTTAATACATAAAGCATTTAAGGACATGTGATCTCCATTTAGCAAGGAGTTATTAGTTTGTTTATTTGTTTGTTTTGTTTTGACTTTTGTTTGTAGAGACAGGGTCTCACTATGTCACTCAGGCTGGAGTGCAATGGCACAATCTTGGCTCACTGCAACCTCCACCTCCCGGCCTCAAGCCATCCTCCCATCTCGGTCTCCTGAATAGCTGGGACTATAGGCGCACACCACCACACCCAGCTAATTTTTTTGTACTTTTAGTAGAGACGGGGTTTTGTCATATTGCCCAAGCTAGTCTCAAAGTCCTGGGCTCAAGTGCTCTGCCTACTTCAGCCTCCCAAAGTGCTGGGATTATAGCCGTGAATCATCCCGACTAGCTTAGTTTGTTTAAACACTTGTTATTAGTTTCCATGTTTATAACATAGCAGTAAAAGTGTGTACCTTATATAACTTCTGCTATTTGGAACTTTGTCAGGTTTTTCTTTTTCTTTTGACATACAATTACTTTCTGTAAATATCCCGTGAGTACTTTGAAAGAAGTTATGTTTTCTGTTTGCAGGATATAAACTAGACATTAAATTCTGCAGTGGATGAGAATGTAACTGTTTGACTTACCATTAAATATCTAGCCCCTAGTACTGGACCTGATACCTAGTAGGATTGCATTAAATAACTATTGAGTAAATGGCTGCAAAATTTCAACAGTCCCAGTTGCAACAACCAAAAATGTCTCTAGACATGGTCAGCTGTCCCCTTGCAGACAAAATCATTCCCGATTGTGAACCACTGCTCTAAAATGATATGATTATTCACAGAAAATCCAAAAGAATCTCCTCAAAAAGTATTAGAATTAATATTTGAATTCAGCAAAGTTAGTTGAAGGGTATAAAATTAATATACAAAGATAGCATTCATATATAGCAGTAGTAAACATTTAGAAAATGTAGTTTTAAAATAAATAATATCAACAATAGCAATTAAAATTATAAAGAATAAATCTAACAAAGTATGGGCAAGACTTATGAAGAAATTTATTAAAATGTAACGAGAAACATTAAAGAAGACCTAAGAACAGAGAAACCATGATTATCTAAGAGAAGATTCATTATCATTGAAGTGTTGTTTCTTCCCCAATTGGCCTATAATTACAATTCGATTCCAACAAAAACCTAACAGAGTTTTTGTGGGACTTAACTGATTCTAAAACTTATATTGAGAAGACAGCATAAATATAGTTAAGCCACTTTTGTAGAAGAATAATTTGGAAGCCTTGCTATATCAGATTTTAAATTTTATTCTAAAGCCATAGTAATCAAGAATGTAGACAGAGATAGACAAGTAGAATCAGGAAATAGGATAAATATTTAATATTTAATATATAGTTCTACACATACATGAAAACTTGATATAGGACGGAGGAGGCATTTAAAACAGTGGGCAAAAGATATAATGTGCTGAGATAACTGACTTTATGTTTTAAAACATTCTTTTTATTTACTCTCTTTGTCCCACTGGAAGGTAAGCTCCATGAGAGCAGAGATTTGGTGTGTTTTCTTCACAGCTGCATCTCCAATGTCTAGAATAACTCAGGCATACAGTAGTTATTCAGTAGATATTTTTGAACTACTAAATGAAAAATCCATTTTATTAGTTTTCATTGCTTTTCCTATTATTATATAACAAAATATTTACAGTTTCTATGAAGGTTTGGAAAAAATGTTTCTCTCTCTCTCTCTCTCCCCCTCCCTCCCTCTCTCTCTTCCTCCCTCTCTGTCTCCCTCCCTCTCTCTCTCTCTCCCTCCCTCCCTCCCTCTCTCTCTCTGTGTGTGTGTCTGTGTGTGTGTGTGTGTGTGTGTGTGTATTTCTTTCCCAAGAGCCCAAGGAAGTCACTGAAAGCTAGATATAGCAAAATGGTAGCTCAACACCAGATGCAATTATTTAATAATAAACTCTAAATTTGTTTGCCCCCTTAATAAAACTCTATATTCCAATATTCAAAATTATTAAACAAAGTAAGGAAATTGTTGTTTATTTCAAAGATTTTTGTATGCTGCAGATATCACAGGTTCCCTTTAAATATTTATATTAAAATATGGTTCAACCCATAAAGCCATAGGAATATGTCTGTTTTGCCAAGTAAGGTAGCTCATCTGTATCTCTTATGAGAATTTTAATAAAACAAGTATTAAGGCTTCTTTCAGACAGTTCCAACAGCATGATTCTAATTTTTGGTGTCCTTTAAAATATCAAATTACTCCTGGCTATGCTTCCTTACAGACCACCAAAGACAATGGAACTTAGCCAGCTGACAAGGATATTTATAATCAATCATGGCACCCTCCAACAGTTCCCTCTCTCACACCTATTGGTCTAAGAGAGTTTGTCTGAGAGAATCAGGTGACATTGGATAGTTCAGAGCAAATCCAAGAACCCACCTGGGAAATTGAGCCAATCCACAGGTCTCTCAAAAAGCATTCATTTATGCTTCATTAAGCATTCATTATGACCAAGAATTTGTGGGTTCCTATCACTTGTCAGGCACTACCACATCATTAATATTGCGGAGTCCAAGAGTTATATTTGCTATTATCATACAAAGTCTGAACATCTCAACCAGCTGAGGTATTAAGTTCAAACTCTGAAGCAGTAAATAGCGGCACAGTGATTTGGCAAGTCTTAAAATGGCTCTGTGAACCTTTCAGTTGAGTGCAAACACCTGGTATCAAGGTTCTCCTTCATCTTGAGACCCAACAACCCTCCTCCCCATACTGTACCCCAGGCCCCTTTCACTCCACCACTGCAAACTCTCACTCTCTGGCAAACAGCCCAGCCTCACTCCTGGCTCTGGAGGCTGGCTTTTGTTCTGACTTCTGCCTCAATCTAGAAGACCCTCCACTTCCTCTGTGTCCATCCAAATCCTACTTTTCTTCAGGGCTCCGCCACTCTGACTGTGTTCCCCCCATCAAATGTAGGGCACTCCAACAGCCCTGATCCCAAGTGTGAAGCTGTGGCCTCAGCTGGACATCCTGTCTGGTCTTGGTTAGCGGAAAGGCAACAGAATGAATGTCCACTCCAGGTAAGAAACCTCTTCATTTTATAGACCAAGAAACTAAGATATAGAATGATTGAGTGACTCTTTCTAAGAAACAAAGTGGTTAGCGTGCTAGAAATAGGAAGTTGGTGGGCATAGTGAAAAACATTTGTTTCTCTAAAGGGAGAAACATCTGAATGTAAATCCCGCATTGACAACTTACTAGCCGAGGAAATTCAGGGAAGTTACTCACCTTCCTCAATCACTGCTCCCATACTATAAATTGACAAGGATAATATCTTCTTTGCAATATTGTTGTGAAGATAAGATATAAAGAGATAAAATATCTGACTCATACTAAGTGTAACTGTGGGAACCCACTTCTTTCTTAATTTTACTACCCTGCTTCTCTACAAGACTGTAATCTGCTTGAAAACAGGATCTATGTTGATCCTACATTCTATAGTCCCCTACGTTCTCCATAACAGCCAACACACAGTGCACAGCATAAAGTGGGAGCTTCAGAAATACTGTTTTTTCCTTTTTCTTTTTTTGAGACAGGGTCTTGCTCTGTCACCCAGGCTGGAGTGCAGTGGCACGATCACAGTCCATTGCAGCCTCACCCTCCTCTGGGGCTAAAGCAATCCTCCCACTTCACCCTCCTGAGTCGCTGGGACTACAGGCACATGCCACTACACCCAGCTGATTTTTGTATTTTTTGTAGAGATGGGGTTTTGCCATGTTGCCCAGGCTGGTCTCAAATTCCTGGGCTCAAGCAATCCTCCTGCCTCGGCCTCCCAAAATGCTCTGATTACAGGTGTAAGCCTCCATGCTCAGCCCAAAAAACACTTTTTTAAATGAAAAAGCTTGTTTTCCGGAAGGACAACATTCACTTAAATGAATGTTCTCTCAAAGAACAACTATGACTTAAATAAACAATGAATTTAAGTCTATTATCTTGTTTTTTCCATTTTTATTGCTCTATCATACACTTATCTTTTATATACATTCTCTTATATGACAAATTATTGTGTAAACAAATAAAATGTTAGTAATGAATGAGACTTCTACCCTATAAGAGGGTAGTATTCTTGGATAAAATGTAGGAGCTTATATAGTTTTAATCCATGACAAATAATTAAGTGCTTCCCAATGCTAATTTTTATTTTAGTACTAAAACTCCAAATATCAGAGCCGAAAAGATTTCCAGAATCATGCCAAAGGGTAGCTCCTAAGTTTACTCTGGCGCAATGCCACTTACAGGGTGAGAAAAAGTTCATGATTTCCCATTGTGTGAATCACGTGTACAAAGTCCTTTTGTCCAAGTGGCCTTGTCATGTGAGACCGCTAAGTATCTTTCACTTGGCCTTCCAATCACGTCCAAAGTGTCATACCCCCAGAAGCAATTTGATGTATGAATAATGGAAGCCTGAACTGAAGCTCAACAGTTTGTAAGAATTGTACTGTGCCTAGTGAACCAAATGCAGACCTCTCCAAAGCTCGCTCAGAACATTTACAAGATGAGGAAAATTCAAATTAAGAGTCAAAGGCATTTCAGGGCTGAGAGGTAAAAATAGAATACTGGTCAGGTTATTGGAGGACAAAGAACAAAAAGTTTATTTTGTTTGAGAACAGAATTGGAATTAGAATGGAGTTCATCTCATTTTAGGACTTGCTCATTTTACCAAAAAGAAGTAAAAGCAAACAAAAATTTATTAGAGAGTAGAAGGTAAAAGAATTGGGATTTGATTTCTCACATGGCATGGGAATAAAAATGTGCAAGATTTTTCCTGTTTTGAAAAATTATCAAAGGGTTATTTAGTGGGAATCTATGTTTTAAATTTCTGCTTTAAACTACATCACTTTAACCTTCTAAGCCTACCCGATTCCCCTGTAGCTGTGGAATCACATGAACCCACAAAGGCCTGTGTCTACTTGTTTTACTCTGCAGATTCTCAATCAGCCTTCATGAATGCTTGTTTTGACACTTTCCTTTTAGCAATTCTGTGTGCACTTCCCTAGCTCCTTTCGTCCACTAACAAATCTTCATTAGACTTCGTTAGACCTAAGCTTTTCAGCCACTTAAATGCGGAAAACTACATATTTTAGAATATTATCTAGGTCATCTACCTGCCAGAATTACATGGTAAATTTCTCAATAAAAGATACAATTCGACATACCTCAAGCATGTATATGTGTTAAAGTGATATTCTTCTAAGGAAAATATTAGCAGGCATCTATACGGTTGTTGGGGGAGGGGAAGAGTTCTATTTTTCTTTAAGAATTTCTTGAGAAGGAGCCATATTCCGAGTCCTTATTACACTCTCCAACAGAAATAGGTGAGATAAAAAGAAATTGTGAGCAGATGAGATATCCCTCCAATGATGTTAATTATGGAAGTTATTTCTGGGGCCTCTTATGAAATCTTTTCACTTGATTTCCTGGCTAACAGAGTGGCTAGATCTAAGGCTACTTTATGAGCTGAGTGAAAGAAACACAGCACAGGTCTTCCAGAAATCTCTAGAAGGGCCCCAAACATTCCTAATCATCTAGTCCTGTCCCATTACCCAGGAGGTTTCAGGGAACCCAGATCCTCTTTAGAGGTGCCCTTGGGAATATTGGTCTTATTGATTTAAAAATGATGGCGCTGTGGCCGGGCACAGTGGCTCACACCTGTAATCCCAGCGCTTTGGGAGGGCGAGGTGGGCAGATCACTTGAGGTCAGGAGTTCAAGACCACCCTGGCCAACATGGTGAAACCTGTCTCTACATCTCTACCAAAAAATACAAAAATCAGCCCGGTGTAGTGGCAAACACCTGTAATCTTAGCTACTTGGGAAGCTGAAGCAGGAGAATCACTTGAACCCTGAAGGCAGAGGCTGCAGTGAGCCGAGATCAGGCCACTACACTCCAGCCTGGGTGACAGAGTGAGACTTCATCTCAAAAACAAGAAAAAAAAAAAGATGGTACTGGAATTTCTAAAGAGAGCAGTGATGTGGATGGAGAAAGTGATGCTTTTTGAGGCTGCATATATTGTCAAAGAAGATTGAGGAAGCATCACTGGACCATCTCAAAGAATGATGTTTGAGAAGCTTATGCATATTATGGGGAGGGGACACAGAGACCCTGGTATCTCCCACTGGCTTCATTCTTCTTTACCTATTTCTCCTTGATAATAAACTTCCCACCTCTCTGACAGTCAGACTGAAAAACGTACTTCACCACAGTTTGAAGAACAGATCATGCTGTATTATCAAAAGGTAAATTCCAGGAATCATATGTGTTTTCAGAGTTCTGTTTTGTTGCACTTCTTAGAAAATGCCTTTATTCCTCCTTTGGTTCACTACATGGAGCTAAGACCACTGCTATTCTTTTAATATTTGATATTTGAATCTGATCATATGAGTTTTCATTCCTCATTATAGTTTACAATGTGCTTTCTTTTATTTAACAATATTTCTCAAACAGAGATAATCAAAGATGTGATGGGGGTATGCAACATGAAAGAACAGAGCATCAATGTATTGTTCCTGCCGGCGAGACACTTGAAACGTTATTTATGTAGTAAAACAAACACACATCTATTATTAACTACAATGTATAATTCACATGAATTTCTCAGATAAAACATAAGACTTCAAAGAAAGTCATGCCTGAAATTTGCAGCTACGAGCTTTACCTACAGTCTTCTAAAAGCACTAAAGGTGCTTGGTAGAAATTTGAGTTAGCATAGGTAAACATTTTTTTCGTATTTTACTTCCACCCAAAAAAATACATAATAGATAACATGTTTACTGTTATTACCTCCCCTTTATGGAACAGAAAACTAAGGCTTAGGGGGTTTGACTTCACTAGGTAACTTTGCCACTTTCTAATTGACAGAGCCCTTTCTGCCCACCTCTCCATGAGTGAGTTCTTCATGAGTAAAATTTCCCTGGGCTGGTAGGCTGAATAATAGCCTTCCAAAGACATCCATATCTGAATCCCAGGACATACGAATATGTTACTTTACACAGCAAAAATATTTTGCAGATGTGATGAAGGTAAGGATTTTGAGATGGGGAGATTATTCTGAATAATCTAGATAAGCCCACGTAACTACGGGGTCTTGGTAAGGGGAAGATCAGAGTCAGAAAGTTGTTACATCTAAGGATAGAAACAGCAGTCAGAGAGGAGAGAAGAGATGCTATGCTGTTGGCTTTGAATACAGAGGAAGGGGCCACAAGCCAAGACAGGTTGGCAACCTCTAGAAGCCAGAAAAGGCAAAGGAGTGGATTCTCTCTCAAGCCTCTAGAAAGGAACACAGCCTTGATTTTAGCCCAGTGTGACCCATTTTGGACATTTAACCACTGGAACTATAAAAGAATACATTTCCGTAGGTTTAACCCACTAAATTTGTGGTGATTTGTTACAGCAGCAATAGGAAATAATATACCTGGTAAGGCTATGCCAGTCCCCACATTCTGTTTTCTTTCATCCTTATGCCCACTATTAGTATTGCCTTATGGTTTTATTTTAGTGATTTTAATTTATCATAGTACTATATACAGAGTTTTTAGTTCCATTAAAAGTCCCATACATTTTTAGTTTCATTAAAAGACAAATGGACCAGTGGCTGAGAATGTGGAGAAATTGGAACCCATGTCCATTGCTGGTGGGAAGGTAAAATGGCATAACTGCTGTGGAAGAGTTTGGTGGGTCCACATTAGATTCAATATAGAATTACTGTATGATCCAGGAATTCCACGTCTGGTTATATACCCAAAAGAAGTAAAGCAGGTGTTCAAACAACAACTTGTGCACAAGTATTCACAGCAGCACTACACTCAATAGCCAAAAGGTGGAAACAACCCAAATGTCCATCAACTGGTAAATGAATAAACAAAATGTGGTGTATCCATGCAATGGAATATTACTCAGCCTTAAAAAGGAATGAAGTACTGATACATTCTACAGGGTAGATAAACTTTGAAAATATTATGCTAAGTGAAAGAAGCCAGTTACAAAAGGCCATATATTGTGTGATTTTATTTATAGGAAACATCCAGAGTCAGCAAATCCTTAGACAGAAAGCAGATTAGTGATTGCCAGTGGCCAGGAGGAGTGGGGAATGGCAAGTGACTGCTTAATGGTACAAGATTTCCTTTGGGGTTAATGAAAATGTTCTAGAGCAAGACAGTAGCAATGTTTACACAACATTGTGAATGTCACTAATAACACATTTTATGTTATGTATATCTTACCACAAAGAAAATTTAAGACAAATAGAGCTAAATGTTTGTAAAGTCAATAAAGCATCACACTCCTGCCTCCTCTATTCCCCCTCCCCCACCACCAATTTCTAACTAACTCCCAGTTTTACAGTCCAAGGACTTCCATTTAAAAGTGAATTTTTGATAACTAATGATTTTGCTATTTGCTGCGTATTTCCAAATAACATACTAAATTGCATGTCTCAAAGACAGCAATTAACTTTCCCAAGACCACACAGCTGGTAAGTTTTGAAGCCACGATTTGAGTGCAAGTCCTTAACTCTAAATCTCAGGACCTTATAATAATAAAAATAATACCAAGAAAAGCTAACCCTAATATAGCAGTTACTATGTATGGTAGGTGAATAGTTGCTTTCAGAGATATCTATGTCCTAGTCCCTAAAATCACTGAATATATTAGATTGGTTGGCTAAGAAGAATTAAGGTTGCAGAGGGAATTAAGTTTGCTAAACAACTGACCTTAAAACAGAGAGGTTATCATGGATTTTCTGGCTGGCCCAATACAATCACCCAGTGAAAGAAGGGAAAAAAGTAGAGGAGGGAAGAAGAAGGAAGAAGAGAATCAGAGGGAGACATGACAACAGAAAAAAAGGCACAGAGAGATGCAGTATTGTTGGCTTTGAAGATGGAGGAAGGGGACCATGAGCCAAGAAATAATGAGTACCCTTAAGGAGCTGGGAAAAAAAGGAAATGGATTCCTCCCTAGAGCCTCCAAAAACAAGCAGTCCTGCCTGCTGTTCAGTTTTAACCCAGTGAGACCTGTGAGGAACATCTGACCTAGAGAATTGTAAAATAGTAAATTTATGTTGTTTATGCCTCTAAGTTTCACATAATTTGCTACAGCAACAATAGAAAACTAATACACTGTATGTCAGGAATTGTTCTAGGTGCTTATATATATTAACTTATTTGATGCTTATAAAAACTCTGTGAGGTATGTATGTTATTATCCCATTTTTCTGATGAGAAAACTGAGGCACAGAAAATATTTGAGCAGACACTTTACAGAAGACAGTGTCAATAGGCATATGAAAAGATGCTCAATATTAATGGTCACCAGGGAAATGCTACTTCAAATAATGAGATACTCTACATATGCATTAGAGATTTTGAAATTAAAAAGACAGTATCAAGTATTGGCAAGGCTGTTGAAGAAATGGTGCTCTCACATATTATTGGTGTGGGGGTAATATAAAAATCACTATGAAAACATTTTCACAAATTTTTAAAAAGGTAAACATATACTCATTGTAATACCCAGCATGCACCTGTAGTCCCAGCTACTAAGGAAGTTGAAGCAGGAGGATCACCTGAGCCCAGAAGTTCTGGGCCGAAGCGTGCTATGCCGATTGAGTATCCATACTAAGTTCAGCATTAATATGGTGACCTCCTGGGAGTGGGTGGACCATTAGATTGCCTAAGGAGGGGTGAACCTACCCAGGTCAGAAACGGAGCAGGTCAAAAGTCTTGTGCTGATCAGTAGTGGGATTGCACCTATGAATAGCCAAGGCACTCTAGCCTGGGCAACATAGTGAGACTTTGTCTTTAAAAAAGAAAAAAGAAAAACATCCAGCATTCTTACTCCTGGGTATTTTCCAAAGAGAAATAAAAACATATGTTCACACAAAGACCTGTATACAAAAGTTCTGAGCAGCTTTATTCACAATAATCCAAAAAGTCCATCAACATGTCAACATACAAATTTTGGTATATTCATTAAATTAAATGCTTCTTAACAATGAAAAAGGAATACTGAAATAGGAAAAAAAAAGTGGATGAATCTCAAAAACGTGGATTCAGTGAAGCTGGGCATGGTGGCTCACACCTGTAATCCCAGCACTTTGGGAGGCCAAGGTGGGAGAATCACTTGAGCCCAGGAGTTCAAGACCAGCCTGGGCAACATAGAGAGACCCTGTCTCTAAAAGAATACAAAAATTAGCTAGGCATGGTAGCATGCACCTGCCATCCCAGTTACTTCAGAGGCTGAGGCTGAGGATTGCTTGAGCCCGGAGATCGAGGCTGCAGTGAGCCAAGATTGTGCCACTGCTGCACTCCAGCCTAGGTGACAGAGTAAGACCCTGTCTCCAAAAAAAAAAAAAGAAAAAAAAGCTAAGTGAAAGAAGTCAGACACAAGAGTATTATATGCTGTTTAATTCCATTTATGTAATTATGGTATTACATAATTAGGTAGAAGAGACTAACCTAATCAATAGCAATAGCAGATAAATGTTTGCCTGGTTTGAGGGAAATTAACTGCAAAGGGGTACAAGGAAGCATTTAGTGTGATAGAAATGTTACAAAGGTATAAAAATTTGTCAAAAGTCACAGAAATGAACTCTAAAAATGAGTACTTCTTACTACACATAAGTTATCTCTCAATAAAATTTATTTTCAAAAAATGTACCAAGTCACACAGCTAGAGTTATAGGGCTGGGATTTGAAACCAGGCAGTCCAACTCTAGTGTCTGTGCTCTCACCAGTAGATAGCTTTCTATCCATGCTATTTGGGCACTGTAACAACCCAAATAATTGTCCCTAATTGTAAGGGTCAAAATTCTTTGGCACTCCTTCCATCGAGATGTTCGGGTCTAATGGCCGGGCACGGTGGCTCACGCCTGTAATCCCAGCACTTTGGGAGGCCGAGGCAGGTGGATCACGAGGTCAGGAGATCGAGACCATCCTGGCTAACACGGTGAAACCCCGTCTCTACCAAAAAAAAAAAAAAATTAGCCAGGCGTGGTGGTGGGTGCCTGTAGTCTCAGCTACTTGGGAGTCTGAGGCAGGAGAATGGTGTGAACCTGGGAGGCAGAGCTTTCAGTGAGCCGAGATCGCGCCACTGCACTCCAGCCTGGGCAACAGAGCAAGACTCTGTCTCAAAAAAAAAAAAAAAAAAAATATGTTCGGGTCTAGTTCTCCTTCCTGTGAATCTTGCTGGTCTGTGACCACTTTTTTTTTTTTTTATTATACTTTAAGTTTTAAGGTACATGTGCACAACGTGCAGATTAGTTACATATGTATACATGTGCCATGTTGGTGTGTTGCACCCATTAACTCGTCATTTAACATTAGGTATATCTCCTAATGCTATCCGTTCCCCCTTCCCACCCCACAACAGGCCTGGGTGTGTGATGTTCCCCTTCCTGTGTCCATGTGTTCTCATTGTTCAATTCCCACCTATGAGTGAGAACATGCGGTGTTTGGTTTTTTGTCCTTGAGATAGTTTGCTGAGAATGATGGTTTCCAGCTTCATCCATGTCCCTACAAATGACATGAACTCATTTTTTATGGCTGCATAGTATTCCATGGTGTATATGTGCCACATTTTCTTAATCCAGTCTACCATTGTTGGACATTTGGGTTGGTTCCAAGTCTTTGCTATTGTGAATAGTGCCGCAATAAACATACGTGTGCATGTGTCTTTATAGCAGCATGATTTATAATCCTTTGGGTATATACCCAGTAATGGGATTGCTGGGTCAAATGGTATTTCTAGTTCTAGATCCCAGAGGAATCACCACACTGACTTCCACAATGGTTGAACTAGTTTACAGTCCCACCAACAGTGTAAAAGTGTTCCTATTTCTCCACATCCTCTCCAGCACCTGTTGTTTCCTGACTTTTTAATAATCGCCATTCTAACTGGTGGGGGATGGTATCTCATTGTGGTTTTGATTTGCATTTCTCTGATGGCCAGTGATGATGAGCATTTTTTCATGTGTCTTTTGGCTGCATAAATGTTTTCTTTTGAGAAGTGTCTGTTCATATCCTTCACCCACTTGTTGATGGGGTTGTTTGTTTTTTTCTTGCAAATTTGTTGGAGTTCATTATAGATTCTGGATATTAACCCTTTGTTAGATGAGTAGATTGCAAAAATTTTCTCCCATTCTGTAGGTTGCCTGTTCACTCTGATGGTAGTTTCTTTTGCTGTGCAGAAGCTCTTTAGTTTAATTAGATCCCATTTGTCAATTTTGGCTTTTGTTGCCATTGCTTTTAGTGTTTTAGACATGAAGTCCTTGCCCATGCCTATGTCCCGAATGGTATTGCCTAGGTTTTCTTCTAGGGTTTTTATGGTTTTAGGTCTAACATTTAAGTCTTTAATCCATCTTGAATTAATTTTTGTATAAGGTGTAAGGAAAAGATACAGTTTCAGCTTTCTACATATGGCTAGCCAGTTTTCCCAGCACCATTTATTAAATAGGGAATCCTTTCCCCATTTCTTGTTTTTGTCAGGTTTGTCAAAAATCAGATGGTTGTAGATATGCAGCATTATTTCTGAGGTCTCTGTTCTGTTCCATTTGTCTATGTCTCTGTTTTGGTACCAGTACCGTGCTGTTTTGGTTACTGTAGCCTTGTAGTATAGTTTGAAGTCAGGTAGTGTGATGCCTCCAGCTTTGTTCTTTTGGCTTAGGATTGACTTGGCAATGTGTGCTCTCTTTTGGTTCCATATGAACTTTAAAGTAGTTTTTTCCAATTCTGTGAAGAAAGTCATTGGCAGCTTGATGGGGATGGCATTGAATCTATAAATTACCTTGGCCAGTATGGCCATTTTCACGATATTGATTCTTCCTACCCATGAGCATGGAATGTTCTTCCATTTGTTTGTGTCCTCTTTTATTTCCTTGAGCAGTGGTTTGTAGTTCTCCTTGAAGAGGTCCTTCACGTTCCTTGTAAGTTGGATTCCTAGGTATTTTATTCTCTTTGAAACAATTGTGAATGGGAGTTCACTCATGATTTGGCTCTCTGTTTGTCTGTTATTGGTGTATAAGAATGCTTGTGATTTTTGCACATTGATTTTGTATCCTGAGACTTTGCTGAAGTTGCCTATCAGCTTAAGGAGATTTTGGGCTGAGATGATGGGGTTTTCTAGATATACAATCATGTCATCTGCAAACAGGGACAATTTGACTTTCTCTTTTCCCAATTGAATACCCTTTATTTCCTTCTCCTGCCTGATTGCCCTGGCCAGAACCTCCAACACTATGTTGAATAGGAGTGGTGAGAGAGGGCATCCCTGTCTTGTGCCAGTTTTCAAAGGGAATGCTTCCAGTTTTTGCCCATTCAGTATGATATTGGTTGTGGGTTTGTCATAGAGAGCTCTTATTATTTTGCGATACGTCCCATCAATACCTAATTTATTGAGAGTTTTTAGCAAGAAGAGTTGTTAAATTTTGTCAAAGGCCTTTTCTGCATCTATTGAGATAATCATATGGTTTTTGTCTTTGGTTCTGTGTATATGCTGGATTACGTTTATTGATTTGCATATGTTGAACCAGCCTTGCATCCCAGGGATGAAGCCCACTTGATCATGGTGGATAAGCTTTTTGATGTGCTGCTGCATTTGGTTTGCCAGTATTTTATTGAGGATTTTTGCATCGATGTTCATCAGGGATATTGGCCTAAATTCTCTTTTTTGGTTGTGTCTCTGCCAGGCTTTGGTATCAGGATGATTCCGGCCTCATAAAATGAGTTAGGGAGGATTCCCTCTTTTTCTATTGATTGGAATAGTTTCAGAAGGGATGGTACCAGCTCCTCCTTGTACCTCTGGTAGAATTCGGCTGTGAATCCTTCTGGTCCTGGAGTTTTTTTGATTGGTGAGCTATTAATTATTGCCTCAATTTCAGAGCCTGTTTTTGGTCTATTCAGAGATTCAAATTCTTCCTGGTTTAGTCTTGGGAGGGTGTATGTGTCGAGGAATTTATCCATTTCTTCTAGATTTTCTAGTTTGTTTGCATAGAGGTGTTTATAGTATTCTCTGATGGTAGTTTGTATTTCTGTGGGATCGGTGATGATATCCCCTTTATGATTTTTTATTGTGTCTATTTCATTCTTCTCTCTTTTCTTCTTTATTAGTCTTGCTAGTGGTCTATCAATTTTGTTGATCTTTTCAAAAATCCAGCTCCTGGATTCATGGATTTTTTGAAGGGTTTTTTGTGTCCCTATTTCCTTCAGTTCTGCTCTGATCTTCGTTATTTCTTGCCTTCTGCTAGCTTTTGAATGTGTTTGCTCTTGCTTCTCTAGTTGTTTTAATTGTGATGTTAGGGTGTCAATTTTAGATCTTTCCTGCTTTCTCTTGCGGGCATTTAGTGCTATAAATTTCCCTCTACATACTGCTTTGAATGTGTCCCAGAGATTCTGGTATGTTGTGTCTTTGTTCTCATTGGTTTCAAAGAACATGTTTATTTCTGCCTTCATTTCGTTATGTACCCAGTAGTCATTCAGGAGCAGGTTGTTCAGTTTCCATATAGTTGAGCAGTTTTGAGTGAGTTTCTTAATCCTGAGTTCTAGTTTGATTGCACTGTGGTCTGAGAGACAGTTTGTTATAATTTCTCTTCTTTTACATTTGCTGAGGAGTGCTTTACTTCCAACTATGTGGTCAATTTTGGAATAAGTGCGGTGTGGTGCTGAGAAGAATGTATATTCTGTTGATTTGGGGTGGAGAGTTCTGTAGATGTCTATTAGGTCCACTTTGTGCAGAGCTGTGACCACTTTGACCACTAGAATGAAGTGGAAATGGAACTATTCCATTTCCAGGCCTCGCCTTTAAGAGACTAGCAGCTTGACACTGGTCTCTCAAAGCCCTGGGATGCCTTATAAGAACGCCCATTACCTAGCTTGAACACCACATGGAGAGGCTCTGAAACTTCATAGAGTAGGAGAGGGGGCCAACTGAGCCCAGCTTCCTGGCACCCTCCAAAAGACAACAGATATGTGAGTAGAAATGTCTTAGATCCTACAGACCAGACAACTCACTGAATTAGTATTACTGAATCAATCCAGACAAGACCACAGGGGGCAGTAGAATTAGCCAGCTGAGCCCTAACTCAAATCCTGACCCACAGAATCATGAGATATAATAAGAAGATACTGTTTTAAAACATTTCATTCTCAGGATACTTTGTCAGGAAGCAATAGTTAACTAGAAAACTGATCAAAGGGCATTCCCATTTCTGTTGCCACTGAGATATTTCAATTCTTCATGATAAACTTTCTTTCTAGTATTCCAGATGTGATACCATAATTTTCCCACTTAGGGGCTTAATAAAGGATGAACAGCTGAAAGAATTATGGAGCCCATTCTCACTAGTTACATCAAGTCTGTAAATAAACAGTAATGTCAATTCAGAACCACCAGCATCCTCTGCTCAGGCTACTGTATCTGGACTACTGTTATTTATTCACCACATTTAAGGTAAGGTATAGGCAATTCTCAGCACACCTAGTCCAAAAATTAAACAACCTCAAGTTTTTGTGTAGCAGTCAGATACTTATATAATTCTTCTTCTATGAAAGTCAGTCTTTTCTGATATACCAAATCACCTACTGGATACAGGTAAGAAATTGGATGCATCAGAAAGAAGATATTTTTTGAAACGTTGGGCAATGTCTGACTTTAGCATCTGTGTTAATGCACTTCAGTAAGTATAAAGTACTGATGCTTCACTTTATGGGGTTGGAACTCTGCTTAGCTACAAAATGCCAGCTGTCCCTATGGCTCCAGTTGCTTACTACTCAAGAATGGAGTCAATGTACAAAATAGAACTATGCACAAACTGGCAGAGAAGCCCTTGATAGTACTGTAGATTCAAGAATTGTTGAGACTATACTATTGCCTTTCAGATAAAAATGCTTCCATTTGCTATAATTTACAAAGTGTATTCTCATAGAATCAGAGTTTTTAAAAATGTATTTCTTTGTTTATTGGTTGTTTATGACAACCCACTTATCTATAGTCTGATAAAACAGTGTCAAATGTTAATACTTAAATGATCTGCTAATACTATTAGTAATGCCAGATTATGCCACTCCCTGCATAAAACCCACTAATGGCCACTTATTGCAAGCTATTTACCACGGCCTCGAAATTCTGGCATGATCTCCTGACTGTCAACCTCCTTCATCTGATATTGTCTTCCCCTTCACTATTCTCCAGCCACAGAAGCCTTTATTAGGCACTTATTTTGTGCCAGGCCCTGCGCCAAGTTCTTTAGATGCATTATCCGATTTAATATTCATAACAGCCCTGGGAAAGAGATAATATCATTGCCATTTTGTAAATAAATAAAGACCCAGAAATCATGTAACTTGGCCAAGGTGACATAAATACTGAATATTGGAGTCAGTTATTTAACCTCTATATACTGATTCAACTTCCAAATGTGTATCTTCCCTGAATTCAGACCATATATCCAGCTGTCCCTCTGATATCTCCACTTGAATGTCTAGCAGACATATCAAACATAACCTGCTAAGTAAATCCAAATTAGAAGTTTTGGTTTCCCCTTTCATCCTCATCTTTCCAATCTCGGTCATTGGCACCACCCGCTTGCCAAAGACAAAAGCTTCAGTGTCATCTTTCATTGCTCTCCTGCCCACATTTAATTTCTCAGCAGCTTTTATCATGTTTCTCTTGAAAATATAACCAGTATCTGCCCACTGCCCTCCATCTCTGTTGTTGCTACCCTAAACTGGGCCGTCTTCATCTCCCACATGAGCTTCTGCAAGTCTCCTAATAGGCCTCACTACTTCCTCTCCCGCCTCATCACACGTAGCCTGGTGGTCTTTAGAAAGAGTTGTCACTTACCCCTTAAAACCCTCCAGTGATTTTTTTCCCACAACGTGAAGAATGACAGCCAAACTCCTGACCACAGCCTTTGTAATCATACTTGATCTGGCATCCCTGCCAGTTTTCAGCCTCTCATTGTTTGTTATTATTGCTGCTGTTGTATGGGAAGGGGAACCCAGAGGCAGAATCGTGTCAGTCATATTCCTTAGTTTGTGGAGCATCAGCATCTTTGATCCACATAAGATCCCTCTCTTGTATGTTGGTTGGTTATCTTGTTTATTTCCTTTTATCCAAATTCCCCACCTGCATTTCCTCACCTACTGTAAGCAGCCTACCATTTTGTTTGTAGGTGTTACTATAAATTTTATATTGATGTTTTCTATATTTTTAGTTTATATAAATGATATTGTGTAATAAATCACATTTTGCTTCTTGCTTTCTACACATGGTGTCATGAAGATCCATCTAAGTAGCATTTTTCATCTAGTCCATGTCTTCTCACTGCCGCATAGTACTGTCTGGTGCATCCACTGCCTTTTGACAATTCCTCCTTTGGGATGGACACCAGGTTAGATTGGCTCCCACTCACAAACAGTAGGCATCCCATTATTGTAGTCATGTGTGAGAATTATTTTGCAACATATATCAGTGGGATTGCTGGGTAATCTTGTGTATTTAATCTGAAAATGTACTGTCAAATAGCTCTCCAGAAGGCCTACAGCCTATGTTCTTACCAGTAGTGCATAAGGGAGCCAATATCTGCACCCCTCAATACAAATATCCAAGCAATTTGATCCAAGTGAACATTAGGCATTTTCCAACTTTCTGAGTTTTGTCACTTAAAGAGGTGGGATGTTTTTGATAGCTAATGAATTTGAGCACCTTTTATGTGCCATAACTTAGGTTTCCTCTTCTCTAAATTGCCTGTTCATGGCTTTTGCCTGTTTTTTCAACTAGTATTACTTTTTCTTGCTGATTTTACAAGAACTTCTTGTAAATGCTAGGTATAGGTCTTTTATTGTATAGGTCTTTTATTGACATTAGACAGTGAAAATATTTTCTGCCAAACTATCATCTGTCTGTTAAGTTTTTCCGTGTTATTCCATACTGAATAGCAATCTTTTGATAAAATTGGATTCACCCGTTTATTTTTATTTTATTTTTTCTTGTGATTTGTGCTCCTGAATTTTTTTAGGAAGTCCTTTCTCACTACCAAGATGCAAATGATGAGGGTTTTGTATTTTTCCCTTTCTATAGTTGACCTCTTTTTTTCCCTTTTCATATTGCTTGGGAAACTGCCAATGTTATTTTAACAGTAGCAGTGACAGTGGGTATCTTTTTTTTATTCCCAATCTTAAAGGGACTGCACATTGAGTTTTTCCATAAGTACAGTATAGAACTCTACTATGTTAAAGAGTCCCTTCAGTTCCTTCTATATTGATAGGCTTATCCTAAATAGGTATTGACTTATTTATGTTTTATCAAATGTTTTTTCCACATCAACTGAGATCATTTATTTTTACATTAGACTAGTTATGTGATGAATTATGTGGCTAGAAACGTTTTGTTAAACCATCCTTTCATTCCAGGGATGTAAAGGATAACTAATCTTTTATTAAGGATTTTTTTTCTCTATGACCATAAGTAAAATATACCTATTATTTTCTTTTGTGTATGTTTTTTGTGTTCTTTCTATCTACTTATATGTCAAAATTACACTTGCCTCACAGAACGATCTGGGCAATTCATTTCCTGTGTTCTATGCTTACTTCTATAAGATAGAAATTGATTGTTTCTTGAAATACTGGTAATACTAATGTGTAAAACCATCTGTGCCTGGGATTTCATGTGATGGCTTGTCTTTCAGATACCATTTCAGTTAGTAATTATTGGTATTTTCTGGCCTATTTAAATTTTCCATTTCTTCTTATGCCAATTTTGACAGCTTCCTTTTTCTAGGCATTTGTCTATTATATATAAGTTTTCAAATATTATAATTCTCTTTTATTATTTTTAAAAATCTTTGTTGAGGCTGATGTTATTTCTGCTTTTTAATTTTGTGTTTAATTTTCATTATCTCTCTTGTATCTTTTATTAAATAAACATTTTATTGAAGTATAATATACATACAGAAAAACATATATAATAGGTATATAGCTCTATGAATTTTTGTGTATCTCTGTGACATACATATCTATAAATAAAAATTATGGATCAAGCCTACATATGTGCACAAAAATGCATGTATAAAAATTATCACAGTAACAATTTACAACTGAGAAAAGTGAAAATAATATCAACATTTATCAACGATCAATAACAGGATGGATAAAGAAATGTTAGCATATTTATATTATGGAATATTATACAACAATAAAAAATAATAAATTACTACCACACACAAATATATGGATAAAACACACAAACACAATGTTAAGCCAAAGAAACCAAACTCAAAGGAGAATGTACTATATGATTTCATTCATATAACCTTTAACAGAGGCAAAACTAACTTATGGTTATAGAAGTTAGAATAATGGTTAACTTGTGAGGAGGGGGACAGGGGCTGGGAAGCGCATGAGGAAGGGTTCTATGGTTCTATGGTTTGATCTGGGTAGTGGTTACAAAGATGTGTTTACTTTGTAAAAATTCAGTGAACTATTTGTACACTTATGAATTGTGCCCTTTTCTATGTATATAATATGCTGCAATCAAACGTTTATAAGAGACAATGACTGTCACAACAAAATAACTAAAAGCCTTAGGAGTATCCCACACATGGTAAGAACATTCCAAACAAAGTGACTTCAAGAGGTTGAAAATAAAGGCATTAGCAAAGAGATACAGGACAAACACTAAACAACAAACAAAAAAAGGAGTGGTCATATTAAAATTAAGCAAGGTGGAAAGTAAGGTTAAAAGTACTCAAAGGACACAAGGGAGCATAATATGATAATAAAAAAGCACAACATTGTGAAGAAGTTCTAACAGTCATAAACTTACTTAAACCAAACAGCACGGGAGCTAAATATACACAAAGCAAACCAATTAGGAAGCTATTTTAAATTCAACTAAAGTGTGAGATGTCTCTATATTTCTTTCAGAATCAAAGAATACTGTACTCAAATAAAAACAAGGAGAAAAACAGATTAACTAATATATCAAAAATAAAAAGTAATAAAATATTTAGAATAACTTTGGTACTTTTAGTACTTTCCAACTTTGCCTAATTTTAATATTATCACTCCCTTTTCCCTTTTTGTTTGTTTGGTATTTGCCTTGTGTAAAATATACAATTTTCATATGACCATAAAATATTTATCAAAATCAATCATATATATGTATATATATGCATGCACATACACACATATATGTGTATATACATATAGTAGACTTTATAAATTGAGGCTATAAAATAACCCAATTATATTAAGAATAAATAATAAAATGTTGACCAAAAATAAAAAGCATTAACTATTTAGAAATTAAGAAAGACATTTCCAAATAGCCATTAGATCAAGAAAATTTCAAAGCTAAAATTATACATGCTATAGAAGCAAATAAAAGGAACACTTCATAGATGAACTTATGAGAGACAGCCAAAGATATACTCAGAGATCTGAAAAAATAGTCATAATGCCATTAAGATTTCAAATGTAAAAGACTGGACCCCGTGGTGAAACCCAGTCTCTACAAAAACACAAAAATTAGCCGGGCATGGTGGCCTATGCCTGTAATCCCAGCTACTCAGGAGGCTGAGGTGGGAGGATCACTTGAGGCCAGGAGGTTGTGGCTGCAGTGAGCTGTGATTGCACCACTGCACTCCAGCCTGGGAGACAAAACGGGACCCTGCCACCCTCCCCCCACCCAAAAAAAAACCCAAAGAACAAAACAAAACAAACAAAAACCTCATTAATTTAATTTAATTTAAATAAATAAATAAATAAATAAAAGATGAAGAAACTTGGTACCTGTCCAGTAAATTAATGAAAAATGGAAAGCCGCTTTAGGAAGAGAGAATTCATAGAAACAAAACTTGAATTTAACCAAATGAGCAACAAAAATTAGCAGATGATAAATTAATCCAAATGCTGGTATTTCAAAGGACCCAATAAAATACATAACCTATCACAAACTTATTTTAGGAGATAAAAGAAAAAATAAAAACGTAGAGGATCGGGAGTGAGAAAAGAGACAAACTACAATACAGGAGAATTTTTTTTAATTACAAGACGGAATTATATGCAACTCCATGGCAACAAATTTGTGAATCTAGAAGAAATGAATAATTTCTTAGTAAAATGTGAATGACCAAAATTGACCCAAGAAAAAGACATGAAAAACTTTGAATAGGCCAATTACCACAGAAGACACTAGAAAGGTTAAAAAGACCTTTCACTAAAAATGTTACCTACTGGCTTCATAGCTGAAATCTAACCTTTAAAGAACAGCTAGTTCCTATGTTATTCAAATGATTCTAAGTCAGAAAAAAATACAGAAGCTCTTGACTCATTTTACAAAACCAGTACAACTTTAATACAAAAAAAAGTTGTATTAAACTTTTTAAAGAAAGTACAGAAACAGATAACTGTAATTTCATTTATGTGTTTGGATGCAACAATTGTTTTTAAAAATTAGCAAATGGAAACTGGCATGGAACAAAAGAAATTAATTCATTAAATAATTTTTGGTAGCCACTCAAATATTTATTGAATGAATCAATGAAAGAATAAGCATTTGCCTTTAAAAACAGCATGAATAATTAGGATTTATTCAAAGAATGCAGAGGTAATTGTACATTAGGAAGTCTATCCAGGTAATTCATTAGGACAGCAAAAGAAAAATATGTGATATATCAAAAGTACTGAAAAGCTATTTAAGAAACTCAGTAATCATTCTTATGACACTCCAGGTAGGGGGTGAAACTTCCAGAGGAACTGCGTGAGAAGCTCAGCAAATATTCTCCTCAAAAACCAATGACAAAACTAGAGAAAATTGTCCAACAACCATTTCAAACTCTAAAAATTAAGCAAAGCATGCAAAAAATTGAAGGGCATTATTTACTCCTGGTTATATCTCTTGCTGTGAAATCCCTATTGTCTGATACTAACATAGCCAGTTCAGCATCCTTTAGATTAGCATTTTTTATCTTTTTACTTTTGACCTATTCATATCTTTATATGTAAGGTGGGTTTATTATATAAACATTTTCTGCCATTTACATGTAGTGCAATTATAAATATGGTTAGGTTTAAATATATCTTTTTGCTATTTGTTTTCTATTTCATCCCATCTCTCCTTTGTTCGTTTTTTCTTCTTACTCTTCTTAAAAAATTTTTTTATAATTCCATTTTATTCACTATTGGCTTATTAAATTTTTCTCTTTTTCTTTTGTAGTTATTGCTCTGTGATTTATAATATACAATTGAATTGTCCCTTGGTATCTATGGGGGATTAGTTCCAGGACCCCTCACAGACACCAAAATTCATGGATGCTCAAGTTCCTTATATAAAATAATATATTATTGGCATATAATATTGGCACACATCCTCCCATATACTTTAAATTATGTCTAGATTACGTGTAATACCTACTACAAGGTAAATGCTATATAAGCAGATGTTACACTGTATTGTTGAGGGAATTATGACCAAAAAAAGATCTGTACATGCTCAGTACAGATGCAACCATCCATTTGTTTTTCAAATACTTTCAATTCACAGTTGGTTGAATCCATGGATGCAGAACCCACTGATACAGAGGGCCAACTGTGTATCCATTTTATCACAGTCTACCTTCGAATAGTTTTATAGCACTTCCCATATATTTTAAGAACCTTACAATGGTGTACTCCCATTTCTGCCCTCCCATCCTTTGTGCTATTGTTGTCACCTGTTTTAATTCTACATGTTATAAACCTAACAACACATGCTTATTATACTTTTCCTTAAACAATTATCTTTTGAAGAGACTTTAAAAGTGAGGAAAATGTATCTGCTTACCTACATATTTACTATTTTCAACAATCTCTATTCTTTAGTGTAGATCCAAATTTCTTTTAGTATCACATTCCTTCTGCCTGAGGAACTTCTTTTAACATTTTTTTTTTTTTTTTTTGTAGCATAGGTCTGCTGGCAATAAATTCTCTCTGTTTTGTTTCCCTTTTTAAAAAGTCTCTCTTTAGCCTACATTTTGAAAGATACTTTTGTAGGTTGTAGACTTCCAGGATGATGCTTTTTTCTTTCAGTATTTTAAAGACTTCACTTCATTACCTTCTAGCTTCGACAGGAAGTCTGCTGCCTGCCTTTTTTGTTGTTACTGTTGTTCTTCTCTGTGTGTTGTGGCCCCATACTCTGCACTTGCTTTTAAGATTTTCTGCTTATCACTGGTTTCCAGCAATTTGATTATCATGTGCCTTGGTGTGGTATTCTTTTTCCCTTTGTTTGTGGTTCATTAGGCTTGTTGTTTTGCAAGTTTAGAGTATTCATCACTTAGACATTTTCCAGCCATTATTTCTTGAATTTCTTTTCTCTCTCCCTCCACCTGCCAGGGCTCACATAACACACGTTAGACTTCTAGATATCATCTCACAACACTGATATCCTGCTCCTTATTTCCCCAGGTTTTCCTCCTTTTGTGTTTTATTTTACTTAGTTTCTAATGTTATGTCTTCAAAGATCACTGATATTTTTTCTGTGGTGTCTAAGCTGCTATTCATCCCAGTCAGTATAACTTTCTTTCAGATATTGCATTGAGAAAAATAAAGTAGGGAAGGAAAATAGAACCCAGGTGAGTGAGATGGACATTTTAAATCAGGCCATTAAGGAAAGAATTACTGATAGGATAAAACTTGAGTAAAAACCTGAAGGAGGTGAAGTGAAGATATTCAGGTCTTCATCATTCTCCAAAGCTGTTTCTATGACACCTTTAGCACATTTCTCCTTTCTATTAAGTCTCTTCCTTCCTTCTGGTGTAGCAAGTAGCCCTCCGTTGTCTTCTGTAGGTTCCTTTTTGTCTCAAATCCTCCTTAACTATATTCTTGCACATTTTTTTCTATTTGTCTATATCCTGTCTTCCTTTCCCTTATTACAGATTCCTTTTGCTGCTTCTCTTGTGGCTTCTGTATCTACAGTGGTTTCATTTTTCTCACCCATTCTTTCCAAAGCTATGTCTGCTCATTTGTCATCTCCTTTAATAGTTTTTCACCTTATATTTGAACACCATTATTTCCTCTTTAACTTCTTATTTCTAGGGACCCTGTCCTCCTTAACTTATTTGATATCAGAAGGGAAACACATCTACTGTAGCATGTTTCTGTTTTGTGAATATTTTTTATCTGATTTTTGCTCATTATGTACCTTTTTTCTTTATGGTTGCTTTTGATTACTACTCAACTCTGAATGCGGCCAGGGCTTTTCTGCAGCAGTTGTTTATAAAAGGTTGTGTGGGAAGGCTCCATGAAGTGAGTAGAGACAGAAAGTAGCCTGGGCTTAGGACTTTCTCAAATCTTACCAAATGCATGTCTCAAATTCTGTATTCTGGAGCCCCCTTCGGGATAAGCAGAAAGTCCACTTGTCTCCTGTATGCCATGGCTTTCTTTAATGGTGATTAAATGATGACTACTGCTGATTATTTTTCTTTCTCAATTATCATCAGCACTAAGCTAATTGTCACTTGCCTCCTCTCATCTACTCCATCAAACTGACACCCATTCTTCCAGAAATGGCAGGTCTAATCAGATGATCATCCAGCTCCTCCTCTCCTGCTGCTCTAGGGTGATAAACCAGGCTTGGGATATTCTCACACCAATCTCCACGCCCTGCAGACCTACCGATACAAGTCAGCAAGTAATGGTTGGCCCTCAGTATAGGCAAACACTCTAAGGAAATCTGTCTGCCCCTCCAGGAACTGTTAAGGTATATGTTAAGATATGTGTCCACTCTTGCTCTGCTCCCTGTGTTTGGTCTACATATTACTACATTTGATAGCATTCTTCATAAACTATCATTCCCTGGCATCGTGCCTTCCTTATTTCATTTTCTTCTCTGTGGTTCATTATTGTTTTGTTATTACTGGTTTGACAGAGAAGAGTAGAACAAAAAAGCCTTCTTTCCTATCTTTAATTGGAAGTTTCTGTTTTAATTTAATTCAACTCAAAAAATATTTATTGAGTGCCCATGAAAAATAAGATTCCGTGATTAGTGCTGAGGAGAGGGAAAAGATGAGAGTAAAAAAACTTATGGCAAATATTTAAAGAACACAAGGAATCCCATTGTACTGGAACACAAACAGAAGGAAAGAAATCTTCACCTATCTCTATAGTGGCAATAGGAGTGCTCTGTTGTTTCAGCAGAAAAGTCTTTGCAACTTTGTCTTAAGTGAAATAGTCCTATTTATGTTCTGGGAGCCCTCAGGACCACCCTAATAATAGCAATGCTTGTAAGTACTAATAAAGGATGCTGAACTATCCAAATAATTATGGTAACTAATATTCAGCATGTTCTTTGGTAGGTACTTTCATGCAGACCCATGTGGGTCACTTAACAAAATAGAATTTCATTTTTTTTTTTAAAAAAAAGACCAAGTATAGAATAAGCCATTATCTGGAGTAGCTTGTTGCCTAGTTGAGAGGGTAGCTGTGCCCCGCAGACTTAAAGTAATTGTACTGTGGCAATTTAGCGAAAGGAAGGAAGGAAGGAAGGAAGGAAGGCAGGAAGGAAGGAAGGAAGGAAGGAGGGAGGGAGGGAAAGAAAAGAAAAGAAAAGAAAGAAGGAAGGAAGGAAAGAGAAAGAAGAAAGGAAAGGAAAGGAAAGGGAAGAAAGGAAAGGAAAGGAAAGGGAAGAAAGGAAAGGAAAGGAAAGGAAAGGAAAGGAAAGGAAAGGAAAGGAAAGGAGGAGACATTGCATCTCTTCAGGAGGCCAGGCAGAAAACAAAAAATAGATAAAACCAAGGGCTTTAGGGCCCCCGATGATGCAGTAGGCAAGGAAATAAATTTAAATATAACTAAGCAGAAAGGAGAAGTAGTGGCCACTTTTTATTTTCCTTAAATCTAGGGATATTGACACCAAAAATTAAACTTCAATAATTTATGGAGTTAAAGTGCTTTTGCCTTCTGCCCCAAACCATGACAAAAAGTCTTCACCCCAAGGAAGCAGTATTTGATTCTCAAAGCATGTGCTCACTCATTTGCTGCTGACCTCCCTGCCCATCCCCTTTTCCCTGACTCCTCTGTATGTCCTCAAGGGCCATATTTTCCTCAGTGTCTTCTCCCCTCTGGGTTCTAGGTAGAGACCAATGGGACTCTGACCTGCTATTTATAAAACTGAGCTTGCAAAGTGAACAGTGGGCTCTTCTCCTCTTTCTGAATCTTCTGGGATGTCCTACAGATGCACTAGCTATGGAGCCATTTAATTGGGGAAGGGACTTGGGATGAAAAAGCTCAAGAACTGCTGGCCTAACATCAAACTTTGGTTTTTGGAAACATTAGTATATGCCCAAGTCAAATTGGTGACAGATGGCTCTGGATTGCAAGTAACTATATATAAACATATTCTTAGAAAATATGTTCTATTGATTTAGCAATAAGAATCAGATGAATCCTATCAGGAGCCATGGAAGGAAGAAAATGGACTGTTATGGACCTGAAATCTCTGGGAAAATGGTTTTCTAAAATATAGTCATCACCGGGGGACTTGTTAGAATTGCAAATTCTCGGGCCTCTCCTTAGACCTGCTGGACCAAACATTTTGAGGGTGGGGGCCCCACAACCGAGTTTAACAAGCCCTCCCGGTGATTCTGATGTATGTTAAAATTTAAGAACCAGTGTAGTGGGGGAAGAAAATAACTCAAGGCATAGATCAGTGGGTCTCAAATTTTGTGTTGCCTCAGAATCCCCTGGAGAGCTTATTGAAACAAATATCACTAGATCCTACTCTGTGAATGTTTGATTCAGTGGGGCTGGGGTGGGGAGAATTTGCATTCCTAACAAATTCCTAGGTGGTGCTGATCCTGCTGGCCCCAGAACCACACTTGGAGAACCACCAGTCTACATAAAAGATTTAGGCAAGTAGAAAACTTTCCTGGCTCAAGACTAGAAAAGGATTTTCTGGTCTAAGGGGTTGGAAAGCAGGGGAGGAGGATAAGTAATAACTACATAGACATGTTAGTAATTTATATAGAAAAAAGCTCTGCTTCCTTCGGGCTCTAGGGAGACAGCAAAGCAGTAAGACTGCTGCTTTAGGCAGTCAGGGTTTTAGAATCACTAATTGACTTTCCTACTCTCCAGGTGTGGGAATGGTTGGAAAGTAGGGATATGCTGTCCAGAATAGGCCAAGTGAACAATCTTCAAAGTGGCCTGCATGAACCAATGCCCAATCATGATGATGACATGTTCATTGATACCTGAATGAAGAGATAAATTCATAGAAAAGATTATCCTCCTCACACCAAACGCCCTGACAATGTAGCAATGGGAAGCTTCCAGAACTCAACCATGAACTGAGGGAAAGTGGAGAAACCAAGATGGTGCATTTGAAAGGAGGCTATGTTGTTAGCACCTTTCATAGGCTCTTTAGAATAATGTGAAAGACAAAAATTTTGAAATGTTATTTCAGTAATTCTTAGGAAACACAAGTGAAGTACGGTGCCTCACGATAGGGTTACCCTTCAAGCGTGAACCCAAAATGGTCACCTCAGATGCCCTACCAAAGCAATTTCCCTGATGGGGGGCATCAAATAGAAATTGAGTCATAGCCAGGAATGGTGGTGAGCACCTGTAGTCCCAGCTACTTGGGAGGCTGAGGCAGGAGGATCGCTTGAGGCCAGGAGTTCTGGGCTGCAGTGTGCTATGCTGACTGGGTGTCTGCACTAAGTTCAGCATCAATATGGTGACCTCCAGGAGAAGAGGACCACTAGGTTGCTTAAGGATGAGTGAACTGGACCAGGTCAGAAATGGAGCAGGTCATGGCAACACAGCAAGACCTTGTCTCTAAAATAAATAAATAAATAAATAGAAATTGAGTCATAAAACATAAAATGACTAATTTTGAAGAAACAATTGGTAAAATTCAAATGGAGAGACATTCTTTCAAACAGCTGGCCTATACATTCAAATATATATACATATTTATATTTGGTAAACAAATATGTATATTCTGTAAACAAATTGTTTGCCAAAAAATTAAGAATTCTCCATCTGCGTATGATGAGGTGTTATATTTTTGTCATTAATGGTCACCTGCATCTTAGATTATGGCATTATATCAATAGTTTTCTAAATTTGAACAAAAATGAACATGGCTTTGTGAATTGAGATCCGTACCTGCTATGCCCATACCCATATCCTTATGCTTAACACTTTTTCAGAATGGTGAAGACCAGAATAGTGAAGGTTCAGCACCTTAGAGAACTTACACACCAAGAATAGGAATTGTTTTTTCTTTCTTTCTTTCTTTCTTTCTTTCTTTCTTTCTTTCTTTCTTTCTTTCTTTCTTTCTCTCTCTCTCTCTCTCTTTCTTTCTTTCTTTCTTTTTCTTTCCTTCCTTCCTTCCTGCCTTCCTTTCTTCCTTTTTTTTTTTTTGAGTCAAAGTCTCACTCTGTCACCTAGGATGGAATGCAGTGGCGCAATTTCGGTTCACTGCAACCTCTGCCGCCTGGGTTCAAGCAATCTCCTTCCTCAGCCTCCGAGGTAGCTGGGATTACAGGGATGCACCACCACACTCAGCTAATTTTTTGTATTTTTAGTAGAGACGGGGTTTCACCATGTTGGCCAGGCTGGTCTCAAACTCCTGACCTCAGGTGATTTGCCCACCTCGGCCTCCCAAAGTGCTTGGATTACAGGCCTGAGCCACTGTGCCTGGCCTGTGAGTGATCTAAAATAAAACTTTAAAGAGGCCATGGTTGAATTCCTTCTCTAGGTGGTTAATAGGATATTCTTGGAGTGGAATTTTGTCCAGGGCAGGTGTGGAATATCACACAGTCTTGATTTCAGGGATTTCCCAGGGTGATAACAGCCACAGTTTACCACAGACACCTGAGACAGGAAAAACGGCTTCTTGTAATCCCTTTCAAAGTGAATGTTCTTTGATTTCTCTCCTTCTATGATCTTTCTTGTCTCTGAATTCAATAGTGTTTGCAGTCTGAACCAAATACCCTCATGCTTGATTTTATCCAGGCAGGTATTTTTCACCTGTTGTTTCAAGTACATATCACTCATCTCCCAGCCCAGATATAACCTCTGCAGAGGCAGGAACTGCGTCTTCCATTACTTTCACCTCCTGTGTAGCACTCTACCATGCTAGAACCCTGTAAGCACAGAAGAGAAATACTTATTGATTCACAGAATGCAATGAATGAAGAATGAGGGGGGAGTACCTTTTTTCCTAATCTGCCTATTTAAAAAATAAGCTCTTCTCAGAAACATGTCTATTGGATTTGAGAGGAGTTGAGTAACAAATTATTTACCAAAAAATTAAGAATTCTCCATCTGCATATGAGGAGGTGTTTTATTTGTGTCATTAATGGTTGTCTGCATGTTCCTTTCTACGCCTTGTCAGAGAACTGCCACATGCCTCATTATTTATGGCCAACAATGATGCATTTGTAAGTTTACTTGTTGCTTGAAGCCCAGACAAGACTGTGAAATAAGCAAAATCTGGCTCTGCCATCCCTCCTTAGGACTGTTCATATCCTCATCCTATCCCCCATCCCCACTCTCCCATCTTCTTTTAACTAGTAGTCAACCAATTAGCCAGTAAGAGCTAAATTATTACCCATCTAGGACTATGTTTCTTTTAGTAAAGGATTCATGAAGAGCTAACTTTTAAAATCTAAAGAAATGGATCTCTAATTGCAAACTTTCTGATCTTCAATAGACAGTGGGAGATTTCACAACCAGGCTCCTTAAATCTCCCCTTCTAGAGCCTATTTTACCTACTCCTGAGGCCAGGGCTAGTAAGATTTAGGAAAAAGATCTCATTTCGATGTGAGGTGTAAAAACTCAGGTTTTTCATTTCACATAGGTATATTCATGCTTTGGGGAATGGATGTGGGTTAATGAAACTCACAAGTTACTGGTTTAGAAGTCAGAAAGTAATTTATTAATTTGTTTATGCTTTTCTTGTTCTTAGAATATGTATGTATTCTATTTAAGAAATAGATATCAAATATCTGACAGAGGTGCCAATAATTTCTCCTGCCATGCTCAGAGCAGACATTGCTACTTAAGCACAGCATTCTTTTCCTTGTTAACCCAGTGATTCAGACATCCATTGCCATTGGTCTGTGCTGGCATGCAAGATGAAACATTTTCTGCCATTGCTATTCTTCCTGACATCAAGGTACCTAGGAAGTAATAATTTATTAGAATATTGTTTGGCAAAAATGGAATCAAAGCAAATGACCAATTACAAAAAAATTAGGAAAAAAAATAACACAAGTGAAAATAAATTAGAACTAAGGAATTATAAAATAAATTAGAACATCAAGATGGGGGAAGGGGCATGGTTCTGTGTAGCTAATGTCATTAGAACTTAATATAGGTTTACTGGCATCAGAAGCTTAAAAAAGAAAGAAAAAGAAGGTAGACAGGAAGGAAAAAAGCAAGGAAGGGAGGGAGGAAGGAAGGAAGGAAAGAAGAAAAGCAGTGAGAAAGGGAGGATGGAAGGGAGGAAGAAAGAAAGAAGGAAAAGTTTTTGGATAGACTGTCACAGGAGGGACAGCAAGTGATATGTTAGACAATGTCCTTATTTCTATGACAAATGAAGCAATGAACTTCATAATTCATAAGACTATGTAATATCCCTTAGTAAATGCCAAGGGCATAAGCCTCGGGCATAATTCAATAAAGACAGTTCCAGAGTGGGTCCAGATAATGTGTTCTAATTTAATCTCAGAAAAAGAACCTAGACTACTGAGACGCATAGGTGGGTAATACCAAAGGGAATGTGATCATTTTGTAGAATTTTTGAAGCCTGGGATATTATTGCCAACGCACTATATAGTATAACTTTCTAATGACTGTAATACCAAAAACTAGTGTCATTCTTGGGTAAGCCAAGACAAAACATCATTCTTCTCTCCCTTTTAAGTAGTCCTGAGGGTTCACCAGAAACTTCTGCCATTGCATTCCCTCATAACATTGCTATGTCCCATGTTAAGGCATTTCTGAATCAACTATCTTTTAAAATAATTGCTTCTTGCAAACATATGAAACATATTAAATTGACAACATTTGTCCATACAGTGTAAGACGTGGTGCTGTGTCCTCAAACACAGAAATTGTGATTCCAGTAATTTCACAATCTAGTACAGTTCTTTGTAGACATAGGTGCTCAATAAATATGCATCAGGCCAGGCGTGGTGGCTCATGCCTGTAATCCCAGTATTTTGGGAGGCCGAGGTGGGCGAATCACCTAAGGTTGGGAGTTTGAGACCAGCCTGACCAACATGGAGAAACCCCGTCTCTACTGAAAATACAAAAAATTAGCTGGGAGTGGTGGTGCATGCCTATAATCCCAGCTACTCAGGAGGCTGAGGCAGGAGAATTGCTTGAACCTGGGAGGCGGAGGTTGCAGTGAGCCGAGATTGTACCATTGCACTCCAGCCTGGGCAACAAGAGTGAAACTCTGTCTCAAAAAATAAAAATAAAAAATATATATTCATCAAATGAATAAGTATCAAGGACACTTGTATTATTTTCTCCCACGTGTTTCAGATTTTGCAAGTTTGTCTAGTAGACAATTTGCATTTGAATAATAATGGATTTGCTTTTACAGATCAGTATAACTAGTTTTAGCTCCTGGACTCAATATAATTATAGTAAAATGCAAAGAAACATGACATTTTAGCCTGATCTCAGTCATCTCAAGTAAATGAAAAGCTTCTTGAGATTATGTTTGGTCCTGTTCATTCTTACAGAGAATGAAACACACTTTCTAGTCATGGAATGTTGCCTTAGTTTGGGAGCTTCTCTCGATGATATGTGTGTGATCCTACCTTACACCATAAACCAAAATAAATTCCAGAATGATTTAAGAAGTAATTGTAGAAAATACAACAATAATTTTTAAAACTAAAATAAAATTTAGATGAATATTTATCTTTCTCACATTTGAGAAATAGAGCCATTAAAATATTAAGAAAAAAATTAAAGTTTTCGGCACATAAAAGTTAAATTCCTCTTCATGTAAAAAAAACTAAAGGCAAAGAAAAAGTAAGAATATATTCTTCTTAATAACCTTCACTTATAAAGCACTAATATAATCAAAAAGAAAATTATTTTCTCAATAGAAAGATTGGCAAAGGGCACTGACAATTTTAAGAAGAAAAAATAACAATAGCCATTTAAAACCTTGTTTAAGCGGTCAGTATTACTAGTAGTGTGGAAATGGAAATTAGAGTAAGATACTCAGTTTGATCTATCACTTTACTACATATTTCAAAAATAATAATACTTAACACTGGCAAGGGAATAGATTTTCTGGAAAGCATTTTGGCAATATGTTCCAAAAATCTTTAAAGTTCCCAGTCAAACAGGGAAAGACCATATTTATATTATAATTTATAATGGCCAAAAACTGGGGAGAAAAATAGATGTATTATTTACCATGTCCAAAAACTGGGAAGAAAAATAGATCTCTAAAGAGAAAGTAAAAGGTTCAAATAATTAAAATGTGTAGTGGAAGATTTTTTTTTTTTTTTTTCCGAGACAAGGTCAGGCTTTATCACCCAGGCTACAGTGTAGTGGGGCAATCTCTGCTCACTGCAACCTCCGCCTCCTAGGCTCAAGCGATCCTCCTACCTCAGCCTCCAGAGTAGCTGGAATTACGGGCATGCACCACCACACTTGAGTAATTTTTTGTATTTTTTGTAGAGATAGGGTTTTGCCATGTTGCCCAGGCTGGTCTTGAACTCCTGGCCTCAAGTGATCCACCCACCTCGGCCTCCCAAAGTGCTGGGATTACAGGCGTGACACGCCACTGCCCTTGGCCTCAGTGGAAGAAATGTTGATGAAACTGTGAAATCATGAAAAAATTTGTATGAAATAATCCTAAATAAAAAACTATACATAGCTATATATGCACTACAATTTCATTTACTTAAAACCTATGTATCACCAGGCGTGGTGGCTCATGCCTGTAATCCTAGCACTTTGGGAGGCTAAGGCAGGAGGATTACTTGAGCCCAGGAGTTCAAGACCAGCCTGGGCAACCTAGTGAAACACTAGTCTCTGTTAAAAATTTTTAAGTTTTTTTAAAAAGACCTATGTATCTATATAGACATGGAAAAAATTTAGAATATACCAAAATAGTAAAATATTAACTTTGGGTTGTACTAATATAAATAATTTTTTCTTCTTTGTACTTTTTCCTTATTTTCCAAATCTACAATTATCATACATGATTCTCCCATGTTTTAAAAAGCAGCATATGAAATTTTAAAATGCAATGCCTGACCTAAATGGCAGATTCTAGAATGTTTCCATGTAAACATTTAGCTTTTTCTGGTTGAGTTGTTTCCCAGAACATCCTCTGGATTCTGTGGTCTGGTGTTATGTTGTACCCTTAAACTGTTCTCAACTTACTCACCCAGGGGCAGGTGTACTTCAGTGATAGATGATAGAATTCCTTAGGACTATACCTAAATTATTAAAAGTCAGGCCAGACCTGATGGATTGGATATGTGGTTTACAGTAAGAAAAAAAAAATAGCCTGTCCCAAAGAAATAGCTAAACGTGTCACCACTGGATTTCAGAAGCAAACTTTTTGCTCTGCAGTCTCCCCTGGAAGCCTTCCTTAAGTCCCTTGGAAGGTGAAGGGTGCCTCTCTTGGGTTCTCGTGCTGTCCTGACTTGACCTCAGCATTTTCTGCATTGTACTGAATTAATCTGTTCACCCGCCTCCCACTCCTCCTTCCCCCTACCCACAGGCTCCAACAGAACTGTGAATTCCTTACACACAAACCTCTGTTTTACTCACCTCTGTAGCTTCAGAACACAGCCCTAGGCAGTCTGAATGATATTTCTTGTCTAGTGATTTCACCTGAAACTTGACCCTTAAAAATGAATTCAAATGAGATGTGAAAATATTAGTCTCTTGAACTAACATCGGTGAATGATGCAGAATCCTGCCTGCTTCCTCAACTTGGCGTGGCGAATCACACATCTATAAAATTGGTGGTTTCAGATTGTTCTGCCCAAAAGTGGTGGTATGAAACCCAACCCTTGCATCATTATCACATGCTCTATTACAACTCTCCCTGTCCATCAGCAGACTAAGCATTAACTTAAATAAAGCTTTCTTTTAATAACTTTGCTTGGAAATGATCATGTAAAACCATGAAATCGAACTGAAAGTTTCTTGTTTCACTGAAATTGGACCAACATTGACTTCACGCACTAACTGCTGGTGGGGCAGGGGCCTCCTCTCTGCTATCTCCCAGTCTCTTATTTGTTCAGCCAGAGGCCAAGATGAGGTTGAACTCTACATCCTACAGGAATCCTGAGAGACTCTTTGAACTGGTAAAATCCTTCCATCCGGGACTTGCCTATATTGGAGCATCAGTGTTGTTTGCTCTGTAGGACCAAGCCTTGTCCAACTAGAGAATCAGCATCCTACAAGGGCCCTCTGGTCTGTGAAACCTTGCCCACCTTGATGCCCTCCTTTGAGCCCCAACCGACTTTGATAAGCTTCTTCCCATGTCTGTTTCTTTCACTATCCTGTAAGTTCCTTGAAGGTCAGAACAATATTTCATATATTTTTGTGGCATGAGTGCCTAGCACATGCCTGAAATACAGTCAATAATAAATTGAATTGAACCACTGGGGAAAAGGATGTTTTTAGATGCTTACTATATTTTTAGACTCACTCTGGGAGTTACAACCACTTCTATACAGAAATATAAGCTTCTTCTAGGACATAGTGTGATTAGTAGAAAGCTTTTTCATAGTAGTGTAGGGCAGGTGAGCCCCAAATTGGAGCTTAGCCCCAAAGGGTTCTTGGCTTTGCTCAGAAAAGAACTGCTTTCTAACTTTTAAGTTCAGGGGTACAAGTGCAGGTTTGTTACATGGATAAACTTGTGTCATGGGGTTTGTTGTACAGATTATTTTGTCACCCAGGTATTAAGCCTACTACTCATTAGTTATTTTTCCTGATCCTCTCCCTCCTTCCACCTTCCACTCTCAGAAAGGCCTCAGTGGTGTTGTTCCCCTCTTTTCAGAGTGAGCCAGTGGTAGAACAAATCAGCTTTATGGAGGTGACAGTATTACAGCTCCGGGACTCCTCCTGCAGAGCAGGCTATCCTATAGGCAGTGTGTGGAGAGGAGCAGCTCAGAGGCTGTTTTGTAGTTATATTTATACCCACTTTTAATTACATGCAAATTAAGGGGCAGATTATGCAGAAAGTTTTAGGAAAAGGGTGGTAACTTTCAGGTGGTGAGGTTGTTGCCATGGAAAGGGGAGGTAACTCTGATGTGTTGCATGGCAATGGTAAACTGACATGGCACACTGGAGGGCATGTCCTATGGAAAGCTGTTTCTACCCTTTCCCTGTTTTAGCTAGTCCTCAATTTGGTCTGGTGTCTGAGCCCAACCTCCAGAGTCGTGTCTCATCTCCTACCTCAATAGTTCTATGACTTTAGTAACTTTATATACTAGCAAGTTAATATCTCTTGAGCCTCCATTTTCTGATCCATAAAAGAGGGAGTGATACTAACTGTATTGTTGTCAAGATTAAATGAAATTATGCCACTCCCCTGGCACATAGTAGGGGGTTAAAAATCTCACAGCTGGGTTTAGAGTTTCCCCCATGCCTACCAAAACAAATTTTCCCACCAAAGCTTTTCCCTTCTCCTTAAGAATCTTACTTTTCTTCCATGAGAACTCATGATCCTTTAGAGCAGGGCTCAAGCAAACATTTTTTGTAAAAGCCCAGATAGTCAATACTTTAGGCTTTGTGGGCTGCAGGGTATCTGTTGTATATTCTTCTTTGTTTTTGCTATTGTTGTTGTTTTGGTTTTGTTTCTTTACACCTTTACCTTTTTTTGCCTTCTTTACGTTTTAAAATGTAAAATCATTCTGAGCTCATGGGCTATACAAAAGCCTCTAGCCAGACTGGACCCACAACCTGCAGTTTGCTGAACCCCGCTGTAGATCAGTGGTTCTCAAAGTGTAGTCCCCTAACCAGCAGCATCAACGTCTTTTGGGAATTTGTTCAAAGATGCAAATTCTCGGGCCCCATCCCAAACCTACTGAATCAGAAATTCTCAAGTTGGGCCCAGTAATCCGTATAGTAATAAGCCTTCTGGGTGATTCTGATGCAGGCATTCAACAGCGGTTGCATATTAAAATCACCTTTAAAACATTTCAATACCCAGGCTTTACCCTATATCAAATCAGAAACTCTGGGGGCGGGACTAGGCATCCTTTGTTTAAAGTCCTGCAGGTGATTCAATGGGCAGCCATAGCTGAAAACCACTGGTATAAATCTGAGAGATAGTTTTTGTATCTGCAAAGAAAGATTTAGTGCTAATAATATTGCCAAGGTATGCAATACTTGAGAATCTTCTTGTTTTGATAATTTCTTGAAGGAATTCCACGACAATCAATTAATCAAAGGATGACTATACAGTACTACATATAAAGCACCAAGTTAGGTATCCTGGAAATATTTTCTTGAAGCGTATTTATATGGTCCCATCTACTTCTGAGTAGTTTGCATATGGGAAATCAAACTTCTCCGTTTCGAAGAAGCTTATAATTTCCGTTTTACAAGGAAGGACCAACTCAAGAAGCACCACCCAAATTTGTTCACTGAGGTTAAACCTGAAAGACATCTTCACTGGTTACCATTTTCTTACTCCCCTCACCATTGCCCAACAGGCTGGTTCCTTATTTCATTATTCCAAATGGAGTAAGTTGTAGGGTGATTCATTCTTGTTGCAAAAGCACATTTTTCCTATAAATATTCTGTGGAAAAGCCTTTGTATGGTTTTATACTGGTAGGATAATTCTAGAGTGCCACATTTGACAAATGACATCAGCTTGCCTGCCTAGCCATAAACCATTTTATAACTCTTATGCATAATTTGGCTTCAGGTCAAGGTGGTGTAATATGAACAAGCAGAATATACAGCACAGAGTGTCCTCAGAAGCTATCTTAAAGATCAGCAAAACTCATTCCTGTAAGAGAAGCTCATCTGTGAAGCAAGGTCAAGCCCAGTGGTCATCAGAGAAGGATCCCGTAGCTGGAGTTGCTCTTTGCATGGAAGTGCTTCTGCCTTGTACCTCTGCTGTGGCAGACCCTCTAGTTGCCCACCTTACATCCATTCCCTCTACCATCAACTACTGCCCCGTTTTCTTGTTATAGGTATTCCCATTTGTTCAGGAATCAAACAGCCAAATTCTTCAGGGGAGGCTGGCCTTCTCCCCAGCCCCAGGGGTTGAATCTCAGTGGTTGGACAAATCATGATAATTCCATTTCCTTTCCAGTCATTGGTTTAGGAATAAGCATGCGACCCACAATTCTGGCCAATGATACTTCTTGTTTTGACAGGAAGTCTGCAGGGGGACTTCTGCAAGGGGAAGTCTGCAGGCCTCAAAGATGGGCAGCAGTTGGGACAGCTCTCACAGGAAGGTCTTCAGGATCACAGCAGGGACATGTATGTCTCCATAGCTGTCAAAGTTCATGGGCTTCCCTGCACACAGAACACAGTACAGCTGAGGTCTGGGCTCTGGCCTGGAGTTTGCTGCTGCAAAACGAGCTCTGAAGCAAAATGGCTTGAAAACTCCTGGTGCAAATAGCCTTATTCTAGAGCTACATGTCCCATGGATGACTTTGTCCTCACCTGGATATGGGGGTGCTCTTACCTCACCAGCCCCCGTGGCTGCACACCTCGCCGTTACTGCTTCCTCCTGGGTCCCCGGCAGAGGCTGGGGTGGGCTATTTAGCTTCTCTGCAGTGTTGCTTCCAGCTCGGATGGAAGCTCTCTGAGCCCAGGGCCTTAGCACAGGTGACACACAGCCCACAGGCCTGGGACAGGCAGGCAGATGAGTGCCCGAGCTTGGCACCATGCAGCCCTGAGGCTTCGTGAGTAAGGCACGATTGATCGTGTGAGCAGGAGGGATCGAGGGCAAGTCTTCTCAGCAAGGTGGTGGCTTCATTAGTGTTTGCATAGAGGACTCTGCGGGAGGAGCTTCTGGAAAGTTCTGTTTGCTGTTCAAAAGAAATATAAAGATGTTTCTTCTTAGGCCATTGGATACTTTTGTGTGGATATGATGCTCAGGGCTGCTGTAGCCACCTTGAAACCATGAGTGAATATGCCTGGAGCCAAAAGCTAACACAATGAGGATGGTGTAATAGAAAGATGGTTTATTAGGTTCTCCAGAGAAACATATATAGAGAGAAATATAGAGAGATGTAAGAGGAGACATATAATGAAACTTGGCTCACACAATTATAGAGGCCTACAAGTTCCAAGATCTGCCAACGGCAAGCTGGAGAACCAGGAAATTGACTCCTGGTGATGTAACTCCCACTCCGAGGCCAAAAGCCTGAGAACCCGGAGTGTTCTCAAGGTCAAGGGAGGGACAGTGGGAGGTGGAGCTAGTGTAAGTCCCAGAGTCAGAAGGCCCCAGAACCAAGAGCTGTGATGTCCAAGGGTGGGAGAAAATGGATGTCTCAGATCAAGGAGACAGGGAGAGGCTGGGCATGGTGGCTCATGCCTGTAATCCCAGCACTTTGGGAGGCCAAGGTAGGCGGATCACTTGATGTCAAGAGTTCAAGACCAGCCTGGCCAACATGGTGAAATCCCGTCTGTACCAAAAAAAAAAAAAAAAAAAAAAAATTAGCCAGAGGTGGTGGTGCATGCCTATAATCCCAGCTACTTGGGAGGCTAGGGCAGGAGAATCACTTGAACCCGGGAGGTGGAGGCTGTAGTAAGCCAAGATTGTGCCACTGCACTCCAGCCTGGGTGACAGAGTGAGGCTCCATCTCAAAAAGAAACAGACAGGGAGAGAATTCACTCTGCTATTCAGTGGGCATTCAGTGGATTGGATGATACTTGCCCACAATGGTGAGGGCAGATCTTCTTTACTTAGTGCACTGATTCAAATGCTCATCTCTTCCAGAAACACTCTCACAAACACACCCAAAAATAATGTTTAGTCACCTACCTGGGTATTCCTTACCCAGTCAAGTTGACACAAAAAATTAGCCATCACAGATGGGAAGAATCTGGATCCCCAGTGAACTCTGAGCTGAATTTAAAACCCCAAAATCACCTGACTTCAAGACTTTATTGTTATGTGAGGTAATAAATGCCCTTATTGTCTAAGCCACTTCTGGTGGATTTTCTGTTCTTACAGTCAAAAGCATCCTAACTAGCCAGGCAAGGTGGCTCACACCTGTAGTCCCAGCATTTGGGGAGGCTGAGGTGGGTGGATCACTTGAGCTCAGGAGTTCAAGACCAGCCTGGGCAACATGGTGAAACCCCCTCTCTGCAAAAAATATAAAAATTAGCAAGGCATGGTGGTTTGCGCCCATAGTCTTATCCACTTGGGAGGCTGAGGTGGGAGGATTACTTGAGTCTGGGAGGTGAAGGGTACATTGAGCTGTGATCGCACCCCTGCACTCCCACCTGGGCAACAGAGTGAAACAAAAGCATCTTAACTAATACGTCTGTTAGCCCCATAACCAACTCTAGAAGAACCTTATATCTCATATTATAGTATCTGATTACTCCAAGAAAATACACATTAGTACTGGGATTTTTCTGTTGGGAGAAAGATTTTTTTTTTTTTGCTCATTCCTTTCCTAGTTTTCTCCCATACTGACATAGCAGCTTGTCTCCACCACAAGGCTTAGTCTCACTGAGTACTTTGTAGCTACCACTCATTCATGAAGACCTGACTGAGCTTTTAGTTCTGACATTATTGCATCAGCCTAAAACAGAATGGTAGTCCTAGCCACATCAGACACCGAAACAATGAAGAGAAGTCTTTATCATTCAGGTGCTGGCATTTTAATTATCTGTTTGTTGTTGTTGACATTGACATTGTCATCTCCATCGCCAGCAGTCTGAGCTCCCCAAAAGCTTCTCTATAATATGCCCAGTGCTTCACATATAATAGGCATTTAACAAATGTTTGTTATATGAATGCATGAGTGAACTCTAGTTACAATTAGAATGTCAAGGAGGATTTGGAGAACTTGAAGATCTGTGTGGTTCCATTTTTGAGATAGAAACTGAAATACTAACTAGCCTTTTTCTGCCACATCTAGTTAAAACCAAAGAGTAAAAAGTATCATACCACCCTTTTTAAGAATGAAGTGTCCTCCTTCCTTGCTCTTCCTCTGATTCTCATGCTTGCTCTCTCTGGAAGTTTTGGAATCTAAATGATCTGATCCTGTGAATTTTTTTATTTTTTATTTTATTTTATTTTATTTTTTGAGACTGAGTCTTGCTCTGTCGCCCGGGCTGGAGTGCAGTGGTGCAATCTAGGCTCATTGCAAGCTCCGCCTCCCGGATTCACGCCATTCTCCTGCCTCAGCCTCCCAAGTAGCTGGGACTATAGGTGCCCGCCACCGATCCCAGCTAATTTGTTTGTATTTTTAGTAGAGACGGGGTTTCACTATGTTAGCCAGGATGGTCTCAATCTCCTGACCTTGTGATCCACCCGCCTGGGCCTCCCAAAGTGCTGGGATTACAGGTGTGAGCCACCGCGCCTGGCCCCTGTGAATATTTTTTAAACAGATAGTTTCATGCCTGCAAGAAGATTTTTCTTTGAAGCCCAAGGAATTCCATCACTGTTGGTTACAAGACTCTGGTGCACTGGTGTGTGCATTTTGAGAGGGTCGTGTAGTTATGTTAGCTCTATAGTAGCTAGTTTATTGGAACTTCAAAGGCATAAGACTGTATATAGCATTGCTTGAAGAAGTACCGTCTTCGGAAATATTTTATCCAGCAGACTGACTTTGGTAGCTAGGGTAAAGAAAAGAATTGGCTTTGTTCGCTTTCCTGTGTGCCTTCCCCCCACTATCTCCCTGCCCAGAGAAGGGCAGATTTGTGACAGTCAGGGTGAGCGTGGCCACAGAAGGAAATGTCCTCCTGCTTTCTTGTGGAAACTTCATTATCTGTCTCAGAGAAGGGAGGATGATTCACGCTAAGATTAAATGTTGCAAGAATCAGATCCTACACATTGAGAGAGATTGAATGACCTCAACGGAGAAAAAGAAGCGTCACGCTGAGACCGGGCTTCTCTGAAGCTAATTCTGCTTCGGAAATTAATTCTCAGTGGACAGCACTTCTGCAATCGTCCCATGAAGGAGGAGAGCATGTGATAGCAAGGGAAACGTGTATTTAATGTGCTCCCTGCGGTCCCTGGTGTCCCTGGTCATCCATGCGAGAATATAAAAGTTATTGGCTGAATCCCAATGATTTATATTAATCCCTCCACAGCAGAGTGGCTTGAATCTCTACCTAACACTTACTTAATGTTTCCTTATGAAACAGTGACTTACTTATATGTCTGTTTCTTCCATTAAATTTTAAGTACCTTGAAGCCTGGTCCATGTTTCAAGTCATCTTTGAACCCCAGTGCCTGAAATACTTACAGTAGCAGACACTCAGTAAATATTTTGAAATGGAACTAAACCATTCTGTAACAGTGAAAGGGCCCAGACTCTATCAGTTGGCAGATATTTACTAAGCTGAGAAGAAATAAGACAGAGACTGTAAATAAAAGTGTTCTGCTCATATAATGAGAAGAGTCTGGGGTTTGGAATCAGATAGACCATGTTTTGAATTCCAGCTTTGTCACTCACTGATTGTTCTAGTTTGAGTTACTTACTTAGCCTCACTGAGCCTCAGTTTCATCCTCTGTGAAATGGGGATAACAACAAATTTCTCAATGGATTGTTGGAAAAGTGAAATGAGGTGATGATACAGGTGGAATAGTGGCCCCCTGCAAAATTTATATGTTGGAATCCTAGCTCCCAGTACCTCAGAATGTGACCTTATTTGGAAATATGGCCATTGCCAATGTAGCTCATTAAGATAAGGCCAAACTGGAAAAGCGTGTTCACCCTACTCTAGTACAACTGGTGACCTTATAAGAAGGGAAAATTTGGAGTCAGAAAAGCATGCAAGAAGAACACCATGTGAAGATTAAGGCAGACGTCAGAGTGATGTTTCTACAAGCCAAGGAACACCAGAGATGATCAGCCAACCACCAGAAGCTAAGGGAGAGGCATGGTACACATTCTTCTTTCCAGCCCTCAGAAGGACCCATACCAACCAGACCAACAACTTGATCTTGGCCTTCTAGCCTCCAGAACTCTAAGACCACAAATTTCTGTAGTTTAAGCCACTGTGTTCCTGGTGCTTTGTTATAGCCATCATAGCAAACAAATGCAGGGAGCATAAGTAGTACACTGAGGGGCAGAGCCTGGAATAACAAGTATTCAAAATTTGTACTTATTATTCCCTCTTTCTGTATTAGACTTTCCTGGGAGTTTGTGTTTAAGAATGACTTTGGCTGAAGGTTAACATTTGGTGATGGTAGGAACAACTGAAAACAGGAGTGAGTAATGATATAACGATTTATTTTGGGAAGGTAGAGATTGGGTAATACAAGGCAATATAAATGTGAAGAAATAGCATTAGGTAGCGGTATGCTCCATGGTTTGAGTGAAATATTTCTATCTAAAGACATACATTTTCTGGAAGTTATTAAAAGTTTACTTCTGTTTTTTTTTTCTAGTATTTTTCTTCTTCTGAAAGCTATTAGTAGAAGTAATGACAACTGATTATGGTGCTCATGATATATCCTTAAAGCTAAAAGATAACCAGCCCACAAAAATGAAATCAAACAATGTTCGTAGCAGCACTATTCACATTAGCCAAAGAGTGGAAGCAACCCAAATGTATACCAACAGATTACTGCATTAACAAAATTTGGTGTGTATATAATGGAATATTATTCAGCCTTAAAAAGAATGAAATTGTTACACATGCTACAAATGAACAAACCTCAAAAACATTCAATAAGTGATCTAAGCCAGACACCAAAAGACAAATATTATATTATTCCAGCTAGAAGTTCCTAGAGTAGGCAAATTTATAGAGACAGAAAGTAAAATAGTGGTTACCAGAGGCTGAGGAGAGAGAAGAGTGGGGATGTCATGTTTAATAATGAGTTTCTGTTTGGAATGATGAAAAAGTTATGAAAATGGATAGTGGTGATGGTTGCACAACATTGTGAATGTACTTAATGCCAATGAACTGCATACTTAAAAATAGTTAAAATGGTGAATTGTATGTTATGTATATTTTACCACAATAAAAAAATATATTATTGACTATCAGCAGGATAAAATCCAGGCTGCTAAGATTGGCCAATAAGATCTTTCAAGTTTTTGTGGTATATACCTAGAAGTAGATTGATAGATTATATGGTACTTCTAATTTAACTTTTTGAAGAACAGTCAATCTGTTCTACACAGCAGCTGCGACATTTTACATTCCTACAAGCATTGCACAAGAGTTCCAATTTCTCCATATCCTTGCCAATACTTGTTATTTTCTGGGATTGGGGGTGGTTAATAGTAGCCATCCTGAGCCAGGCATGGTTGCTCACACCTGTAATCCCAGCACTTTGGGAGGCTGAGGTGGGTGGATCACCTGAAGTCAGGAGTTAGAGACAAGCCTGACCAATGTGGTGAAACCCCTTCTCTACTAAAAATACAAAAATTAGCTGGACGTGGTGGCATGTATCTGTAGTACCAGCTACTTGGGAGGCTGAGACAGGAGAATTGCTTGAACCCAGGAGGGGGAAGTTGTAGTGAGTGGAGATTGTGCCGCTACACTCCCACTCCAGCCTGGGCAACAGAGCGAGACTTCATCTCAAAAAATAAAAATAAAGAATTAGTAGCCATCCTAATGATGTGTAGTGGATCTCATTGTGGCTTGAATTTGCATTTCTCTAATGAGTAGTTGGTGTTGAGCATTTTTTTCATGTGTTTATTGGGCATTTGTATATCTTCTTAGGAGAAATGTCTATTTAAGTCCTTTGTCCATTTTAAAGTTGGGCTGTTTGCTTTTTTGTTGTTAAGTCATAGGATTTCTTTATATATTCTGGATCTTAATTGCTTATAAGATGCATGATTTGCAAATATTTTCTCCCATTTTGTGGGTTGCCTTTTCACGTTGTTGACAGTGTCCTTTGATGTACAAAAGGTCAGTAAATAATTTAAGCCAATAATTGATATTTTTAATTGGTGTGTTGGAAGTTGGGTTTGAATGGGGCAAGGCCAAGAGGTAGAGAGACAGGTTAGATTACCAGGCAAGAAATGGTAAAGTCTGAGCTGAAACAGAGAAGGAATGGAAAGGAAGCCTATTTAGGAGGTAAAATCAACAAGATTCTGGTGACAGTGTAGAGGAAAAAGGAACAGAGGGAGGACGTGTTTGGAAACTACTTCGATACTCAGCAAGAGATGATGTGGACCTGCACTGTGGGAGCAGCGATAGGAGCAGAGAAGAGGGCCAAATTTGGGGAGAGTAAGTGCTGATTGGACAAGTGTGGGAATGGGAGGAGTGATTGATGATTCCAAGTTTGGGCAACCCAGGAAAATATTACCTTAATTCATAGTTGACAACCTAAATAAAAGTATTCATTGACACAGACCTGTCTAGAAGTATAGATTCCTGTAGTAAAAAAAAATTCACTTGAGCCTGCCCTGAATCCCCCCTCCTCACCTCACTTTCCACTAAAATCAGTTTTATAAAAGTAACTTCTGGGTTTTATCACTGCTGACAATGCTAGCCTCCAATCCTTTTAGGAGGTGAATTGGATAATAAATAAATGTAAAAAAAAAAAATCCCAGGTTCAAATCTGAATGCTATTTACTAGCTTTGGGAGGACTTTGTATAAGTGACCTAAATTCCATGAGCTTCCATATCTTCATCTGTTAATTGGGTATAATAGCACCTTCCTCACAGAGATGCTGTGAGGATCAAATGGAAATGATGCAAGTCAAACAGTGCTGTGCCTGGCATGCAGAGAGCCTCAGGACATAGACGCTGTTGTAGGAGGTGCTATTTCACCTCCATATCCAATGGCTGTGGGGAGACAGAGTGGCTCAGCAGTGAAGGTGATATGTGCAGGCCAGCACCCTCTGCCTAGAGAGCACGATGAAAGAATCATGGCCCTGGAATCAGAAAATCCTCGGTTTAAAGACCTGGGAGGGAGTGACAGTAAGTCAGCCCGAGTGGTGAAGGAAACATTTGGCACTGTAGTTTTTATTGTGCCTGTCTTCAGATGCATTACCATCAGTGGAAGTGGCAGCTCCACTCGCTTCGAGCCCAGATCTACAGAATCAGCGTTGAATCTACACCCACAACAATGTGGTATCAGCATGGAGGATGCTCAGGATTGCATCCAGAATGTTCATGGTGCCGAATAAGAGCTTCTTGGCCACTCTGAACCCCAGGCAAAACCAGAGGAGCGTGGGTTACAGCTGTCCTGCCACAGCAGTGCTTCACGAGGTTACTTCCTAAGTTTCTCTCTACCAACAAGAGGTCACAGCTCTTTTGTAGCTGAGAATGGAAAGGATTTTGACATTGTCACATTTAAATACAGTAAGCACTTTCTGCCCCATGGGTTGTTAGCAATGGTGATGCCAAGCATTTAAAGCTGTTGTGCCTCATCTAGCTAGGCTTCTATAGGGAAACATAAAGGTCTAGCTATATGTACATAGAGAGAAAGACAGAGAGAGGTTAAGAAACCAGATATTTATATTTCTGAAATAGGTTAACCCAAGCTTTCAAAAACATATTAAAACTGCCCCCTTCCTCACAAAAAGGCAATATGGCAGTTTTATGATTTTTTTTTGTTTACTTCTCTTACTAATATGAATTAGCTTGTCACTGTATTTTGTCTGTCCTCAAAGGAGTTACATACAGTGGACAGTACTAATCACAAGCATGTGTGTTCCACAAGCTAGCACTGACTTTTTACATTTGAATTAATTGCTGATATCAACAACTCAAAAATTGCATGTAAAAATCTATTTCTGGCCTCTCTTGAGAAACCATATGAGATTCACCCCCACAGATGTCAATGACCACCTGAAACTGGGAGGTGGCTGGCCCCTGCAGATGGTGGAGTGGGGCATGCTGTGATGCACCCCAGTCCCTACAGCCTGCCCTATCGCCCAAGTTACTTCTGAGCCTTTATAGGCATGTGAGTAAGGGACACTTATCCACTTTCTGCACCATGTCATGTACAAATAACCAGCTAACAAGTAATTACGAAGCACCTACTAAATGTCCATTACGGTCCTGGTTGCTCTCTGAGTAGGAAAATTTCAAGAAATTGGGAAAATTCAAAAGTTAGAAGAAAACTCACCACTATGCTCAAGGCACTTACAGCCTAGTTCTGTGCCACCCAATACAATATTCCCTAACCACGTGGGGCTCCGGAGCACTGGAAATGTAGTTAGTCTGAATCAAGCTGTGCTGTACGTGTAAAATACATGCTGGATTTTAATGATATTTAATGACATTTTAGTGACACTAGATTTTAAAGATATTTTGAAATGATAATATTTTGATATATTGGGTTAAATGCAATCTGTTATTAAAAATAATTTTATGATTTTTTTTTTAGTTTCCAATGTAGATACTAGAAAATTTAAAATAACGTGTGGTTTGCATTATATTTCTATTGAATACCATTGGTCTTGTTAGTGAATGTGTGTTCAGCAAAAATATACCCAAACTCCCAGTAGTTGGGGTGATATATACATCCTAATGGAAATGGAATATGAATCAAAATAGGTGAAATGTGACTAGATCTGTGTCTAGTACCGCATAGAACCTGGAACTGCAACAAGATGTCTGTCCTCTAATCTGATTCTCGACCTTTTCCTTCTGCTTTAACTGACACTTCCTGGTAAAGATGATGGTGAGATGGAGAATGGGAAGGAGGAGGTAGCAAGGTTTAGGATTTCAAGACTGCTGGGAAGTTGTGTTTGCTTGGGTCCTGTAAGAAGCAAATGCCAACTTGGGCTTAAATGCACATGGGTTTTTATTAGGGAAAATGCTTGTGGGAAAGAAAATAGGGAGAGACCCAGAGAAGGCAGGGAGAGTAAGTCTAAGCCCTCAGAAGGAGAGAGGGAGAGAAAGTTGAGTGGAAGCATCCCAGGCTGCTGTGCAGCCTAAGGCAGGTTCAGCAAAGCATGGGAGAGACCCAGGGACAAAGTCGGAGGAATCCTGTGTCTCCCAGGAATGGGGTGCCTTAGTATCCCTACTGCACTCAGTCATTGGCTGGGAGTAGCCTATGGGAAGTGTGGCCTCTGCAGACGCACAGCAACGGGTTTCAGGGCACAGTAACCTGGGGCCCTGGGTCCTGTGTGTTCTCCCTAGTTGGAGGTCAGCCAATGCATTCTCAGCAGCTGCAGGAGCCATCTATGGTATCCAGTGGTCAAACTAGAAAACGCATGAGAATATTCCCTGCAAAAGAGCAAAGACTGAAAGTGGCCACCACTTTCTCTCATCCTTAGGATACCAGTATCTTTACCTGCCCACCTAGGTCTTATGGTTCATCCTTCATTTATTTGCATGGCTCCCCTCTGAAAACTATAAAGAAATATATATGTACCTAAAGAAAAAAGAGTAACTCCAAAATATATTAATTATAGTATACGTTGAAGTGCTAAATGAGTTTACAGCGAGCAGAATAGGGGTTTGAACTAAAAATCTTAAAAGTCACTTCCAATTCCAACAGCTATACTTCTTTAACTATTTTCAGGGAAATATTCTCAAAGGCATCAACTCCTTTTTCAATAACTGGTTTTTTTTCTGTCTATACTAAAGTAAAATGTACTCTTTATAGAAACTTTGAAATTTAGAGAAAATGTATTTTAAAGAGAAATCACCCCAAATCCTACCACATAAAACTTATCATTAACATTTTATTTTTCCAAAGCACACTTGTATCTATTTTAACTTGATCATAGTATAGATACAATTTTACATATTCTTTTGTAGTATAATGTATCATAAACATTTCCCCATATCATTAAAAATTCCTTAACAGGCTGGGCATAGTGGCTCATGCCTATAATCCCAGCACTTTGGGAGGCTGCAGCAGGCAGATCACTTGAGGCCAGGAGTTTGAGACCAGACTGACCAACATAGCGAGACCTCATCTCTACTAAAAATACAAAAATTAGCTGGGCATAGTGGCACACACCTGTAGTCCCAGCTACTCAAGAAGCTGAGGCAGGCCGGGTGCGGTGGCTCACGCCTATAATCCCAGCACTTTGGGAGGCCAAGGTGGGTGGATCAACTGAGGTCAGGAGTTCAAGACCAGCCTGGCCAACATGGTGAAACCCCGTCTCTACTAAAAATACAAAAATTAGCCGGGCGGGGTGGCGGGCGCCTGTAATCATAGCTACTCAGGAGGCTGAGGTGGGAGAATTGCTTGAACTCAGGAGGTGGAGGTTGCAGTGAGCTGAGATTGTGCCATTGCACTCCAGCATGGGAGACAAGAGTGAAACTACGTCTCAAAAAAAAAAAAAAAAATTGCTGAGGCAGGAGAGTCTCTTGGATTCTAGGCTGCAGTAAGCTGTCATCTCACCACCGCACTCCAGCCTGGGTAACAGAGCAAGACACTGTCAAAAAAAAAAAACAACCTTCTTAACATATATTATTATACATCTCTGATTATTTTCTCATGGTAAATTCTTAGAAGGCTAATAATTGCTAGGACAAAGGATGTACAACTTCTAATTTTGAACATAGTGATAAATTACTTTATCAGTGGGGTAAGAGTGCCTCTTTTTCTAAACCTTCCACAACTCTAGAGAACTACTTTAAAAAAATCTTTGTCAATTGAATAGACAGAAAATGGCCTCATATTTTCAGTGTATTTCCTTTTATTACTAGTAACATTGAACTTTTCATTTATTTTATTAATAATTTATATTTCCTCTTTTGTAAATTATTTCTTCATATCCTTGATTGACCAGTTTTCTATTGAATTGCTGTTTTTTTCTGGACTTATAGGACTCTTTCTGTTTGTTTGTTTTGAGACAGAGTCTCACTCTGTCACCCAGGCTGGAGTGCAGTGGCGTGATCTCAGCCCATCGCAACTTCTGCCTCTAGGGCTCAAGTGATTCTTGTGCCTCAGCTACCACAGTAGCTGGGACTACAGGTGTGCACCACCATGCCCAGCTACTTTTTCTATTTTTAGTAGAGACAGGGTTTCACCATGTTGCCCAGGCTGCTCTCGAACTCCTGGCCTCAAGATATCCTCTCACCTCAGCCTCCCAAAGTGCTGGGATTACAGGCGTGAGCCACTACGCCCGGCCTAGGACTCTTTACATATTAAGTGAACTAATCATTTATCTATCAAATATATTACGAATGTCAGTCCAGTGGGTCATTTATTTTCCATTTTTGTTTATTATGTTTTTCTGACATATAATTGTTTTATGTATGCAAAACTAGCAATCTTTTCATTTATGGTTTCTGCTTAGGTAAGCCTTGCCTATTTCAAGATTATATACAAATTTCCTTATGTTTTTTCTTCTACTGAAAGGAAAACAAAAGTGGATTTACTTTTCATATTCAATATGTTATCCATCTGGAATTTATTTTTATATATTAGTGAAGGTAGGCAGCTAATTTTCTTATTTTACAAAATATTGCCAGTTGTTCCCAACACTATGGCATAATCTATCCTTTCCTATTTATTTGAATTTTCATCTTGCACAAGGATAATGTTTTAAAAATTGCTGTGGGTTTTAAAAATCCTTTTGTTATTCATTTCCAGTTTTATTGCAATGTAATCAGAGAACATGGCCTAGATATTTGTCTACTTTGGAAAATATATGGACATTGCTCTTTTGCTAAGTATAGTGGGTCTCAGTCACGGTGAACTGTTATGTTATGTGGTATGTTGCAAAGTAAAGTTTGACTATTTTAAAATATTTAAACTTGTGAATGGTGTACATTTTTATAAATTAGGATTTTGGCTTTTTTTTTTTTTTTTTTTGTCTGAGACAGAGTTTCACTCTTGTTGTCCAGACTGGAGTGCGATGGCACAATCTCGGTTCACTCAACCTACACCTCTGGGGTTAAGCGATTCTCCTGCCTCAGCCTCCCAAGTAACTGGGATTACAGGCATGCACCATGAGGCCTGGCTAATTTTTGTATTTTTGGTAGAGACTGGGTTTCACCACGTTAGGCAGGCTGGTCTCAAACTCCTAACCTTAGGTGACCCACTTGCCTCGACCTCCCAAAGTGCTGGGATTACAGGTGTGAGCCACTGCACCCAGCCAAATTAGGGTATTTTTGATGTCTCCCCAATAATAATATAATCCTTACTCACCAGCATTACAGTTCTTTCTAGTGGGACAGACTGGTGGGAGCTGTATGGAATCACAGCATGGAGTAACAGAAGTGCTGGGTGGTGGCTGCCAAGGTTCCTATGCGTTGGTGTCCATGAGGCCTGGCCATTGTGGTTTCTGTTTTTGAATTTCAAGAAGGACCCTGCTTCCCGTGATGCTGCAGAGAGTAATTACGGTAATTCTTTCTGGTCCCTCTGACTCAAGCCAGTATGATTAAGCCTCTATTCCTCACAATTAAAAAAAAAAAGCCTAATTGAAACACCATGTACATTCTTTAGGGCTGAAAGAGGGTCCAGTTCATATCAGATAAGCTCAAACATGGGTCTCTAAGGAGGCAAGCAGCCCTAGCCGACCGGGAGACCTCTACTGAGTAGCAGCTCCAAGGAGATGTTGCATAGCTGGACCAGGCCTTCTCCCCCAGGAGTTCTCCCATGGTGACAGGGCCTGGCACTGCCTTGGGATCTGAATTCTGAGCTTTGCTGTCTGGTACACTTCCAAACGGATTTAGTAAGTACCTATTCCCCCCTCCCTGGTTATAGTAGCTCCAGCCCCTCTAGCCACAGTTACAGGAAGATTCTGCTGCAAACCTCCTTCTCTGGCTCTTTGGGTCTTTCTTTTGCATTTGGTGAATTGAGAGTTTTCCTTCTTTTCTTTCAAATGCATTGCACTTCATTGAAAGAGAGTATCTAATACATATTTTGTGGATTGCTTTGGAATGTGGTAGCACCTCAATTGAGTTTCTAGGATGGTCACAAATGTCCCCCTATTGTTTTAATTCCTTTAAGAGTGGATTTTGAGGGAACATGGGCGAGTTAAGCCTTTGTGTTCCAATTACCATCATGAGTTGAAGATTACTTTTCCTGGTCTAATTCCTTTTTTCTCATTTTAAACTAAAAAGTTTTCAGTTTAAAATAATACCTCTTTATTGAATCTGCCCAAGTAATTAAGGGAAGAAAAGTACAATGAATAGGCATCAGTTGGTAGAAATACTAGGACATTTTTAATAGCTGAAATGAAACATATTAAATATAATTACAGCCTGAGCAACATAACAAGACCCCCATCTCTACAAAAATATTTTTAAAAAACTTAGTTGGCTGTGGTGGCATGCGCCTGTAGTTCTAGCTACTCAGGAGGCTGAAGTGGAAGGATTGCTTAAGCCCAGGAGTTTGAGGCTGCAATGAGCCATGATTGCACCACTGCACCCCAGCCTGGGCAACAGAGTGAGACCCCGACTCAAAAAAAAAAAACCAACCAAACAAACAAACAAACAATAAAAACATACAACGGATAATCTCAGAATGGTATGCAACATATTCTTTGAATTTTGCTCAATTTTTTTCTTTGTACCTTCTTTATTCTCTCTCTTCTCCCTTGTAGTCATTTCATGTCAGGATACCTAATGGGTGATATTAGGAGTAAATAACTCATTCAATAAACACATTTGGAGCCCCACAATTTGTAAAACTTTGAGCAAAGAATTGTAGGACATGCAAAGGGTAACTGAGTACTGGCTGTAGCAACTGCCATCGTAAAATTGTAAACTTCCACAGGACAGCACATTAAAAAAATGCTCAACATGATTCGTTATTAGGGAAATGTATTTGAAAACTATAAAGAGCTACCATTTCACATCCACTAGGATAGCTGGAATAAAAAAGTCAGGCCAGGCACAGAGGCTCACGCCTGTAATCCCAGCACTTTGGGAGGCCGAGGCGGGCAGATCACCTGAGGTCGGTGGTTCGGGACCAGCCTGGCCAACATGGTGAAACTCCATCTCTACTAAAAATACAAAAATTAGCCTGGCAGGGTGGCATGCCCTATAGTCCCAGCTACTCGGGAGGCTGAGAATTGCCTGAACCTGGGAGGCAGAAGTTGTAGTGAGCGAAGATCATGCCACTGCACTCCAGCCTGGGTGACAGAGTGAAACTCGGTCTCAAAAAAAAAAAAAAAAAAAGTCAGGCAATAAAATTGTGAGGATGCAGAGAAATGGGAGCTATTCTATGCTTTGGAGTGATAGGAATGTCCCAAAATTAGATGGTGGTGATGGTTGCACAGTCATGTAAGTATATTAAACACCACTGAATTGTGTAATTTACAAAATACATATCTGCTGTGTATTAGTCAGAATTATAATGAATAAACCAAATTTCTGAGGTTTTCAAAAAACCTCGAAACTTTAACAAGAGATGAAGAGGGGAAGAGCTCCATTCTAACAAGGGAAATTTTGGAAAGCTTCTCAGAACAAACAGCATTTAAGCCAGATCTCAAGGAACAAGGGTTAACATGATAGCCATTTACAAAACACCTGTATCTGTTCTGTAAGTGTGCAGAGTACCAGGTCTTTATTTCAAATTCTCCGTCTACATAATATGTTCTCTTTGTTGCAGATGAAGACCATCAGAGAGGTCAAGGTGGCTTGCCCATGGCCAGAGAGCTAATGAGTGTCAGGGAAAGAGTGAGATTGGCTGAGAGGCAGCTCCTGAATTGTGTAGGGGTTTGAGTAGTCTACGCAGAGGGAAGGATAAGTGCAAGGGTGAAGGGGTAGAAAACAGCAGAATATGGATGGGAACCAGCAAGGCAGCCAGGTGATTGGGCTATTTGTCCAGTTAGTGTTTGGAACCAGGGATCTGTCTGAAAAAGTAGGCAGGAGCCAATTTATGGAAGGTTTTGCATGCATGATGGAAAAGTTTAGGCTTCATTTTAAACTCTTCCAGGAGCTGGGACTTTTAAGCTGGAACAGATCTATGCTTTAGAGACAGGGCTTTAGCAGCAAGGATGATGCACAACCACAGAGCCTAATGTCAAGACAACTGGTTAAGAATCCAGGATAGAGAGACTGAGGTCTGGGCTAGGGTTGCAGAGCTAAACAAGGAGGAAAGGAGGAAGCTGATAAAACCATCATTTCAAATTGGTGCAAGCATTTTAAGTGTTTACATTCCTTTCCATTAACATTTGGCACTGCGAATAAGGTGAAATGACGTTCTTCATCAACAGCGTTATTTTGGACCAAGGACTGATTTAATTAAACTGAGTGCTGATGCATGGAAATACTATCCTGTCCTAAACCTTCTAGCCCTCTTTGCTCTGTTATAGGCTCCTACCTCATGAGGTTAATAGTCTTCTGGCTAGGAGAAGCGAGGGGGAGCTTCTGTTAGCCAGTAGGTGGCATGGTCTGAGAACGTTAATCCCCTTTTCCTTGTCCTGGCCCCTCACATGTCATAAAGACTACACCCACGCAGGAGAAGGTGAAAAGTATACTGCAGATATCTATCATTCAGCAGATTCCAGGAGATAAATTGTTCACTTCTATACCCAGAGTCACAAAGGTTTAGAGGCCACCATCAGTTTGGGGTAGTGGTTTAGTACCAGGCTTAAGAGCAAATCCCAGCTCTGCCACTTATAGCTGGGCACCCTTGGCTTTGCTCTACTTACTTAACCTTGCTGTTCCTTGGATTTCATATCTGGAAAATAGAGATAATAATAATAACATCTTCATAGCACTGTTGGGAGGCTTAAATCAGTTTAAACAGGCAGTAAAGATTAGAAAACTGCTTAATACACTAATGTCCAAAAACTATTTGAAATTCTTCTTTTGGGGCTTTCCAATCCCTTCCTTTCTCCTTTTTATAATACAATCTTGAAATAATAGTTTGCTTATATCTCTATGGTAGCAATATTTTCCATTCACTCTTAAGATAACTTGATTCTCAACAATTGCATCTGAAATCAGACCATAGTATCAGAACCAGTATAGCTTTTGAAAACTAGTGTAATCCATGCTAAAGACTTACTAGCTGCTTTAAGGGTTCTTGCTTCATTATGATGAAGAAAACTGCAACTTTACTCCCTGTGTTTATCTATCTATCTATTTATCTATTTATTTATTATTTGAGATGGAGTCTCACTCTGTTGCCCGGGCTCTAATGCAGTGGCTCGAACATGGCTCACTGTAGTCTTGACCTCCAAGGCTCAAACAATCCTCCAACTCAGCCTCCCAAGTAGCTAGGACTACAGGTAGGTGCATGCCACCACACCTGGCTAATTTTTAAATTTTTTATAGAGATGAAGTCTCCCTATATTGCTCAGGCTGATCTTAAACTCCTGAGCTCAAGCAATCCATCCACCTCAGCCTCCCAAAGTGCTGAGATTACAGGCGTGAGCCACCACACCCAGCCTGTGTTTATCTTTTCAATACTGTTTCACTTTCTGAAAAGGATGGGGGAAGGAGAGGACATTTTCAAAGAGGTAAAGCTGAGAAAGAGATGAAAAATAATGTGGTTTTGTTTTTTTGTTTCTTCTCACTCTCTATTTCCTTTTAGCCACATCCTTCTTGCTGTGTCATGGTTGCTGAAATTTCTGGATGTCAATATTTGCTTTCTATCTCCACTAAGAGGAATGCACATAGTAACTTAATTGATTGATCCATCAACTTCCAAAGGTATATTGAGCCTGAGCCCTGTGAGAACAACAAGGTCTCCTGTTTTCATAGAGCTTATAGTTGATTGGAGAGACAGGGCCAGTGTGTGAAATAACAATACTATTAGCATGTATAAGCTGGCAGCGGAATAATACTCTAAGCAGGTATCAGTAAGGGCCGGATGACTTGAGCGTCTGGGGATTCATCAGTTATACCCACAGTGGTGGGGCTGTCAAGTAGCCTGGGAGAAAAGAGCTCTACACTGGAATGCTAACTTCAATATCTGGGTGAAACAAAGGCCAGAAAGCAAAAATGGGGGGAAGCCGGCAACCTTGAGAGGCTCTGCTGACCGCTTAATAGTATCTGGATTTACCTTCCCTCTGCCTCATTTTGAGTCTTACTCTGGTGATGGGCTCTTACACTCCTTACTTCAAGGGAAAATGTTCCATGTTCTCATCTTCTATCTACCCAACTCTTGAAAACGACATAAAAGAGAATACAGGCCAGGCGCAGTGGCTCACGCCTGTAATCCCAGCACTGTCGGAGGCTGAGGCAAGAGGATCACAAGGTCAAGAGATCAAGACCTCCTGGCCAACATGGCGAAGCCCCATCTCTACTAAAAATAGAAAAAGGAGCTGGGTATGGTGGCGCATGCCTGTAGTCCCAGCTACTCAGGAGGCTGAGGCAGGAGAATTGCTTGAACCCAAGAGGCACAGGTTGCGGTGAGCCAAGATCGCGCCACTGCACTCCAGCCTGGTGACAGAGACTCCATCTCAAAACAAAACAAAACAAAACAAAACAAAACAAAAAACAAACCAAAAAAACCCCTAAGGAGAAAGCCAAGAAGAAAATAAACAGATAACAGATATAAACAAGAAAGTAAGAGCTATCTAAGGTCTGGAAAAGCTGGTTACTCAGAGTAATTCACACATCATTGAAAGACCAATTAGAACCATTAGCAAGTTGTTAGCACTGACTTTAAACTCTGCTCTGATTTAGCCTGGAACCATCCAGAAGGAGCTGCGTCACCATAAGTGGCACCATTATAAAATAAAAATGCATAGACAGCCCTCCATTCACAGCTGCTTATTGGGTCCTTTACTTGTGTGTGTGCTGTGGTATCCCCAAAGGAAGATTTTAAACACCCCCCACCACACACACACACACACACACACACACACACACACACACACACACACAAAATCAAGCCTGGTGGAGCTAATGTAAAAGATGTGGAAGATCCCTAACAGTGTAAGGCTGTAGAAGATCCTGGATACTTCAAAAGTTCAGAAACTCAGAAGCTGAGATCACTCACTTAGGAGTTAGGGTTTGAGCCTGGTCTTGAAAGACGAGTAAAACTGAGGCAGAAAAACAGAGGAGATTGAAGAGAAAACATACTTCTTAACAGTTAAGGCTGGGTGCAGTGGCTCACGCCTGTAATCCTAGCACTTTGGGAGGCTGAGATGGGCAGATCATGAGGTCAGGATATCAAGACCATCCTGGCTAACATGGTGAAACCCCGTCTCTACTTAAAAAATACAAAAAAATTAGCCTGGCATAGTGGCGGGCGTCTGTAGTCCCAGCTACTCGGGAGGCTGAGGCAGGAGAGTGGTGTGAACCCAGGAGGCGGAGGCTGCAGTGAGCCGAGATCGCGCCACTGCACTCCACCCTGGGCAACAGAGTGAGACTCTGTCTCAAAAATAAATAAATAAATAAATAAATAAATAAATAAATAAATACAGTTAAACACATGGGCTCTGGCATCTGACTAATGAAAATCAACTACTTTACCTTGCACTCATGACTTCACCCCTCCGTGCCTCTGTTTCCACATCTGCATGGGAATGATGATAATATTAGCATCTATCTGAGTGTGTTGTCAGGAAGATGAGTTAGTTTGTATTATGAATTACATGATGCCATGCTTGACATACAGCAGACAACCAGTGTTAGCTGTGATTGCATGGAGCAAATGGAAAGAAAGCACATTTCAGAGTAGTCTTCAGCTTAGGGTCACTTATTTTTGAATGTCTCTGCCAAAGCTACTTTTGAACTTGATTATTCAGAAAAATTAACTTTATGGGAAAACCTTTAAAAAATAAACCACATAAAATGAATTCATTTAGATTTAGATGAGAAGTTATAGGAGAGTGGTGTGTTGCTTTTACTATCTTTTAAACAATCATATATTTTCCTTGACAATCAATGATAAAGGGAACCTATTGTCTTGGTGGGTTCAGGCTGCTGTAACGAAACACCATAGACTGCACGGTTTAAACAAAAGATATTCATTTCTCACAGGTCTGGAGGCTTAAAGTCCAAGATCGTGATGCCAGCCTGCTCAGGTTCTTGGTAGAACCCCTCTTCCTGGCTTAGATGGCTGTCTTCTTGCTGTGTTCTCATATGCGGGTGGGAGGGAACAAGCTGTCTGGCTTTTCTTATCAATGCACTAATCCTATCATGAGGACCCCACTCTCAAATTGTCAAACTCCAATTGCCTCCTAAAGACCTCACATTCTAATACCAACACATTGAGGGTTAGGGCTTCAAACATTCAGTTTGGCCTACAAAAGCCCATGGAAGGGCATATCATATTTAAAAGAAAAAGAAGAAAGAAATAATTCAAACCATTATGTTATGTACAGTCCTACAGATGCAAGTCTTTATCAGCTAAAGCTTTAGGACTAAGAGAAAATTGATAATGAGAGTGGTGCCTTTGAAGATTAAAATGTAACTTTTCTGGGCAAAAAGAATATTAAATTTTTGGAAAATCATATTTAGAGTGTTTGAAGATATGGAATCCAGAGATTCTGGTGGTGTGGAAGGGTGATGCAACCAGGGGGAAAAAAATCATGTTCTTCATTCTTTTTATGTAAATATGCTTATAGTCATCTTACTAATTATAAATAGCTACAGAGATTATTCTGTGATAAAATGTCTAGTAGATTTAGCTTGTGCACACCAAGCAGATTTGCAATTTGTGGCCACTCCTGTTGCACAGTTAGTGAGTTGGTGTGCATACCAATGCCCGATGTGCCTCTCCAGCACCTTAGTGGCCAACCTGTCTGTCCCCTCCCCTCCCATTTTGTTCTTCTCTCCCTCCTTTCCTTCTGCAGCCCCTATAGAAGTCCCCAGTCCCACTGCCCCTGCTGTGGCCAGGTGCAGGGAAGTGTGTGTTGGTGGTGATGGGAGTCTCCCTCTCACCTCTTCTAAATTTGTGGGGGAGGGGAGCAGAGGTGTCCCGGGGATCCCAGGTAAAATGAGGAACATTTCACATTGAAGCAATGTTTATCAAAGCAGTTAATTTCTATAGAAATTCCAGCACCAGAGAGAGTAGGTTTACTCAAAAGCAAATGGGGCTTAGACCTTCATTTACATGAGCCCAATCAAGGGGTTTTTGTACTTTTGTCTTTCTTACATTGAAGGTAGCTCCCCAAATTGTTTCACGACCTTCATTTACATTAGCCTCTCCTAAGGGGTTTTAGTACTTTTGTCTTTTTTAATCTTGAAGGTGGCTCCCCAAATTTTAAGTGCTTCAAGTCCCACAAAATCTGGATTGTCTCTGGTCAGCATGGTCATTTAATTGTGGGATTCCTTCCATGGGCTTTTGTAGGCTATCCTGAGAACCTTACTACTGTATAAAATGTTGCTTCTGTGGAGCAGTTTCTATGAGAAACAAACAACACTTACAACACATATACAATCTTTTCTTGTATTGGTAAATTGTCTGATCTCTAACTAGGTACTTAATAAATGTTTGTTGATTGAATGATGATGAAATAAATGAAGGGAAAACAGACAAACTTGAGGCACTTATTGAATGCTTTTCTCTAGATGGTGGAATTATGATTTTCATTTTCTTTGTACTTAGCTTTTTTCAAATGTTGAAAATTTCCACAATGGACCTGTATTATCTTGAGTAATCTAAACCTAGCTTTAAAAGTTCGTAGTATAGATGTTCTTTCATCTACACATGTATGAAGTGCTTCTTCTGTGGCCTTCGGTTAGTTCTAAGGATATCAAGCCAAGCAAACCCCATAGCCTTGCCCTCAAGAAATCTACAGTACCAAGCACTGTCTGAGCCCTGAAGGGGTACACAGGTCAACATCACAGAGCTCTGTCTATTCAGGGTGGTCTATGTAGATGAGAGAAGGAAAAAGGAGGGGGAAGAACAAAACTTATTGTGCTCAAAGATCCTTTTATATGGATGTACACACACACACACACACACACACACACACACACACACACCCCTCAGTTATGTATTTATTTCATTTTACCACAGGCAAAAGTTTCAGGCAGGGCGTAAAAACCCAAGGGAAGAGTGGACTACATTTGAATAAATCCATCAGCTGTGTCCATTCTCCTCCCTAACTTTTCAGAAGGAATGGAAAGAGAATAAAATTCTACCAAATTTGAGTTTAAAATAATCAAGTCTGAAACAATAGCTTCTATTTATTGAGTTCTCACCCATGTGTCAGGCACTATGCAAAGTGTTTTACATGCATTGCCACCTCGTTTTATTTTCTTTTTACTTTCACAAGCTTATGAGGTAGGAACGATCATTATCAATGCCTTTACAGATGAGGAAAGAAAGAAGAAATGAAACAAGTCACCAGTGGTGAAAGGGATGGGGCTGGCTGCCCCTGATTGAAATCTCAATTTATCTACCCTCCCTTCTTAACCGCTCCTTTCCAAGAGGCTAGACTACAAAAAATTTGGGCTCCAAGAAGTATGAACCAGAATATGGATATTTTGTAAAAATGGAATGTAAGTTGAGGTTCCTGAACAATGTGATGTTAGGCAGGGTGCGGTGGAATTGGCCTGTAGTCCCAGCTACTTGGGAGGCTGAGATGGGGAAGATCCCTTGAGGAGGATCTCTTGGGTTCAGGAGTTCGAATCCAGCCTTGGCAGCAGACCCCATCCCTGAAAACAATAAAAATTAAAACAACAACAGTGGGATACTAGTCTTTTAATTTGAAAAAAAAAGGGGTGGAGAAAGGGAAAACCAGTTTTCAAAAAAGGCCAATTTCCTAGACATTAGTGGTTGATTACTAACTCATTTCATTAAACTAAATTATGAATTGGCTTTTCTCGTCAGTGTCACCACTCTGATGGCGTTCTTTTCCATTTTCCATCTTCACCCTGGCCGAATGTGGGAAATGATCTGGTTTGTGCATAATCCGCGAGGCCCAGGGAGGATCTTTTGCCCCTATTGTTTTCTTGGGTGTTCTCACTCTGGGGGCCTGACATTCCTCGCGTGTCTAAGGCAATGAGGGAGCAGTGAAGCGCGGGGAAGCCGCACAAAAGACATCCAAAGGCTATCAATGGAAAAAGATCAATTAGGTGCACACAAGAAACACCCAATATGCCAGGGAAGAGAAAAATACCCTTTTCCAGAGGGTGGGAAATTGATTGAGCTTCTGTGAGGGTCCACAAAGAACTGGACGGATGCAGTGGTGGATGGCGATCTCTCTGGACCACTCCGGACGCGCCCAGCAGACGCAGCCTACGCCTTTAGGTCCTAGGAGGCTGAGAAGGGTGGGGAGAGGGGGGCAGCACGATCTTGTGTCTTTCCTCCCCGTGCCGCCTCTACCGAATCGCGGATGCTTCATTAATCTTGCAGGCGCCGCAGCTCGGGTCAGTATGGAGGCGGATCGGTGGCAGAGCCCGGGCCTCTGGGCTGCGCCCGCCCGTTCAGCCTGGCCCGGGAGGGGAGCGGCCGCGCGGTGGGCCAAAGACGCCCGGCCTTCCCTCCGTCTGCTTCCAGCAGGCACAGCCGGGAGGCTGGGCTCAGGGGCTGACCCGAATCTCCCCTAGAGCTGGGCCCACCCGGCTGCCCCCCGAGCAGCCTCGCCGCTCCCACGCCACCGCCCAAGTGACAGGCCCGGGAAGGCCGGACGGGACGCAGTCTTCCCGCCGGGGTCTTCCCTCCGGCTGGCCGGCCGCTGCAGGGCGCGCGCGCACACACGTACACACACACACACACCTGCCCACACACACACACACACACACACACACACACTGCCGCCTCCTTCCCGCCCCGCAGCCCTAGCAGCCCCCAACCCGCTCCCCAGCGCGCTGCGCCCCGGCGGCCTCCGCAGGCCCCGCCCCGGGGAGGAGAGCCAGGCGCGCGCGGGAGCTAGGCTCGGGGAGGGGCCGGCGGTGGGGGAGTGTCTGCTGCCCCCGCCCCTCGAGTGAGTGACTGAGCGAGGAGCTCCCCTCCCTCGCTCGCTCCTCGCAAGCTCCCGCTCGCTCCCTGCCCACTCCCGGGGGGACGTTCCGTGCCGCGGCCGCCGCGGCCGCTGCTTCTTTCACACTTTAGTTGGGAGCTGCGCGCCGCGCTCAGTTACTGGAGAGCTGGCCGCGCGCCGCCGCCTCCCGCACGCTTGCACGCGGGCCCGGCTTCGGGGTTTTGGGTTCTTACTCCAAGCGGCGGGGAGGAGGGGGAGCCCCGGACACACTGTGGGGAGGAGGAGGAAGAAGAGGAGGAGGGAGGAAGAAAAAAGACGAGGAGGACAGGGGCGGGGGGCGGGAGGCTTGCCACCTTCAGCCCCCCCGCGAACGCCCAAGGTAAGTGTGAGCCATTGCCTGCTCTGGGGCGGGGGGAGCTGGCGGTGCAGCCCGCCCCGGCTCGGCTACCCGGGCATCCCCGGGTGGGCAGGGAGGGAGGCCTGCGGGGTGTCTGCCGCACGGAAGGGATGGGAGCCGCGGTCGTGGCGCTGCCTGCGCGGGGCCCGGGCCGGGGCTGCTGCTGGTGCGGGGCTGGCGGGGTTGCTGCCAGGGACGGAAGCTGGGGTGGGGGAGCCGCGAGGGGCGTCTGCCGGCCTGGGCGGAGGGGCTGGGATGTGGTCGGGGCTGCTGACGACTTTCGTCACATCGAGGCCTGGGTGGCTGGTGTTAGACACCCCTCCCTTCCCACCCGCACCCTGCCGCCCTCAGCCTTCCTGCTCTCCTCTAGCTTTGCATGTAGCCACCGTACTTTGCAAGCCAGAGCTTGAAAGGAAAAACACAATTTAGGATCCTTTGCTAAGTATCCAAGTCCCTTCTCTCGCTCCGACTGATTGATGTGTTTGTGTGGGTGGTTTGACCCCCGGGATTTCTGAAGTTTTGACCTTTTTGGGGTGGCTCGTTTCGTTGCATCTGTTTGCCCACCTCGGTGTATTTATTATTCGTGCCCATGCGAGGCAGCCAGAGGGTGCTTGGTTATTGTACACGAAACAGATTTCACTCTCCTCTGCAGGCAGTTCGCGAAGTGCCGCCGCCGCGGCTGCCTTTGGTCTGCTGGTTAATGTCCTTTCCCTATCATCCACCCTGCTCCCTCCCTCTACGGAGGGTTAGTTTTTGTTTTTGTTTTTGTTTTTTCCTTTCCACTTACTGTTTGTGTGAGAGAAGTCCTGGGCTTAAGGGCTCTCAGCACTCGTTCATTTCTCTTCTAAAGCTCTGAATGGCTCAGGCATGTCGGTAAAATTTGGGGTGGTCCTCTTTGCTCCAAGAGTTGCATGGCCAAAGATAAAAATATGCACACATAAACACGCATTAATTCTGAGAGACGGCAAGCAGTTTGAGAGAGAAATAATTTGTTTTCAATAGGAAGTCGGTGACCTATGGGATCTCTTCCATTGCCGGTGGGTTAGGAAAATTGTTTTAAAATAGATAGTGCTTGTGTTGTCCGTGGCTGGAAGACAGCCATAGTTCAGTTACTGAAGCAATTCTGAAAGTGATACACCCTGGGCACCCAGAACCTCAGTAAAGACACACGTAGTCTGACTCAGATGTTAGGAAGGGGACTGACACACCATAGATTCCATGGAGTATTTTTTTCTTTCTTTTCTTTTTTTTTTTTGTAGGAGACTGTCCAGACCGTTTGGGGAAATGACAAGTTCATTACACAGACAGATGTAATGAACACCTCCCTATTCAAGGGGATGGGTTCAGCTTCTGCCTAATAGGAATAACCTTTTGATTTGATAGAATTGGAATGTACCAGGATAGAAACAAACATAGGTGGAGTGGGCCTGAGCTACTTCAGCACTGTTGTGGGGAGAAGGTGATGTTTCTGAAGGGTCTTTTAAGTTCAAGATGCTGAATTTGGAGTTTTCCCCCCTTTTTCATATTGTCTAGAGCTGGATTGTAGGATCAATAGAACATGTTCCATGTTGGCTGTTTGGAAATGTAATTGTCAGACATGGAAATTAATTTGGATTGGATCACCTATTTTTGTTTTGCTACTTACAAAGTAGGAAGTACCAGTGATAGGACAACGGAGTGTATTTATAGGCGTTAAACCAATGCTGGGACTGGTACTTCACAGATCACAAATGCAGCGTTGAAAGAGGATGTCACTCAATGTTTACTGCTGTGCAAACCTGCTTCAGAGAACAGTCCTGGAGGCTTCTAAAAAGGGCAACAAAGACCAGTGCGCTCAGCTCTTGGGTGGGTGGGTGCCTGAGGAGGGGCGGGGTGCTTCTGTTGTCTAGCTTTGTCACAACTGGGCATGTTTCCAAAGAAAAATGGCCTTGGGTGGTAGAGAGGTCTCACATCCTCCAGTGTTAAAAGTTCATCCTAGAAGGACCTTAAAGTTCCAGCTTTCCTTCTCAGGGTTGACTTAATTTAACTCCGAGTTTAGAAAACTGATAATTTTGTTTTCTTGGCTAGACATTTATCCCTCCTCCGCCCCATCTCACTTTATCATTCAACATGGGTTTCTGGGAATTAATAGGCCACTGTCTGAAGGGGTTTGATTCTTGAAGAATCACAGGGCATCATTCAAGAGCTTTGGTACTATTTGCTATGACTTATTCAAAAATCCTACTAAGGAGGAAGGTGGTTTGCTCTATTATAATTTCCAAGTGAATCATGCCTCAGTACTGTGTTGCCTTTGTGACCAGGCAAGCTTTGAGTTTTACATTCTGAGTGGCTTGCTCCAGGCTCTAAGCAGCCCCCTTCTATAAGACGTTTTTTTGTTTTTGTTTTTTGTTTGTTTGTTTTTGTCTAAAGGAGACACCAAAGGCTGGGAGAGGGAATGTCATGTCACCTTCCAATAGGGCAGGAGAAGGCAGGTGACATATTTACAGAAGAGTCCTAAGGTGATAAATATGACTGTCTTCATTTGAATTTATCAATACAACTTACAGCCATATAATGAGGCATCTTGTGTAGCTCACATGTTTAAGTACAGAGGTCTTGGGGTTCTGTATCCTTTGAAGTTTCCTTCCAGCTCTACTTTGAGGGTGGCCCTAACTAAAGGGTAATCGTACAGTAATTCCGGAGGGAGATTGTAGGATACTGCCAGTTAACAGAGAAATTGGTGAAACCTCACTGTCTTATGATACTTTGTTTTCCTCCAGCTTCTTAGAACCAAATATAAAGAGAGGAGAGAGCATTGCTTTGTTTGTATTTTCTCTCCTGATGTTTAGCTGGTATCTTAGAGTGTGGTCACTGCTCATTTCAGGTGATTTAAACTGTTTCATTCTGCACCTCCTCATGGGTGGAATGGAATCCAGACGCATCAAAGAGTTAGGAAAGGGTATGTACACATGGGTAAGCTTCAGACTCCAGCAAGTGCTCTGAGCAGCACAGTGCTGATTATCAATCAGGAGTGAGGGTATGGCAGGTCTGATCTTACAATGCAAGTTTACATGAAAATAATTTGTATGTGAAAGTTGATTTGCCTCCAGTTTTTTAGGAACATATTGACTACGTAAATCTACTTATACATCTAGTCAATCAGAATTCACTCAGAGATATTGGGTCGATCAGTCTTCATGAAAATATACATCTCCTAAAAATACTATTTTGGAAATGGATATAGTGAAGCCTCCCTCCCAAGGTGAGGGAAGGGTTACATGATATATAATACAGGTTGGAGGACCCTACACAATGTACGTGGTGGGTACTCAGATGACCTTTTTTTTTCCAGCTTTACTGTGTAAAGATACTTTTATGAATAGGCTTTTAGCAAACAAATACATCTTTGGCCACTTTATGGTCCTTCTTTGAGCCTCAATTTTAAAAGTCCCGTAGCATGCAGTAAATAAAAATTATGCTTAATTGGGTTCTTCATAAAACACAAAAAGCAGATTGCAATAGACCAGTATAAAGTACTGCTTAGAAAACTGAAAAAACAGGGATAGGGCTTGTGTACAAGAAAGATTGCGACAGTGAAACTATATTTTAAATAATGGTGACAGTTTTGACTTCCAGAGATCATAATTCAAGAGCTTATCTGAAGTGGCATGTAAATTACATACATACATATTTTTTAAAGTAGGCAATTATTTAGCTTGACTGTCTCGGTTCTGAAGTTTAATTTTACAAGTTATAGTTGCAACAAGAAACAACATGACATGCTGTGGTTATGCAATTATGACAAGAGTGGTTGGAGGTAAACTGGGCTAGGATAAACATAGAAATGAGCACACAACAGTGTCTCCAGTCACCAGGTATTAAGAAGTTTCTTTGCTTTTTTGTTAACTATATTACTAGAAAATGTATTTCCCAGGTTGTAGGCTAATCACCTAAACTAATGATTGCTTTCTCTTACATTTGTGAAAGGAGATGCAGCTTCCCCAGTCTAAAATGGAAGCTGAGAAGACTAATTGGCCAAGCTACTGGAAGGCTAGGCCCTTTTGCTCATCTCAGCAACCCCCATAGCAGCTAGCACACTACTTTGCACTTGGAAGTCACTCAATGAGTGATTGAATGGAATGGAATTTACCTAATTAGTTAAGATCTGCAATGTGTCAAAATTTCCTTGGAGAAATACATTAGATGTGGACTTAAGTTTTAATAAATGTGTATGGTAGTTTATTAAGAGCCCCATATTATGCCTCAGGTAGGATTTTTAAATGTTGAGACACATTTGACAGGAAACATACCAAGCATGATGTCCTCTCAAATTATTGAAATTTCTTTCTTTCTTTTTTTTTTTTCGAGACAGAGTCTTGCTCCGTCACCCAAGCTGGAGTGCAGTGGTGCAATCTCACTGCAATCTCCACCTCCTGGGTCCAAGCAATTCTCATGCCTCAGCCTCCTGAGTAGCTGGGATTACAGGCAGGTGCCACCATGGCTGGCTAATTTTTGTATTTTTAGTAGAGACAGGGTTTTGCCATGTTGGCCAGGATGGTCTCGATCTCTTGACCTCAAGTGATCTGCCCACCATGGCCTCCCAAAGTGCTGGGATTACAGGCGTGAGCCACCGTGCCCGGCCCCCAAATTACAAGAATTTCTAGTTAGGAGCATCTTGATTTGGAATAGATATAATTTCTGTATTTGACAGGCGTTCCTTCCCTTATGATTGTAGCTGTGGTCTTCATCTTATTTGCCTCAGGGATTTGGTGAATAACAGTGCCTAATATTTATAGTGTGCCTTATGGTTTTCAAAGTCCTTTCATGTAACCTGTCTCATTTGACGTTTGGCTGCAGCCGTAGCAGTCAGGATTTTCCATGCTGGGATCTTTCCCAGAATGTGCCTGGATCAAGGAGTGCTGGAGAGGTCCAGGGAAAGCTCAGGAAGCCCTCCACCTCTTGATTTATTAGATTCACTGCTGCTCCCTCTAAGATAACCTGAATAAAGCAGGAGCTAAACAGTGTGTACACATGGACGTTTAGAGTGGAATAATAGACACTGGAGGCTCCAAAAGATGGGAGGATGGGAGGGCGGCGAGGGTTGAGAAATTACGTATTGGGCACAATGTACACTATTTGGGTGATGGGTACACTAAAAGCCCAGACTTCACCACTACACAATATATCCATGTCACAGAACTGCACTCCTATCATCTAAATCTAAATTTAAAAAAAATAATAACTGAAGTAAAGGAAAGTTGAGACCTGTTAGTGCACTGAGCCCACTCAGGCTCCCAGCATCCAGTGGCTTTCCCCCTATACCTGTTCTGTCTCTTGGGCTGGCTTTGGCCTCTTAGTCCACCTTTGACAAGTATCCCTTTCATCTATCACTTCCTTTCTGAAGATTTTTCATGTTTTTCTGGCCCATAGATTTTTATCCATAGACATTCCTCCTTTTTTTTTTTTTTTTTTTTTTTTCTTGAGACAGGGTTTCATTCTGTCACCCAGGCTAGAGTGCAGTGGCACAATTTTGGCTCACTGCAACCTCTGCCTCCCTGGCTCAAGTCATCCTCCCACATCAGACTCTTGAGTAGCTGGAGCCACAGGTGCACACCATACACCTGGAGAGTTTTTGTGTTTTTTTCTAGAGATGAGGTCTTGCCATGTCGCCCAGGCTGGTCTGGAACTCCTGAGCTCAAGCGATCCCCCTGCCTCAGCCTCCCCAAGACCACCGCAGCATCAGCCACTGTGTCAGGCTCCCTTCTGCTTCCTATCCCACACCTTACTTTTGCCTGCAAGACTTTATTGTCTGAATGTGTCTGAATGAGCTTTTCCAGTACAGTATTTTAACCGTATCTCCAGATCCACTGTCTATCTGGCTCCTCCCACCTATCTGCCTGACAGTAGACTTCTTGCTTCCAGCCCAGTGACTCCCTTCTTCCCTCAGGGCCCCTGTCCTACTTTGCCCCACACCTCCTCCCTTCTTCCTCCCACCCACTTCTCTCCATCAAGCTTTTAGATCTTCCAGCACATACCTGCCTCTGCCTGTTTCTCAGGCTCCCGCCATCTCAACACATGTGTTTATAGTATTCATGAGTTGACATCCACATACTTTATACCTTGTAGAAAAGTGGAATTAGAGCACCCCCAAGTTTAGGGATCTTTTTGCCTTTGTTTTCATTTTTGATTCTAGTATGTTATATTGTTGACTTTGTAAGGCTCTTAAGCCATTTATTAGTAGGTGAGTACTTTGCTTCTTCACTTCTCTTAGCTATTACATTCTCCATTGGATAAGCTAAAGGAAATATCTTGATGATTATTGTTATTTTAAAAGATTTGGACAACAAATCTGGAAAAGCATTCCAGAGATTTTCATAATAGCACCAAAGGAAGACTTTATTACACACCAAATTCGGCTTGCTAATCACAAAAGTAGAATGGTTTATTTAATTTCATCTTCATTACCTTTTTTTTTCTCCTTTGGTTAAGTAAATGTTGGTTAAATAAGTATTCCTGCAACTTGAACTAATTTTTTCCAATTTGTTGTAATTTTACTGCTCTCCATGAAAATTTTATAAATTCATGGGACACATTTATGCCAAGTGAAGATTCTTTAGCTAACACCTAATGTTGTTGGTTTCCTCTATAAGTTTGTAGCCTATATCAGCCCTATCAGTAGGGTCAGTGGGGAAAAAAGTAAACTGAGCACTACTACTGGAAAAATATATCCCATTGACTCACTACATATGAATTTGGATTGGTCTTTTTAGAAAACTACTTCAAAAGTAGATCCAACATTTGTTATGCAATATCCTGAGTGCTTTAGGGCTTTTGGAAAAAGGTACTTTAAAGCAGAACAGGGAGATGATGGTTTTTAAGTAATAATTCCTTTTCTTGGATGGATCTGTATTTTATTTGAGTGTCATGGATACTGCAGCAGTTTCAGTTCATTGTTAAACCACATGTTAGAATATATTTTACTTTGCCTGGTGACTTATGGTTTTTCCCACCTGAACTGGGTGAGGAAAGGCGATTGAGAAGTTGATTGTTTTCACTGAAGTGTGGGAACCTTTTTCATACCCATCATCATAGATACAAGTGCTAAGGGATGTACTCTCAACAAACCATGACATGCATGCATATCATAGCCATTCCTAAAAGCTTCTTCCTGAATTCCACAGTTGACAAGGAGGTCTAGTAGAGCCCCTGTATTAGCACTATGTCCTTTTACATGAGACAATTGAAAGGCCAGGTGTAAAGTAAGGAGATGCTGCGGGCTGCCAGGCTGTGATTTGCAGGAAACTTCTCAAAGACACAGATAGTCAGGGTGACTTCAGTGGTTCTATCTCAAAGTTCTGCCAAAAGCAGTTTTTCTAAGATAATTTTGTTAACAGTTCTTGCAATTAATAGGTTATAAGGAATAAGCAACATATATCTCATTATATGTTTCAGGTGGATAATATTTTGATGAAGGAAGTGAGAATCCAGGAACATCTCTTGAGTTGCTTAGTAGTTGCTGAAAATTCAGATATTCTGGTTTGTGCCAGGAATCCATGACAGTCTAGATGCGACTCCCAAAACAAATTTTATGCCTCCCTTCCATGGCCTCCCCAACACCCACCCCTGCCTCACCCTGGGATATCCTTCTTCCCCTCTACTGTGTCTCTTGAGATCCAAGATATTTCTCAAATCTCACTTCAAATCCCACCTCCTCCAAGGAGCCCTTTTTCTGCTATAAGAGTGGTTTCTCCCTTACCTTCCATGAACTGCTGTAATACTTATTTTAGGCTTAATTTATTTTATTATTAGTTTTGATTTTTATTATATATATTTTTGTCCCCAGCCAAATGTAAACCCTTCTATTGTGCCCACTGGGCCTTAAAAGTAGATTGGTCTAAATAAGTAGTTATTGATTGATTGACAGCTTGTCATTGATCCTGAGGCTCACAGTTTCTGTCTATGAAGACCTTGCTCCCGTTTGAAGCCTTCTTTAATATAATGAGGAAGTATAGTCTGGAATGAGAAAAGATAATATAAATTTTTAAATTCCTTTGTTGGCCAGGGTTAAGGGACCTAATCTTTGTTATTCACTCAGATAATTTATTGAACAAACATTGACTTTTGTTAATGAAGTTTTGTGTCATTTCTGGTGCCTGGGACTGGAGAGATGCTGGAGATAGATAAAAAGGCCTGGCCCTGCCTTTGTGGAGTTCTCAGACAAGCAGGAGAATTGACATGCGAACACATGATATGTGGTGAATAGACAAAGGTGCTTTGGGAGTTGAGATAAGAAAGCACCAAGCTCTGTTTAGTGGGAAGCAGACTGTGCATCCCAGTTTCCCTGGGGCAGTCCTGGCTTATTCCCACTGTCCAACGTAGTTAATAATAGTGTTCCCTTTACTCTCAAAAGGATCTCAGTTTGGACAATAAATGATGACTCCCCAACATCGAGGAGTCATAAAAGGTATCACAGAGAGGGATATATTTGGACTGACACTTGAAAGCTACCAGGAGTCCTCCAGGACACTGCTTACATTGCCAAAAATACTGGGGACTAACACTGGTTTGCTAACTTTGAATTTTTTTTATTTTACTGTACACTCATAGACCAATTCTCTTACTGGCATTTGGGGATAAAGGGGTTTGGGGGCAGATGGAAGATGAAGTAGGCCACTTCAAACAGAAGAAATGTAATGACGTGGAGCCATGTGGTTATGGATTGATGTCGCTGGACTTTCCACATATGATAGAGAGCAATGGGAGATGAGGCTGATGAACTATGCAAATCCTTTTAGGTCATGCTAAGAGTTTGGACTTTTTGCCCACAATATAAGCAGTGAGGGTCACTGAAAGATTATAAAGAGAGAAAAGCCTATTTTGTATGATGTTTGGTTCTCTATTGAGTATGGGTAAGAGACTGGAGGGGACAGAGATGAGTCAGAACAAGTGAACTGTAGTACTAACTAGGAGGGAGATACTGAGAACTGAAAATGGAGAAAGGGGACAGACAGAAGAAGGATTTAGGAAGCAGAACTGATAGGACTCAGTGAAAAATTGGGCAGGAGAGTGATAAAGGGGATAGAGTAAAGGATAATTGTAAAATTTCTGGTTGGATTATACTCTGAGCTGTGGAAGCTAATAGCCATTAGAGGGAAAGATAATTAACTCAGTTTGCAAGAGGTTGAGTTTCTGGTGTGTATGCTCTCTTAGAAGGAGATATCTAACACATAACTGAAATTCTGGTCTATAATTCAGAAGAGAGGGTTGGGATAGAATTATGAGTTTGCTGTCAGCTCAGTCATCATTTTCTCGGAATCATTCACTACATTTCCATGATGAGGTCAAATCCCTCTATTCTACCCTCTTACCACACCACGTACCTCCTCTCCTTGTCTGTATGCACTTTCCAATATTGTAATTGCTCATTCATTTTTGAGTTTATTTGATTAATGCTAATAACATCCCCCCACCGCCTGCAACTGTAGGGTTCATGAAGGCAAGACTGTATTTGTTTTTGATCCTTTTGTATCCAAAGAACACCTGCCGCACACTAGGGGCCCAGCACATATTTGTTGAATGGATGAATAAATCAGTGATTGAAAGAGTTTTTATAAATGTGATAGTTGAAGCTGTTGTGGTTCAGCATCAGTTTGCACAGGGAAAGTATGTAGAAGAAAACTAAACAGTGAGTTCTAGGGAACCCCCGTGTTTCAGAGGTGTGATAGAAAAGGATGGTGAAGGAGACTCAAACCAGGCAAGTGTGGTGTCTGTCAAAGAAAAGGGAGGATCAGGCAGTGGCATGTGGTCAGAATTGTTGTATGAAGAAGTAAAACAAATCTAAAGACATTTTCATAATGTCTGTTATTAAATAGATGTGGGAACGTTTATTTGATGGGAATATATCAACATGTTTTCTCACCGTTAAAAAACTGTATGGCTGGCTAGGCACAGTGGCTCACGCCTGTAATCCCAGCACTTTAGGAGGCCAAGGAGGGCAGGTCACAAGGTCAGGAGATCAAGACCATCCTGGCTAACACGGTGAAACCCCGTCTCTACTAAAAACACAAAAAATTAGCCAGGTGTGGTGGCGGGCGCCTGTAGTCCCAGCTACTTGGGAGGCTGAGGCAGGAGAATGTCGTGAACCCAGGAGGCAGAGCTTGCAGTGAGCCAAGATCGCGCTACTGCACTCCAGCCTGGGTGACAGAGTGAGACTTGGTCTGAAAAAGAAAAAAAAACAACTGTATGGCTACTTAGCATTGTAATATTATGTATTAGCTTATGCTGCATGCAAAGTTTAATGTTTTATCACTTTGTTAGTTTTGTATGTTTGGAATCTGAGTTTAGCCTTGTATAACTTATGCGAGCACCCAATGTAGTAAAAATTTGGAGCCATGGTTTGGGATGATGTTGAAAGTGCCAGTGTTTAATCATTGTGAATTTATAAGTGTGTGCGTTAATTTGTAAGGGGATTAAAAATACATGGGTATTTACATCCTACCAGATGAATAGCCATCAATTGTAAGAACACTTTAAGTTACAGCAAATGATTGCTATTTGATTCCAGAAGTGGAGGCTGAGAAGCAGTGTCATTAAAGGTTTGTAGTATAAATAGGGAAGCTTATTGCAGAGTATGTTTGTTACTCATTCTCGGACTCCACTGAGAGGGTCAAGGAGAGGTAGGTGAGGCATCATAATGTAGCGGGAAGAATGTGGGCTATGGATTCAGCGGATTCTATCCTAGTTTCGCCACCTCCTAACTCCAGATTAGTGATCTTGAATGACAACGGCAATAATTGACAATAGTAATAATGAAAGCTAACATGTACTGAGTGATGACTCTGTGCCTAGGTACTGTGCTGAGTACACGACATGCACTGTTCCTTTAATGCTTGCAGCAACTCTATGAGGAACCCACTACTGTTACCTCTTCTTCACAGACAGAGAATGACTAAGCCTCAGTGTGTTTAGGATCTTGATTAGGTCTTGTAGCTAATAGTGGTGGTGCTAAGACTGGAATCCGAGCGCTCCTACTTTAAAGTCAGACTTTTAATTGTCAACTCCCAGCCAGTTCTGTTTTCTCTGCCCCCTTCCTCGTACACTCCTTTCTTCTCATTTACTGGTTCTTTATGAAGCAAATCAGACATTGTATTATCTGCTCTGTACATAATAGATTGTCATTTAACCACACAGGTATATTCTAAGAAATGTGTCTTTAGATGATTTCATCATTGTGCATACATCATAGAGTGTACTTACACAAACCTAGATGGTATAGCTTGCTGCACACCTAGGCTATAGGATATAGCCTATTGCTCCTAGGCTATAGACCTGTACAATACATCTCTGTACTGAATACTATGGGCAGTTGTAACAAAATGGTATTTGTGTATCCAAACATCTAAATATAGAAAAGGTAAAATATGGTATAAAATATAAAAAATGATATACCTGTGTAGGACAGCTCCATTATATAATCTTATGAAACCACAGTTTCATATCCATTGACCATTGCTGACCAAAACATGGTTATGTGGCACATGGCTGTATGTATTTCTAAAAGATACAGAGTCGTTTTCCTTTTAAAATAATCATAATATTATTATCATGTCTAATTTCTAACAGTAATTTCCTAATATCAAATATTTAGTCAGAAAGCAAATTTCCTTGATTGTCATCATTTTTAAAAATTATTACTTTTTTGCGTTTTTGGGATCCAAACAATTTCCACACCTGAGAGATGCATTTGTCTTATTTACAGGCTTTCTTTCCCTATTTTTATCTCTTTTCCTTCTCTGGAAGTTTATTTGTTGAGGAAACAGGGATTTGTCTATAGGATTCCCTGTATCCTGACTGCATCTTCTTTGTTGCTGTTTTTTATTATATTTCTCTGTTTCCTCATGTATTTCCTGTAAACTAGTAGTTTGAGCTAGACTGGAAGCTTATTAGAAATTTTTGGCAAGAGCACATCACAGGAAGTGTTATGTACTTCTATTTTTTTTTTTTTTTTTTTTTTTTGAGACAAGGTCTGACTCTATTGGCCAGGCTGGAGTGTAATGCTGTGATCTCGGCTCACTGCAGCCTCTGCCTCCTGGGCTCAAGCCATCCTCCCACCTCAGCCTGTCGAGTAGCTGGGACTATAGGTGTATGCCACCACACCCAGCTAATATTTTGTAGAGAGGGGTTTTTGCCATGTTGCCCAGGCTGGTCTCGAATTCATGAGCTCAAGCAATCTGCCCACCTTTGGCTCCCAAAGTGCTCGGATTATAGGCATGAGCCACCACTCCTGGCCATGTTAGGTACTTCCTATTACATCACATCAGGAGGCACACATGCCTTCTCGTTTCTTCTTTTGTGAAGTTAAGTCTAACAGTGGATTTAGGTGTTGTTAGTCTGATCACAGGCCCTGTAAAAAACATTGATGCTATTGTGATTATTATTTAGTAAGGGTTATAAAATGGTGATATTCTGTCATCCCTTCTGCATTTCCTAGCTGGAATTTTTCTCTCAAGAAACCTTGACAACATCAACTATTTGTTACCCTGAGATATAGTTTATGTAGGAAAATTGATGCTTGGTTTTCTTTCTTCTATTTAAACCAATATCAGAAATAATGAGCTGATTTTCTAGTAGCCTCTAGAGGAAACCAACAAGATTTTTTTTTTTTAGTATCATTATGAACTTGTGGATTTTAACACAATTTATGTGTTTTAATCCCTTGCAGTTTATTTTGAAGCTCAAATTATTTTTGTGTCCAGTGTGAGACTCTTTAAATTGGCTTCTGAATCTTTTTGATGAGACGACAGTAGTTTTTGATAACATTTTTACTTTCTTGTTTAATAAGATATTTCAGATTTGTTTTGTACTTTTTCTACCCCAGATCTTTTTAGTGGTAAACAGTATTTCGAGACCACAGTACAGTTGTTAGGGGTTCTCATTGCCTTTGAGCTGGTCATTGTTTTTAGGCCTTTTCAGTGGACAGAGTTCAGAAAAATATGTATGTGTACATATGTGTCCACTCAGATATATATGTGTGTGTGTTTGTATGTATGTGTAGGTATGATATATATGTATATATGCATGTTTACATATTGTTTCCCTATTTCTTCCCTCTTAGCAAAAAGGTTGCCTACTGTAGTTCTGCACCTTGCATTTTGTACTTAACAGTATATTTCCGAGATCACTCTGTACCATGGGTAGAAATTTCTCATTGCATTTTACAACTGCAGAAATTCTACCGTACAGATATACCATAATTATTCATTTGGCTGTATGGTTGTTTCTAATCTTTTGCTCTTACATTTTAGTGGGGAATTTTTTGTTGTTGTTGTTGTTGTTGTTGTTGATGGGGGTTTATTTGTAAGTCAAACAAAGCCAGAATTGAAACTTCATTTAATTAACTAGATGGACAGTGGAATGAACAGTGGTGCAATAAACAGCTTTGTGAATATTTACATTCATATTCTTGCTGATTTATCTTTAAAATAGATTCCTAGAAGTGGGATCACTGGGTCAAAGGATAAATACATTTGCAGTTTTGCTAGACATTACCAAATTCCCTTCTGTGGGTGTTATGTGCTACATTATTTTGCATTCCCACTAACAAAATATGAGACTGCCTCTTACCCTAGAGCCTCACCAATAGAAAAACATTGTACAGCCTTTAGGTCTTAGCCATCTAACTGGTGAGAAATGATAGTCTAGTGTAATTTTAATTTTTATCTCTCTGATTCTGAGCTAGTTTCAGCTCTTTTTCATGTGTCTAGGGGTTTGCATTTCTTTTTCTATGAACAGTTTCTTCATATTTTTTTGCCCATTTTTATAGAATTGTGGGTCTTTTTCCATTTTATTTTATTTTACTTATTTTTATTTTTTGAGATGGAGTTTCACTGTCGTTGCCCAGGCTGGAGTGCAGTGGCACCATCTCGGCTCACTGCAACCTCCACCTCCTGGGTTCAAGTGATTTTCCTGTCTCAGCCTCCCCAGTAGCTGGGATTACAGGCATGCACCACCATGCCCTGCTAATTTTTGTATTTTTCGTAAAGACGGGGTTTCGCCACGCAGCCAGCCTGGTCTGGAACTCCTGACTTGGCAGATCAGGTGATCCGCCTGCCTCAGTCTCCCAAAGTACTGGGATTACAGGTGTGAGCCACGGCGCCCAGCCCCCTTTATTTTATATTAGGGATAACATCCCTAATATTTGGCAAATATTTTTCCCAGTTTATTATTTGTCATTTTTCTTTGATTATGATGTTAAGCAAATTATTTTCTTTGGTGCAGTCAGTATTATCAGTGTTTCTTGATTGTCTCTTAGTTTTAAGTCATTGTTGGAAAAAATTTCCTTACATCCAGGTTATAGAGCAAGACATATGTAAATACAATACATGTGTAAATATTTAGTAGATACATTTACAGCAAAAAAAAAAAACCCAGGTGAAATTAATTTTAATAATATTTTTATTTAACCTAAAGTATCAAAAATATTATCAATTTCAATAAGTAATCAGTATTTAAAAATATTAGTGAGATATTTTTCATTCTTTTTTCATGCTAAGTTTTTAAGAACTAATGCGTGTTTTATATATTTAACATATTTCAATTTGGTCACTAAATTTTCATCATAAATGCTTGATCTGTATTTAGGTTTCATAAAATTTACAGTTGAAAAAAGTAAATTCACATAACCAGGTTGTTCTAGTTGTACTTAAAAAGTTTTCCAATACCTAATTGAATATCCATTTTAAAATTTCAGTTAATTAAAATTAAATAAAACTGAAAATTTAGTTCCTCGGTCACACTATCTATGTTTCAAGGTCTCAGTAGCCACATATGGTTAATGGCTACCATTTTGGACAGTGCAGTTGTAGAGACAGTCATCTGTATTTTCTTTTAGTACTTGTGTGATTTTATCATGAACATTTACATGTATGAATTTATTTTGTTGTATGGTATGGAGAATGGATCTAATTTTTGCAACATGGCTATCTGGCATCACAAACCGCTTATTAAAAGTCCATCTTTGGCTAGGCAGAAGGAGCACTTGAGGCCAGGAATTTGAGACCAGCCAGGGCAATATAATGAGACCTCATCTCTTCAGAAAAATTTTATAAACTTAGCTGGGCATAGTGTTGCATGCCTGAAGTCCCAGCTACTCGGGAGGCTGAGGTGGGAGGATGGCTTGAACCCAGGAATTCAAGGTTACAGTGATTGTGCCACTGCACTCCAGCCTGGGTGACAGAGCAAGACCCTGTCTCAAAAAAAAAAAAAAAAGTCCATCTTTTTCCCACTGATTTGAGATGTGCCCCCCTTATATAATTCATTTCTATACATAGTTGGCTGTATTTCTGCATTTTCTGTTTTCCTCTATTGGTCTGTCCCTTCATGTTCCAATACCCTACTGTTTTAATCACAGAGGTTGTACAGTATGTCTTCATATTAAAACCATGGCAAGACGCCATTTCGCGTCTACCAGATTGACAAGCACCTGTCAATATTAAGTGTTTGGAAAAGGCACAGGGCAAAGGAAAGAAACATGCATACCATGCTGGTGAGAGTATAAGTTGTTAGAATAATTTTGAACAGACTATACCTTGTAAAGTGTTCCCCTGCTTCCCTTATCTTTCAGGGTAGCAGAATAAAGGAGTAGGGCAGGTAGCAAGGCTGGAGTGGGAGCAGTTTTGTCTAATAACTTCAGTTTGCCCTACCAATATTACTGTTTTCTTTACCAGTTGGATTGTGAAAAAGGTTGGGAAACACTGCCTTAAAAGAACTCTTAACATGTACAAGAATGCACAAAGTAACACTGTTGATAATACTGAAACCCTGCAAACAGTGTATATGTCTATCAACAGTGTAGTGAATAAAGAAATTGTGGTACATTCATATGAAACAATAGTAAGAGTAACCTACAACTGTGCGTGCCAACAGGGATGAATTCAAAAGCATAAAGATGAGTGGAAAAGCAAAATAGAAGACTAATACAATATGATTCTATTTATGTAAAGTTCAAAAACGGCTAAAGTAATATATTGTTTAAAGATAGACTCATAAATGGGAAGACTGCTAAGAAAAGCAGGGGAAGATTAACAAAATGCAGAAGGATAATTAATTACTTCTGGGGTGAAGGGTATGTTGTGCTTGGGCAGGGTTATACATGAGACTTCAGAGGTGCTTGTGATGTTCTGTAGGTATGTACATAATTGTTCATTTGCTTTTATACATTAAATTATACATGTATTATGTGATTATTTCATAACAAAAGAGAAACAAAACAACAAAAACAAAAATCTAGACACAGGAATAGGCTAACCGAAACTCAGATAATTAAATTTATGCTTGAGAAAAACTTCTTTCTCAAGTGGAACACTTGGCTTTTAATTTTTTATTTAGTGGCAATAACTTTTTGATTGATTGTGTTAAAGATTGCAGATAGAAATTTCCTTTTAGTGTCTGGGTCAAGCAGTAAGAAATCTGTTATTGTGTATTATACACACATGAATGACAATTACATCACCAGGTAACAATTAAAGGTAGAGTCATGGGTACTTTAACACTAAGCAGTTTTTTGGTACCATTTATGCAAAATATCATCATAGTCAATTTTAACTTTATTCAGCAGGAGATTTTTGAAGGAACATAATAAATAGGAAATGTTTATTAAGGATATGTTATATGCCAGATATAGCACCTACATTAACTCATTTAATCGGATAATAGCCCATGAAGAATTAGATATGGTCTACATTTTACAGATGAATAAACTGATACTCAGAGAGGTTAAGTAGCTTGTCCAAAGTCACACAGGAAGTACATGATGGGATTTTAATGCAGGTTTATCTGTCCCCAAAGCCTGTGTTTTCAGCTTTCTGTTCCAGAGTATCTTGTTAAGAACTTCAGGTGCTAATCTGTACCTTTTCTCAGTGGAGTCCTTAGTCCATTTTGTGCTGCTATAACAGAACAACTGAGACTGGGTAATTTATAAAGAACAAAAATTTATTTCTCAAGGTTCTGGGGTCTGGGAAGTCCAAGGTCAAGGTGCTGGCAGGTTTGGTGTCTCATGAGGGCCCAGTCTTGGCTTCCAAGATGGCTCCTTGAATGCTGCATCCTCCAGAGGGGAGGAACGGGAAAGCAGAAGAGCCGAGAGAAAGTGAGAAAGAGGGCTGGAGTTGCCCTTCTTTTCTGGCACCAATTCTACCCATGAGAGTAGAGCCTTAATGGTGTAATCACCTCTTTAAACTCTTGCCTCTTAATACAGTTACCATAGCAATTCAATTTCAACATAAGTTTTAGAAGGAACAAACATTCAAACCATAGCAAGGCCCATCCCAGAAGGTATTTCTGAAGTCCAGAGAAGGAAATCCTTGAATAGATTGTGGCAGTTCTTCACAATAGCTAAGTGAATGTTAACATCAATTTTAAGCTTGCTTTTCTTTAGTGCCATTAAACAGTCACTCTCTACCCCCTCGTGATGCGTCCTTTCATAGATTTGCTGGCCCTAAAGAATTTGATTGACTGGGCAGAGAGAGACCTGCTTGGATTTCTATTTGTTTGTTTTCTGATCTGAAGCCTTCCACAGATTTCCATCCTCAAGATTACCCTGGACATTAAAACCTTTCTTGGCTAAGCCTGTGCAAAACCCTTGCATCCCATTTCTCCTTGCATTAAAATTTTATGTGTCTGTTTCTCCAGCCTGTCAAAATTTTAAAACCTTTTTCTTAATTCTTCAGAGATTACCTTATGTTATGCAAATTGTGATATCAGCAAATGAAACGTTCCCTGGTCTTTTATCTGAATCATTATTTGGCATGTTTTTATTAGACCCAGTGCTAATAATTCTTTTTTTTTTCTTTTTGAGTCAGGGTCTTGCTCTGTTGCCCATGCTGGAGTGCAGTGGCACGATCACAGCTTATTGCAGCCTCAATCTCCCTGGCTCTATCAATCCTCCCACTGTAGCCTCCTGAGTAGCTTGGACTTCAGGAGTGTGCCACCATGCCTGGCAAATTTTTGTATTTTTTGGAGAGACAGGGTTTCACTATGTTGCCCAGGCTGGTCTTGAACTCCCAGTCCCAAGCCATCTACCTGCCTCGGCCTCCAAAGTGCTGGGGTTACAGGTGTGAGCCACCACACCTGGCCCTAAAAATTCCTATTATGCTTTAAAGTTACATCATGTTTATCTTTGCAGTTCCCCCATTCTTGCTACCCCTACTTTCCACTGATATTTTCGCAGAGAATGCAGCTGATGAAGGGGACAGGGTGGGAGGGAGCATTCAAATGAGCATTTGGTTGCTAGGGAACCTAGTTTACTCAGTAATTGTGACTTCCCAAAGTTGTTTAGAAATTACAGCAGAGCTGTTTGGAATCTCTGTCTATTCCTCTTTAGATTGGTGCTCCTCTAGCTTTGGAGATGACTGAAGTTCCTAAAGTTATTCAGTCTCTTTCCCTGGGAGCTGTTAGACTTGCTTTTTCCAGGGACTGAAGTGACAAAAAATTTATTCTAATCAAAATGAGGTCAGTGTAAGAGTGAAGTTGGTGAATCCCTATCTTATCTTCTGATCTGTAGGGATATGTGTGCCTCTCCAAGCCCCAGCAGGAGAGTTTTTATAGTGATACTAAAACCCTCTTTATATCTTCCTTCTATTTTCATTATATTTGAGTGTCTACCAAGTTTCCTTTCGGTTGAAATGTCAAGAAAAATACTTTCTCTTAGTATTATCTCAAATGAGAATTTTATGATCCTCTGTGTGAAGATAAAATCTCTTACATGTGTTTTGATTTTTCACTTTTTTGGGGATAATTACATCTCAAATTAACCAAGTTAAAAATGAACTCAATAGAATAAAATAAACTCCTGTGATTAGCAAGGGAGTAAAATGAGTATATCTAGAAATGAAATGCATGTAAAATTCATCTTGGTTTTCTACTCCTATGTTAAATTATATAACAACAATGCTGGGGCTCTTCTTTGGATCTTAAATATTGTCAATCACAAAGGTGGGATTAGACTGAGGGTGAGGGAGTAATACTCTTTTAAGAGAAGGAAAAAAAACATTGATATTAATGATAAGTGTTGTTTTTTGGAAAATGAAATTTGTATTAGAGTTTGTGGTAGGCTATTTATTAAGTGGCATAGAGGATCATAACTGGGAGGGGGAGGAATTAAGCTGGGTTAACACTGCTGGTCTTCTCTATGCAGCCTGAAGACAACCTTGTAATTTACAGAAGTGCATTCAGAACATCTTTTCCTGATTGCTCCTTTAAAGGGCTATTCAGGAAGGACTGGAGCCTTACTATGTCTGTTACATTGTGCTTTAATGGGCCAGCTGCATGTGTATCTAAGGGTAAGGGAAATTTATGGAGGCCATGGTCCAAATTTGAATGGGTTTGTCACAGTAAGTGTGTTTTTTCCTCCTTTCCACACTGCCTCCTACTCTGATTTTTCTTTTTATTTTTTGAGACAGGGTCTTGCCCTGTCACCCAGGCTGGAGTATAGTGGCATGATCACAGCTCACAGCAGCCTCAACTTCTGGGCTCAAGTGATCCTCTTGCCTCGGCCTACCAAAATGATGGGATTACAGGTGTGAGCCACCATGCTAGGCCCTGATTTTTTTTCTCTTTGTTTTTCTAGAGACCGAGTCTTGCTCTGTCATCCAAACTGGAATACAGTGGCTCAATCATAGTAGCTTACTGCAGCCTCAGGCTCCTGGGCTCAAGTGATCTTCCCACCTTGCTTTAGCCTCTCCAGTAGCTGGGACTATGGGTGCATATCACTAGGCTTGGCTAATTTAAAAAAAAATTTAGAGACAGGGTCTCACTATGTTGCCTAGGCTGGTCTTGAACTCCTGGTCTCAAGCAATCTTCTCACTTTAGCATTCCAAGTTGCTGGGACTACAGGCATGAGCCACCACACCCCATACCTCCCCCAACCCCAATTTTTCTGTGGAATTGAGTCTTTAATGTGGAACTAACTGTGGCTAAAACATTTTACATGTCTAAAATGGGAAAAAAATGAAATAGGTACCTAAATGGTATTTACCATAATTGAATGAATATGCAGCTACATTTGTCTGGTAACATGTAATGTGAAAAACTCAGAAAATCTCTCAGGTAAGATTTTCTTTTTAAGCTAAATGAGACTTTCCCCACGGGTCACATCCTGAGTTGTGCCGCATCCGCTTAGTGCAGCGTGTGCATCTGTTAAACAAATGAGTGCTCATGAGTCCAGAAATCCACAAACACCATTTCCCCCCAAAGCAAAGAAAATACATCACCTTGGATTATTTTGGTAGCTATAATAAATCTCTTACCTGCTTGCCTTTGAAGCATCATGACTTTTGTGGGGGAGTGGTGGGGGAAGAGGAAATAGAAGCATTTGAGGAAATATACTAGGTCTCTAGCAAATTATTCATGGCTGTTTGGATGCCAGATGAACAATATATTTGAATACTATTTATCCTTTTACAAAATGAAGTGTAAAGAACCCTAAAATAAAAAGTTATATATCTTGGTTGCGCTGATAGTCATGATAAATAGGAAACAGTTTGAAAAGGTCCCATGGTCTGGTTTCTGCACAGCATGGCCATATAAACTTCATTGCAGATGGGCTAATGGATGCCAGGTGAGAAAGGAAGCCCTAACCTTCCACATCAGGGTTTTAGAAACCATCAGGTGGGCCACAGACAGTCTGAGTTCTCATTTTCACTTTTTATTAACCTGGCCTCTATTTTTGTTACCTAAGATGATCGACATAAGACAGAGCAGCTGGAGAATTAATAACTCAATAATACTGAGATTAGGCAGCTAAGAATGAGAAAAGTGTCCTAAATAGAAATTGCAGCAATTCAGTATTTCCTCGCTGAGTAGGTAGATGACTCAATACACTTGGTAAAACATTAAAATTGCTCTATTAAGACTGGAATGTTGTGTTAATATTGTTACATCACAGTGGGGAATGGTTTATTTTTGTTGAGGGTGGTTTATTTGCAAATCAAACATAAAGCCTGAAAGGAAACATTACTTTTCATTAAATAGACGGCCAGCCGAATGAACAGAGAAGGTGAGTGAATTTATTCTGCTGCAGCAGCCCAGGGCTTGGAGGGTTTGTGCTTGTAGGAAAATTCTGCCCCCAAAGAGACTTTCATATTCCATCCCATCAGTGAGAAATCACTGTTCTACTGGGCTTTTCATTGCCTTGCTTTTTTTTCCCATTATTTTGAATCCAGATCAACAAAGGTTATTATTTGGGTCATTTGTTAGGGCCTGGAGCTTTGTTTGCTAAATTGAGCTATAAGTTAAACTGTTTACCATCAAGGAGGGATTTTTATCTGTGTTGAGTCTTTGTGAGGAGAGAGGAATCTCTGATAAGCTGCTAACTAGATAGAAAGTGAAGGCAATTCCCCTGAAGGCTTTACACCCCTTGGGGATAGTCTGACCTTTGAAGAGGCAGTTGTGAGGCCGATCAGGTTTCACCGCCTTTTCTCCAGCATCCCAATCTGATGAAGTCTCATGCATAATAAAAATGGCACATTAGGGTCCTTTTATTTAATTCTCACAATGCTTCCCCCAGAACATTTTAGAACAAAGTCTGTGCCTTAATCACATGGCCATTCTCACAGTGACCTAATGGGTTTGGATGTCAGCATTGGTCCTAGAAGAAACTACTGAGTTATTTCAGCTGAGAAGGTGAAATACGGGTAGTTTCCAACACTTCCGTTTCCTATTCAGCACTTTTTTGTTCTTTCTTTCTCAGTTTTCAAAGAAAGCTTCCTTTGGCATGTTTTCTAGTGCTGGGATGACCTGGGCCAGCAGTTGCCTAGACTAGGGTGGGATCTTACTGTAGTTTCTTCTGGTCTAGATGAGTCACAGCTGAGAGGCCCAGAAAATCTGCTGTTTGTATTTGTCAGTGAGCAGGTCCTTCTTATGTTGGCATTGACTTTAATATTTGCTTTTTGTAGAAAGAAATAACCTTACAATATTGGGGAGGAAGTGAAATGAGGTACTAATGGAAGGTTTGTGGGGTGAGGAATGTGGGCTGCGGGTAGGGGGATGGGAAGATTGCAGAAAATGACCCACAGGTGGATTTTTAGTACAGGTCCTCTTTCTAGTCCTACTGGAATGAAGGGATTCGTAATGGATCTTGGAAAATTAAAACAGAAAGAATAAGAAAGAAGGTGATCTTGACCAAAATAATATAACCATCTTGGTTATGACAACTAGCTCCTTATAGAACACCAACGAACTTACAGAGTGAGGTCTTTGGTCTACATGTCCTGCCTCATTTGTAGCTCATCTGCTACCCAGCACACCACCTGATTCAGGGTGGGCCTGGACAAATACGCACCAAATAGAATTAAATGTTATCATGACTCCAGGGGCTCTGGGTATTGACTGTTTAATTCCCTTCTCTGTGAATTACTGAGTAGTATTTTACTGTTCTAGACTATGCCTTCAGTTGGCTTTGCTCTTATTTATGCCCTTCTCTAGCAGCACTGCAGAGTAGCTCCCAACAGAAGAGAATCAAAACATTTATGTAAATTCGTATAATGGCAGGCAAAGACAGCAGAATAGGGATTCATGTATGAAAAATTGGCAGACTTATGAGAAATAAAAGTGATATATTAGACATGCTCTGTGGAGAAGAAAGTCCAGTAGGAAATGTATTTTTTTATTATGAATTGAAATAAAGTGTCTGATCTTAAATTTTAAAATATAGCTAGTAAATATACTGTAAGGTTCTTCTTATTTAAGAACTTATTGTTCTGGCCAAAGAAAAAAAGAACTATATTAGATAAAAGATCTGTGAATAGCTTGTGCATCTAGGAATAATAGCTTTGGAAGCAATGTCCTGATAATTATATCTGTGTCTGGGTAGGTGAAGATGTTTCAAGAAGTTTGAATTTATCTTGACAGGATTATGCTGAGATAAAGGATGATTTTTCAGGTGGATATCTTTGATTTTATACTTTTGTCCTAACTTTTGAAGACGTTGAATGATTTTCACCAAATTCACAATAGCGCAATGAACATTTTAGATTCAGTCTCGATTTAGTGTGCAAAACGAGAGTCAATTTGTTTCCAGGTGGACATATTTCTGTAAATTGAAACAAATTACAGTGAATTTTTATGTGGATGAAGGTTGCTAATGGCATATGATGGTATTAAATAAGAGGTTATAGTCACTTTTCAGATTTTCTTCTAATACATATATTCTTTGGATTAATTTTATTCAACATAGTGAAAGATTAATTTGCCATATATATTATATATATATATATATATATATATATATATATATATATATATATATTTTTTTTTTTTTTTTTTGAGATGGAGTTTCGCTCCTGTTGCCCAGGCTGGAGTGCAATGGTGTGATCTTGGCTCACTGCAACCTCTGCCTCCCAGGTTCAAGTGATTCTCCTGCCTCAGCCTCCCTCCTTACAGGCGCCTCCATGCCAGGCTAATTTTTGTATTTTTAGTAGAGTCGGGGTTTTGCCACGTTGTCCAGGCTGGTCTCGCTCTCCTGACGTCAGATGATACACCCGCCTTGGCCTGCCAAACTGTTGGGGTTACAGGGGTGAGCCACCGCGCCTGGCCTCGAAAATATTTTCTCCCCCTAAATCTCTGCATCAACTAGAGTTGCTTCTCTCAGGAAATTCTAAAATCCTGCAGAGATAATGTAAATGAAATAGTTCCGATTTGGAGAAAATGCCTTACTGCTAATTTTTTTGTTTAAACAGGAACATATGTGGTTTACGGGAAAGTTTGTGATCAGATGTAAGAGTCTGTGAGGTCCCATCTAGTTTTCAGGTTTTGGCTTTTCAGCAGGCTTGAAAAACCTACTGGCTTCTCTAGGTTCTAGAGGGCTCTTCTGCAAGCCCATTGGGGGACATTATTCCCTTATTAATGATTGCAAAATAATTAAGAATATTTATTTGTTCTTTGTAGTAGAATGTTGCTTGCTGGGCAGCTTTCCATACTATCAAGTCAGAGCATGGAGAGTTCAATGTTATCTTTTCCTTAAGCCAACGTAATGAAAAATTATTGGTTATGGGTATTTCCTTTTTTTTTTTTTTTTTTTTTTTGAGACGGAGTCTCACTCTGTCGCCCAGGCTGGAGTGCAGTGGTGCAATCTCGGCTCACTGCAAGCTCCGCCTCCCGGGTTCACGCCATTCTCCTGCCTCAGCCTCCCGAGTAGCTGGGACTACAGGCGCCCGCCATCACGCCTGGCTATTTTTTTTGTATTTTTAATAGAGACAGGGTTTCACTGTGTTAGCCAGGATGGTCTGGATCTCCTGACCTCGTGATCCGCCCGCCTTGGCCTCCCAAAGTGCTGGGATTGCAGGCGTGAGCCACCGCGCCCAGCCGGTTATGGGTATTTCTTAAGAAGCCATATATAAGAGCTTCTATATGTTCTGTCATAAACTTGAATTTGTCTTCAGTCCACCAAGTTTGTCTCAGAGGAATCTGGACCCAGATGTGAGATACAAAACTTATTTGATGCTCTCCTGGTGCTAATATGGTTGGACTACCTAAAATTATGCAGAGATGATTGTATATTTAGACATTATTTGATATGGCTGTTTATTGCCTAATAAAATCTTGAAGAGAAACTGGGATGAAAAGGCTTTACAATCTACCTCTGTCTCCCTTTATTGCAGAAGTCCGGACAGCTTTTCAATGTGATGGATTCTGTGGCAAGGATTACATCATTGGGGGGTTTTATATTTCTATAATTTTAGATTAGTTATTTTAGTTCCCTTACCCCCATTTTTAAATATTCCTGTCAGCTAAAACAAGGATTTTCTTAGGAAATGATGAAGCCAGGTTTAATTTCTACTTAGTGAGAAGACTGCATTACCACCCCACTGTTAAGGTGCAGGTATTGTCAGTAGGGCAAGGATGGGTTTTCTTTTGTAAGGAATGCATTTGAAGGGATAGATTACAGACTCAGGGTAATGTGAACCTGTTTCCATGCTTGGGAATGTCCTCCCAGGTGATGGACATCCCTTAGGGGAAGCCTCAGGTAGGATAAGCAAAGCCTAGGTTCTTATTTGCTTGTTTCTTAAAGAAACACAATAATAAAGACAAAAATGGTGTATGGATCAAACAGATGAAACCAGAAGAGTGTTAATATCCAGAAATGTATTCTCTAAGGCTCTGCCTAATTATATTAAAAGTAATTTGCAAATCTGGCCCTGAGTTTTCTGTAACCATATGAAAACAAGAAACACTATCAGTCACAAGATTCTGTTATAGCCTGGGCAACATAGTGAGACCCCATCTCTGCAAAAAAGAAAAAAAATAGTTGGGCATGGTGGCACACACCTGTCATCCTAGCTGTTGGGGAGACTGAGGCCAGAGGTTTGCTTGAGCCCAGGAGTTCAAGGTTGCAGTGAGCTATGATTGTGCCACCACACTCCAGCCTGGGCCACAGAGCGAGACCCTGCCTCAAAAACAAAAACAAAAAATTCAGTTATAAGAAAAGAAAAATATATATCATTGCTTTGGACAAGTGCAGCAGTTCCTACAACTGAGAGAGAAATTTCTCCTTGTGAAGGGACATTGAGAGTTGACAATTTATCTTTGCTTGGGAAAACCGAGATATCTTCCTTAGCCTTTCTAGAAATAATTCTGTTTTGATGACTGCAAGCATGGAGCATTGTGAGACACCACGTTTTACACATCTGGAGGAATTAACTCTCAGGATATACTCATCCCAAGATTCCTAAGAGCAAGTAAAGGAAACCTAATCTCTGTTATTCTTCCTGATATCTCTTTGGTGGACACCTGTTGCTGTGGTAATCCTGCAGTGTCCACCATGAAGTTTCTTCATTTCTTCAAGGGAAGGAGTGACTGGGACTTCATGGATGCTGAGATGTTATATGTATATACATGTGTGACAAAATATATGTGGGAGAAATTCTTAAAATGCTAATATTTGTCATCAAACCTAGAGGTGAAGCTCATCCTCACATCCCCGTAAAAATTATACAGAATATTTGCAGTCAGTTCTAGAATTTATTTGAACAAAATCTCATAGTATTAAGGATGACCAAAATAAGGGAGTGAAGCGTAGATGTCATGTATTAACATATTGATGGTAGAGTTGAATTTTTTTAGGTTCATTAATGTGTTTGAAATCTGTAAAATATTTCTTTCTTGTTTTGACCAGCTATAGAGGTTGGCAGTAAGTCTCTGAAGTAGCTCTGGTCAGACCTGACTGCACCAGAAAACTATGTTTCTGAAAAACGCCCAGGAACCCGAGGCATTGAGTCTGTAGATACAGCGGCTGGCTGTCTCACTGTGGGGACTCTTGGAGCGGGATATAGGAAATGAAGTGACAAGACTGTCAGCTTTGCCGTTACTCCTGGAGCCTTGTGAAGAAGTGTCTCTACCATGAAAATACGGTCCCTGTGTGGTGGGGTTATCTTCAGGCCTCTTTTCCCATTTATAGTTTGCTGGGAAGTCAAAAGGAAAAGGAGGAAGGAGATTCTCAAAATCAGAGAGGAGGAGCAAGGAAAGGTCACTCTGCCTTAAATTTGCCAGTTTTCCTGAAAATAATTTTTCTTTGTATACATATTGCAGTTGCTTCCTCCTTCATCTCAGGTAAACCTATTGACCATTGTGCCTTCTTGTGTGATTTACAATAACATAATATTTATGTATACACAGAGAGCTTTTGCAATAGAAGGTGTGCCTTGAGAACTGCAGAGTGCGTCTTCCCTGAACCTAACACCGGACCAGAGTTAAGAGTTGCTCAATAAATGCATGTTGAATTAATTTCACTTTTTCTTTTTCTAGAGGATCTCTATTGCTCAGGCTGGAGTGGTGGGGTACAACCATGGCTCACCGTGGCCTCGACTCCCAGGCTCAAGCGATCCTCCCTCTTCAGCCTCCCAAGTAGCTGGGACCACAGGCATGCCAACATGCCTGGCTAATTTTTTAATTTTTTGTTGAGACAAAGTCTTGCTATGTTGCCCGGGCTGGTCTTGAACTCCTGGGCTCAAGCATTTCTCCTGCCTCGGCGTTTCAAAGTGTGAGATGATAGGTGTAAGTCACTATGCTCGGCCGGATTTGATTTTAGACCCTGGGGAACCCATCTTTGGACTGTTTCTCAAAGAGAGGGCAGATATTATTCAGCAGAATCCTCATTGAGCATTGGTCTTACTGTGAGAATTACTGTGTTTGTGTACACCAAAGCTTGACTATGTAAACCTGAACTAAGTGTAAGAGCCCTTCTGGTAGGAAAAAAAAAAAATGACACTGTATTAGAAAGACAAAATCAGACAGCCTAACCAAACTATGTTTTTGTCAATAAATGTTCAAATTCCATGGTCTATTTTTATTTTCTTACATAGCTTTATTTAAAATCCTAGATTGACTTGTTTTTTGTTGATACTGTTCCTTTGTTAAAATCTTGGAAAACCATTTGTTGAGTTTTATGACTTAGGAGCTAAAACTGATGGGTCTCATGACCAGTTTATTGGTTCTTTTGGCCACCTTTAGGTCAATTATGTAATGTTTTCTTCTTACTTTTGTGTGGGGGGAAAGCAAGCCACCTTTGCTTTCATGATTTTGTTTTTCAACGTTTGAGATTGTTAGAGGTACGTGTGATGAAGGTCAATACTTAATAAACAGTGCATTGGTTGTTGGATTGGCCACATGTGTAGTTTTGGGCTGCTATCTTCTTGGAACTTTCATTTTAAAAATGATGAGACATACCTTCCTTTGGTTCCTCCTGACCCTCACTCAACATGACATTGTTCCAGGCACTGGAGCGTGGCCGTTGAGTAAAGTTGTGGGGTGTTGCATTGGAGATGGGCATAGGTAGCCCAAGTTTATGTGTTTAAAGAACACTAACCAGGAAGCCAGGAGGCAAGGACCTCTCCTGTTGGCTTTACTACTAATTAGGAATGTGACAGTAAAAAATCACTTAGCCTCTTTGGACCTTCTTCTTTTGACTCCTTACTCGGTAAGTGTCTAGACTAGTTTTCAAACTTAAGTGCACATCAGAATCATCTAGGAAGATAATTGAAGCAACAGTTCCTGGGTTTTACTAACAGATAATCTGTTCAGTAGGTCTGGGATGGAGCCCTGAAATTTGCTTATTTTGCGTGTTCTGTTCTGATGGAGGTGGTCTGTGAGCCACATTGCCAAAAACACATGGCGTAGGTCAGTGCTTTCCAAACTGTGGGAGGTGACCTATTAATGAGTCATTAAATCAATTTAGTAGATTTTGAAAAGCATTAAAAAAATGAAACAGAAGAGAAAGGAAATTATTGGAAGCATCATGGAGTGAAGCTCAATGAAGTTAGAAAGCCACCTCCTATATTTTTAGGTATTAGTTACAGCAACACCTTATTTCCAAGTCTGTACCTTCAAAAGTCTATTAGGCCTACTTATGGCAAATTGACTTGAATGTGCAAATCGAAGATTTTGGATTCATCCTTCTCCTGCAGCACTGATTACCTGTTTTACAGGTTTTAATATTGACAATGTCCCCTGAACTGCCACAGGATAGAAGTGTTGATCCCATCATTGCAAAAGAAACTTTTTCTTAGAATTAGAACATAGAGTAGGAAGATCCTTTCTACATCTTCTCAGGAATATAATCGGGAACCTTATTCCCTTCCACTTAGTGAAAACAATTTGGATAACATGTAAGAACAGTCCTAGGCAAAAAGGATTGCCAGAGATGAACCAAACCACATCTTCATAGGAACAAAATCATCTTCCTAAAGAGATGATTTATTGAAAGGCTATCTAGATGGTCACCCCTGGCAAACTGAATATCTCTTTCTTCACTAGTATTTGCTCCATAAATGTTTTTTTTGGATGAGTGCTTTCTAAAGCTATTTTATTCTAAGATTTTAAATAAGACTTTTACTCATTCAGTAATTTGTTCCTTGAAGGAATCATGTATTTTAAGATTTTGTTTCCATTGCAGTGGATGATTTTAACCTATAAGAATTACAATGGGAAAAAATAAAATTTTATGAAAATTAATCAAAATGTTAGAAGGCAGTTGACAGAAATCATTAATTTAATTTAATTTAATTTATTATATATGTGCCTATGTGTGTCTAAGTGGGAAATGCTGTCTTCCAAGTAGCTTTGGTGATTTTTTATACTAATCCCAAATAATTTGTCATTGCTTAAAATTAAAAAAAAGCAAAAATGTCCAGCACAAATCACTTTTGGAACTCTTGAATTTCCCTTCAAAGTCAGGTAATGATCCTCATGAGAAAACTGGTTTCATTGCTTAAGGGCTACACCTCATTTTTATGAAAAGCAGTATTACTCAGCATGATCACCTACCTTATTTGGCAGGGTTGTCTCTGAATGCCTGTTGTTGCTTCCCAGAATGAAATATATCTTCAAAGAATGATAATCATCCCTGACCTATTGGAATGGGACACAGACTTCGGAGGCAGCTCAGAAGGAAGTGTTTCAAACATAATGGAGCAATGTTTTTCATCGTGTTACTGGAAGAAATGCTAGTTTCTAAAGATGACCACTCTTAGACATAAAATTCCTGACACATTTGTTTTAAAACAAAAATTGGTCACACTTACTTGACGATTTTGATGGAAAAGTTGCCAATGAAGGGTCTGAGAAACAGGAGATTGGAATTAGGCCAGTTTAGTGACAAGGACCTGAATGGGTATTGCCTATGATTCCTTCAAGGAAGGAATGATTGAATGAATGAAAATCTCTTGTGGGGTGTGTGTGTGTAAATTCCAGGTGATTTATACTCTCCTGTTTTTGGCTCAGTCGAAAGAGCAGTGCTTGACACTAAGAGGGAAGGGTGACTGTAGGCAAGGCAGGACATGCTGCAGACTCAGAGGATTACTGTCAGAGCCCTTTTCAGTGAAAAGAAAAGCTGCATAAAAAGAAAATGGCCTTTGCTAGCATAAGGAAAAACGGTCAAAATTTAGAGCTGCTTCCATAGCGACAATGCTATTTTTTAAGTACAGTTAGATCTGAAATACACCCCTCCCCCAAAGACATCCATGTGTCAAGATAGCTCTCAGAGTAGCTACGGAATGCTTGTGAAGGCTTTTAATTTAACCCAGCTTGTTTATTTTACACTACAATAAAGTAAAAATATCTGCAAATTATAGACCTCAAAAATTTAGACTTTAGGTTTGGTATCTTATTTAACACAGTTTAAGCAGGGATTTAAAATTTGAGGTTTTTAGCACTTATCACAAAAGGAATTCTTGGTGTTTGTGTGTAATCTAACTTTGCATCTTTAAACTCAAAATATAGAACGAACAAGTAAAAGAAAAACTTCAGTTATTCACATGATACCTTGCAGTAGAAGATATTTCATCTGAATCAGGCAGTTTCAAACATCAGAATGCCAGATTCTTCTTCTCCCGCTTTCTCTAGTCACTGAGCTTGCCACCTCCCATCTTGGAATGGTGAAAGCAAATGTTTTCTTATGCTGTATCTGGTGGAGAAACCACTGTGGGAGTTTGTATAGAAGACATAATCAATGTGTTGGGATAAGGCCAGGTCTGACAGGGGATGGGGTATCGCTGCATGAATGTGTGGGGGCAGCAGAACTCTTTGCTGACCTCCCTCTCCTTTCAATGTCTTTGGTTCAGGAGTTGGTTAAGGTGGTGATGGTAGCCTCTGAGTGGGCATTCCCACCCTTGCCTAACCACACAGTCCCTATTCTTAGCCAAATAAGTGAGTGACTGGTTTGGAGTATTTCCCCTTTCCTGAAGAGAAGCTGACCCTTCTGGAAACTTTTGCTCATAGATCCTGTCTCCTTTGTGGCCTGTCATCAACTAAAACTTTGGTCCACCACTGTGCTGAATCAGAGGAAAGAACCTCCAATAGAGTTATCATAACTTCTCTTTATTTTTTGGAGATAGGGTCTTACTCTGTCTCCCAGGGCTGGAATGCAGTGGCGCCATCATGGCTCACTGCAGCCTTGCCTCCTGGGCTCAGGTGATCTTCCCACCTCAGCCTCCCAAATAGCTGGCATGTGCCACCATGCCTGGCTAATTTTTTTGTATGTTTTTTGTAGAGATAGGGTTTCACCATGTTGCCCAGTCTGGTCTTGAACTCCTGGGCTGAAGCAATCTACCTGCCTTGGCCTCTCAAAGTGCTGTGATTACAGGCTTGAACCACTGTGCCCGGCGAAGTTATAACTTTTCTTCTGCGCTCTGGGAACTGCTGGACTTAGCTGTCTGACTTGACTTAGGTTTTGCTCTGTTGGGCTTGTGAAATGGCTCTCACACTACTCCTCAGAACTTGTTTGTGATCAAGAAATACTTGAATTTACAGAATGCCTTTCTTTTGTGGATTCATTAATTTTGACACAGATTTTTCTCATTTAATGTCAATATCCTCAGGCACTACAGAAGGCTTGGTGGCAGCACCAGTTTGTTGAGGCTTAGTGAAGAGGTCTGAGGCTCTCCTGGTCATGTAGCAGGTCTTCAGGGAGACTGATGTTGAATTTAGTAGCTCATGCCAGTTCCTGTTTCACATTCTACTACTGTTGGTTTGGCTATCACAATGTCAGAATGATTTTGTAAGAATGACCATATGTTTTGTTATAAAAGTACAGCTTCTTTTTTGTGTGTGTATATGTGTCTGTGTGTTCTTGGGCCATGTTTTCTTTACATGAGTAAACTGCACTCTAGAGGCTTTCCATAATATGTCCAAGGGGTCTTTCTGTTGTTTGGTGCTGTTGAAGAGGTGAATTAGTTTTATAATGAGGGAGGTAGAATGGGATGTCAAACAGCCCCGGATCTACAGAAAGCCCAGCACAGGCAGTCACGGTGGTGTGATCTTGGCTTACTTATTTCCTCTTTCCAAGCCTCTGTTTCCTCCTCTGTAACATTTGGATAATAATGTCTTGCTTACTGGCTTTTGGTGAAGATAAAATGAGAAGACATGTAAAACGATATCCTGTGCATAGTAAATTTTCACTAAACGGTGGCAGTCAAATGTTTTCATACTATAGTAACTCAGTTTCTTGGGTTGGTTTTTGTGGGGAAGATAACCCATTACCAGTTTACCATGCAGGGAGTATTGAATTCCTTATGGAGTCCTAAGAAGTTAGAGCAATAAAAGGTCTTATTCATTCACTCTACAAATATTTATTGAACACCTGCTACATACCAGGCACTTGAGGTTTCACTGAGCAATGCAAATCTCAGCCCTCGAGGAGCATATACTTTAGAACTGGAGGAAACAGACAATAAACAATACACACAGTCATGTCAGTTACGCCATATGTTTGAAAGTGTTTAGTACTAGGGGAAAAACAGAAAAAAAAAACAGAGCTTAAAGGACATAAAATTTTAAATGAATCTAACTGGGAGGGTAACATTTATTCAAAGCTTTGAAGGTGCTTGAGTTAGCCATGCAGCTATTTGAGGGAGGAACCTTCCAGGCCAGGGAACAGCCAGTGCAGAGAGAGTCACTGGGCATCGAGGCCAGTGTGGCTGGAGGGATGAGCAAAGGGGAGAAAAAGAGGAGGCAAGGGCACAGCGCCAGATTGTGTGAGGCCCTGGAGGCCACTGAGGGCTTTGGTTTTTACTCAGAGGGAAGGTGAAGGGTTTCTAACAGGGAAATGACATATTCTGCCTTAGTTTTTATAGGATCACTGGCTGTGACTCAGAGTAAGCAGATGGAGACGTAGATGGCAGAGGACACCATTAATTCCTTCATGAGTTAGGATAGAATGTGGAGTCAGAGGTCAAATCCTGGGTCTGCTGCCATACCACTGTGAGTGTCAGACATCCAAAATGGAAGGAAGTTTTCAGGGAAATCTTGAAATATCTGATTACTCTCTAAGAGCCAGGATTTAGGTTGTGCAAGAAGAAAAAAAAATGCTGGTCTCATTTTTTTTTAACTAACAGTGTGTCTTTGGGGTATGAAAACTGAGGCATTTTTGTAGCCTAAAATTACTTTTGTGGGGGGGTGGGCTGGTTTTTCCACATGGCTGTGTGTTTTTAGATGGATTATTCACGTAAGACATGGGATTTCATTACGTTGGCTCTGACATTTTATTAGACTTAAATTTTCTAGTTCTGGTTAGCTATAAAGTTCACTGTCAAGAAGTTATGGGACCAAAATACAAAATACTTCAGTGGTGCTAAAAGTTAGGCCTGTGGTAATAAATCATTGTTACCTAAAGAAAGACATCATTGCTAAGGTGTCTAATTTTAGATTATTAGGAGGAAAAAATAAATAGTTTGGTAGGCTTGCCTTACTATGAGGCCTTTTCATTTTTAACTCCCAGTCTCTCTACTTTACCTCTGCTTTGGGGAAATCCAAAAAATGTTTTATTTGGCATCAAAATGTACTTTTATCTGGCCTTTTGCTTAACCTGAAGTTGTTAAAAAATAAGTTGATGTCTAAAATAACCCCCCCACACAACATTAATCCTCCTTCAGTTGTAATTTTCTAAATATTTTTAAGCCCATGAGTTTTTTTTTTTAAATAAGAAAACCTGTAATATATAACAATTAATCAGTACTCACATACCAAGTTAATTATTTGAGGGAGGGATGATTGTCTGATTTTTGGATCATCTTGATCTTCTTGCTTCCTTTCTGTTACTTTGCCTATCTTGTGACCACAAATGCACCTACCCTTTCTATGTGACTGGGCTGAAAGAGGGAAAAGAGATGGGATTCATATTTGTCTATTTTCATCTATTAACTTCATAGTTTCACCATTGTTTTGGTGCATTTCTCTCTTCATTTCTCCCCGACCCAAGATTACACTTCTGCTTTAATACATTCTTTTGTTTTGTTTTAGAGACAGGGTCTTACTCTGTCACCCAGGCTGGAGTGTACTGGTGTGATCATAACTCACTGTAACCTCCAACTCCTGAGCTCAAGGGCCTGCCTCAGCCTCCCAAGGCATGCCACCATACCCAGCTAATTTTTAAATTTTTTGTAGAAATGGGGGTCTCACTGTGTTGCCCAGCCTGGCCTTGAACTCCTGGGCTCAAGCAGTCCTCTTACTTGGGCCTTCCAAAGTGCTGGACATGAGCCGCCATTCTCAGCTTTGAATGTGTATTCTTGAGGTGTTTCATCAAACCAAAAGTTGGCCATGAGAAAAATAAAATTCCTTTAGGCTTTAAAACAAAACAACAACAATATTCAACATATGCCAGCATTAGGAAATTTTTATTGTGTTTCAGATAATTTTTAATATAAAATTTCTTCCCACGTTTTTCCACCTCAGCTTTACAGGAAACCAAGAAAGTAAACGTGACAGTTTCTGATAAATATGTACTTGGGGCGGTAGAAGTTTCTGTGTCTCAAGGTCTCCTTTTCTGTTTTTTTAACTACTCAGATGGAGTTACAGTCTTAAAAAATAAATCATAGTTTACCTCCTCCATGGGTGAGAAATTCAAGATGATGAGTTAGGATGAGTGGGAAATACTATTTACAGTGGAGCTGTCTGTAGTTTGGGGATGGTTTCTAATTTCAGCATTGAAGTGGTAATTAGTATAACAAATATCTCAGAACTTAAGCTCATGACCATTGTCTATGGTGCTTTATAAAGTCCGCTTCCCCATGAGTGCAAGGTCCTCTGGAAGCCATGTGGATATCTGTTCATTTGTATGCATGTGTGTGCATATGTGCATGGATGAAAGCATATAAATGCCAACTGTATATCCAAGGCTAACCTTGATGAAAGATATCAACTGAATACGTGGGGAGCATTCTTGGAAGAAGTCCGATGGGATGGCTTTGGCTGATGGATAAGATTTCAGTGGGTCAAGATGGCTAGAGAAAGAGTATCAGGCAGAAAAAGGAATAAGCAATAGTGCAGCATCAGGGCCGTGTGGATGTTCCCGTTGCTGATCCTATCCTCTCCCGCTCATTTCCCTTTCGAAACTCAGCTCGAATATCACCTTGTCCTAGGTGTGTTCCTGAGGAAGGCTTTGTTTGAAATGCTTGCAGATTTTGGAATCAAACACTTGCCTTCCTCTTGGTCAAGTAGCTTAATAATAAGCAAAATTTGTGTAACACTGTAAGCCAGGCAGCATTCTTAGCACCTTGCATAGGTCTGGTCATTTAATCATAACAACATCCCTAATGAGGTAGGAGCTATTATTATTCTCATTTTACAGGTGGAGAACTGAGGTGTAGAAAGGGTAAGTAACTCGCTTCAGGACACACAGCTAGAAAGTAGAAGTACAAAGAGTAGAACACTGGTTCTTTGAGTTCAGAAACTATGCTCTTAACCACTCCACTAGAACCTTGCTAGGCGGCAGTTTATTTGTAAAGCCTTGTGAAAAAATTTTCAGCACACTATTCAGCATGCGGTAGATAATTGGAAGTCTTTTCTATTGTTAATATTTCCTGTCTCCTCAGTTTGATTGATAGGATTTTCTTCCCGTACATATCTCTCTGAGAGCATTGTTGCACTTTGCCATAACTGTTGAATTGTCTATTTCACATGTTAGACAGAAAGCTTCTTGAGGTCACTCTACGTACAGAACTTGTCCCCCAATGGCTTGGTAAGTGTTGATGGACTGAACGAATAAAATGTTTTGTCTGGCACAGATTGACTTGCTGCAGGGAAAGCAGTCCTGTGGAGTGGTTCATACGCAAGACGTTAAGGCATGTACTACTAGGTTTTAATCCAGCCCCTACCATCCATTGGCATTATGTCTTGTGTAAACTATTTATCCTCCCTTAAGCCTCCACTTCCTTGTTTACTTAATGGGGACAATGAGTTGTTATAAAGAGCCAAGGAGACAATGTGTATCGGGATTTAACAGAATGCCTGGTTTATGATAAGCAATAAACAATTACTTTTATTATTGCTGAATAACTGCTGAAAGTCAGGTACTCTGCTACTTGTTGGAGGTGCAGAAATAAAGATTCCTTCCTCATTCAGGAACTTCACCAGTCTCATAGAAGAGAAGAATGGTCACCAAGTAAATTATAATCTATGCAATAATGTACAAAACAGATAACTTTGTGAGGATGAAAGGTGAAGAGAAGTCTTCATGATGGAGGATATATCCAAGATGGGTTTTGAAAAATGAATAAAAGTCCTTAAGGCAGAGCAGGAATGAAGCCTTCAAATACTGGGATTGCGGCCTTAACTGAATAGGCAATGGGGAGCCACTGAGATTTTTTGAGTAGGAGGGTGACATCAACAGAACTGTCCTTTAGGAAGATTAATCTGACAAAAATATGTAGGATGAGTTAGTGGAGAGAGAAATGAGGAAATAAATATCACATAGACCTTTAGTGAAACCTCCTACACAGAATAGAAATCCATTCTGCAGCACCCCTTACAGATGGTTATCCAGCTGATGATGCCTGAACACACCAGGAAGGGGAAGTTCACTTCTTCCTTAAGCAGCTCCTTCTTTCCTTTCTTCCTTTCTCCCTATTTCAGTTTTTCCCTCCTCTCCAGCCAACCATCCATTCATCCCTCCTTCCATCTCTTCTTCCATCCATCCATCTACCCATCCATCCCTCCACTCATCCATCCACCCATCGTCCATCCATCCATCCATCCATCCATCCATCCATCCATCCATCAATCTATCATTTAAGGGTTTCCTTAATGCCTGTTACTGGGGTAGGTGCTGGCAACGTAAAGTTTAATACAATAGTCCTGCCCTTGAGGATCTCACAGTCTAGTCTCATACTTGGTGTCCATTATTGAATAATTATTATTGTTGGAAAGTTCTTTTTTCCTTGGATTGAGTGAAATCTCCTTTATTTTAGGCCTGTCTCCTACTGGTCCTACTTTTCTAATTTTTTCTTGTAATACACTGACATTCTCTTTTTTTGTGATTGCTTTTATCATTTTTACAAACCGTATCATGGAGCTTCCTTGTCTTCTCTGTGGAAAATCCAGTTCCCTTAAAAGGGCCTCCTAAGGCTGAATTCATAAAACTTAAGGACTTTTGGAGCTGAGTGAGACTTTAGAAGTCATTTACAATTCATATCTCAGCCCTCATCACTTTACAGATAGGAGCTGAGTCACAAATAAGTTGTGACTTGCCTAAGATCGCAGAGCTAGTTAGTGGCAAAACTAGGACAAGAATTTAGGCTTTCCATTGTCCAGACTTGCAAGACTAGTGCTTTTTCAAACTGTCTGTCCTGATAACCCTTCCCAAACGTTCTGTAAATTTTCAATATCTCTCAAAATTGTGGAACCAGAAATGAAGTATGGTGTCTCAGATGTGTTCTAACCTTGGTAGAGAGCTGTGATGAGAGTTAATAAAGGCCAACACTAAGAGAATGTGCCCGGCTCCATAAGCCTCATTATCTGCATTTTCTCATTCAGCCTTGCAACAGCCCTCATTGGATGGGTTTAGTATGCTAATACTAAGATAGGGAAACTGAGCCTCAGAGGAGTGAAGTAATTTCCAGTTCACGGGCACACAGCCAGTAAGTGGAAGTACTGGAAATCAAATGCAGGGCTGTCAACTTCAAAGTCAGTGCACTGACTTCCTCCCACATAAGGGCCATTATTTACCATAATCTCCAACTGTAGTGAAGATACATTAGCAGAAGCATAGTATTTGCGAGCACATGTTGAGTTTCTGGTTATCAGAACACCTAGCCCTGTATACCTTGAATGGGGCAGAGTCAGATGTTCTCCATCCTGCATTTATGAACATCTTAAAAAACTTAGGTGGAGGTCTTTAACTTAATTTCTGTTAAATGTCACACCATTGGCTTTGCCCCATCTAATTAATAGTGGAATAAGGCTCATGAATGGGGCCTGAATGTTTGGGTGTGACTTCTGGCTCTATCCCATGTGATTGGGTGATGTAATGTTCTTAGATGTCAATCAAGATTAGCCGTCCTGACCTCAGTGTGGGTATTAGATTAACTGAGATGGTGTATGTGGAAGGACTTTGCAAACCAGCAAATTGATGATAATCCTGATATCTTTTTTTTTTTTTTCCTTGAGACAAGGTCTCGTTCTGGCACCCAGGATGGAGTGCAGTGGTGTGATCTTGGCCCTGCAGCCTCCACCTCCTGGGTTCAAGCAATCCTCCTGCCTCAGCCTCCAGAGTAGCTGAGACTACAGGCATGTGCCACCATGCCTAATTTTTAAGTTTTTTGTAGAGACGAGGTCTCTCTGTGGTACCCAGGCTGATTCCAAACTCCTGGGCTCAAGCAATTTTCCCATCCTGGCCTCCCAAAGTGTTGGGATTACAGGCATGAGCTACCATGCCTGGCACTGATCCTGGTGTCTTAAAATATGGAGTGTAGCCTGCCTTACCCATGGTCTCCAGCAGTCTTGCCTCCCTCTGTTGTTGCCTTATTCAGGTTTTTCCTGCTGCCAGGAATGCTGCCCTTTCCTCCCCTCTGTCACCCCTCAAAATGTTACTTAGCTTGAAAGGGCAAGGTCAGAGGCCAATTTTGAAAAACCTTTCCTTACTTGCCTGGCAGAATTAATTTTTCTTACCAGTAGACATTCACACAGCTTTGTTTACAGCACTGATATAGACCTTATCTCAGTCCGCCTTGAATTAGTATTTGTTATGTCCACACTTCCGCCACTAGAAGAGAGTTCCTTGAGAATGGAGACCATATAGTTTTTGTCTTTATGACTCTTCCCCTTCAGGGAGGCTATAAAGAGAGTCAAATAGTGATTCAATTGGGTCTTTGATATTGGCCATCCCACCCAGATTTATGTACTCAGCAGCTCTGCCAGTTTCCCTTCTGGCATCATCCCGATCAAGATAAAGATGTTGGAAAGGGCAGGGCCAAGGGCGGAGCCCTGGAGAAATGTGGCCCTGTGTTAAGCTCTTCCTCCAAATTATTACCCAATCATAAATTATCTCTGGCGTTGTTTTATGTAATGGTGAGTCCTCAGAACAGTGCATGATCAATTCGTCTGTCCAGGATTACTGAGAAGTCTCCTAACTGGTGGTCTTCTACTTTCATGATCAGTTCGTCTGCCAGGATTACTGAGGAGTCTCCTAACTGGTGGTCTTCTACCTTCTCCCTCTAATTTATTCTGCAAGCACCCTCAGAGCGATCTTTTAAAGAGCCCGTCTGATTACATCGCTCCCCTGCTTCAAACCCTTCAGTAACACACCCCATTGGTGTCAGAGGAGGAACCCTGAGCGAGACCCACCCACCTCTCTCTGGGGTACGCTCCACCCTATTTCATCCCCACAGGTTGTCTTTCAGTTCTCTGAATGCCTGCATCTCCCTGCCTGTGGGATTTCACTTAGGCTCTTTCTTCTTGAAACGGTCTTCCTCCTATCTTTTAATTTGCAAACTCCTATCTTGATTCTTGGCTTAAATGTCCTTTCCTCAGAGAAATCTTCCCTAATGTGCCTCTCTTAGCATCAGGTACTTTCCCTTCTGAATGCTGATAATTATTTGTATAATTATTCCTAATGCCTTTCCCTCCCAGTAGATTCTAAATTCCCTGGGAGCAGGCAGGGACCTTGTCTGTCTAACCAAGGCATACTGGGTGCGATAACACAATGCCTGACACACTGTAGATGCTCATCTGATGATGGCTGGATAAACATAAAGTCTGAATTCATTTCTTCAACCTACGTTTATTGAGACCCTCCTGTGTGCAGGGGCTGGGTACTTAGGAGATTCATACAGGTAAAGGAACCACAGGAAGATGTCACCTTTGCTAGCACAGCCAATGGAGAGGATCAAGTTTCTAGGTCTGCCCAGGGCTGGTGAAGGTAAGAATGTTATGTTTGAGCTGAATCCAGCTCTTATTTTACCATTTTATTCACCAGATATCAGACTGGCACAAACACTGCCAAAATCTTGACACCCTAAGTGGACCAGACTTCCTGCTCACCAAGAACTCCGTCAAAACCAGGGTGTAAAAGTTAACTTGAGATGATATTCTTAGTGAATCCTTGTTAGTGCCTAGTGCTTACAAAAATCTGCTAAAGCTACTTTTTAGCTTTGACAGAAATCTCTCTACTGGTTTAGTTTCCTGAATCTACTCCCATATTAAAAAATAAAATAAAATCTGACATGTCTCTGTTTGTATGAGCTTCTCTTACTCTGTGGAGCCCTAAAGATTTCTCAGAGAGGCTTGGAGGTCAGGATCTGTCCTGGATTGCTTTTTTTTTCCCCCAATGATTTTTGCCTTTCCCTTCTCACTTTCAGGACCAGTGAGACAGTTAGGGGTAGGAAAGAAGTGAGCACTAGAGTGGAGTCTGGGTCCCTGGAATTCTCTTCAGCTGGGTGATCTTGGGCAGGTTATTGAACCTTTCTTGGCTTTGATCACCCATCTGTCAAATGATGTGGTTGAAATGAATGAAATTGATGTCTCCCTTCAGCTCTGAGCAATAGGAAACTCCACTTCCTGATCTAGTGACCCTCCAGCTCCAAAATATAGGTTGAAGTAACTCTGCCTTCAATTTCAGGCATTTACATCTTACCTTTTCCATCTTTGCCATCGGCCTTGCTTGGAAAAATCTGTTTGGTTATCTTTCTTCTCCTCCCACCCTCCACATACTTTCCTGTACTCTTAGCTCATTTTGGGCACAGCCATCCTGACATTCTTACAGGTTTGAACGACTCTTAAGTAAGGGCCTTATGACTTAGGTAAGGGCCTTATGTCCACTGGACTCCAGGGCTGGAACACTCAATGACTTATCTAAAACAAGATCAGGTTGCTCAATTTTAAATACTAGTTCAGCTGTACAACCTTGGGCAAGATACTTAAGCCCTCTGAGTTTTGGTTTCCTTGTCTATAAAATGAGGATGATAATAGACCCCACTTCAGTGGGTGTTGTGAGGTATCAGTACCTTCCTGACCACAGTAATTTAGGTATGGTGCATAATCTTTGAAAGTTAGCCATTTTAAATATTTGTGCCTTTTTCCATTTGTCAACTATTGGAACATTTTCCAGAAGATCTACACTGAATTCTTAAGCTGTCCCACATGGTATATCATTGTATAGGGGACAGTATGAAACTTTACAGGTAAACAAATGTGCTGCATGGAAAAAACATTTAAAATCAGGGCATTACTTCAATGAACAGCTGAGAAGAGGAAGAGGATAGGAGGCAGGGAGGGACCAGAAGAAATAATTCTTTTTCTAAATGTTGCAAGAAGTGGTCTACCAGGTAATTTGCATTGTGATTAGAGCAGCTTCAGATGGGAGAGAGAAAGAACATGAAGAGGGCTGGTCACACTTCATGTTGTATCAGAATTAACAAAATATACCTACATCCTACATTAAATATGACTTATACTTAATGATACGAACATCAAGTTGCAGTTGATTATTGACCTTAAAGTAATACTTTGTAGACATTTAAGCAAACATTTGTAAATTTTCATAGTTCTGATTTACTTTTGTATCTTAGAGCTAATTATGTTTTCCTTGGGTCTAGGATGTTTCCATAGGTCTGTGGAAAGTCTGTGGCACACTGGCCTGTGCTTGTGCCCCTGGTGGATAAAATGGGCCCAGACAGGGAAAGAAGCTGGGTCTGAGCTGAACCTGGGATGAGATTTTGTTGCTTTTCTGAGGACCCAAATGCAGGGAGTGATGACATCTCTGCATTGCTATTAAGGACTTGCCAAATAAAAGGATCTGGTCAGGAAAATGGACTCAGGGCAGGGGCTGTGGTCACCCTGCCCCCCAGCTTACATTCCTTGCACAGTTTTCCCCATCTGATCCTACCCCTGGCTCCATCCCCCAACCCAGTCCAACACACTTTTTGTCTCATTGACTCCAGACAACACAGTCACTCATTCATTCACCAAGCATCCATTAAGTGCCCAATGAGTGCTAAACACTTTGATTACTCAGATGAATTCAACAGCGATTTGGTCCTAGAGGAGGGCATAGTCCATTTCTTTTTTATTTATAGCACCACTTGTAGAAATGGACCTCAGCACGTTGCTAGCATTGAAAGAATAAATAGATTCTGGGGCTGGAGAGGCCCTGGCATCTTCTTGGGTACCTTATAGTTCAGCATGGAGTTCATGACACCCTCCTTACCCCCACATGGGTAACTGGTTGTAGGAAAGGTCTTTGCATCATTTGTAAATTATGTCGTTTGCAAATGACATAATTTTTTTCTTAAGAAAAAGAATCTATGCAAGTCTCCAATTCTAAAATTCTGTGATTGTATGATTCTAAATTAATTTAGGAAAGCAGGCAGACAGTTTTTGTACGTGTTTCCATGGACACTGTGGATGTTATGTTGAGGTGTCTGCTTAGTCACATTTGGCACCATCTGGCATAAAAGAATTACTGGATTTTGGTGTGAGGGCAACTCAAGGTACTTAGACGGATCTGTTGTTCTAAGATTCAGTTGAAATGTTCCAGCAGCTTAGTAGCATAACCACAAGACAGTGTTGGGTTTGCCAGGTAATATACAGTATACTAAAAATACAAAGAGTATTTTACTTATAATATTTTTAACAAATAATTTTTAGGATAAGTATATCCCATGTGATATACTTTGGGACATACTTATACTAAAAATAATTCATTGTTTGGCTGGGCATGCTGGCTTACACTTGTAATCCCAGCACTTTGGGAGGCTGAGGTAGGCGGATCATGAGGTCAGAAGATCGAGACCATCCTAGCTAATATGGTGAAACCCTGTCTCTACTAAAAATACAAAAACAAAATTAGCCGGGTGAAGTGGTGGGTGCCTGTAGTCCCAGCTACTCGGGAGGCTGAGGCAGGAGAATGGCGTGAACCCGGGAGGTGGAGCTTGCAGTGAGCCGAGATCACCCCACTGCACTCCAGCCTGGGCGACAGAGCGAGACTCCGTCTCACAAAAAAAAAAAAAAAAAAAATCCATTGTTTATCTGAAATTCACATTTAACTGGGGAGCCTATTTTTTTTTAAGCTAAACCTGGCAACTCTAGGTAGCCTCTGTCTATGATCTGTGATACTGAGAATATATCAGTAGAGGTAATAATACTGCACAAAAGTGTCTATCAGATGATCAGAAACTTTTCAGCCAATTAGATGTTTGATGTGCCAGTGACTGTCCTCCACTCTGAGCCCCTCCTCAGATATGAGGATTGTGATTTCAAACAGCACAGTTTACGATTTGTAAGGCTTTGATTAATGTTTCTTTTCTGCCAACTATTAATAAAATGACAAACAACCATTCTATTAAAATCCTTAAAATGTCCATATGTATAATTTGTATCTTCATTAGTAGCTACTTACATTTTGAAAAACAGACTTTTAAAATATTGGTGAAATTTGAATTTATAGAATTTATGAGTGCTTTTGGGGCTTAATTTTTCTTATCTGATAAGTTAGCTCTGTAATTTATACGAGGTCGAGACCTGTTAATTCAAGCACACACCAGCATCTGGCCCCCAAATACCAGATTCTTCTACAGATTTTTCATCTTTGGTTCTAATTAGCCTTGGAATATTTATAACTATATCCATTCATCATTCCTTCTTTTAAGATCTGGTGCCTCTGGTTCCATATTAAATTTAAAGTAGTTTCTTCTAATTCTGTGAAGAAAGTCAATGGCAGCTTGATGGGGATAGCATTGAATCTATAAATTACTTTGGGTAGAATGGCCATTTTCACGATATTGATTCTTCCTATCCATGAGCACGGAATGTTTTTCCATTTGTTTGTGTCCTCTTTTATTTCCTTGAGCAGTGGTTTGTAGTTCTCCTTGAAGAGGTGCTTCACATCCCTTGTAAGTAGTATCCATAGGTATTTTATTCTCTTTGTAGCAATTGTGAGTCAGCGTTCACTCATGATTTGGCTGTCTATTATTGATATATAGGAATGCTTGTGATTTTTGCACACTGATTTCATATGGAACCAAAAAAGAGCCCATATAGCCAAGACAATCCTAAGCAAAAAGAACAAAGCTGAAGGCATCACGCTACCTAATTTCAAACTATACTACAAGGCTACAGTAACCAAAACAGCATGGTACTGGTACAAAAACAGATATATAGGCCAATGGAACAGAACAGAGGCCTCAGAAATAACGCCACACATCTACAACCACCTGATCTTTGACAAACCTGATAAAAACAGGCAATGAGGGCAGGATTCCCTATTTAATAAATGGTATTGGGAAATCTGGCTAGCCATATGCAGAAAACTGAAACTGGACCCCTTCCTTATGCCTTATACAAAAATTAACTCAAGATGGATTAAAGACTTAAACATAAGACCTAAAACCATAAAAACCCTAGAAGAAAACCTAGGCAATACCATTGAGGACATAGGCATGGGCAAAGACTTCATGATTAAAACACCAAAAGCAATAGCAACAAAAGCCAAAATTGACAAACGGGATCTAATTAAACTAAAGAGCTTCTGCACAGAAAAAGAAACTACCATCAGAGTGAACAGGCAACCTACAGAATGGGAGAAAATTTTTGCAATCTATCCATCTTACAAAGGGCTAATATCCAGAATGTACAGGGAACTGAAACAAATTTACAAGAAAAAAACAAACAACCTCATCAAAAAGTGGCCAGGAACTCAAACAAATTTACTAGAAAAAAACAAACAACCTCATCAAAAAGTGGGCAAAGGATATGAACAGACACTTCTCAAAAGAAGACATTTATGCAGCAAACAAACATGAAAAAATGCTCATCATCACTGGTCATTAGAGAAATGCAAATCAAAACCACGATGAGATACCATCTCACGCCAGTTAGAATGGCGATCATTAAAAAGTCAGGAAACAACAGATGCTGGAGAGGATGTGGAGAAATAGGAACATTTTTACACTGTTGTGGGAGTGTACATTAGTTCAACTATTGTGGAAGACAGTGTGGCAATTCCTCAAGGATCTAGAACCAGAAATACCATTTGACCCAGCAATCCCATTACTGGGTGTATACCCAAAGGATTATAAATCATTCTACTCTAATGACACATGCACATGTATGTTTATTGCAGCACTATTCACAATAGCAAAGACTTGGAACCAATCTAAGTGCCCATCAGTGATAGACTGGATAAAGAAAATGTGGCACATATACATGGAATACTATGCAACCATAAAAAAGGATGAGTTCATGTCCTTTGCAGGGACATGGATGAAGCTGGAAACTATCATTCTCAGCAAACTAACACGGGAACAGAAAACCAAACACTGCATGTTCTCACTCGTAAGTAGGAGCTGAACAATGAGAACACAAGGACACAGAGAGGGGAATATCACACGCTGGGGCCTGTTGCAGGGTAGGGGCTAGGGGAGGGATAGCATTAGGAGAAATACCTAATGTAGATGATGGGTTGATGGGTGCAGCAAACCACCGTGGCACATGTATACCTATGTAACAAACCTGCACGTTCTCCACATGTATCTCAGCACTTAAAGTATTAAAAAAAAAGAAAAGAAAAAAAAATCTGGTGCCTCTGTGAGGAAGAAGGAAAAATACAGCCCCATGTCCTTGCAAAATTTATAGGCTTTTTGTGAGTTTAGATATTTGCTGAAGTCCTAAATGGAGAACATGAGAGGCTTGCAAAATCCTTAAGATTCCTCTGCTTTGTTTTTGCTGTCTTTATTGAAGGAAAAGGGAATATAGAATATAATTTTGCCGTTTTCTTTATTGTATTTGATAACAAGAGACAAGTTCCAGAATCTTCATTTTTAAAAAACCTCAGTCACATAATTTTTGACACCAAAATTCAAGATCAGTGGTATCCAAGTCAGACCCAAGAGGTACATGCTACAGTCCCCTTAGGTTTGTAGGGTGAGGAACCACAAATAGCTCTCTTTGCTGAGCTGTCCCCAGACATAGGTGGATAGACTTTTTCACCTGCTGTGGCCATCCCCTGTTGGCCTCAGTGGTGTAGCAGGTCTGGCAGCTTTTCCCATGATTGTAGGGATGTGGTGGGGTGTGTGTGCAGAGTGGTAGAGTCCTTCCTGCTCTGCTCTAAAACCCTAGCCATGGAAAATCCTTTCTTCTTCTCCTCAGAGTGCCAACAGTGGCACTGGGGCTCTCTGCTGGGCTGGCAGAGAGGAGTGGATATGTGGAAGTCTTTCTTCCCGAATCTTCTCTTTATAGAGGACTGGTTTAAAACATGTCATGCATTCATAGTGTCATCTGTATGCCTGTCTTTGTAAAGTGCAGATCTGAACATGTTACTTGCACACATAGATGCTTCCAATTGTTCCCATTGCCTACAGAAGGAATGATTATGGAATAAACTCCAATTTCTTAGTACAATATGCAAAGCCTTCCATGACCAGTCTCTTCCTATCTTCCTAGACCATTGCTGTCCATCAGGAATGTAAAGCAAGCCACATATGTAATTAAAAATTTTTTAGTTGTCACATTATAAAATAGAAAAATAAACAGATAAGGTTAGTTTTAACAACATATTTTATTGTATCCAGTATATCAAAAATATTATTTCAGCATGTGACACTCGTCATATTTCATGTGCTTAGAAGCTACATGTAGCTAGCAGCTACCACACTGGACCAAATAGTTTTGGTCTCTTGACCTTTAGTTTCCCTTGGACCCCAATCCTCACCTCTCTTTCAATCCTAGGAACAATGCTTGCCTATTTCCTACTTGGGAACATTTACATGAGCTATTTCTTTCCCATGCCTGAGAAATTCCAGTCCTTTCTTTACATTTTTAAGTATCACTTCTTCTGAGAGTCTTTCTCTAAGAGCCCATCCCTGTCCACTTCTCACCAAGGGCAGACAAAGTGCTCCATTCCCAGGGCTCTTAAAACCCCTGATTCTCCAGCAGGCTTCCTCCCTGTGTACTGTAATTATTTTCCAGACTCTGGACCCGTCCTTCACTAGACCATGAGCACTTTCATGACAGGGATGGTTTCCTATTTATTTTTGTTTAACAAGCACTTAGCATGGTGTCAGAATACAGAATTCAATGACTCTTGAATAAACACTGGGGTAAAAGTATGAGTGTGGCTAAGGCTAATACCAGGTGACTGCTGAGCACTCCCCGAGGGTCTCTGTGGTGTCAGGCACTTGATGTATATTACCTGATCCTGACTTTACTCTGTCAGGTAGGGGCTATTATCTCCATGTAAAGATGCAGGGAATGAGACTCAAAGTCATTCATTCAGTCAGTCAGTCAGTAATTGTGTATTGGCCACCAAGTGCATGCTAGGCACTGTTTCAGACACAGGGGATAATAGCATTCGACGAAAGAGGCAGAGACTCTATCCTTTAGGAACTTAGATTTGGTTGGGGGAAGCTTATGCATGTAAGTGGATGAGATTATTTCAGCTAACTGAGCAATGCCAGAAGAAGACAGGATGGTAC